>NC_000012.12:8959650-9584650 GCF_000001405.40 Homo sapiens
GAACCCCTCGGGCTATGACAAATAGGGTACAACTCTATTTATGTAGGCCTTAATTTTTTTCAGCAATGTTTTACAGTTTTCAGTGTAGAGGACTTACGTGTCTTTCGTTACATTTGTCCTGAAGTGCTTTATTTTTTGATGCTTTTATAACTGAAGTTATTGTGAAAAATTTATTTTGTGAATGTTTACTGGTAGTATGTAGAAACACAATTGGTTTTTGTATTTGTAACTGTATTCTGTTAGTTTGCCACTTATTTTGGCAGTTGCTTTTTAGATTTGTTAGGATTTTATATTTAGACAATGAATTTGTCTGCTAGTTTAATATCTATTTTCAGACTTCTGGATTCTGTTCATGATGGTATAACTGGGACTGGATTTATTCTTCTATCTTAAACAACTGGCAAACTGGGAAAATATATGGAACAATGGCTTCCTGATATTGGACAACAGGTAACACAAGACAGTGATTCCTGAGAGGAGGGGAATAAGTTAGGCGAGCCCCACAATTCCCCCTACTTAATGCATGGAGAGACTATCCAAGGTGCAGTGCAGGAAGGGGGAACCCAGACAGAGCCTGCCAGTTTCACTGAGCTTCAGAGGGAGAGAGTGTGGAGTTTGAGAAGACTAAGGCAAAGACTAAGATTTGTGGGTCAGAGTACCAGAGAAAAGAGAGATGCGCAAAGAGTGAGCTCTAGATAACTACAGAGGAATCCTCTCAAGCCTTTGGTTGAGTTCTGAGCTGAACCACTTCAAAGGAGTAGGCAGAACAACTCTTAGATCTCACACAGTGCTAGGAATAGTGTTTTCACCTGCCAGAGTGGAAAGATGTTCTTAATATATGGGATTTTCAGTAAAGTTCTGAGAAGACTTTTGACTCACTAGCGCATTCAAATTAGTTCTAGACTTACATAAAGCCCTGATAAAGCTTTAATATGGTGGGAAGCATGGATCCATGGATTGTTCACATTTTTGCATGTCTTTCAAGCAGAGGCCCTAACTGACCTTTTGTTCCAGACTATCTTTTCAAGAATATCTGAATAGTGAACAGCCTTAGAATACAGAAATAGTGTCTCCTTCTGGGGCCAAGGGCAGATTTGTTTATTGTCCAGTATAATAAAGGTCATGTATCCTTTTGGGACAAAATATAGTACTGCTTGTAGCACATTATAAAAATTCAGATTCCTTAAGCTCAAGGGAGATTCCCTAAGGTCTCCTCTCATTTGACCCACTCAATGTTTTCTGGTAGTTAGGTTATTTGAGGGGACGAGGTGTAGGAGATGGCAAAGAAGAGGAGAAAAAGAAAATTTCTACCCTGATTATCAAAGATACCAAGAATGTCATCTCCTTTAATCCCTGTACCAACTCAGCAAGTTAGGTTTCATTATTATTTCCATTTTACATAAGGAAACTGAGGTTCACAGACATTAAACTGCTCAAGCTGTGATGTAGACCCACTGGTTGCACAGCATCCATCTGGCCTTTTCCATATTGCTGCTTTGAGACTTGGGAGGCAAGAAAAACCAATGCAAACAGGAATCTCATGTTGCTTGCTACACTGTAAATAGTAATGTCCTTTGCCTTTGAGCCAGGAGTTTTGTGTCTTTAGCTAATATTTGTGAAACTTGGCAGGTTAATGTGTTTGCTCAGAAGTAGCATAAAATCTCTGATTCTTCACAGTTCTAGATAAAAAACAGGCCTCAAAAGGATCAAACTGATAACAGGTAACTGTGTTCCATAAAAAGAGATGGCAATTTTTATTTATTTATTTATTTATTTTTAGAGACACAGTTTTACTCTTGTTGCCCAGACTGGAGTGCAATGGTGCGATCTCAGCTCACTGCAACCTCCATCTCCCAGGTTCAAGTGATTCTCCTGCCTCAGCCTCCTGAGTAGCTGGGGTTACAGGCACCCACCACCATGCTCAGCTAATTTTTGTATTTTTTTTTTTTTAGTAGAGACAGAGTTTCACCATGTTGGCCAGCCTGGTCTTGAACTCTTGACCTCAGGTGATCTGTCTGCCTCGGCCTCCCAAACTGGGATTACAGGTGTGAGCTACTGCCCATGGCAGCGATTTTTAAAAGAACACAACAATATCTGGCACTCTGTAGCATACAATTCACAATGTCTGGCATCCAGGTAAAAATTGCCACACAAGCCAGGTGTGGTGGCTGTCGTCTGTAATCCCAGCGCATTGAGTGTCCAAAGTGGGAGGATCACATGAGGCCAAGAGTTTGAGACCAACCTGGATAACATAGGAAGACCTCATCTCTACAAAAAATTTAAAAATTAGCCAGGCATGGTGGTACGCACCTGTAGTCCCAGCTACACAGGAGGCTGAGGTGGGAGAATTGTTTAAGGCCAGGAGGTGGAGGTTATAGTGAGCTGTGATCCTGCCACTGCACTCCAGCCTATGCAACAGAGTGAGACCCCGTCTCTTGCCAGGCTTGCTAAGAAGGAGGTAAATGTGATCTATAACAAGGAGAAAAAAAATTAATAGAAAGAGACCCAGAAATCACAAAGCTGATAGAATTATCAGCAAGGATGATAAATCAGGTTTTATAAATACACTCCATATGTTCAGAGAATAGAGGAAAATTGAACATGGTGAAGAGAAAAATGGAAGATATTCAAATAATATCTTCTAGAAATGAGAAGTGTAATATCTGAAATGATAAGATGAATATATGATGGATGGGATCAACAATGATTAGAAACTGCTGAAGGAAAGATTAGCTGACTTGAAAACGTATTATCAGAAAATATCCAAAATAAATACATGGAGGCTAGGAGTGGTGGCTCACACCTGTAATCCCAGAACTTTGGGAGGCTGAGGTGAATGGATCATTTGAGCCCAGGAGTTCAAGATCAGCCTGGGCAACATGGCAAAACCCCATCTCTACCAAAAAAATACAAAAATTAGCTGGGCTTGGTGGTGAACACCTATAGTCCCAGCTACTCAGGGTGCTGAGGTGGGAGGATAGCTTGAGCCCAGGAGGTGGAGGTTGCAGTGAGCTGAGATCACACCACTGCACTCCAGCCTGGGTGACAGAGCCAGACCCTGTTTCCCAAAAAAAAAAAAAAAGAAAGAAAGAAAAAAAGTAAAGGAAACAAACAAAATAAACACAAAGGGAAAACAGAAGATACCTCCCCCAACCCTGAAAAGATCAGAGCTTCAGTGACCTGTGGTACTACGTCAGTCAATCTAACATGTATAATTAGGGTTTCAGAAAGAGGACAAATTTGGCCCAAATTTTTCCAAATGAGATAAAAACTAAAAACTCATAGATCAAAGATGCTCAGTAGATTTTAGGCAGAAGAAACATGAAAAATTATATATACTGAGCTACATTATTAAGCTGCTGAAAGTCAATGATAAAGAGAACATGTTAAAAGCAGCCAGAGAAAAAATATATAATGGCATAGTTTCTTTGCATCAGAAACTATGCAAGCTGGAAAAAGTTAAATATATTTAAAACACTGGGGTGAGTATGGAAAACCCTGTCAACCTAGAGTTCTATGCATTCAAAAATACCTTTCAGAAATGAAGGCAAACTCAATTTTTTTAACATGAACACATGCTGAGAGAATTCATTGCAAACAGGCCACTAAAAGATATATTAAAGGAATTTTTTCTGCATGAAGGAAAATAACACCAAGGGAAAAGTTAGTTTTATACAAGGTAATGTAGAACATTTAGAAATGTTGAACCAGCCTTGCATCCCAGAGATGAAGCCCACTTGATCATGGTGGATAAGCTTTTTGATGTGCTGCTGGATTCGGTTTGCCAGCATTTTATTGAGGATTTTCGCATCAATGTTCATCAAGGATATTGGTCTAAGATTCTCTTTTTTGGTTGTGTCTCTGCCAGGCTTTGGTATCAGGATGATGCTGGCCTCATAAAATGAGTTAGGGAGGATTCCCTCTTTTTCTGTTGATTGGAATAGTTTCAGAAGGAATGGTACCCAGCTCCTCTTTGTACCTCTGGTAGAATTCGGCTGTGAATCCATCTGGTCCTGGACTTTTTTTGGTTGGTAAGCTATTGATTATTGCCTCAATTTCAGAGCCTGTTATTGGTCTATTCAGAGATTCAACTTCTTCCTGGTTTAGTCTTGGGAGGATGTATGTGTTAAGGAATTTATCCATTTCTTCTAGATTTTCTAGTTTATTTGCATAGAGGTGTTTATAGTATTCTCTGATGGTAGTTTGTATTTCTGTGGGGTCAGTGGTGATATCCCCTTTATCATTTTTTATTGTGTCTATTTGATTCTTCTCTCATTTCTTCTTTATTAGTCTTGCTAGTGGTCTATCAATTTTGTTTATCTCTTCAAAAAACCAGCTCCTGGATTCATTAATTTTTTGAAGGGTTTTTTGTGTCTCTATCTCCTTCAGTTCTGCTCTGATCTTAGTTATTTCTTGCCTTCTGCTAGCTTTTGAATGTGTTTGCTCTTGCTCTTCTAGTTCTTTTAGTTGTGATGTTAGGGTGTCAATTTTAGATCTTTCCTGCTTTCTCTTGTGGGCATTTAGTGCTATAAATTTCCCTCTACACACTGCTTTGAATGTGTCCCAGAGATTCTGGTATGTCGTGTCTTTGTTCCTGTTGGTTTCAAAGAACATCTTTATTTCTGCCTTCATTTCATTATTTACCCAGTAGCCATTCAGGAGCAGATTGCTCAGCTTCTATGTAGTTGAGTGGTTTTGAGTGAGTTTCTTAATCCTGAGTTCTAGTTTGATTGCACTGTGGTCTGAGAGACAGTTTGTTATAATTTCTGTTCTTTTACATTTGCTGAGGAGTGCTTTACTTCCAACTATGTGGTCAGTTTTGGAGTAGGTGTGGTGTGGTGCTGAATAGAATGTTTATTCTGTTGATTTGGAGTGGAGAGTTCTGTAGATGTCTATTAGGTCCGCTTGGTGCAGAGCTGAGTTCAATTCCTGGGTATCCTTGTTAACTTTCTGTCTCGTTGATCTGTCTAATGTTGACAGTGGGGTGTTAAAGTCTCCCATTATTATTGTGTGGGAGTCTAAGTCTCTTTGTAGGTCACTAAGGACTTGCTTTATGAATCTGGGTGCTCCTGTATTGGGTGCATATATATTTAGGATAGTTAGCTCTTCTTGTTGAATTGATCCCTTTACCATTATGTAATGGCCTTCTTTGTCTCTTTTGATCTTTGTTGGTTTAAAGTCTGTTTTATCAGAGACTAGGATTGCAACCCCTGCCTTTTTTTGTTTTCCATTTGCTTGGTAGATCTTCCTCCATCCCTTTATTTTGAGCCTATGTGTGTCTCTGCACATGAGATGGGTTTCCGGAATACAGCACACTGATGGGTCTTGACTCTTTATCCACTTTGCCAGTCTGTGTCCCTGGGATGCAAGGCTGGTTCAACATACGCAAATCAATAAATGTAATCCAATATATAAACAGAACCAAAGACAAAAACCACATGATTATCTCAATAGATGCAGAAAAGGCCTTTGACAAAATTCAACAACACTTCATGCTAAAAACTCTCAATAAATTAGGTATTGATGGGATGTATCTCAAAATAATAAGAGCTATCTATGACAAACCCACAGCTGATATCATACTGAATGGGCAAAAACTGGAAGCATTCCCTTTGAAAATGGGCACAAGACAGGGATGCCCTCTCTCACCACTCCTATTCAACATAGTGTTGGAAGTTCTGGCCAGGGCAATCAGGCAAGAGAAGGAAATAAAGGGTATTCAATTAGGAAAAGAGGAAGTCAAATTGTCCCTGTTTGCAGATGACATGATTGTATACCTAGAAAACCCCATTGTCTCTGCCCAAAATCTCCTCAAGCTGATAAGCAACTTCAGCAAAGTCTCAGGATACAAAATCAATGTACAAAAATCACAAGCATTCTTATACACCAATAACAGACAAACAGAGAGCCAAATCATGAGTGAACTCCCATTCACAATTGCTTCAAAGAGAATAAAATACCTAGGAATCCAACTTACAAGGGATGTGAAGGACCTCTTCAAGGAGAACTACAAACCACTGCTCAATGAAATAAAAGAGGACACAAAGAAATGGAAGAACATTCCATGCTCATGGGTAGGAAGAATCAATATCGTGAAAATGGCCATACTGCCCAAGGTAATTTATAGATTCAATGCCATCCCCATCAAGCTAGCAATGACTTTCTTCACAGAATTGGAAAAAACTACTTTGAAATTCATATGGAACCAAAAAAGAGTCCACATTGCCAAGTCAATCCTAAGCCAAAAGAACAAAGCTGGAGGCATCACGCTACCTGAATTCAAACTGTACTACAAGGCTACAGTAACCAAAACAGCATGGTACTGGTACCAAAACAGAGATATAGACCAATGGAACAGAACAGAGCCCTCAGAGATAATGCCGCATATCTACAACTATCTGATCTTTGACAAACCTGAGAAAAACAAGCAATGGGGAAAGGATTCCCTATTTAATAAATGGTGCTGGGAAAACTGGCTAGCCATACATAGAAAGCTGAAACTGGATCACTTCCTTACACCTTATACAAAAATTAATTCAAGATGGATTAAAGACTTCAATGTTAGACCTAAAACCATAAAAACCCTAGGAGACAACCTAGGCAATACCATTCAGGACATAGGCATGGGCAAGGACTTCATGTCTAAAACACCAAAAGCAATGGCAACAAAAGCCAAAATTGACAAATGGGATCTAATTAAACTAAAGAGCTTCTGCACAGCAAAAGAAACTATCATCAGAGTGAACAGGCAACCTACAGAATGGGAGAAAATTTTCACAACCTACTCATCTGACAAAGGGCTAATATCCAGAATCTACAATGAACTCAAACAAATTTACAAGAAAAAAACAACCCCATCAAAAAGTGGGCAAAGGATATGAACAGACACTTCTCAAAAGAAGGCATTTATGCAGCCAAAAAACACATGAAAAAATGCTCATCGTCACTGGCCACCAGAGAAATGCAAATCAAAACCACAATGAGATACCATCTCACACCAGTTAGAATGGCAATCATTAAAAAGTCAGGAAACAACAGGTGCTGGAGAGGATGTGGAGAAATAGGAACACTTTTACACTGTTGGTGGGACTGTAAACTAGTTCAACCATTGTGGAAGTCAGTGTGGCCATTCCTCAGGGATCTAGAACTAGAAATACCATTTGACCCAGCCATCCCATTACTGGGTATATACCCAAAGGACTATAAATCATGCTGCTATAAAGACACATGCACACTTATGTTTATTGCGGCATTATTCACAATAGCAAAGACTTGGAACCAACCCAAATGTCCAACAATGATAGACTGGATTAAGAAAATGTGGCACATATACACCATGGAATACTATGCAGCCATAAAAAATGATGAGTTCATGTCCTTTGTAGGGACATGGATGAAGCTGGAAACCATCATTCTCAGCAAACTATTGCAAGGACAAAAAACCAAACACCGCATGTTCTCACTCATAGGTGGGACTTGAACTATGAGAACACATGGACACAGGAAGGGGAACATCACACACCGGGGACTGTTGTGGGGTGGGGGGAGGGGGGAGGGATAGCATTAGGAGATATACCTAATGCTAAATGACGATTTAATGGGTGCAGCACACCAACATGGCACATGTATACATATGTAACAAACCTGTAAGTTGTGCATATGTACCCTAAAACTTTATACTTTAAGTTTTATAATAATAAAATAAAATAAAATAAATGTTAAATATGTGTATAAGTGTAAAAGACACCTGTTTTAATTTTTAAAGATATCTCTAAAAAATTAATAACCAGGCTGGGCCAGGTGGCTGACACCTGTAATCCCAGCACTTTGGGAAGCTGAGGCAGGAGGATCCTTTGAGCCCAGGAGTTTGAGACCAGCTGTGGCAACATAGCGAGACTCCGTCTCTACAAAAAATTAAAAAATTAGCCAGGCGTGGTGGTGCATGCTTGCAGTCTCAGCTACTTGAAGGCTGAAATGGGAGATTTCTTGAGCCTAGGAGTTCAAGGCTCAATATATGAAACAATGGTTCCATGTATTTTCTGCACTGCAGCCTGGCCAACAGAGCTGGACCTTGTCTCAAAAAAAGAAATGAGGAAAAATAATAATTTATTTTGGAATTTATAACAATAGAAGTAAAATGTATGAAAACGGCCAGGGAAAGGGAGATGGGTATACTATTGTAAAGTTCACTTCATATACATGAAGTAGTATAGTATTATTTGAAAGCAGAATGTGACTAAAGATGTGCAATGGAGAACCTAGAGCAATCATAACAGAAAGAAAAGAAGGAAGGAAGGGAGAAAAGAAAGAAAGAAAAATTAAGGAAAGGGAAGGAAGGAGGAGGGAGGGAATAAATCAAGAAAGGGAAAGATAAATAATAAGCAATAATAAAGTAGAATCATGAAAGACATTCGGTTTAAAAAAGAAAATGAACAGAAAATAAATAGAACATACAGAAGATAAATGCAAAGTAGTAGATATAAACTCAAGTAAAATGATAATCACATTATCTAAATGGCCAAAATTCTCCAATTAAAACGGGTCGTCAGATTAGATTTTTAAAAAAGGTCCAAGTGTATGCTATCTAAAACAAAAAAAAAACCACACTGAAATAATAGAAAAATCTATACCATACAAAGAGAGTTGGAGTGCCTATCTTAATCAGACAAAGTAGATTTCAGAACAAGAAATATTACTAAGCCTTGCTCTAAAATAGAGTGACAATTTTATAAGGGATAAGGGGTGATAATTTTATAAGGATAAAAGGGTCAGATAATCAGGAGAACATGTGTTTGCACCTAATAACATAGCTTCAAAATACATAAAGCAAAATCTAAGAGAACTTGAGAGGAAAAGACAGGTCCATAATTATAGTTGGAGGTTTTAACACCCCCACCCCACGTAATTAACAGAAAATCTGTGGTGGTATAGGAGCCTTGAACAGCATATCAGTTAAACTGTTTAATTGACATTAATATAACATTTAGTCCAACAAATGAATAATGTACATTCTTTTCCAGTGCACACAGACTTTTACCAAGATAGCACATATTCTGGCCATAAAACAAGTTTTAATACATTTACAAGGACTGAAATCATGCAAAGTATATTTGACCAAAACAGAATTAAACTAGACATCATTAATAAAACAATACCTGGAAAATCCCCAAATATTTGAAAATTAACAGTTTTTCTATAACCCATGGGTCAAAGAAGAAATAATGAATTAAATTACCAATATTTTGAATTGAACAAAAATGAAAACATTATCATCATCAAGGGATGCAGCTAAAGCAGTGCTTACAGGGAAATTCATAGCATTAAAATTTTAGCATTATGCTAAAATTTATAGCATTATTATTTTTTATTTCCACAGAGTGAAGTTTATCCTCAACAAAGCTCTCCTCTCCCATCTCCAGCCTTGGACAGGGTAGGACAGGTAGGGGCTAAGATGTGGCTCCAGTGGTTGAGGGGCCTCTGAGAAACAAGTAAGGGCCCTGGGCTTCCAGGCAAAACCGTGTCTGGCTCCTCCAGCCAGGCTGAGTCTGCTGTGCCTCCCTGCCCAGGCCTTGGGAAAGAGGAGGGTGCAGTGGCTCCTGGCTAGTTCCAAAGTGGAGTGTGAAAATGGTGAGTTGTTTACATGCAGTGGCCAGTACAGCGTGGTACTCACACCTCTTTCTGGAAGTTGCCATTGGGTGGCTCTGTGGGCTCCCAGGCTGTTGCTCAGTGCAGTCAGCCGTTCTTGGGAGTTCTGGGGGAAGAGCCCAGTGTCATGGATTTGAGGGCATTCCAGCTCTGAGGTTGCAGGCTTCTCCTTGGCAGTGGGCTGGCTACCGTAGCAGGTGAAAGTGTGGAACTTCTGGTTGAGCTCTTTTATTTTAGTTAAAAAAAAAAGTCTCAAATCAATGATCTAAGCTTTCACATTGAGGAATGAGAGGAAGAGGAGGAAATTACACTTAAAGTAAGCAAAAGGAAGAATCTAATAAAGAGGCACAAGACATCAATGGAATAGAAAATAGAAAAACAACAGAGAAAATGAAGCCAAAATCTAGTTTTTTAAAGTGATCAATAAAATTGATAAAATGTTGACAAAATGACTAGAGGAAAGGCACACATTTCCAATATCAGGAATCAGGGAGGTAAAATCACTATAGATTCTAAGCCATGAAAAGCATACTAAGGGCTGGGCATGGTGGGGCTCATGCCTGTAATCTCAACACTTTGGGAGGCCAAGACAGGTGGATTGCTTGAGCCCAGGAGTTTGAGACCAGACTGGGCAACATGGTGAAACCCCATCTCTACAAAAAATACCAAAGTTAGCCAGGTATGGTGGTGCATGCCTGTGGTCTCAGCTACTCTGGAGGCTGAGGTGGGAGGATTGCCTAAGCCTGGGAGGTTGAGGCTGCAGTGAGCTGTGATTGTGCCATTCTCCACCAGTCTGGGCTACAGAGGGAGACCTTGTCTCAAAAAACAAAACAAAACAAAGCAAAACAACCACGATAATAAGTGGTCAGTAAAATCTGGCCTGTGTGCCTAATCTGGCTTGCCATTTCTTTTGTGAGTAAAGTTTTATTGGAACACACACACAACTATTTACATTGTATCTATGGCTGCTTTTGTACTATAGTGGCAGAAGTGAGTAGTTGTGGGAGACCACATTGCCAGAAAAGCCTGAAATATTTACTGTGTGGCTTCTTACAGAAAACGTTTGCTGATCCCTGACTTAGATGAAAAGAACAAATAAATTGACAGACACTAACTACCAAAGTCACTCAAGGAAACAGATAGCCTGTATATTCCCCTATCCACTGAAAAAATTGAATTTATGGTTAAAGTTTTCCCACAATGAAAGCTTTGGGCCCAGATGGCTTCACTGGTAAATTCCACTTCTTCCTTTTCATCTTTTATTTATTTACTTTTCGGCTTCACTGGTAAATTCCACTTCTTCCTTTTCATCTTTTATTTATTTACTTTTCTCTAGGATTTCAGTACAGTGTTTCATAGAGTTGCTGAAATAAGACATCCTTGCCTTGTTCTTAATCTTACTGAGATAACATTCAATATTTCACCTTAAGTGTGTTAGGTTAGTTGTAGGTTTTATGTAGAAGCCATTATCAAATTGAGAAAGTTTCCTTCTGTTCTTTTGCAGACCTTATTTATTCTGAATGGGTGTTGAATTTTTTTTCATGCTTCTTTCTGCTTCAGTTCACGTGATCTATATCTTTTTTCTTTTTCATTATGTTAATATGGCAAAGTACATTGATTGCTTTTAGAATGTTAAACCAACATTGTACATTTCTGGGATAAACTGTACTTTGTCATGATGATTTATTTTATATTTTTATAGATATTTTGTTAAAGATTTTCATGTCTATAATCTTGAAGGCGGAGCGTCTGTAATTTTCTTTTCTTGCAATTTTTTGTCAGGTTTGGTATCAGAGTCATAATGGCCTCCTAAACCAAATTGGGAGAGTGTACTTACATTTTCTACTTTTTGAAGGAGCATTGTTATTTATTTCTTAAAGTTTAATATAGTATGCTATTGAAGTCACCTGAGCACGAAGTTTTCTTTGTGGGTAAGTGTGTATTAACCAATTCTTTTTTTTTTAGTGGTAAAGAGCTATTCAAAAATTTATTTCTTTTTGTGTCAGTTTGTTAAATTCTGTTTTTTTTCCATAAATAATTTGTCTACTTAATCTAACTTGTTAAATTTATTGACATAAAGATATAACATTACCTTATTATACTTTTAATGTCTTTAAAATCTTTAGCAATATAGCCTCTCCATTCTTGATATTGGTAATTTGTGTTTTTTCTCTTTGTTATTTTAGTTTTTATTTATTTATTTTTTTTGAGACAGATTCTTGCTCTGTTGCCCAGGCTGGAGTGCAGCAGCTCACTGCAACCCCCCCACCACCCCGCCCACAACCCCCAGGTTCAAGCGATTCTCCTGCCTCAGCCTCCCAAGTAGCTGGGATTACAGGCGTGTGCTACCACACCTGGCTAATTTTTGTATTTTCAGTAGAGACGGGGTTTCACCATGTTGGCCAGGCTGGTCTTGAACTCCTGACCTCAAGTGATCCGCCTGCCTCGGCCTCCCAAAGTGCTGGGATTACAGGCCTGAGCCACCTGGGAGGCTGAAGTTGGAGGATTGCTTGAGGCCAGTAGTTTGAGACCAGCCTGGTTAACATAGTGAGACCTCTGTTTAAAAAGAAAAAAGTTTTGTATCAGCTATTTATATATTTTGGATATTAACCCCTTATCAGATATATGGTTTACAAATATTTTCTCCCATTCTATAGAATGTCTTTTCACTCTGTCGATTGTTTCCTTTGCAGTGCAGAAGCTTTTTAGTTTAATGAAATACCATTTGTCTATTTTTACTTTTGTTGTCTGTGCTTTTGGTGTTACATCCAAAAACTCATTGCCCAGGCCAATGTCAAGAAGATTTCCCCTCTGTTTTCCTAGAGTAGTTTTACAGTTTCAGGCCTTATGTTTAAGTCTTTAATCCATTTTTTCTTTTTTGAGACGGAGTCTCGCTCTGTCGCCCAGGCTAGAGTGCAGTGGCGCAATCTCAGCTCACTGCAAGCTCCACCTCCTGGGTTCACACCATTCTCCTGCCTCAGCCTCCCGAGTAGCTGGGACCACAGGCACCCGCCACCACTCCTGGCTAATTTTTTGTATTTTTAGTAGAGACGGGGTTGCACCGTGTTAGCCAGGATGGTCTCGATCTCCTAACCTCGTGATCCGCCCCTGCCTCGGCATCCCAAAGTGCTGGGATTACAGGCGTGAGCCACTGCACCCAGCCAGTCTTTAATCCATTTTAAGTTGAATTTTTATATGGTGTGAGTTAAGTCCAGTTTCATTCTTCTGCATGTAGATATCTGGTTTTCCCAACACCATTTATTGAAGAAACTATTCTTTGCCTTTTGTATGCTTTTAGCAACCTTGTCAAAGATCATTTAACTGTAAATACGTGGATTTGTTGTTGTGCTCCCTATTCTCATCCATTGGTTTATATGTCTGTTTTCATGGCAGTATTATACTATTTTGATTGCTGTAGCTTTCTGATATATCTTGAAATCAGGAAGTGTGATACTTCCAGCTTTTCTCTTCTTGCTCAAGATTACTTTGGCTATTTGGGGTCTTTTGTGATTCCATATAAATTTAAGGATTATTATTACTATTCTATAAAGAATGCCACTTGGGGCTGGGCACAGTGGCTCACACCTGTAATCCTAGCACTTTGGGAGGCCCAGGTGGGTGGATCACCTGAGGTCAGGAGTTCGAGACCAGCCTGGGCAACATGGTGAAATCCTATCTCTACTAAAAATAAAAAAGTTAGCCGGGCATGGTGGCGCACACCTGTAATCCCAGCTGGGCTGAGGGAGGCTGGGATTTGGGAGGCGGAGGCAGGAGAATTGCTAGAACCCAGGAGGCAGAGGTTTCAGTGAGCTGAGATCGTGCCATTGCACTCCAGCCTGGGTGACAGAGCGAGACTCCATCTCAAAAGAAAAAAAAAAAAAAAAAAAAAAAAAAGAATGCCATTGGGACTTTGATAAAGATTGCATTTAATCTGTAGATCACTTTGGGTGGGCTGTGGTTTGTATGTGTCCCCTCAAATTAATATGTTGAAACTTAATTGCCAATATGATAGTATTAAGATGTGGGACCTTTAGGAGGTGAATGTGGGAACTTTAGGAGGTGATTGGGTCATGAGGGCTTTGCCCTCATGAATGGAATTCATGACCTTATAAAAAGGCTGGAGGAAACCAGGTAGTCGCCTTTTGCCCTTCTGCCTTCTGCCCATATGAGAACAAGTGTTCATTCGCTCTGGTGGGCATAGCAACAAGGTGCCATCTTGGAACAGAGACTGGGCCTTCATCAGACATTGAACCTGTGCCTTGATCTTGGACTTCCAGAGAATATGACAAATAAAATTACCCAGTCTTAGGTATTTTGTTATAGAAGCACAAATGGACTAAGACATAGTATGGATATTTTAACAGTAATAATTCTTCCTATCCATGAACATGGGATATCTTTCCATTTATCTGTGTCTTATTTAATTTCCTTCATTAATGTTTTATAATTCTCAGTGTGTAAGTCTTTCAATTCAACTCTTTGGCTAAATAGAAATAAATTCTAAGTATTTTATTCTTTTTCTTGCTATTATAAATGGTATTAATTTAAAATTTTCCTTTTCAGATAGTTCATTGTGTATAGAAACATGAATGATTTTTGTATGTTGATTTTGTATTCTGCAACTTTACTAGTTCTAATACTTTTTTTGTTGAGTCTTTTAGTTTTCTATATATATAATCATGTCTACTGCAAATAGCTATAGTTTTACTTCTTTCTTTTTAATTTGGATGCCTTTATTTCATTTTCTTCTCTAATTGCTCTGGCTAGGATATCCAGCACTATGTTGAATGGAAATAGTGAGAATGACATCTTTTCCTTTAACCAGATCTTACAGGCAAAACTCTCAGTTTTTTGTTTTTTTGTTTGTTTGTTTGTTTTGTTTTTTTTTTTGAGATGGAGTCTCACTCTGTTGCCCAGGCTGGAGTGCAGTGGCGCGATCTCGGCTCACTGCAAGCTCCGCCTCCCGGGTTCATGCCATTCTTCTGCCTCAGCCTCCCGAGTAGCTGGGACTACAAGCGTCCACCACCACACCCGGCTAATTTTTTGTATTTTTAGTAGAGACGGGGTTTCACCGTGTTAGCCAGGATGGTCTCGATCTCCTGACCTTGTGATCCACCCACCTCGGCCTCCCAAAGTGCTGGGATTACAGGCGTGAGCCACTGCGCCCGGCTGTCTCAGTTTTTTCTGTATTGATTGGGATGTTAGCTGTGGGCTTCTTTATATGGTTTTTATTATATTGAGGTACATTCTCTCTATACCCATTTTTTGAGAATGTACATTATGAATGAATGTCAAATTTTGCTACATGCTTTTTCTGCATCTATTGAGATAATCAAAAGAGTTTTTTCATTATGTTAATGTGGTGTATTACATTCATTGATTTGCTAGTGTTGAATCATTCTTACAATCCAGGGATAAATTCCACTTGGTCATGGTGCATGAGCCTTTTAATGTGCTGTTGTTATTTGGTTTACGGGTATTTTATTGAGGATTTTACATCTGTTTTTATCAGGGACATTTGTCTGTAGTTTCCTTTTCTTGTGGTATCTTTGATATTGCTTGCCTCATAATAATTATGAGGAGGCATTACCTCTTCTTCTTCTTCTTCTTCTTTTTTTGAGACAGAGTCTTGCTCTGTCAGCCAGGCTGGGGTGCAGTGGTGTGATCTAGGCTCACTGCAACCTCTGCCTCCCAGATTCAAGCAATTCTCCTACCTCAGCCTCCAGAGTAGCTGCGATTACAGGCACCTGTCACCATGCCTGGCTAATTTTTTTTTGTATTTTTAGTAGAGATGGAGTTTCACCATGTTGGCCAGGCTGGCCTCAAACTCCTGACCTCAAGTGATCTGCCTGCCTCGGCCTCCCAAAGTGCTGGGATTACAGGTATGAGCCACCACACCCAGCCACATTTTCTATTTTTTGGAAGAGTTTAAGAAGATTACTATTAATTTTTCTTTAAATGTTTTGTAAAATTCATCCATGGAACCATCTAGTCCTGGGTTTTAATTTGTTGGGAGGTTTTTGAATACTGATTTATTCTCCTCATTTATTATTGATATTTTCAGGTTTTCTAGTTATTCTCAATTCAGTTTCAGTTGGCTTTATGTTTTTAGAAATGTATCCATTTCTTGTAGGTTATCCAATTTGTTGGCATATAATTATTCTTAAGTGCTCCTTATGACCCTTTCTATTTCTGAAGCATTCATTGTAATGCCTCTTCATTCATTTTTTATTTTATTTGTGTTTTCACTCTTTTTTTCTTCTTTCTTTTCTTTTCTTTTTCTTTTGAGACAGGGTCTTGTTCTGTTGCCTAGGCTGGAGTGCAGTGGTGCGGCCATGGCTCACTGCAGCCTTGACTTCCCAGGCTCAAGTAATTCTCCCATGCCAGCCTCCTGAGTAGCTGAGACTACAGGCATATACCATCACACTGGCTAATTTTTGTATTTCAGTAGAGACGAGGTTTTGCCATGTTGGCCACACTGGTCTTGAACTCCTGACCTCAGGTGATCCGCCCACCTTGGCCTCCTGAAGTGCTGGGATTACACGTGTGAGCCACTGGGCCCAGCTTTTTTTTTCTTAGACTAGCTAAGTGTTTGTTGATTTTTATCTTTTCAAAAAATAAACTCTTGGTTTTGTCAATTTTCTTCTATTGTTTTCTTTTCTTTATTTGATTTATTTTTGCTCTAATCTTTATTATTTCCTTCCTTTTGCTACCATTTGGCTTAATTTGTTTTTCTTTTTCTAGTTTTTTGAGGTGTGAAGTTAGATTGTTTATTCGAGATTTTCTTTTTGAATGTAGATGTTTATTGCTCTAAAGGTTCCTCTTAGTATTGCTTTTACTGCATCCCATAAGTTTTGGTATTTTGTGTTATCATTTTTGTTTGCAGATAGTTTTAAAATTTCCATGTGATTTCTTCTTTTACCCAGTGGTTGTTCAAGAATATATTTTTTAGTTTCTATGTAAATGTGGATCTTCTCATTTTATTAGTTATTGATTTTTATTTCATTCCATTGTAATTGAAAGAGATAGATATTTGGAATGATTTGTATCTTCTTATGTTTGTTACAACTTGTTTTGTGACCTGACATGTGATCTATCCTGGAGAATGTTCTCTGTGCTCTTGAAAAGAATATTTTTCTGTTGTTGGGTGAAAATTTCTGTATATATCTGTTGGGTCTATTTGGTCTATCATGTTGTTCCAATCAGCTGCTTTTTTAATTGATTTTTTGTCCATATGTTCTATTCATTACTGAAAGTGGGGGTAGTGAGGTCTACTAATTTATTGTATTGCTGTCAATTTCTCCCTTCAAATCTGTCAATATTTGTTTTATATATTAGATTCTCTGACACTGAGTGCATATGTATTTGTAATTGTTATGTATTCCTATTGAATTGACCTTTTTATCAATATAAAATTACCTTTTTTCTTTAGAGGATGTTTTTGACTCAAAGTTTACTTTTTTTTTTGAGACAGAGTTTTGCTCTTGTTGCCCAGGCTGGAGTGCAATGGCGTGCATTTTGGCTCGCTGCAACCTCCACCTTATGGGTTCAAGTGATTTTCCTGCCTCAGCCTCCTAAGTAGCTGGGATTGTAGACATGTACTACCACGCCTGGCTAATTTTTTGTATTTTTTTTAGTAGAAACGGGGTTTCACCATGTTGGTCAGGCTGGTCTTGAACGCCTGACCTCAGATGATCTACCCGCCTGGGCCTCCCAAAGTGCTGGGATTACAGGCAAGAGCCACTGCACCCATCCTCAAAGTTTACTTTTTTTCTCATGTAAGTATAGCCATTTCTGCTCTCTTTTGGTTACTTTTTGCATGGAATATCTTTTTCTATCCCTTCACTTCAGTCTATGTCTGTTCTTAAGTCTAAAGTGAGTTTCTTGTAGACATTGCATCACTAGCTACTGATTTTTTTTTTTTTTGAGACGGAGTCTGGCTCTGCCGCCCAGGCTGGAGTGCAGTGGCGTGATCTCGGCTCACTGCAAGCTCCGCCTCCTGGGTTCTGGCCATATTCCTGCCTCAGCCTCCTGATTAGCTGGGACTACAGGTGCCCACCACCATGCCTGGCTAATTTTTTTTTTTTTTTTTTTATTTGTAGTAGAGACAGGGTTTCACCATGTTAGCCAGGATGGTCTCGATCTCCTGACCTTGTGATCTGCCCGCCTTGGCCTCCCAAAGTGCTGGGATTACAGGCATGAGCCACCACACCTGGCCTAGATCTTGAGTTTTAAAATCTAATCAGCCTGTATGCCTTTTGATTGGGGATTTTATTTACATTTAAAGTAACTCTTGGTAAGTGAGGACTTACTATTGCCATTTTGTTGTTTTTTGTTTTATAGTTCTTTTGTTCTTCTCTTCCTCTCTTGCTGTCTTCCTTTTTTTTATTTGATGATTTTTATAGTGAATTGCTTTGATTCTTTTCTGTAACACTTAGTGGTTACTTTGAGTCTTGAATAAAATAACTTGTTGTTAAAATAATCTATTTTGAGTTGATAATTTAATTGCATACAAATCTGTACAGTGTTGCTTCCTCTGCCTGAATTTTGTGTTTCTGTATTGTTTCAATCTCATTCTTTTGAGACAGGGTCTCACTTTGTTGCCCAGGCTGGAGTGCAGTAGCCCCATCTCAGCTCACTGCAGCCTCTGCCTCCTGGGTTCAAGCGATTCTCCTGCCTCAGCCACCTGAGTAGCTGGGATTACAGGTGTGCACCACCATGCCTGGCTAATTTTTGCATTAAGAGTTTCATTCTTTTCATAGTGTGCATTGGTTAACAAATCTTTATTTTTTTTAACTTTTATGTTAGGATTAAAACTATATGTACCACTATTACAGTGTCATATGATTCTGTGTTTGTCTATATACCTTCACCAGGAGATTTAGGCTTTCACATTGCTAGTTAGCATACTTCACATTGCTGTTTAGCATGTTTCAACTTGAAGGACTTCCTTGAGCATCTCTTGTAAGGCAGGTCTAGTGGTGATAAACTCCCTCAAGTTTTGTTTATCCAGAAAAAAGTAATTTGTCCTTCATTAAAAATTTTTGAAAATGTTATAATTTTTACATTTTTAGTATAGATGAATTCTCACTATGTTGCCCAGATGTGGGATTCAAATAATCCTACTGCCTTGGTCTCCCAAAGTCCTGGAATTACAGACATGAACCACTGCACCTAGCCTGTCCTTCATTTTTAAACAATAATTTTTCTAGGTATATCTTGGTTGGCTGTTTTCTCTTTCAGTACTTTGAATATTTTATCCCTTTCTCTTGGTCTGTGAGGTTTAGGCTGAGAAACCTACTGATAGTCTTACATGTGACAGTCTTTCTTTTTCTTTTTCTTTCTTTTCTTTCTTTCTTTCTTTCTTTCTTTCTTTCTTTCTTTCTTTCTTTCTTTTTCTTTCTTTTCTCTCTCTCTCTTCTTTCTTTCTTTCTTTTTTTTTGGAGTCTCACTCTGTCACCCAGGCTGGAGTGCAGTGGCACATTCCTGCCTCACTGCAACCTCTGCCTCCTGGGCTCAAATGATCCTCCCACCTCAGCCTCCTGAGTACCTGGGGCTACAGGTATGTGCCACTGCACCAGGCTAATTTTTGTAGTTTTAGGAAAGACAGGGTTTCACCATGTTGACCAGGCTGGTCTTGAACTCCTGACCTCAAGTGATCCACCTGCTTCAGCCTCCCAAAGTGCTGGAATTACAGGTGTGAGCCACTTCACCTGGCCTGTCTTTTTTTTTTTTTTTTAGACATATCTTGCTCTGTCACCCAGACTGGAGTGCAATGGTGCAATGTCAGCTCACTGCAGCCTGTGCCTCCTGGATTCAAGCAATTCTCCTGCCTCAGCCTCCTGAGTAGCTGGGATTACAGATGCCCATCACCATGCCTGGTTAATTTTCTTTGTATTTTTAGTAGAGACAGTGTTTCACCATGTTGGCCAGGCTGGCCTTGAACTCCTGACCTCAGGTGATCCATCTGCCTCAGTCTCCCAAAATGCTGGGATTACAGGTGTGAGACACTGCACCTGGCCTGTCCTTCATTTTTAAAAGATAATTTTTCCAAGTATAGTATTCTTGGTTTAGCTGTTTTCTCTTTCAGTGCTTTGAATATATCATCCCATCCTCCTGGCATATAAGGTTTCTGCTGAGAAATCTACTGATAGTCTTATATGTGATGAGTCATTTTTATTGTGCTACTTTAAAAATTCTCTTTGTCTTACCTTTAACAATTTAATTATAATGTGTCTAGGTGTAGACTTCTTTATGTTTAACCTACTTGGAATCTTTTAGGATTCCTGAATCTGGATGTCTATGTTCTTCCCTCAATTTGGATAGTTTTCAATTATTACTTTGTTACATATGTTTTCTGCTTCTTTCTCTATTCTCCTTGTGGGACTTCTATAATGTGTATATTGGCTTGCACATTCATGTCTCCCAAATCCTGGAGGTTTTCTTTTTCATTCTTTTTTTTTCTCCTCTGACTGGATAATTTCAAATAACCTGTGTTTGAGGTTGCTGAATCTTTCTTCTTTTGATCAAGTCTGCTGTTGAAGCTCTGTATTGTATTTTTTATTTTACTCATGTATTCTTCAGCTCTATAATTTCTGCTTTTTTTGTTTTTGTTTTTTGTTTGAGTTGGAGTTTTGCTCTGTTGCCCAGGCTGGAGTGCAGTAGTGCGATCATGGCTCACTGCAACCTCTGCCTCCCAGGTTTAAGTGATTGTCCTGCCTCAGCCTCCCAAGTGGCTGGGATTACAGGGGCCTGCCACCATGCCTGGCTAATTTTTGTATTTTTAGTAGAGACAGGGTTTCACCATGTTAGCCAGGCTGGTCTCAAATTCCTTACCTCAGGTGATCTGCCCACCTCAGCCTCTCAAAGTGCTGGGATTACTGGGATTACTGGGATTACAGGTGTGAGTCACCATGCCTGGCCCTGTTTTTTTTGTTTTTTTGTTTTTTAATGATTTCTATCTCTCTGTTGAACTTCTAGTTTTGTTAATATATTGTTTCTGATATCACTGAGTTGTCAATCTATGTTATCTTTAGCTTACTGAGCCTCTTTAAAACACTTTAACTTTGAATTCTTTGTCGGGCAATTCATAGATCTCCATTTCTTTGGGTTTGGTTACTGGAAATCTATTGCGTTTTTTGGTGATGTCATATTTTCTTAATTTTTTATGTTCCTTATAGGCTTGCAGTGGTGTCAATGCGTTTGAAACAGCAGTCACCTCTTACTGCCTGCAAGGGTAGTGGCTGGGTGAGGTGCATGGTGCACTGGGTCAGCATGGGACTGGAGACTTGTGGGGCACATATGGGCACTAGTTCTAAAGGGTGTGTCATGGCATTGGGTCTGATAGGTGAGTGCACACATGCAATGCTGGGCTTGGGGTAAATAAGCAGCATTCATCCTGGTTCCAGAGGGTGTGGCTGAGGCTCTAGCTTTGGAGGGGGTGCAGCAGTGTGAGTTCTGGGCAGCTCCATCGGCTGGTGTCAGCATTCTTGAAGACTGTGGGGGTCCTTGGCAGTTAAGGCTGTGGGTATTTGTGGCAGTGGGGATGGCTGCTAGAGTCCTGAGTGGCACAGGTTGCATGGGTTTTCCTGCTCTCCTTTTCACCTTGTGAGGAAGTCACAGCTGATGGTATTCCTCTTGTCTTTGAGCTTTGCCAGCCTGGGGAATGGGGTTACACAGGTAAAATGCTTTCTACACTTTTCTGCATGACCATCCTCAGTTTTTCTGTTTCACTGAGTTGCAGCAGCTTTTTAATTGCACTCCAGAACTCTCCCAGAGCTATTTTCATCTGTGGATAATTGCTAAATTGTTGTTTTTGTGGATATATAAGGACTGGTACATCCTAGTCTGCTCTCTTGCTGTGTTAGTCCTCTTGCTCAATCTTATTAGAAGTTTATCAGTCTTAATCTTGTCAAAGAACCAAATTTTGGCTTTGTTAATTTTTCTAGTCTTTGTTTCATGATTTTATTAATTTTCCATTTTAAAATTCTGTCTTTTCTTCTACTTACATTGGTTTTAATTTACTCTTCTTTTTTTAACCCTCATAAATTATAAACTTGGATTATTTATTAATTTTTTTCTTTTCCATTCATTTAAAACTACAGTATTTGCTGTAAGACTGTTTTAGCTGTGTTCTATATATTTTTGTATTCTATTTTCATAATCATTTAATTTAAAATATTTTAACGTTTAAAATTATTTTTTTCTTTTACCCATGGGTTATTCTTCAAAGTGGGTATTTTAATTTCCGAATATTTAGGAATTATGTCGATTTTTTCTTGTTATTGATTTCACTGTGGTTATAAAATATATCTGTAAGATTTTAATATTTTGTAATGTATTATATTATGGCTGAGTATGTAATATATCTTTGCGAACATTTTATTTACACCTAAAAACGTGTATTCTTTAATTGGTGAATGTCATTTTGTTGGGTTAATTTAATTTGGTCAAGGTGGTTGATGGTGGTGTTGAGGTTTTTTATATTATTACTGAATTTTGTTTAATAGTTTTATCAGTTACTGAGAAAAGGTTTTTAAAATATCCAACTATGATTATTGATGTTTATTTTTCTTTAACTCAGCTTTTGCTTCTGTTCATATGTTTTGAAGCTCAAAATTAGGTGCATACTTATTTATAGTTGTTATATATGCTTGATGCAATCAGTAACTCATGTAATTATGAAATGTACCTCTTTATACTCACCTATTTTTGTCTTATATTAGTATGACCACTTGTGGAAGGCTGAATAATGTCTCTCCCCACCTCAAATATGTTAACACCCTAATCCCTTCAGCCTATAATTATGTTACCTTATATGACAGATACTTTGTAGATAGGATTAAGCTAATAATCTTGAGATGGAGAGATCATGCTGGTTTGTTCACGTGGGTTCAAGGTAATTATGAGAGTCCTTATAAGAGGGAAGCAGTAGAGTCAAAGTCAGAAAACAGAGTTGTAACAATAAAAGCAGAGGTTGGAATTATATACTTCAAAGGTGGCAGAAGAATCCACAAGCCAAGAAATTTGAAATTTGGCAAAACTGATTTCCTTCTGGAGGCTTTAGAGGAGAACATTTCCTTGACTTTCCCAGAAGGAAATCAGTTCTGCCAAAACCTTGATTTTGGACTTCTGACCTACAAAACTTTAAGAAAATAAATATATGTTATGTTAAGTCACTAAGTTTGTGTTAGGTTATGTGTTACAGCAGTGATAAGAAACTAACACACCACTCCAGGTGCTTACTGTAATGTGTATATTGGTTTGCACATTGTATATATTTGTATACCTTTCTTTTAATCTGTCATTATATTTAAAGTGCATATCTTACAGCCAGAACAGACAATATCTTTTTTTTTTTTTTTTTTGAGATGGAGTTTCATTCTTGTTGTCCAGGCTGGAGTGCAATGGTGCGATCTTGGCTCACTGCAACCTCCACCTTTTGGGTTCAAGCAATTCTCCTGCCTCAGCCTCCCAAACAGCTGGGATTACAGGCACCTGCCACCACGCCTGGCTATTTTTTGTATTTTTAGTAGAGATAGCGTTTCACCATGTTGGCCAGGCTGGCCTTGAACTCATGACCTCAGGTGATTTGCCCGCCTCAGCCTCCCAAAGTTCTGGGATTACAGGTGTGAGCCACCATGCCTAGCCAGAACAGACAATATCTTTTTGGTTCTTGCTTTTTCTTCTAGTCTTACAATTTGTGCCATTTATTTGGTGCAGCAGTCCATTTATGATGAATTCAATTATTGATAAGACTGGCTTTATCATTTTGCTGTTTTTTAAAATGATTTGCCTTATCTGTTTTACTTTCTGTTTTTTTTAAAGAAATTAAGATGGGAAAAGAAAATAAATATAATTCTTTATATGTACTTATATATTTACCATTTCTGTTGCTCTTCAATGTTTTCTGTATATCTATGTTTTTATCTAGTGATACTTATTTTCTAAGAACTTCTTTTAGCATTTCTTGTAGTGCTGGACTGCTCATGACAAATTTGCTATTTTCTCTGCTCTGAAAATATTTTTACTTCCTCTTCATTTCTATTGGATACTTTTTCTGGATATAGAATTCTGTATTGGCAGTCTTACCATTTTACCTTTTTTTTTTTTTTTTTTTTTTGAGACAGAGTTTCGCTCTTGTTGCCCAGGCTGGAGTGTAATGGTGCAATCTCAGCTCACTGCAACCTCGGCCTCCTGGGTTCAAGCGATTCTCCTGCTTCAGCCTCCAGAGTACCTGAGATTACAGGCGCCTGCCACCACACCTAGCTAATTTTTGTATTTTTAGTAGAGACGGGGTTTCACCATGTTGGCCAGGCTGGTCTCGAACTGGTGAGCTCAGGTGATCCATGTGCCTTGGTCTCCTAAAGTGGTGGGATTACAGCCGTGAACCGCCGTGCCTGGCCCATTTTACCATTTTAAAGATGACATCTCATTGCTTTTCTCCTTTTTTGTTTCTGTTGAGAATTTAGCTATCATTCATGTGTTGTTTCCCATTATTAATGTGTTATTTATTTTCCTCTGGCTGTTTTCAGTATTTTCTTTTTATCTTTGGTTTTTATTAGTTTTAGATTATGTTCTTAGGAGTGATTTTCCTTCTGTTTATCTTGATGCGGATTCAGTGAGTTTCTTATACCTGTAGGTTGTATCCCAAATTTGGGGAATATTTGATCATTACTTTTTCAAATTCCTTTCCGATTTCATTATATGTCCCCTTTATTTTGGGGGACTACAGTTTCACTTTTGTTATACTATTTGGCATTGTTCATAGGTCACTGAGGTTCTGTTCATTTTTTTCTCCCATTTTTTCCCTCTATTCTTCATATTGGATTATTTTTAGCAATCTGTCTTCATGTTTACTGACCTTTTTATCTGCCCTCTTCTATTTGCTATTAATCTCATTCAGCTATTATTATTATTATTATTGAGATGGAGTCTCGCTCTGTCACCTAGGCTGGAGTGCCGTAGTGCAATCTCAGTTCACTGCAACCTCTGCCTCCTGGGTTCAAGTGATTCTCCTGCCTCAGCCTCCTGAGCAGCTGGGACTATAGGCATGTGCCGCCAGGCCAGGCTAATGTTTTATATTTTTAGTAGAGACAGGGTTTCACCATGTTGGCCAGGCTAATATTTTATGTTTTTAGTAGAGACAGGGTTTCACCATGTTGGCCAGGCTGGTCTTGAACTCCTGACCTCAAATTATCCACCTGCCCCCGCCTCCCAAAATGCTGGATTACAGCTGTGAGCCACCGTGCCTGGCCCTCATTCAGTTATTTTTAAAAATTATGAATGCTGTTCTGTTCTGGAATAGTCACTTGATTCTTTTTGGTAGTTTCTACTTCTCTGAGATTCTTCAAATTTTTATTCATTATGACTATATTTTCTTCTAAGTCTTTGAACGTATTTATGCAGATATTAAAGTCCTTGTTTGCTAGTTCCAGCATCTATGTTACATAAGTTTCTTTTCTACTTACTGACTTTTCTTTGATCCATGGCCCATATATTCTTATTTCTTTGGATTCTAATAATATTTTATTGTATGCTAGATATTAAATGTGATGCATTATGGCTAATCTGTGTTATGTATCCTCTTTTTTGAAGAAAAGTTTTATTGGGGAATAATTTCAGATTTACAGAAATGTTTTTAAGATAGCACAGAACATTTCTTTATACCTTTCACCCCATTTCCCCTAATGTTAGCATCTTAAAAAATCATGGCACATTTCTCAAATGTAAGAAATGAATATTGCTACATTGTTTGAATTTTACCAGTTTTCCACTAATGCTCTTTTTGCTGTTCCAAGATCCAATCCAGGATACCACATTACATCTAGTTGTTATATTTATTGTTTTCCTCTGGTCTATGACAGTTTCTCAGTGTTTTTTTTTTTTCGTGAACTTGATATATTTTAAGAGTATTGGTCAGATATTTAGTAGAGTACCACTCAATTTAGAATTATCTGATTTTTTTTTTGCATGTTTACATTGGATGTGTAGGGGAAAACTTTCTTCAGCTGTGTTTTTCTTCTGCTTTCACACCAGCACTACCACAATTATCAACACAGAAGAAGACTTGTGTGACCAAATGTGGTAGGGGTGTTCCCCACATACCAATTAGCAGACACCAACTGGGTATCCTCTAATTCAATTCCGACATTATCTACCTGGAGATAGTGTTAGATCTTACATTTCAGGGATTCAATATGCAAGATCACCCCCTACACCCACAGACACCAGTCACAAGTCTGGGCCTCTGGAACATCTGACCAATAAGCTTCAAGTTGGGATTTCCACAACTTCCCCTTTGAGTTCAGTTAATTTGCTGGAGCAGCTCACAGAACTCAGGGAAACCCTTATGTTTATCAGTTTATTATAAAGTATATTACAAAAGATACAGATGAAGAGAACTGTAGGGCAGGGTATGGGGAAAGGGGTGTGGAGCTTCCATGCCCTCTCTGGGAAGGCTGCTCTCCAGGAATCTCCACAGGTTCAGTCATCTGGAAGCATTCTGACACAGTTCTCTTGGGTTTTTATGGAAGCTTCAGGACATCAGCATTCTTGCTGCTGACCCCCTCCCCTTGTCACCCCAGTAAAGGGCAGGACCCTCTCTGGGGAAGGTTTTAAGACCCACAATCAGAAAGGCAGGGGAAAATTAGAGTCCTGCCTTGAGGCAGATGAAAGGAGGGCAGAAGAAGGCCAGAGGCCTTCCCCTTGGGGCCTGACACACTCAACATTATAAGAAAGGACTGTAACAGGGACCATAGGAGTTAGGAGCCAGAAACTGTGGATGAAAACCAATATATACATATGTATAATACCACCCTGGGGTTATGGATTTTGGGGAACAAACCTTACTGGTTAGGTGCTTTTATCATTGCATCATATTAGGGGGTACATGATATCAACAAGACTCATCACTGGTGGTTCACGCAGTGAACCCTGTTCATGTGGTTGAGGTGGTATTTGCCAAGATTCTTTAATGAATAGTTACTATTTCCTTTTATCCATAGTGTACTCTTTGGAAGTGAGTCTCTTATCCCTGACTACCCTCAAAGGGAGGAGAGTTAAATTCCACATCCTGAATGGGGAGTATCTACATATATTATTTGGTATTTTCTGTAAGCAAGATTTGTCACTTCTCACCTATTTATTTATTTAAATCAGTATGGATTTATATAGTTTTTCCCCTTGTGTTATAATTCAACACTGTCATTTATTTTGTTGTTCATATTGTTCCATTGGGAGCTTTTCCAGGTTGGTTTCTGTGTCCTGATATGCTCCCATCTTTTTTTTTTTAACTTGCTTATTTTTTAACATTAAAAGACTGGAAGATCCTCCAAGCTTATTTTGTACTTTCCCTGTCCTGGCCCTAGAATTAGCCATTTCTTCAAAGAGCCCCTGATTCCTATGTTGCCTTCTGATGTGGTTTGGATCTGCATCCCCACCCAAATCTGACGTTGAATTGTAATCTCCAGTGTTGGAGATGGGGCCTGGTGGGAGGTGATTGGATCACGCGGATGGTTTTTCATGAATGGTTTAGTACCATACCCCTAGAGCTGTTCTCCTGATAGAGTTCCTCACAAGACCTGGTTGTTTAAAAGTGTGTAACACCTCCCCGCGTCTCTCTTGCTCCTGCTCTGGCCATGTAAGACATTTCCCTTTGCCTTCCACCATGACTAAGTTTCCTGAGGCCTGCCCAGAAGCAGATGCCACTATGCTTCCTGTACATCTTGCAGAACTGTGAGCCAATTAAACCTCTTTTCTTTATCAATTATTTGGCCTCAGGTATTTCTTTATAGCAGTGCAAGAATGGACTAATACACCTTCCTTTTTTTAAAAAATGATCTTAATTATTTTAAAGCATACAATTCAGTAGTGTTAAGTATTATTATGGACTGAATGTTTGTCTCCCCCAGATTCACATATTGAAGCCCTAATCCTCAGTGTGACTGTATTTGGAGATGGAGTGTTTAAGGAAGTAATTAAGGTTAAATCAGGTTACAAGGGTGGGGCCCTGATCTGATAGGATTAATGTTCTTGTAAGAAGAGAGACCAGAGCCCTCTCTCTTTCTTCCCTTGTGCACACACTGAGGAAAAGCCACTTGAGGATATAGTGAGAAGTCTGCAACCCACAGGGGAAGCACTCTCCAAACACCAACTCTGCTGGCATCTTGATCTTAGACTTTCAGTCTGTGGAATGATGAAAATATAAATAAATTTCTGTTGTTTAAGTCACCTAGTCTATGGTATTTTGTTGTGATAGTCCAAGCAAGTGAATACAAGAATATTCACATTGTTGTGTACCGTATCTCCAGAACTTAATCACACTGCAAAACTGAAACCCTGTACCCATTAAGCAACTTCCTTTTCTTTTTCCCTCCAAACTTCTTTCAGTAACCATTCTTCTTTCTTTGTCTATGGGTTTGACTACTTTAGATTCCTCATATAAGTGGAATCACACAGTATTTGTCATTTTGTGATCAGTTCATTTCACTTAGTATAATGTTTTCAAGGTTCATCAGTGTTATAAAGTATGACAGGATTTCCTTTCTAAGACTAATATTCCATTGTATGTGTAGACCACATTTTGTTTGTTTTGCCTTCATATTAAGGGCGTGAAAATTTGTTCTCAGAGGCAGCTAAACTATTGATGACTCTTTTTGGCAATGTTAAGTTTTGCTCTGTTTTTGGTTGGTGCTACTAAGCAATGCATCACCTCTGTCCTTTCTGTTCAGCTCTTGGCCCTGCAGGAACTATCTCAGCTTGGACTTGCAGAGTTTTGTCCTATGTCTGCGCAGCCTAGAACTTGGCCACAGACATACAGTGAATTCCTACAGTCTTAAGGGTGCCTCTCTCTTGTGAATTATCCTGCCCTGCAAATTCCAGCCATTTAAGCAGCTCAAAACTCCAATATCTGCCTCCTCATTTTAGTAAGACTGCTGTTCTGTTTAGGATTCATTTTTGTGCTCTGTACTAGAAAGTGGTCCTAGATAGAAAGCTAGGGTGATCATTGCACTCACCTTTGTATTCTCTCAAGGATCACAATGCTGCCTGTGTGTTCCTGAAAATAGCTGCCTTGTGTGTCTTGCCATGTGTTGTATTTTGATTGGAGAGTAAGTCTAATGCCATTCTGTCATGGCTGGAAGCAGAAATATATTTGTTTTTATTAATATAAAACAAATTAATATAAAGCACTCCCTGTTTCTCTTCTTTTATCCTTATGCAGTCTATCTTGATGATCTTATCCACTCTTAAGAGTTTCAATACTCTTTCTGTTTCCTTACTTTAACTTTTGTTTTTTTTAGACGGAGTTTCACTCTTGTTGCCCAGGCTAGATAGAGTACAATGGTGCAGTCTCGGCTCGCTGCAACCTCCGCCTCCCGGTTTCAAGCCATTCTCCTGCCTCAGCCTCCTGAGCAGCTGAGATTACAGCCCCCACCACCACACCCAGCTAATTTTTTTGTATTTTTAGTAGAGACGGGGTTTCACCATGTTGGCCAGGCTGGTCTTGAATTCCTGACCTCAGGTGATCCACCCTCCTTGGCCTCCCAAAGTGCTGGGATTACAGGCGTGAGCCACCACACCTGGCCTACTCTAACTTTTTATTAACTTTTCACCTACTAAAAACAAATTACTAAGATGTTAGAATGTATTTGTTTACTTTGCTCTTCTTTTTAGTTATCTTTGCATGAAGTATAATAATAAAAAAAATAAGACAACAAAGAGAAAAAATATAATGGAATTTCTGATACTGTGAAGGGTAAAGACCATCACACAATTTGGACAAGGTTTTGGGGAAGATGTGGTCATGTCATATTCACAAAATATATCTGGGTAATAGTCTATTTCTCCCGTGATTCCAGGCATATGCACCCAACAGTCCATTTCGTTATTGCTTATCACTGCCCAAAAGTTCCAAGAAATGATGAAGTCAGTCTCATTTGGCATACATCTACTTTTTCAGAAGGAAACAAAGCAGAGAAAAAATTCCGAGAGAAATTCATAGCTAGTAACCACTCTCACTTTTATTTTAGTTTCCATAACTGAAATTGCTGGACTTGAGAGCAATTTTTCCTTGCTCAACAGAATTAGGTGAGATGGGGAATCAATTTAATATATATTTAGTGAGCATCTACAGTGTCATGGGGCAAAAAAATAGCAACTTACAATATTAATTTCTATAGGCAGCCCCCAAATTTGAATCATTTCCTGAAAAATTACTTCTGCTTTTGTGAAGTTTCCTGCTAGCAGTTTAGAGATTGGGCTGTTTCCTCACTGATACATATCCCTTCACACTTCTATAATTTAACTCTCTCAACTGCATGTGAAAGATCTTAGCTGAAGATGACTGACAGTGTTATTTATTCCATGTTAGAGTTGCCTACGGCAACCCAAGCCCAGAATGACTATGGACCACAGCAAAAATGTGAGTTAACCAAGGTAGCATGGAAGACGATGCATAGCAACAGTAGGCTATGGATGAATGGGGAGTAGAATAAGTTTAAAGCAGAGGGTGCAGAAGAATTGAGGATAATTTGAGGAAATACTTTTGGTTCAGTTTAAAGTCCAGAGTTGGAATATGAAAAGTTGGTGTATGGTACAGGATCTGATCTTAGGTCTCAGGTAAACTCTTTTCTAACTGTTCACTTCTTTGATCGCATCTTAGAAACCCAACTTAGGGCATTGCCGTTATTCCTTCTTGCTCTTAGCTAAAGCGGGAACTTTGTTGGGAGAATTTTATCTCTTTAGTTATATTCGGAGTAACCTTGGACCAGCTGTTTAAATTCTAGGTATGGCTGTTTTTCTGACTATGGAATGAGGAGGACACCAATAGTTTTGCTGGTGGATACGAGTAAGATTTTTGTCAGGAAAGAAACTGATTTACATATCTAGTTTTGTTTTTTTTTTTTAACTTCACAGTGTTGCACTAGAATGGTGACAGGGAAGAAAAAGTATCAAGAAACTACAGATAATAGTCTCTGTGACTGAGGATTTGAAGGCAAAAGAGCCATTTTTACATAGAGCCCTGAGAGAATATTATCTGAGACAGACAGGTAATAGTGTAAATGCCAAAATTAATCCTTGATTTTGTATCGTAGGCAGTGAACTCCCACAAGGTGTATTCTTTAGGGTAGTTCCCTAAGCTTTCTCTCTTTTTACTACATAGTTTTACTATTATAATTTTTAATGTCTTTTGAGAGTGTTGCCTTAATTTGCTAAATCATTCTAGTATACTTGGGATATTTAGACCTATTTCTATTACCATAAATTATATAGCATTGGATATCTTTATTTGTGTAACCTTTTCCTATTTTTGAATTGTATCTATGTTAATTTCTAAGGAATAGAAATATTACGTTAGAAGTAATGCATATCTCAAAGTATATGTTCAAGGTCACACACACAACTGGTGATAAATTGGAACCTAGTTGGAACTATTTAGAGGCTTTCAATATATACTTAAAGTAAATTTTAAAAATTTACTTTACTTCTTGAATTGGCTTGTGGTTACACAAATTCAATTATGGTTTGATACCTTTTTAAAATTTAGCATAACATAAAAATGAACATTTGTGTATTTCATTAAATGTTCTCCTGTGATGCAAATGTATTTTTAAAAGTTTTTCTAGAAATCTTAATGCTTTTGGATTCATCAGTCCAAATATTTATTATGCAGAATTCTCTATTTATGAAGGCATCTCTCATTATGAATTTTTTTCTTTAAGAAGTTCAGAATACTCCATAGATACACACATATATAGAATAATTTATCTAAAATTTAATCAGAAAATTGAAGCCCAAATAGGCAAGTTTAATTTCCTAATTAAATGTTATTAAGCAAAGGAATCAAAATTAGAAGTTAAATATCATCTTACTTCACAGAGTTTTGCTCGTTACACGTAATTTCTACACTATTGCACTATGAGATACCTTTGATTTTAAAATAAAGATTTGCTGAAAATACTTCCATTTTTCAAATTTAAAATTTAGATTTCGGTTGTATGCAACACAGCTAACATGAAGTAGTGTCCTATTCTTAAACTTGGCATCAACTTAAACTTACTGCTCTTTTAATAACGACAGTTTACAAAGCACTTCTGAAATGTAGATTATTTTTATTTAAATTTTATGTATTTCAATTTCGAGTAGATAATATGTTTACATGGTTCAAAATTCAAAAGGTACAAAAGAAAATAGGGTAAAAAGTCTTTTTCCTATTTTGTCTCCAGTGACTGTTTTTTCCATTCCAGAGGCAAACAATGTTATCAGATTCTTGAGTGTGCTTGCAGAGATATTTGTATATCCTGTTCTGCAGAATGTTTCTTTGTCTTGACTATATATCTTACAAAATATTCCATATCAGTTAAAAAAAAAGCCAGTTTTTATTAGAAGCTATATATTCACTTTATGGATATATCAAAAATGTATTTGACTGGCCTTTTACTGATAGAATGTAGATTGTATTCAGTCTTCTCCTCCTACAAATATTGCTGCCACGAATAAATATGACATTTTGCACCCGCGAGTATCTGTAGGAAAAATTTCTTAAGGAGAAATTTCTAGGTCAAAGGGTACATGCCTTTGCCGTTTTGGTAGATATTGCCCAATTGTCCTCCAAAGAGGTACCAATTTGTATTCTCACCACCTAAGTATGAGACAGTGTAAGTCACAGTTTCAAAGGAAAAAAGCATTCTTTATCTTGATAAATATAGTAAGTTCTTTGATACAGGTGTTGGTGGTTACCTTAGACTTTAGAGCAAGTTCCTGACACATCTAGAAAAGGAATCTTTATGGCCTGGATCTCAGTTCCCACTAGGCCAAATTGCTTTAAGATGCGATATCCTTCCCTGACTTTCTCTTTTCTTTCAACCTGTCATCTGACTCAGGATTGTGCTTTGACTCTGTTGTTGCAGCTTCCTCTTCCAGGCCTTCTTGTTCTTGCCTTGTGGCAATAGCTTTGGGGCTTCTGACTGCAGTTCTTCTGAGTGTGCTGCTATACCAGTGGATCCTGTGCCAGGGTAAGTGCAAACTTAAACCAAAATTAATCTTTCATTTTATATTATAAAAGCAATATAACATAGCAGAAGCTTTGAAAAATCAAAAAATAATTCAAACAAAATAACTCTCCATCTGTATACAGCTATTTCCTGGGTATAGCCTTTGACCATGTGCACTTGTGTAAGCTTGTATTTTCTTTTTTCTTTTTGTTTTTTGAGACAGGGTCTCCCTCAATCAGCCAGGCTGTAGGTGATAGATTTGTGTGCTGCTATACCAGCGGATCCTGTGCCACTGTACAGTCACAGCTCACTGCAGCCTTGACCTCCTTAGGCTCAAGTGATCCACCTCAGCCTCTCGAGTAGCTGGGACCACAGGCACATACCACCATGCCTGGCTAATTTTTGTATTATTATTATTATTTTTTTTTTTTTGTAAAGACATTTCACCATGTTGCCCAGGCTGATCTCAAACTCCTGGGCTCAAGCCATTTGCCCTTCTTGGCCTCCCAAAGTGCTGGGATTATAGGTGTGAGCCACTGCACCTGACCATATTTTCTTAATAGAACTGCAGTCAAGTCCTCTTAAAATTTCTCCCACCTTTCTTTCTTTTAATGCAAGGCTGAGAATAGTTCTTATCGTAGTATGCTCATAATTTTGTATATTGCTTTTTAATTTTATGTTGCCAGAAACATTTCCTTACTGCCATATTTATTGGGATGATTGAATTATAATATTAATGATGTTTAACTTTTCACATAATAGATATATCATAATGTAATGAAACATTCTGAATTTTTTTTTTTTTTTTTTTTGCCATTCAGGTGCTTTCACATTTTCTAAAACTAATTTTTAAGTTTAGTTCTTCTAGGACCTTAAATCTGGTGATCTAGAGGACTCTCAGTTTGTTGTTTTACAGTCTAGAGTCCTAGCTTAGGTTTATATTTTTAGGGGATGATAGTGACCGATTACACAGAAGTGATTTATTAGGGTTCTTTTTTAAATTTTTTTAAAAATTTTGAGACAGAATCTCGCAATGTTGTTTGGGCTGGAGTGCAATGGCGTGATCTCGGCTCACTGCAACCTCTGCCTCCCAGGTTCAAGCGATTCTCATGCCTCAGCCTCCCGAGTAGCTGGGATTACAGGCACCTGCCACCACGCCCAGCTAATTTTTTGTATTTTTATTAGAGACGGGGTTTCACTATGTTGGCCAGGCTGGTCTCGAACTCCTGACCTTGTGATCTGCCCGCCTTGGCCTCCCCAAGTGCTGGGATTACAGGTGTGAGCCATTGCGCTCTGCCGATTTATTAGGATTCTAAGAGTTCAGCTCCAGGGCTTCTACCTCAGAGCCAAGTCCGACCTTTGACAAAAAGGAACTCCTAGGGAAGTTGGGAATTTCTAATCCAGGCTGAGTAATGTCACAGTTGTATGGAAAAAGCAAAATCTATAAGGTGCCAATTTAACAGCTTGATCTCCAGAACTTATATTGGTTGTATGCCAGTACTTCCTAGAGAACAATTATCTAATATTTATATGAAAAATACTACTTTCCCCACTTTGTAACTCCCAAATCTAGAGTAGATATATACTCTATTCTGCAATTATATATCTACACATGTGCTCATGGAGTATAATGGCTCATACTTGCTCACTGTAGAATTGTGCTTATGGCGAGTTTATGCACATATGTTTAAGTATTGAAACTGAAGTAGAAAAATCAATAGAATTTTGGAATCTTGGTTGGAATTACCTTGAAAGCATATTCAGTTCCCTTTCATCTTTGATTGTTTGTTTTTGAGACAGTGTCTTGCTCTGTCGCCCAGGCAGGAGTGCAGTGGTGTGATCTTGGCTCACTGCAACCTCTGCCTCCTGGGTTCAAGTGATTCTCATGCCTCAGCTCCTAAGTAGCTGGGATTACAGGCGGGTGCCACCATGCCCAGCTGATTTTTTTGTATTTTTAGTAGAGATGAGGTTTCACCATGTTGGCTAGACTGATCTTGAACTCCTGGCCTCATGTGAGCCACCTGCCTCGGCCTCCCAAAGTGCTGGGATTACAAGAGTGAGCCACCATGCCTGGTCAGTTCCCTTTCATCTTGACAGAACTATGAACCAACCATTTTAAAGGAATGTGGATCTTCCGTATTTAAAAGAGCTCGGTTAGGGCATTCTATCACTTTTCACTTTAGCACCTGTTATGCTTCTCTGCCAGAAAACCCTTTTGAAAAATATCAAAGTAAGTTCTTTTTGCTGAGGTATAAGGGTTTTTTTCCAGTTTTCAATGGTGAGGGACAGTTACATCTGTGATAATAAAAAAGCAAAACCTTTCATTCTAGTTAAGTTTGCTTTTCCTAATTTCTTTTTGGCATTTTCAGTTGGGCATTCTGAATGATTCTGCCTGATTTAAGCAATATACATTATGCAATTATGCAATATATACACAGAGCAAAGACAGTACACAGATGCATATCATATGAATTCACAGTTATCTGGTGTGTGTATATTACATGTGCACAGAGATCTCTAGCACAAGTCAAGTACTTGCTCCAGAGTTTTCAGGCAGATTGTTGTATGCTTTCTTCTTTGTTCCTTCAGTTATAGTCATATTCTTGTGTAGTGGAATATATACTTAGTAGATGATGGAGTTGGACATTATGAGGACATTATGAGGTATTCAAATTGACACCACGCATTGTTACACATTTCTCTAACCCTTAATCTGAAAAGTGGTGGAGCAGGGAAGACCCAGGGCTGCCATATTCCATTTTATCTCCCATTTCATTTCCAAGACTGAGTGGTCCATAAAGATGTGAACCAGGTCCTCTTCTCTCCTAGGCTCCAACTACTCCACTTGTGCCAGCTGTCCTAGCTGCCCAGACCGCTGGATGAAATATGGTAACCATTGTTATTATTTCTCAGTGGAGGAAAAGGACTGGAATTCTAGTCTGGAATTCTGCCTAGCCAGAGACTCACACCTCCTTGTGATAACGGACAATCAGGAAATGGTAAATGCAAACATTTAGAAAATGTAGGGTTTTTGTTTTGTTTTTGTTTTTGTTTTTAAACTGCTATTTAAATGTATCATGTATCCTCTTTTAAGGAACAGAAGGAATCTGTGATTTGGGGGGGATACTATATTCTTCCCCTTCCCTCTTCTTCTCTTTCCTCTTCTACTTCTGCCTTCTTCCCTCTCCCTCCCCACTCTTTACCCTTATGCTGTCTGACCCAACAAACCTCAGTTACAGCAACCCAGATGCTTGTATAGCATGTAAGTGTGTATGTGGGGCAAGGAGGCAGAAGGATGGTGAGTGTTTTGGAGAGGAATGAGACCTGAAATACAGGTCTAGTTAAAAGAAGTCTTAGGTCCGGAAACCTACAGGTCCAACAACAAGGCAGCAGATTCTTTTTTTTTTTTTTTTGACAGAGTCTCCCTCTGTCATCCAGGCTGGAGCACAGTGGTGTGATCTTGGCTCACTCCAACCTCCGCCTCCCAGGTTCAAGCGCTTCTCCTGCCTCAGCCTCCCAAGTAGCTGGAACTACAGGCGTGTGCCACCATGCCTGGCTAATTTTTTGTATTTTTAGTAGAGATGGGATTTCACCATGTTAGCCAGGATGGCCTTGATCTCCTGACCTTGTGATCTGCCCGCCTCGGCCTCCCAAAGTGCTGGGATTACAGGCATGAGCCACCGTGCCAGTCCTTATATAGTGGAACTTGGGAGGGAGGGAAAGATAGAGATCACGGGGACAGAGTGATTGTGGCAAGGGCTTAAATGCCTTCTTTTAAAAAGTTTTCCCTTAATTCACTGGAATCCAATAAGTTCCAGACTGCAATGTTGAGAAAGTTGGGATATAAGGAAGAAAACACGCGTGCACGTGCATGTGTGTGTGTGTGTGGTGGCCTCCACTTCCTTCAGGCCCCTCAGATCCTTCCTATCCACCCAGCAATCTCTTGGAAAAGAGCTTGCTATTGGTCCTAGACCATCTCAAGGCAATACAAGGAACTGACATCCTGAGGTTGCCTAGTATAAAAATCAATCAAATTCTAATTTGTCAACATAAATAACATCTATAAGGAAAACAAGAAATCTTAGTTTTGTGTTAGTGCTAATTTGATACTGATTTTTGTGTTTTGCTATTGTTTTCTGTTTTCTTTTATTGGGTAGGATCTAGTCACAGAGAACAATTTATTGAGAATTAAACTATATTAACTTACCTTGGGAAAAATCCAGAGGTTACTCTAAAGCAGTGGGGGAGAACATATAGTTCCTAAATTTTATAGCTACCTATATAACTACCTATATAAAGCATACAGATTCTTGTTTTCTGCCAAAGGAACACTTACTCCTTTGGAATTCCACATAGAATCTAAACTCTAAATCATTCCACATTTGTGACTAACTTTTTTTTTTAAAGCCTTCTCTAAGTGAGGTGGCAGAATGCATTGAGTTGTATTAATTAAACATGAGTTCTTAGTTTTATGGCCTCCAGCAATATAGCCTTGCTTTCTGGACCTTGTTGTAGCAACTCCTATTCTCATTCTGATATAGTGACTCTCAGGATTTGAGCTGACTAAAGTCAGTAGCAGAAGTGAGCCATGAACTTGAAACATTGAGGGCAAAACTGATAAACAGGAGTCGTGAGTCATAGCACAAGACACTGCCACAGAAAATTGTGGTGTAGCAGCTGCTATAAATTTCACAGTGTGATCATGAGAGGTGAGGAGGGAAAGGATGAAGGGCACAGAATATCTGGGAAAATGGCAATATTTCTGTTTCTCTGAGGAACCCAGAGGAAGGGCAGGATCATTAGAGGGATTTTGTCCTTCCTCTGCTTCCTGACATGCCCCCATTCCTTAGACTATTGTTGAGTAAAACCAGCAGAGTTACATTCACTGCATTTCCAAATTGAGTTTATTTTCTCCTAAGGCTCCTTGGGGCCAAGTCAGTGCTGGAGAGGGCGGAATGTCCCTGCTAGATGTCATAAGTTTTACTTTTAACATTCCTGTGGAATCTTACTTGATTCTCTGGTTTAATTCTTTTTCTTGCTCCGGCTTTTGTCAGATTCTGTAGAACCAAATTGATTTTACGTGCCCTGCTGCGTCTGTTGTTCTAGTGTTATTATTCTTTTGTTCTCAGGGCAAGATTTACATACTATTTTGAGGTATGTACAATGTTTCTAGTATCATACTGGGGTCTGAGCCACTACCAAAAAAGCAAGAAGTAAAAATAAAAAAGAGAGCTCTATGGATCTATTAAAACTGAAGTTTTTCAAACTGACATTCCATTGGTGGAGAGTGCTGCTAGAGAATTTTGTTGCTATATGTAGAATCTACAGGCCTATGGAAAATATCCCTCTTATGCTGTTAAACGGTCATCTTTCAGTGAGATGCTTACGTAGAGTTCACCTCCTATCTTAGATCACTTACGGCAAAGTGTACAATAATAACAGAGGCTACCATGGATTGAGCACTTGCTTTTTGCCAGATGTTTTATGTATAGTATTCTTTTTTTTTTTCTTTTTGAGATGGAGTTTTGCTCTTGTTGCCCAGGCTGAAGTGCAGTGGCACAATCTCGGCTCACTGCAACCTCTGCCTCCAGGGTTCCAGCAATTCTCCTGCCTTAGCCTCCCAAGTAACTGGGGTTACAGGCGCCTGCCTCCACGCCCGACCTTTATGTATAGTATTCTTAATCGTCACAGCAATTCTAAAAAGTAGAGTTCAACATCCCCATTTTGTTGGTGAATGAATAAAATTCAGAGGAATTGGCTGGGCATAGTGGCTCCTGCCTGTAATCCCAGCACTTTTGAGAGGCTGAGGTGGGTGGATCACTTGAGGTCAGGCGTTCGAGACCAGCCTGGCTAACATGGTGAAACCCCATCTCTGCTAAAAATACAAAAATTAGCTAGGCGTGCTGTTATGCACCTGTAATCCCAGCTTCTTGGGAGGCTAAGGCACCTGAATCGTTTGAACCCAGGAGGTGGAGGCTGCAGTGAGCTGAGACTGCACCACTGCACTCTAGCTTAGGCAGCAGAGTGAGACACTGTCTCAAAAAAAAAAATTCGGAGAATTAATGAGTGTAAGTCTAAGGCTACAAATCTGGCAGAGCCAAATTTTAAATTCTACTCCAGTGGGCATGGTGGCTCACACCTGTAATCCTAGCACTTTGCGAGGCCATGGCAGGTGGATTGCTTGAACCCAGAATTCAAGACCAGCCTGGGCAACATGGCAAGACCCTGCCTCTACAAAAAAATACAGAAATTAGCTGGGTGTGGTGGCGCACACCTGTGGTCCCAGCTACTCGGGAGGCTGAGGTGAGAGAATCCCCTGAACCCAGGAAGTAGAGGCTGCAGTTAGCCGTGATCACACCACTGCACTCCAGCCTGGGCAACAGAGCGAGACTCTGTCTCAAAAAAAAAAAAAAAAATCCACATCAACTCACCTTCAAAGTCACTTATAGAAATATCGTATTTGACAGCTTCCAGAATCCATTTTGCATATGTTCAACAAGACAACTTTTTCTACTAATTGTCTTCTGGTTTCTTTTCTATACATATTTAAAAATTTTTTTGAATTGACATACAGAATGTACATTGTATGACCGTGGATATTTAAATTTATTTATTGTGATGAGGTCTCACTATGTTGCCCAGGCTGGTCTTGAACTCCTGGGCTCAAGTGATCCTCTCGCCTTGGTCTCCCAAAGTGCTGGGATTATAGGCTTAAATATATTTAAAATAGTGAGATGCTTTCTTATTATCTCTTTTTTTTTTCTATCTGGGACTTCAAGATTATTCTTGATAGAGAAAATAAAATGGAAATTAAATTTCTCTGTTATTTTCTCATTTTTGTGTTAACATTATGGCATCAGCCCTTGCTTCTTCTTGCCCTATGAGTATATCTTTAGATGTTTGGATATATTCAAATTCTTGATTTTTCTTGCCATTTTTCCCCCACCAAGCTCAGTTCATCCTGGATGTTGTTAGCCTGGTTCCTTATAGTTATTGGTATGTTATTTTAAAGTATGCATTCGTTAGTGAGTTCCCAGTGAAACTGCTTTGATTTCTTTAAATCTATTCTGATGCTCCTTGCCCTATAATATCTCTCTTCCTCATTATCATAATTTGGAATTATATGATCCAACTTTACTCTTGCAACAACCTCTCATTCAACTTTACCTATCTTCCTGACCTTGGGATTCCCCGAGCTTTTGATGTCGGCTTCTCACATATTTAGGATTTACATCTAATAATATCCAAAGTTTCCTTCTTTGGGTGCAGCAATGCAAACACTATGGTAACATGGTCACTTTTCTGTATATTTTTAATCAGGTAATGAAAACAGCTTGGTTTCTTTCAGACAGTCATGAGTGTGCTTTTACTATATTTCTTACTAGCTATGCGAACTTCAACAACTTTCTTAACCTTTTTGACTCTCAGTTTCCTCATGTACAAAGTGAAGATAAAACTTTCTAGACTGTCCGGGCGTGGTGGCTCACGCCTGTAATCCCAGCACTTTGGGAGGCCGAGATGGGTGAATGATTTGAGGTCAGAAGTTCAAGACCTGGCCAACATAGTGAAACCCCATCTATACTAAAAATACAAAAATTAGCTGGGTGTGGTGGCACGTTTCTGTAATCCCAGCTACTCAGGAGGCTGAGGCAGGAGAATCACTTGAGCCCCGGAGGCAGAGGTCTCAGTGAGCCGAGATCAGGCCACTGCACTCCAGCCTGAGAGACAGAGTGATACTCTGTCTCAAAAACACAAAAAACTCAAAAAACAATATAAAGCCCAGAGCCAAAAATAACTTTTACTTTGCTCTTCTGTGTCCCAAGACATACAATTTCAGTAAAATATGCATCACAGAGTAAATTATGACTTGTTGAATTGAGTATATTGTTTATGAGGAAATCTGAGATGACATGTCAGAAGATTCAAAGAAATGGCTGGAAACACAGCATAGATGGTAGGGGAATTGCTTTACTCTGGAGGTCTTCACAGTCTGGTAATGTGCATCTTTTGTCACGCTTCTTTATAATCAGATTAAGCAGCTAGTGTCAACTGCATAACAAGGGATGGGCATGATAAGCTAGGATATTTCCACTATTTTTTAACTTAAAAAATTGTGGGAAAATATGCATAGCATAAAATGTACTATTTTAACCATTTTCAAGTGTACAATTGAGTGGCATTAAGTACATTCACATTGTTGTACAACCATCACTACCATCATCTCCAGAACTTTTTCATCATCCCCAGTTGAAGCTCTGTACCTCTTAAACAATAACTCCCCTCCCTCTAGCCCCTGGTAATCACTATTCTACTTACCATATCTATGTATTTGCCTATTCTGTCCTTTAGTGTCTCACTTATTCACTTAGAACACTGTTTTCAAGGTTCTTCCGTGTTGTAGCATGTATCAAAGTTATGGCTGAATAACATTCTATTATATGGATATACTACATTTTGTTTGTCCATTTATTCATCAGTGGATACCTGGGATGCTTCAACCTTTTGACTGTTGAGAGTAAGGCTGCTGTGAATTTGGATATCCATCTATTGACAGACACTGTTTCCACAAGCTTTTAAAAAGTGGAGCAAATGATGGTTTACGGAGCAGGGCTTACTGACTTTTAGCATTGTGTACTTACACAAAATTATAGGGAAAATTCTTATTGATATTAAGCTCTAGTAATTTGTAACCTGTCAGATTTTCCTTTGAAATTTCTTAACGTTATTTGCATGTTTTTAGATGATGGTAATTAATGTGTTCATATTATAGGATATCTGAAAAGTCTGGAAACAGGCTAAACTTATTTTTAAACAGTATGTTGGTTACATTTTCAAGTAATATGCTCTATATTTTTACTCAATCTTGAGACATGTTTTCAAGTGAAACATCTCTAAATTTAAAGCAATAGATATAATTATTTTTAGACCTTATGAGTACTCTGTATTGTAAATTTTTTTCAAATTAGTAATTACATCCTTTGCTTTAAATACTTCACCTGAAAAAGTGTCTGAAGAAAAACATATTAATGATATTATTTTAAAATATGAGACTGTAGGGTTCCCCAGTGCCTGGCTTTCTTTCTGTGTATTGGCTGAAAATCGCAGAGGGCCTTGACCGCTCTGTGACCCGCCCAGCTACAGGTTTTTCCCCTGCAGGCTCTACCCAAACCCCAGCCTTGAACATTTCCAGTCACTGATAAAGGTATCTAGGTTGCTGCTCAAAACACTGAAATAAACTAGCCCCAGCCCTAAGTCAGATTCCTTAAACCCTCATAAAATCTCCATCTCTGACCCCCTGGCCGTGGACATATGTAGGTCAAATGCTCCTTTTCTCTGGCTGTCCATCGTGAGTGTTGCTGCAGCCCTCTGTAACTTCCCCTAATAGATGCTTTGCACAGATCACCTTGACATTTAGTGCTTTATTCTATGGTATCCCAACCAACCCCATCTCATGATGATTTGGGGTCCTCCCTTGTGGGAATTCCCCTGTCGCTGCTTTTGGGATGATTTCAGCCATGGGTTTGGTGGGACAAAACAGAGATATACTGCCTAAAAATACATTTATCCTATGTTTTTAGGTGTTTTGGAACCCATTATTTTGTATTCTGCTTTTATCAAATAGCATTATTTCATTCTTGGTTTTTGCTAAGCATTAAATTATTCCAGGTAATAAAAAGTTGCAACCAGATTTTATTTTATTTTTTATTTAGTTTTAAATATTATTTTTATACGTCTTGCATCATTCCACTATTGCTTAAATCTTTTCATATTCTTAGATAAAATTCTCCTTGTTTTCAATTGTCATGAGCTGTGAGCATATTTATAGAAATCATTTTGCTTGCAGTTATTTATTTACATTATATTCCCTAAAATTAAGTTGGCTAATCAAAAGATAAGATTTTATAGTTTTGATGTATTATTAGTTTTTCTTAATATGGGTTGAAATAACTTACATACATTCTGTAAACCATTTTAATTTGGAAGTTTAAGGGGTATGCTTTGTGCCTTAATGATATTTTAATTTCAATTAAAAATACTACATACAGAAGTGTATGTGGAAGGTATAAATGTTGAACTAAAAAAGCAAAAAAGGAAAAGAAAAGAAAAAGTGCCCTTGATTTTATTTGTTTGGGTTTTATCTTCACTTTGCTTTTAGGGTTTGCATTTTTTCTAAAATATAAGCAAACATTACAAACTCTAAGTGACATAACACCTAAGTGTTCTAGCTCACACCCTCTCTGGGTGACAAGAGTTCTCAGTTACCACCTTTACCTATACTTTTGTTGTTGTTGTTGTTGTTGTTGTTTGAGACTCTCACCCAGGCTGGAGTGCAATGGCACAATCTCATCTCACTGCAACCTCCACCTCCTAGGCTCAAATGACCCTCCTGTCTCAGCCTCCTAAGTAGCTGGGACTACAGGCATGTGCCACCATGCCCAGCTAATTTTCATATTTTTTGTATTAATGGAGTTTTGCCATGTTGCCCAGGCTGGTCTCGAACTCCTGGGCTCAAGAGATTTTCCTGCCTTGGCCTCTCAAAGTGCTGGAAGTACAGATGTGAGCCACTGCACCAGACCGATTTGTACTTTCATGCTGCTTCTATATTCTCTCTCTTTCTAATACACACACACACACACACACACACACACACACACATTATCCATGAGTACATAGAATATAAGGTTATTGTACTATGGTTTTGAAGGCCTCTTCCAAGTGGGAAGATTTTCGAGTGAAAGTGCCATAATAAACATTTTCAATATCCAGCCTCACCAATGAGAAGTTGTAAGAGGACTGACTGATCAAGTGATTTAGAATTATATGGGTCTTGAGGGTAGTAAATGAGCACAGGATTGGGGTTTGTACGTGGGCATTACCTAATCCTAGCTCTGCAGATTCTAACTGAAATTTCTGAGCAAATCTTTATCAATTTCTGTGCTTCATTAGCTGCCGTTCCTCCTCTTGAAATGAAAGAAAAAGAAATGGACTGTTTTTCTCATTATCAGTGGAGAAATGGGGAATCACTCTTTTTTTCCTTTTGTTAATTTTATTTATTTTTTCAAATATTTAGCTTACAATTTTTGATTTGAATATACTCAAATTTTATATACTTTGAATGCAGTAACATTTATTTTTGAATCTTTTAGATCATGGCTATCATTCACACCAATTTTGTGAAAATATTAAAAAAAATCCATTCTTTTTTTCCTAATTTAAATAATTCTTTAAACAAGTTGGTTAAGAAATGCAAAAATTTTAAGCTATCTTGAAAATTACAGTGTCATTTCATCTGTCGTATACTTCATTCACTCTCCGGTCTACCTTCTTACCCCCAGCATGCACAGTTAAGTGCTCCACAGAGAGAAAGTAAAAAATACAGAGTTTGTGTTCAGAGGGTTTTTTTTTTCTTTTTCTTTTTTATTATTATTATACTTTAAGTTTTAGGGTACATGTTCACAATGTGCAGGTTAGTTACATATGTATACATGTGCCATGCTGGCGTGCTGCACCCATTAACTCGTTATTTAGCATTAGGTATATCTCCTAATGCTATCCCTCCCCCCTTCCCCCACCCCACAACTGTCCCCAGAGTGTGATGTTCCCCTTCCTGTGTCCATGTGTTCTCATTGTTCAATTCCCATCTATGAGTGAGAACATGCGGTGTTTGGTTTTTTGTCCTTGCGATAGTTTACTGAGAATGATGATTTCCAATTTCATCCATGTCCCTACAAAGGACATGAACTCATCATTTTTTATGGCTGCATAGTATTCCATGGTGTATATGTGCCACATTTTCTTAATCCAGTCTATCATTGTTGGACATTTGGGTTGGTTCCAAGTCTTTGCTATTGTGAATAGTGCCACAATAAACACACGTGTGCATGTGTCTTTATAGCAGCATGATTTATAGTCCTTTGGGAATATACCCAGTAATGGGATGGCAGGGTCAAATGGTATTTCTAGTTCTAGATCCCTGAGGAATGGCCACACTGACTTCCACAATGGTTGAACTAGTTTACAGTCCCACCAACAGTGTAAAAGTGTTCCTATTTCTCCACATCCTCTCCAGCACCTGTTGTTTCCTGACTTTTTAATGATTGCCATGTGTTCAGAGAGTTTTAACTTCTTGCAGCATAATACCTAATTGTGTGTTCTTTATTTCTATAGATACTTATTAAACATAATTTTTTAAAAAAGAGATGGGATCTTGCTCTGTTACCCAGGCTGGAGAGCAATGGCATGATCACAGCTCACTTTAGCCTCAAACTCCTGGGCTCAAGTGATCCTCCTCCCTGCCTCTGCCTCCCAAGTACATGTCACCAAGTACAAGCACATGCCACCATGCCTGGTTGGCTACATTTTTTACTTTTCGTAAAGATAGAGTGTTACTATGTTGTCCAGGCTGGTCCTGAACTCCTGGCCTCAAGTAATCCTCTCACCTTGGCCTCCCAAATTGCTGGTATTACAGGCAGGAGCCACTGTGCCTGGTCTGCATTTATTGAGTATAATTTTATATATTTTTCTAGGTGCTAGGGATATGGTAGTCAAGAGTTGTTGCTATTATAATGTTTACATTTTATTTATTATTTTTAAGGAAAATGATATTTTAAATTTAGTTTTGTTATTAACATTTTTTTAAATTGGCACATAATAATTATATATATAGGGTATTTATCCGAAGGAAATAAAATCAGTATGTTGAAGAGATATGTTCACTCTCATATGTATTGTAGCAATATTGACAATAGCCAAGATATGAAATCAACCAAAATGTTCAACAACAAATAAATGGATAAATGAAACTAACACAAGAACAGAAAACCAAACACCGCATGTTCTCACTTATAAGTAGGAGTTGAACAATGAGAACACATGGACACAGGGAGGGGAACATCACACACCGGGCCTGTCGGGGGGTGGGGGGCAAGGGGAGGGATAGCACTAAGAGAAATACCTAATGTAGGTGACTAGTTGATGGGTGCAGTAATCCACCATGGCACGTGTATACCTATGTAACAAAACTGCACATTCTGCACATGTGCCCCAGAACTTAAAGTATAATAATAAAAAATGAAATAAAGAAAATGTGTATGTATACACCATAGAATACTAATCAGCCATGGAAAATAAAGAAATCCTGTCATTCATAGCAGAATGGATGGAACTAGAGGACACTGTGTTAAGTGAAATAAACCAGGAACAGAAAGTTAAACACTGCATGTTCTCGCTTATGTGAAAACTAAAAAAAATGTTGACCTCAGAACAGACGATACAAGAAGCTGAGAATGGCTGGGGATGGGGAGGTTAGGGAGAGTTATGTTAAAGGATACAAAATTACAGCTAGATAGGCAGAATAAGTTCTAATGTTCTATAGCAATGGTCTCCAAGATGTTTAGCACCAGGCACCAGTTTCGTGGAAGACAATTTTTCCATGGACCGTTGCTGGGGGCTGGTTTCAGGATGAAACTGTTCCACCTCAGATCATCAGGCATTAGTTAGATTTTCTTAAGGAGCAGGCAACCTAGATCCCTCACATGTGCAGTTCACGATAGTGTTTGTACTCCTATGAGAATCCAATGCCACCGCTGATCTGCTGATCTGACAGGGGGCAGAACTCAGGCGGTAATGCTGGCCCGCCTAGCCGCTCACCTCCTGCTGTGCAGCCCAGTTCCTAATAGGCCACAGACCAGCACCTTGCATGGCCTGAGGGTTGGGGACCCTTGTTCTATAGCACTGCAGGGTAATCTATAGTTAACAACCATTTATTGTATATTTTCAAATAGCTAGAAGAGAGGATTTTGAATGTTCCCAACACAAAGAAATAGTAAATGTTTGAAGTGATAGGCTAATTATCCTGCTCTGATCATTACACATTGCATACATGTTACGTGTGCTTTCATTTTCTTCGGAAGAGACAGACTAAATAAATGAATATGGTGATATGTGCTTTAAAGAAAATGAAACAGTATGATATAATAGTAAATGTGAATACTATTTTAGATTGGTTAGTTAAGGAAGGCCTCTTTGGGGAGGGAACATTTGAGTTGATATCTAGACCTGATTGACAGCCATGTAGAAATCTCGGGTAAGATATTCCAGGCAGAGGGAAAAGCTATGCAAAGACCTTAAAGCAAGAATGACCTTGGCATGTTAAAGGAAAAGAAAGAAGGCTCATGTGGCTGGAACCTAGGAAGTGAGTAAATGGTTAGTAGGGGCTAGATTGTGTAGGACTGTGCGTACATAGTAAGGATTTTAGATTTTATTCTATGTGAAAAGTGAGACTACTGGAGAACATTAATCAGGGGCACAGAGTGATTAAAAGTTTAGCACTGGGAGAGAAAAGTTGGATGATTATTTGAAAAGGAGACTTGGATGAATTCTTTCACCCACATGACCTTGTCTTCTCATCTCTAAAGGTGAGGATAATAATAGTTGCCTACCTTCCAAGATTGTCAAGAATTTCATAACTGGAAAGAATCCTAGAAAATATCTAACCTAAATCCTCATAAAGAAGTTGACGCTCAGCCAGATTAAACCACCTGCTTATCTTCAGATAGGAGGACAGAGCTAGGAGGCTCCAGAATTTTGTTTCTGCTTTGTTTTCCTAAATGCCATACTGTATATTCAGTATTTCAAATGATACTGGGAATGAACGCAAAGGGATTTTGCAAACCTTAGAGTACAATACAAATGTAAGAGATAATTGTTTTCAGGATACTGGGCTCTGAGAGAACAAAGTTATCATAAGGAATAGATTATTTGGGAAGAAAAGCACTGATAAACAAGTTGTACTGATTTTTCAAATGCTTTGTCTAGGAGCCACCACAGTCATGTCCTGAATGGAAACAGGACTGAAACCCAGTGAAGAGAAAATAGAGGTTATTCTGACCATGAGAAATAGCACAAAAGACTCCTTTTCTCTCCTGTAGTGTCTCCACTAGAAGTGCAAAGAGGCTTTTTGCCTCTCTTTATTTTATTTTGTTTTTTTGAGACAGAGCCTCACTCCGTCACCCAGGCTGGAGTGCAGTGATGCCATCTCGGCTCACTGCAATCTCTGCCTCCTGGGTTCAAGCGATTCTCATGCCTCAGTCTCCCAAGTAGCTGGGATTACAGGTGCCCGCCACCATGCCTAATTTTTTATTTTTATTTTTGTTTTTAGTAGAGACAGGCTTTTTGTACCACATTCACCAGGCTGGTCTCAAACTTCTGACCTCAAGTGATCCACTAGCCTCGGCCTCCCTAAGTGCTGGGATCACAGGTGTGAGCCACTGTGCCTGGCCCTCCCTTAACTTTAGAAGAGCAACTCTTTATTTGTGCTGATGCAGGGTCCAAGTAGGCAAAGAGACAGTTAAGAGCAGAGCCCATAAATGTTTACTCTTCAGCAACCATCTTTCAGGAGTGGAATAAAAACAACATCAAAATGGGACATCTGGTGGTATCATAATCACCATAGGCAGTTGAAATTGTATTGCTTTCTTAGTAGTTTCTAGATAAAAAAGAATATTTTATTCCAAAGGTATTTAACCAATTAAGCTGTCATTAGAAAATATTGAAAGTGTAATTGTTAATTACACCAACACTAAATCCTACAACAAAATTACCTTGGATTATCTTTCTAACCTTTTATTTTAATCTATTTTAATCTTTAACATTTTATTTTATTTCATTTATAGAGGCAATTCTCTTTGGATATAAACTTCTTCATTTGAATGTCAGACTTTGCAGATCAAAGTCTTTTATCTCTGTTCTGTTGGGTAACGTGGCACACATAAGTGGTGTAGCCAATTTACCTTTACCTTAAACTTGTTCCCTTAAGAACTGTTTTTTTCTTGCCACATACAAGATTGATGAGGATGCGGAAAATGAGACCTCAGTGGGGAAAAAAACAAGAATATTGCTATAGGCTTAATCGTAATTTATATATTTAAGGATGATGGGAAAGATGACCACTTCTGCAGCAAATGTTTAGCTTCTTTCTTTTGAAATAATCTGAATACCTATCAGGTGCTCCCTTTAATTAAGGAGAAAATTGCAATGGAAGGTAGAGATGTAATATTATCTTATTTGCTACATTATAAGAATCCAGTTATTGACAGAAAGGTCAATTCTAGGATGCTGCTCCTCTCTACAGCTAACACATCTTTAGAATTAGATGTTAAATGAGAAATTAGTTATTTAGAGTGAATAATTGTCTTAGCTTGGGCTGCTCTAACAAAATACCATAGACTGGATCGCTTGAACAACAGATGTTTCTCTCTCTCAGTTCTGAAGGCTGGAAAATCCAACATCAAGGTTCTCTGGCTCCTGGTGAGGACCTACTTCTGGCTTGCACATGGCTGCCTTTTTGTTGTATCCTCACTTGGCAAAGAGAGTGCTTTGATCTCTTCCTCCTCTTATAAGGACACTAATTGCATCATGGAGGCCCCACCCTCATGGCCTCATCTACACCTAATTACTTGCTAAAGGCTTCACCAGCAGATTTCATCACATTAGGGGTTAGGGGTTCAACATATTGATTTTAGGACGCATTCAGTCCTTAAGAGTGGTGATGATGGAGGCTGTAAGGAATGCTAGTTTGTCTTTTAATTAATTACTTAACTTAGTATTAGGAATCCAATGTGGAAAGGAATAATTGTTTGACTGTGACACTAGGTCCCTTTTTTGGTTTTCAACCTCTCCCTTAGAGCCTGCTCCAAGTTTTCCTCAGTGAGGCCTTTTGCTGGATTGGTCTGAGGAACAATTCTGGCTGGAGGTGGGAAGATGGATCACCTCTAAACTTCTCAAGGTAAGGGGCTTCAAAGGAATGCAAAAAAAGAGAGAGAGGAAAAAGGAAAGCCAAATTATGATACTTGGGGAATAGATAAAGAAGAGCAGATGGAGAGGAGAGGAAAGAATGAAAAGGAGAGGAAATAGGGAACAAGGAAGGGAATGAACAATGGGTAAGGGCAAAAAAAAAAAAAAAAAGGATAACATTTTAAAGAGAGGCTGATGAACAATTTTAATTCTTCTGCTGTTTGGGGGAATTAGGGGCCTGAATAGGGAGACAGAATTTGCTTCATTTTTATCCCTTCATGCCTTTCAACTCCTTTTCTGTGCATGCGGCCTTAAGTGATTGACTTTTCTGATTTCTTACAGGATTTCTTCTAATAGCTTTGTGCAGACATGCGGTGCCATCAACAAAAATGGTCTTCAAGCCTCAAGCTGTGAAGTTCCTTTACACTGGGTGTGTAAGAAGGTCAGACTTTGATAGATGACCACTCTGTCCTGACCCTCAGATCTGTCATGTATCCCTAAAAGGAGGGAGCTGGCCACTGGCTGTTGGGAAAGCCATGAGTATATAGTTAGCAAATACTGAACTTTCTCAGATATGGCATTAGATGCAAGACAACCTCCTAGGGATTGATGCCTAACTGATGGATTCTCTTTGAGACTATTTAGATATTATGTGAGCAATTTAAAGACCAGATCTAAGCAAATTTTGAAATAGATGTTTGTTTTTTGTATTTCTCAGTATGGAAACTAATGCTGCCACTCTCATCCCCGTCCCAACCATCTCTGTCAAAAATATACCTTTTTCATATGATATTCTGAGCTAATCTGATAAAATCTATGCCAATATATACTATTGCTTGTGTACTAGAGAAGTACATTATTGCTGTACTCCTCTGTACATTACTGATCCCTGATGGTATATTTCTATCCTAACAGTGTCCCTTTGCAGATCAAGCTTTATTCTGAAGAATAAACCTAGCTGGCATGCTGGTGTGTACCTGTAGTCCTAGCTATTTGGGAAGCTGAGGTGGGAGGGTCGCTTGAGCCCAGGAGTTTGAGGCTGCAGTGAGCTATGATTGTGCCACTGTACTCCAGCCTGGGAGATAGAGCAAGACTCCATCTCTAAAAAAAAAAAAAAATGCTAATGTGAGAATATAAATTGTGGGAAATGAGTGAGGGCAAGGTGGTACTTCCTCCTTCTGAGCTCTTCACACGTAATGCAAAAACCCGGTCTTAACTGATTTTGTTTTTTTTCTGAGTATGCATATATGTGGTTGAATGAACCAATGTGTGATTGTATCTTTTCCATTATGTGACTGTTTGACCTGCATATTAATTTCAAGATAGCAGTCAATTCGATAAGGCATTTTCATAGAGGAAAGTTTACAGAAACAGTTTATGTGGTTGGATCACCAAATTATCTTAGGTACTAAGGCCTCAAAAATAAGAAAAACTTTATTATTTCTCCTCAGTAGAGTTTGGACATACATAAGGAGAGAAGGTACAGTGATGAAGGAGACCATAATTCTGTAGTGTTGATGATCCTGGATTATAATCTTTTTCTCTTTATCTTTCATAGTTTTTTTAAAAACATGGACTGTATCTTATCTACCACTATATCCCAAATACCTAAGATAGTGCTTACGTTCAGTGACTATTAAATAAATAAATGGATGAATTAAAAAGTAAGAATGAAAACTGTTCATTCTAGTTATTTCTGTTAGCCCATAAATTAGAGGAATTGAAGATGAGAAAAACAGTATATCCTAATCCTCCCTAACTCACCAATATGAGTCTTCAGTAGCTAACTCTACAAAGGCAAAGGGCCAGTTAATCTGGATACAATGCTCATAGAAGGAAGTCGTGGAAACAAGCTCCCATCCCCTAGTGATCTCTTCCCTTTGGTTCTGGTGCAGGAAGTATCCCTTAGTTATGAATATTTTGGTAGTGACTCTCAATTAAGGATGTAATGATAGCGATTCCATGTGGGCCATGGCTTGGCTACTACAGGGTGCACAATTTCATTTACTTATTGAAAGATAAGAAAAGGAGAACTACAGTCGGGTCTTAAATTCTCATCTGAGCAGGCAGGATGTGTGCAGACCTCCTCTGTGACTAGGGTTCAGGCCTTTTATAAGGATTCATCCACCTATTGTCAGAATTGGGTGTAGTTCTTCACTGCTTTGTCTCCCTTAAGGTTGTTACAAGAGAAGTAACAGTTTACTTCCTGGTTGCTTATTTATTCCTTAGACTTATTTATGAAGGGCTGGGGTCAGTTAGTAACTCAATTCTTGCACCTTACCTAGTGAAATAAAGTTTGGTAAAACTAGAAACTAACATTTTTTGATTAGCACTTACATTGCACAGTGGACTTCTTTGATGAACATTATACATTAAACATATCTGGGACATTCAGTGTTTGGAATAGGACATTTATTAAAGATAATAACAGAGCAGTCACAAAATTAAAATGAAGAAAATCCAGGAACACACAGGAGGAGGTGGAGCAAGAACAAGAAGCCTCCACTGATTTTTCCCCCGCAGGAATACAAATGGAACAATTATCCGCAAAAGAAAGCACCTTCATAAGAACCAAAAATCAGATGAGCAGTCACAGTACCTGGTTTTAACATCATATCAACAAAAGAGGCACTGACGAGGACAGGAGAGACAGTCTTGATTTGCCAATGCCACCCCTTCCCCATCTCCCAGCAGCACAGTGTGGTGTGGAGAGAGAGTCTGTGCTTTGGGGAGGAAGAGTGCTGTGATTATGGGACTTTGCAGTGGAACTCGGTGCAGCTCTGTCAAAGCAGATAGCGACATGGGACAGAAATCAGCCAGTGCCCACAGAGGGAGCATTTAGACCAGCCCTAGCCACAGGGGAATGGCCCATCCCAGTGGTCGGAACCTGAGTTTCTGCTAGTCCCACCACTGCGGCTAAAACACTCTGGGATCCTAAATAAACTTGAAAGGCAATCTAGGCTACAAGGACCACAGTTCCTGGGCAAGTCCTGGTGCTATGCTAGGCTCAGAGCCAGTGGACTTGGAGGGAATGTGACCTAGTGAAACACCAGCTGGGTGGCCAAGGGAGTGCTTGTGTAACCCCTCCTCCGACCCCAGGCAGTGGAGCTTGCAGCTCTGGGAGAGACTCCTTCCTTCCACCTGAGGAGAGGAGATGGAAGAGTAAAGAGGACTTTGTCCTGCAATTTGGATACAGCTCAGCTACAGAAGGATAGGGCACCACCACGCAGAGTCCTAAGGTCCCTATTCTGGGACCTAGTTTCTGGATGATATTTTAAGACCCACTCTGGACCAGAAAGGAATGTGCTGCCTTGAAAGGAAGGACCCAGTCCAGGCAGGATTCATCACCTGCTGACTAAAGAGCCCTTTGGCCCTGAATAATCAGCAGCAGTACCCAGGCAGTGTTTGCCATAGGTATTGGGTGAGATCCAGTGCCATGCGGCTTCCAGTGTGACCCAGCACATTGTTAGCTATGGTAGCCATGGGGAGAGACTTCTTCTGCTTGAGGAAATTAGAGGGAGTTTGGACATAGATAAGGAGAGATTTAACCCAAGACTAATGGGGACTCTGTCTTGCAGCTTAGGTATTAGCTTGGCTACAGTGGGGTAGAGCACCAAGTAAGCACCTGGGGTCCTTGATTCCAGGCTCCTGGACAGCATTTCTGGACCTGCCCTGAGTCAGAGGGGAGGGAGCCCATTGCCCTGAAGGTAGAGACCCAGGCCTGGCAGCATTCACCATAAGCTTACTGAAGAGTCCTTGGGCCTTGAGGGAACATTAGTGATAGCCAGGTAGTGGTTACCACAAGCCTTGGGCGAGACCCAGTGCTATGCTGGCTTCAGGTCTGACCTAGTGCACTCCAAGTTGTGGTGGCCACTAGGGTACTTGTGTCACTATTCCCCAAGCTCCAGATAGCTCAGTATGGAGAGAGAGACTCCATTTCTTTGGGGAAAAGTAACAGAAGATAACAAGAGGCTCTGCCTGGTAATCTAGTAAATTCTCCTGTATCATACCCAAGACCACCAAGGTGGTACTTCTATAAGTCTGCAAGAGTCACAGTGTTACTGGGTTTGTGGTGCTTCCTAATGCAGATATAGCTGCAGTGGCCAAAGACTTAGATCATAACACTCAATTCCCTTTGAATGCTTGGAGAGTTTTCCCAAGAAGGATGGGTACAAACAAACCCAGACTGCAAAGACTATAATAAAAACCTAACTCTTTAATGACCAGACACAAATAAACATCCACAAGCATCAAGACCATCGAGGAAAACATGACCTCACCAAATGAACTAAATAAGGCACCAATGACCAATGCCAGAATGCAGAGATATGACCATTCAGACAGAGAATGTGAAATAGCTGTTTAGAGGAAGCTCAATGAAATTCAAGGTAACTGTGTTAGTCCGTTTTCATCCTTCTGATAAAGACATACCTGAGACTGGGCAATTTACTAAAAAAAAAGAGGTTTAGTGGACTCACAGTTCCATGTGGCCGGAGAGGCCTCACAATTATGGTAGAAGGTGAAAGGCACATCTCACGTGGCAGCAGACAAGAGAAGAGAACTTGTGCAGGGAAACTCCCCTTCATAAGACCATCAGATCTCATGAGACTTATTCACTATAATGAGAATAGCATGGGAAAGACCCACCCCCATGATTCAATTACCTCCCACCAGGTACCTCCCACCAGGTCCCTCCCACAACATGTGGGAATTGTGGGAGCTATAATTCAAGATGAGATTTGGGTGGGGCATAGCCAAACCACATCAATAACATAGAGAAGGAATTCAGAATCCTATCAGAAAAACTTAACAAAGAGAACAAAAATTTAACAAAAATAAGTTTGAAAAATCAAGCAGAAATTCTAAAGCTGAAAAATTCAGTTGACTTACTGAAGAATGCATCAGAGTCTCTCAACAGCAGAACTGATCAGTTAGAAGAAGGAAGCTCAAAGACAGGTTGTTTGAAAATATACAGGCAGAGGAGACAACAGAAAAAAGAATAGAAAAGAATGAAGCATGCCTACAAGATGGAGAAAATAGCCTCAAAAGGCCAAATCTAATTGTTTTGACCTTAAAGAGGAGGTAGAGACAGAGACTGGGGTAGAAAGTTTATTCAAAGGGATAACAACAGGGAACTCTCCAAACCTAGAGAAGAATATCACTATTCAAGCACAAGAAGGTTATAGAACACCAAGTAGACTTAACTCAAATAAGACTACATTTAATAATTGAACTTCCAAAGGTCAAGGATAAAGAAAGGATCCTAAAAGCAGCAAGAAAAAAGAAACAAATAACATACAAAGGAGCTCCAATATGTCTGACAGCAGACTTCTCAGTGGAAACCTTACAGGTCAGGAGAGAGTGGCATGATATATTTAAAGTGCTGAAGGAAAAAAACTTTTACCCTAGAGTAATGTATCCAGTGAAAATATCCTTCAAACATGAGGGAGAAATAATGACTTTCCCAAACAAACAAAAGCAGAAGGATTTAGTCAACACTAGATCTGTTGTATAAGAAATGCTAAAGGGGGTTCTTCAATCTGAAAGAAAAGAACATAAGATGCAATAAGAAATCATCTGAAGGTACAAAACTCACTGGTAATAGTAAGTACACAGACAAACAGAATATTATAACACTGTAATTGTGGTGCATAAACTACTCATATCTTGAGTAGAAAGACTAAAAGATTAACCAAAAAAAAAAAACTACCACAACTTTTTAAGACATGGACAGTACAATAACATAAATAGAAACAACAAAAAGTTAAAAAGTGGTGGCATGAAGTTAAAGTGTAGAGTTTTTATTTGTTTTCTCTTTGCTTCTTTGTTTATTCAATCAGTGTTAAGTTGTCATCAGTTTAAAATAATGGGTTATAAGATATTATTTGCAAGCCTTATGGTAACCTCAAATAAAAAAACATACAACAGATACACAAAAAATAAAAAGCAAGAAATTAAAACATACCGCCAGAGGAAATCACCTTCACTAAGAGGAAAACAGGAAGGAAGGAAAGAAGGAAGAGAAGACCGCAAAACAGCAAGAAGACATATAACAAAATGGCAGGAGTATGTTTTATCAATAACAATATTGAATGTAAGTGAACTAAATTCTCCAATCAAAAGACAGAGTGGCTGAATGGATAAAAACACAAGACCCAACAATCTGTCACCTACAAGAAACACATTTCACTTATAAAAACACAAGTAGACTGAAAATAAAGGGAGGGAAAAAGATGTTCCATGCCAATGGAGACCAAAAAGAGCAGGACTGGCTCTATTTACATCAGACAAAATAGATTTCAAGACAAAAATTATAAAAAGAGACAAGGTCTCTTTGACCTTATGATAAAGATGTCAATTCAGCAAGAGGATATAATAATTAATTGTAAATAAATATGCACCTGACACTGGAGCACCCAGATATATAAAGCAAATATCAGAGCTAAAGAAAGAGATAGACCCCAATGCAATAATAGCTGAAGATTTCAACACCCCACTCTCAGCATTAGACATATCATCCAGACAGAACATCAACAAAGAAACATCAGACTTAATCTGTCCTATAGACCAAGTGGACCTAATAGATATTTACAGAACATTTTATCTAATGGCTGCAGAATATGCGTTCTTCTCCTCAGCATATGGATCATTCTCAAGGATAGATCATATGTTTGGTCACAAAACAAGTCTTTAAAAGTTCAAAAAAATTGAAATCATGTCAGTTATCTTCTCTGACTATAATGGAAAAAAACTAGAAGTCAGTAACAAGAGGAACTTTGAAAACTATATAAACACATGGAAATTAAACAGTATGTTACTGAATGACAGGTGAGCCAATGAAGAAATTAAGAAGGAAGTTAAAAAACTTCTGAAAATAAATGATAATGGAAACATAATACCAAAATCTATGGGATACAATGAAAGCAGTACTAACAGCAAAGTTTATACCTAAAACCACCTACATAAAAAAGTAAAAATGCCTCAAATATACAACTTAACAATGCGTCTTAAAGAACTAGAAAAGCAAGAGCAAATCAAACCCAAAATTAGTAGAAGAAAAGAAATAATAAAGATCAGAGGAGAAGTAAATGAAATTGACATGAAAAAAGATACAAAAGGTCAATGAAACCACAAGTTGGTTTTTTTGAAAAGATAAAATCAGCAAACCTTTAGCCATACTACGTAAGAAAAAAAAGAGAGACGATCCAAATGAGTAAAATCAGAGATAAAAAAAGGAGACATTACAACAAATACAGCAGAAATTCAAAGGATGATTAGAGGCTACTGCAAGCAACTATATGCCAATAAATTGAAAAACCTAGAAGAAATGGATAAATTCCTAGACAGATAAAACCTACCAAGATTGAACCGTGAAGAAATTCAAAACTTGAGCAGACCAATAACAGGTAATGAGGTTGAAGCTGTAACAAAATGTCTCCCAGGAAAATAAAGCCCAGGACCCAGTGGCTTCACTGCTGAAATTTCCCAAACATTTAGAGAATAACTAATACCAATCCTACTCAAATTATTATATTTTATTTTATTTTGAGACAGTGTCTTGCTTTGTTGCCCAGGCTGGAGTGCAGTGGCACGATCTCGGCCCACTACAACCTCTGCCTCCTGGGTTCAAGTGATTCCTCATGCCTCAGCCTCCTGTGTAGCTCAGATTACAGGTGTGCGTCACCACACCTGGCTAATTTTTTCATTTTTAGTAGAGATGGGGTTTCACTATGTTGGCCAGACTGGTCTTGAACTCTAGACTGCAAGTGATCCACCTGCCTCAGCCTCCCAAAGTGCTGGTATTACAGGCGTGAAACACTGTGCCCAGCCCTCAAACTATTTTAAAAAATAGAAAAGGAGGGAATGCTTCCACACTCATTCTATGAGGCCAGTATTACCCTGATACAAAACCAAAGACACACTTTAAAAAATTTCAAACAGGGAGGCCAAGGCGGGCAGATCGCAAGGTCAGGAGTTCAAGACCAGCCTGACCAACATGGCGAAACCTTGTCTCTACTAAAAATACAAAAATTAGCCAGGCGTGGTGGTGGGCATCTGTAATCCTAGCTACTCGGGAAGCTGAGACAGGAGAATCACTTGAACCTGGGAGGTGGAGGTTGCAGTGAGCCGAGATCATGCCATTGCACTCCAGCCAGGGCAACAAGAGTGAAACTCCATCTCAAAAAAAAAAAAAAAAAAAAAAAAAAGAAAAGAAAAAAAATCCCAAACAAACAAACCCAAATGTAAATATCCCTGATAGACATTGATGCAAAAATTTCCTACAAAATATTGGCAAACTGGGTTCAACAACACATTAAAAAGATCATTCATTATGACAAAATGGGATTTATCCCAGGGATGCAAGGATGGTTCAACATGCACATATCAATCAATGTGATACATCATATCAACAGAATGAAGAACAAAAACCATGTGATTATTTCAATTGATGCTGAAAATGCATTTGATAAAATTCAACATCCTTTCATGATAAAAACAGTAAAAAATTGGGTATACAAAGACATACCTCAACACAATAAAAGCCGTATATGAGACAGACCCACAGGTAGTATTATACGTAATGGGGAAAACCTGAAATTGTCTCCTCTAAGATCTGGAACATGACAAGGATGCCCATTTTCACCACCGTTATTCAATATAGTACTGGATGTCCTAGCTAGAGCAATCAGACAAGAGAAAGGAATGAAGGGCATTCACATTGGAAAGGAAGAAGTCAAATCATTCTTGTTTGTAGATGATGTGATATTGTATTTGCAAAAACCTAAAGAGTTCACAAAAAACTATTAAAACTGATTAACAAATTCAGTGAAGTTGCAGGATACAAAATCAGCCTACAAAAAATCAGTAGCATTTCTATATGCCAACAGTGAACAATCTGAAAAAGAAATCAAGAAAGTAATCCTATTTACAATAGCTACAAATAAAATAAAATTACTAAGAATTAACAAAAGAAGTGAAAACCATACAGTGAAAACTGTAAGACATTGATGCAAGAAATTGAAGCGAACACAAAAACAGTAGAAGGATATTCCATGTTTATGGATTGGAAAAATCAACACTATTAAAATGCCCATAGTACCTAAAGCATCAGATCAGATTTAATACAATTCCTATCAAAATACCAATGACATTCTTCACAGAAATAGAAAAAGTAATCCTAAAATTTATATGGAACCACAAACCCAGAATAGCCAAAGCCATCCTGAGCAAAAAAAACAAAAACAAAAACAAAAACAAAACTAGAGGAATCATATTACCTGATTTCAAATTATATTACAGAGCTATAGTAACTAGAACAGCATGGCACTGGCATTAAAAACAGATACATAGACCAATGGAACAGAATAGAGAACTCATAAGTAAATCCATACATTTACAGTGAACTCATTTTCAACAAAGGTGTGAAGAATAAACACTGGGGAAAGGACAGTTTCTTCAATAAATAGTGCTGAGAAAACTGGATATTCATATGCAGAAGAATGAAACTAGACCTTTCTGAGGCTGAGGTGGGAGATCATTTGAGCTCAGGAGTTTGAGACCAGCCTGGGCAACATAGCGAGACCTCATCTCTATTTAAAAAAAAAAAAAAGAAAGAAAGAAAGAAGGAAGGAAGGAAGGAAGGAAAGAAGGAAAGAAACTAGACCCTCCTCTCTCTTGATATACAAAAATTAAATAAAATTGGATTAACAACTTAAATAAAAGACTTCAAATTATGAAACTACTAAAAGAAAACATTGAGGAAACTCTCTAGGACATTGGTCTGAGCAAAGATTTCTTGAGTAATACCCCACAAGCACAGGCAACCAAAGCAAAAATGAATAAATAGGATAGCATCCAGTTAAAAACTTCTACCCAGCAAAGGAAACAAAGTGAAGAGATAACCTATGGAATGGGAGGAAACATTTGCAAACTATCCATCTGACAAGGGATTAATAACCAGAATATATAAGGAGCTCAAACAACTCAATAGGAAAAAAATCTAATAATACAATTTAAAAATGGGCAAAAGATCTGAATAGACATTTTTCAAAAGAAGACATTGAAATGGCAAACAGGTATATGAAAAGGTACTCAACATCACTGATCATCAGAGAAATCCAAGTCAAAACTACAATATTGTCTCATCCCAGTTAAAATGGATTTTATCCAAAAGATAGGCAATGACAAATGATGGTAAGGATGTGGAGAAAAGGGAACCCTCATACACTGTTGGTTGGAGTGTAAATTAATACAACCACTGTGGACAACAATATGTAGTTTCCTCAAAAAACTGAAAATAGAACTATCATATGATCCAGCAATACCACTGCTAAGTATATACACAAAAGAAATGAAATCAGTATATTAAAGAGATATCTGCACTCCCATGTTTATTGCAGCACTATTCACAATAGCCAAGATTTGTCAGCAATCTAAGTGTCAATGAATAGAAGAATGGATAAAGAAAAATGTGGTACATATACATGAGGGAGTACTACTCAGTCATAAAAAGAATGAGATCCTGGCTGGGCACGGTGGCCAGGATGATAGGATGAATATGTTCTCTTATATATCCGTACTCCCATCTTCCCCACCTCAGGAAATGGCTCTACCATCTACTCAGTTGTTTAAATATCAAACTGAAGAAATTTCTGATTTCTTCCTTTAAAAAGAAAATACAAATAGAGATGGGGGTCTCACTGTGTTGCCCAGGCTGGTCTGGAACTCCTGGGCTTACACAGTCCTCTTGCCTTCGTGTCCCAAAGTGCTGGGATTATAGGTGAAAGCCACCATGCCCGGCTCTTCCTTTTTTACTCACTGCATCAGAAAACTTTCTTGTCTCTGTTAACAAAGTGTATTCTAAATCTCACTCTTTTCCTCCATTCCCACTTTTCAACTCTTTCCAAGCTACTGTTGTTTTTCACCTAGGTTACTGTGACAGATTCTTAATCATTCTTTGTATACATATATATATATATACACACACACACACATACATACATATATAAAATTTTAGGGATGGGGTCTTGCTGTGTTGCCCAGGTCTTGAACTCCTGGGCTCAAGTGATCCTCCTGCCTTGGCCTCCTGAGTCTCTGGGATTATAGGCACGAACCACAATGCCTGGCACTTCTTCCTTTAAAAAATAACTTGATTAAGGTACAATTGACATACAATAAGTGGGATATATTTAAAGAGTAAAATTTGATAAGTTTTGATAGGTGTATATATCCATGAAATCACCACCACAATCAGCAGAGTGAATATATCAATTTCTCACAAAAGTTTCCACATGACTTTTCATAATTCCTCTCCCTTTCCTCCCTGTCCCCTCAACACTCATTACCCCCGGAATTCCCAATCTACTTTCTGTCACTATATATCAGACAGCATCTTCTAGAGTTTTACAGTACATAGAGTTTTATAGAATCATATAGTATGTACTTTTTTTTCTGGCTTCTTTCACTCAGCATAATTATTCTGAGATTCATCCATGTTGTTGTTTGCATCAATATTTTACTCTTTTTTATTGCTAATATTCTACTGTGTGGATTTACCGCAATTAATTTATCCATTTACTCTTTGATGGACGTTTAAGTTGTTTCCAGCTTTTGGCTATTAAAAATAAAGCTGTTATGAACATTTGGATACGAATCTTTGAATGGACATAGTCTTTCTTTTTTCTTGGCTAAATGCCTAGGAAGTGGCATGGCTGGATCATATGGTAGATGTATAGTTATGTATTAGTTGAAAACAAGGATGCCTTCTGAGAAATGCATCGTTAGGCAAATTCATCATCGTGGCAACATCATAGAATGTACTTACACAAACCTAGATGGAAGAGCCTACTACATACCTGGGCTATATGGGACAGCCTATTGCTCTTAGGCTGCAAACCTGCACAGCAAGTTACTGTACTAAATACTGTGGACAATTGTAACACAATGGCAAGTATTTATGTATTTAAACACATCCAAGCATAGAAAAAATACAGTAAAATACAGTATAAAAGATAAAAAATGGTACACCTGCATATGACACTTACCATGAATGGAGCTTGCAGATTACAGTATAAAAGATAAAAAACGGTACACCGGTATATGACACTTACCATGAATGGAACTTGCAGACTGGAAGTTGCCCTGAATGACCAATCGGTAAGTTAATGTAAAGGCCTAGGGCATTACTCCACATTACTATAGACTTTATAAATATTGTACGTTTAAGCTACAGTAAATGAAATAATGAAATAACCTTAGCTTACTGTAACTTGTTTACTTTATAAACTTTTACATTTACATTTTTAAAAACTTTTTTACTCTTTTTTTTTTTTTTTGAGACACAGTTTTGCTTTGTCACCTAGACTGGAGTGCAGTGGCATGATCTCAGCTCACTGTGACCTCCGCCTCCTGGGTTCAAGCGATTCTCACGCCTCAGCCTCCCGAGTAGCTGGGCCTACAGGCGCACGCCACCATACCCAGCTAATTTTTTTTTTTTACTCTTTTTGTGATACACTTAGCTTAAAATACAAACACATTGTGCAGTTGTACAAAATATTTTTCTTTATATCCTTATTCTATAAGCTTTTTTCTATTTTAAAACTATTTTTAATTTTTAAACTTTTTTTTAAAAAACAAGACATAAGCATGCACATTAGCCTCGGGCTACACAGGGTCAGGATCATCAGTATCACTGTCTTCCACCTCCACATCTTGTCCCACTGGAAGGCCTTCTTCGGAAGTAAGGCATGGAGCTGACACCTGCTATTATAACAATGCCTTCTTCTGCAACACCTCCTAAAGGACCTGCCTGAGGCTGTTTTACAGATAACTATTTTTTTTTCTTAATAAGTAGAAGGAATAGACTCTAAGATAATGATTAAAAATATAAGAAATAGCTGGGTGCCATGGCATGTGCCTGTAATCCTGGCTACTTGGGAGGCTGAGATGGAAGGATCCCTTGGGCCCAGGAGGTTGAGGCTGGCTGTTGAGTGATATGATTGTGCCTGTGAATAGCCACCACATTCCAGTCTGGGCAACATAGCCAGACCCCATCTCTAAAAAACCAAAAGTATACTAAATACATAAACAATAACAGTTGTTTATTATCATTATGAAGTATCATGTACTGTACATAATTGTATGTGCTATACTTTTACGTGACTGGCAGCACAGTGAGTTTGTTTGCACCTGCCTCACCACAAATACCTGAGTGTTTGTGCAGTGTCTTGAGCTACGACTTCATGGAATCACGAGGCAATAGAAATTTTTCAACTCCATTACAGTCTTATGGGAACACAGTGTATACATGGTTCTTTGTTGACAGAAACATTGTTATGTATATATGGTTCATTGTTATGTGTGCATGACTGTATATATTTGGTCTTCCTCCCATTTCCTGACATATAGCTTCTAAAATCCTTGGGATCTCCGGAGTGGTAAGAGTGTCTTATGTATGCTCATGAATGACTGGTGGCTGGAGGCTCCTAGATAGTTTTAGGATCGGGGGTGGTCACCAATAAGACCAAGGCATGATCAGAGGGCTGGGATTTTTAGCCCCACCCCTCAACTCCAGGGATGTTGAAGGTTGAGTTGATCAATGGCCATTAATGATGGCCAATGATGTAATCAATTATGCCTCTGTAATATATGCCTACGTGTGCCACTCCTCAACTCCAGGGATGTTGAAGGTTGAGTTGATCAATGGCCATCAATGATGGCCAATGATGTAATCAATTATGCCTATGTAATGAAGCTTCCATAAAAACCCAAAAGAACTTGTTCCAAGAGCTTCTGGACAGCTGAACAGGTGGTGGTTTCTTGCAGGTGGTGCACCTGTGTGGGGCCTGGAAAATCTGTGCCCCTTCTCACATGCCTTACCCCATGCATCTCTTCCATTTGGCCGTTCATCTGTATCTTTTGTAATATTCTTTAAAACAAATGAGTAAATGTTAAGTGTTTTCCTGAGTTCTGTGAGCCATCCAGCAAATTGGACCTGAGGAGGGTGTCAAGGATACCTAGATTTAGAGCCAGTCAGTCAGAAACTCAGGCCACATCCTGTGCTTGTGACTGGCATTGGAAGTGGGAGACAGTCTTGTCAGGCTGAGCCCTGACCTTTTGGGATCTGATGGTATCTCCAGGTAGATAGTATCGGAATTGAATTGAGTTAGAGGACACTTAGCTGCTGACCTCTGGAGAATTCACTGCAGAATCGATTGCTTGCTTGGCATGTGGGGAAAAATCCCTACACATTTGGTCACAAAAGCATTTTGTTGTGAGAGTATAGTATGGGAGAAACAGATTTTGGTGTTTTTTTTCCTATTCAATCTTTTGCATTATAGCTTATTCTTTTTGTATGTTGTTAAGGAAATCTTTGCCTAGTCCAAGGCCACAAAGGTTGCCTTAATGAATTCTTCTAGAAATTTTATAATTTTAGGTTTTACATTTAGGTCGGTAATGTATTTCTATTTAACTTTTTTTTCCTTTTTTTTTTTAAGAGATGGTCTTGCTCTATCACCCAGGCTGGAGTGCAGTGGCACCATCATAGTTCACTGTAGTCTTAAACTCCTGGGCTCAAAATCCTCTTGCCTCAGCCTCACAGCTAGCTGGAACCACAGGTGAATGCCACCATGCCTGGCCAATTAAAAAAAATTTTGTAGAGATGGGGTTTCACCCTGTTGCTCAGACTTGTCTTGATCTCCTGGCCTTAAGTGATCCTCTAGTCTTGGCCTCCTGGGCTGCTGGGATTACAGGCATGAGCCACAGTATCCAGCCTGTTTTTATATAACTTTTATACATGGTGTGAGATATAGGTTGAGGTTTTTTTTTTCTTATAAATGCCCAATTATTTTAGAACCATTTATTTAAATAAGTATCCTTTTTCCATTGAATTCTTTTGGCACCTATGTTGAAAATCAATTGATCGTGAACACATGGATTTTTTTTTTTTTTTTTTTTTTTTTTTTGAGCCAGAGTCTCTCTCTATTGCCCAGGCTGGAGTGCAGTGGGTGATCTCAGCTTACTGCAACCTCCTCCTCCCAGGTTCAAGTGATTCTCCTGCCTTATCCTCCTGAGTAGCTGGGATCACAGGTGTGCACCACCATGCCTGGCTAATTTTTGTATTTTTAATAGAGACAGGGGTCACTATGTTGGCCGGGCTAGTCTCAAACTCCTGACCTCAGGTGATCCGCCCACCTCAGCCTTCCAAGGTGCTGGGATTACAGGTGTGAGCCACCGTGCCTGGCCAACACATGGGTTTATTTCTGCATTCTCTTCTGTTCCTTTTTAAAATATATCTATCCTGTCACTTCTACCCCACTGTAATTTTATAGTAAGTCTATAAGTAAGAATATAGCGTAGTATAGTTCTCCAACTTTGTTTTTCTTTTTAAAAATTGTTTTATCTGTTCTTGGTCCTGAGGGTTTTACTACAGATTTTAGATAAATGTTCTTTTCATACATTTTGCGTATGTGTGAATATAATGGGGGAAATCACTGAGTTAATGGCAATATGCATTTTAAATTTTATAAGATAGCTTTAAATGGCCCCACCAATGTAAACTCTCCAGCGATGTATAAATTTGGGTGCCTATTTCTTTATACCCTCACAAGGCAGAGATAAGGTGAACCCCAGGCTCTTCATGATTATGATGACTTCACCCCTGGTTCCATTTTTGAAGGATAATGAGGGGTTTTTACCTAGAAGGAGGTCTTTCATATTCTTCACACTGGAACATCTACAATACACATCTTTCCCTTGCTAGTAATGCTCTCACAGGGCAAAGTTTTGGTGATAGTAAAGTCTTTATTTCTATATTAGCACTGAGAAGGGAAAGGAAGTAAAGAAGAGGGAAGAAAACTGGTGGCACAGAGGAAAGAGCATAAAAATGATGTGGTAAAAGCTAAAGAAGAAGTGGTTTTCAAGGGGGAGGGAGCACTTACTAGAACAAAATGCCAAAGAGTTGTAAAGTAACATAATGAGAGGAGAGTATTCAATGGAAATGGCAATATGAAGGTCATGTTTATCATTCTTCACTGGTGTGGTGGTGACAGGTGAAATTTCAGCAGGCTGATCATACAAGGTAAGGAAATGGAAACAATGAGTTTAGATGGTTTGAAGTCTGGTTAAGACAGGAAGGAAAGAGATAATATCTAAGTAGAGTCATATGTCGGGTCAATAGATCTTAAAATACAGATAGAAGACAGTAACACATTTTGTAACTTGAGGTAACAAAATTATGTTGAAAGGGAGAGATTAAAAATGCATGTGGGTGTGGCTGGGTACAGTGGTTCATGCCTGTAATCTCAGCACTTTGGGAGGCCGAGGCAGGCAGATCACTTGAGGCCAGGAGTTTGAGATCAGTCTGGCCAACATGGTGAAACCCCGTCTCTACTAAAAATACAAAAATTAGCTGAGCACGTTAGCACATGCCTGTAGTCCCAGCTACTCAGGAGAGTGAGGCACGAGAATCACTTGAACCCAGGAGGTGGAGTTTGCAGTGAGCCGAGATCGTGCGACTGCACTCCAGCCTGGATGACAGAGTGAGACTTCATCTCAAAAAAAACCCAAAAAATATGCATGTGAGAGAGGATGCTTTATAGACCAAGATTCTTGAGTCAGTGGATGAATATGAAGCTGACTGGACAACTGGAAGAAGTAACCTTGGGTAGAAAGAGTGCCCCTTCCCCATGGAAGAAGGAAAGATGGGTGAGGATTCTGATGGGTTTATTACAAGTGATAGGGAAGTAAACTGTTATTACCTGGTGAACTTCATTTTCTCAGTGAAATCAAAGACAAGGTCATATACTAAGAAGGAGAGAGGAAATAATAGGTTTGGGGGTCTATGGACAGCAGAATTTTTGAATAATCACAAAGGGGAAAGAGAGGCATCTGCCTAGAGACACGACATTGCTGGGCAGCCCTGCGAGCTTGGGTGAGGCAGGGGGCCGAACATTTTCAGTGATTTCAATCTGTACTATTGCACGGTTTTTGGCAGCAGCCTACATGGGATTTGTCATAATAACAGAGAAATCAAATAGCAAGAAGGATGGAGGGAGAGGATGTTACAGAATGGTTTCAGGGGAAGAGAAAAGGTGTCAGAAAAGAGAAGTAGCCAGAAGTAGGCAAGAAACCCAAATAATAGGGTCCCTGAAGTGAGGGACATGTATAGGAAAAGATTTGGGAATAATAGTGTAGGAGATGAAATAAAACACCACAGTGAACATTTTTGTACATGTATTCTGTTTTCTCATGTTTTGAAAGCATGAGCCAAAAACGTATGCCAAAACAAAAATGTTAATAGATACCACTGGATTACTTTCCAAAAAGACTGAAGCAGTTTTACTGCCACTGGCAACAGATGAGGGTACTAGTCCTAGGTCCTTCTCAGCTCCATGTGTTCTCAATGTTTTAAATTCTGGCTAATTATTATTATTACTATTTTTGTGGGGGAAGAAGGATGTTATAGCTTTGTCATCATTTGTGCTTTCCACACTATTAGTGGCTTTGAGCATCTTCTCAAGTAAGTTAGTTATTTGTATTTCCTCTGAGTTACATGTTTATATCCTTTGGCTATTCACTCTATCAGGGTTTTTTTCTTTTTTTCTTTTTTTGTCTTTTTTCTTATCAATATGTAGGCACTCTTTGAGGCACATGCCACCTGCTTATTTGTCAGTCATATGTGTTGCAAATATTTTATATTATTTGTTTTCTTAAAACATTATGGAGTGTTTTTTTCCTTCTATTCATACATTTTAAGTTTTAAAAAAATCGTGTGTGTGTCTGTGTATTTTAGAGACAGGTGCTCACTTTTTTGCCCAGGCTGGAGTACCGTGGTGTAATCATGGCTCACTGTAGCCTCGACCTCTTGTGCTCAAGTGATGCTCCTGCCTCAACCTCCTGAGTAGCTGGGACCACAGGTGTGCATCACTGTGGCTGGCTTTTTTTTTTTAATTGACAAATAAAAATTGTATATATTACAATGTACAACATGTTGTTTTGAAATATATATATACATTGTGGAATGGGTAAATAAGCTAATTAACATATGCATTACTTCACATATTTGTGTGTGTGAGGTGAGAACACTTAAAATCTATTTTCTTTTTCTTTTTTAAAAGAGACGTTTATTCAGCCTCACGATCAGACTATTCCATTTAGCAATCAACAGCATGGGTGCAAAAAAAAAAAAAGTCTACATTAAAACCCTTTGTTGGAATGCTTTATACTTTCCACAGAACAGAAACCAAAATAACCTGTTATACAATTAGTCACAAACACAGTCCTCAAGTTTTTTGCCCATGCACATGAGTATTTGCGTAAAACATGTCTTCTTTGTAGCAGCTAGGCCTTGCCACCACTGTGCTTGGCTGAGTTCACAAATCTGTTGCCTGTAGCTTCCCTGCCACTTCTCTGGCTCTCTTCTCCTGCTAAGCTTTGTTTCCTAATTAAAATCTTCTGCCACTGCCATAGCTGCTGCTGCTACTAGAACCACCATAGGCACCTTGGTTTCGTGGTTTGGCAAAGCATTGGCCTCCACCACCACAGGGGCCAGAGCTTCTGACTCCAAAGATTCTTCCCTTCATGGGTCCAAAATTTGAAAACTGATTGTTGTAATTGCCAAAATTCATTGTAGCTTCCACCACCTCCAAAATTGCTTCCATCATTACCAAATCCATTATAGCCATCCCCATTGCCACCATATCCACCACAACCACAGCTGCCACCAAAGCCACCATGACCATGAAGTTTTCTCCACTACCAAAGTTGTCACTCCCACCAAAACCACCTCCATGACCACTACCAAAGTTTCCAGAACCATTTCGACCTCTTTGGCTAGATGAAGCGCTAGCTCTCTCTTGCTTTGACAGTGCTTTCCTAACTTCACAGTTGTGGTCATTCACAGTATGGTATTTCTGAATGACAGTCTTATCCACGGAGTCATGGTTGTCAAAGGTTACAAAGGCAAAGTCCCTTTTCTTGCCACTGCCTTGGTCAGTCATGATTTCAATCACTTCAATTTTTCCAAACTGTTCAAAATTATCTGTTCTTCAGTGTCGTCGTCTTCTTCTTTTTTTTTTTTTTTTTCTGAGACAGAGTCTGGCTCTTGTCACCTAGGCTGGAATGCAATGGTGTGATCTCGGCTCACTGCAACCTCTGCTTCCCAGATTCAAGCGATTCTTCTGCTTCAGCCTCCCAAGTAGCTGGGATTACAGGCGTGTGCCACCAGGCCTGGCTAATTTTTGTGTTTTTATAGAGACAGGTTTCACCATGTTGGCCAGGCTGGTCTCAAACTTCTGACCTCAGGTGATCCACCTGCCTAGGCCTCCCAAAGTGCTGGGATTACAGGTGTGAGCCACCACGCCAGGCCTTTTTTTTTTTTGAGACTTAGTCTCACTCTGTCACCCAGACTGGAGTGCAGTGGCACGATCTCTGCTCACTGCAACCTCCGCCTCCCAGGTTCAAGTGATTCTGCTGCCTCAGCCTCCCAAGTAGCTGGGACTACAGGCACGCACCACCACGCCCTGCTAATTTTTGTATTTTTAGTAGAGACGGGATTTCACCATTTTGTCCAGGATGGTTTCGATCTCTTGACCTCGTGATCCACCCGCCTTGGCCCCCCAAAGTGCTGGGATTACAGGCCTGAGCCACCGCACCCGGCCTCAGTGTCTTCTTTAATGCCATCAACAAACATATTTTTCACAGTTAAGTGGGCACCTGGTCTTTGAGAATCTTCTCTTGAGAAAGCTCTCTTTGGTTCCACAAATCTTCCATCCACTTGTGTGGCCTTGCATTCGTGGCCGCATCCACCTCCTCCATAGTGGCATATGTGACAAACCCAAAGCCCCTGCAACCTTGGTGTTTGGGTCTCTCATTACGGCACAGTCCGTGAGCGTTCCCCATTGCTCACAATGGCTCTTCAGGCTCTCATTGGTTGTTTCAAAGCTCAACCATCCAATGAAGAGCTTCCTCCGCTGGTCAGGCTCTTTAGGAGACTCAGACTTAGACATGACGGCAGAAAGAAGAGAGATTTTAATGATGCTTCCTCGGTGGTGTCCAAGGGCAGAAAGGCAAAATCTATTTTCTTAGCAATTTTCAAGAATACAATACATTGTGTGTGTTTTTTAAAATTTTTTATTTATTTATTTATTTTTAGTTGGAGTTTCACTCTTGTTGCCCAGACTGGAGTGCAATGGTGCAAGCTCAGCTCACTGCAACCTCTGCCTCCTGGATTCAAGTGATTCTCCTGCTTCAGCCTCCCAAGTAGCTGGGATTACAGGCATGTGCCACCAGGCCTGGCTAATTTTTGTATTTTTAGTAGAGACAGGGTTTCACCATGTTGGCCAGGCTGGTCTCGAACTCCTAACCTCAAATGATCCATCTGCCTTGGCCTCCCAAAGTGCTGGGATCCACGGCCCCTGGCCTGAATACACTGTTATTAACTACAGTCACCTTGTTGCACACTAGACCTCTTGAACTTACTCCTCCTCTCCAACTGAAATTTTGTATATTTTGACAAGTATCTCCCCAATCCCCCCTCCTCATTTTAAGTTTAATAAAGTCAAAACTGTCATTTTTTCCCCCTTATTGTGGATTTTGGTATTCCACCTAGAATTGCCTGCTTGGGATTTTACTTGTATTTTCCCAAAATTTTTTTCTAATAAGTCTGTATTTTTAATTAATTAATTTATTTATTTGAGACAGTCTCACTCTGTTGCCCAGGCTGGAGCGCAATGGCATGATCTCGGCTCACTGCAACCTCTGCCTCCTGGGTACGAGCGATTCTCATGCCTCGGCCTCCCGAGTAGCTGGGATTACAGGCACAGGCCACCACACCCTAATTTTTGTATTTTTAGCAGAGACAGGGTTTCGCCATATTGGCCAGGCTGATCTTGAACTCCTGACCTAAGGTGATCCACCTGCCTTGGCCTCCCAAAGTGCTGAGATTACAGGTGTGAGCCACTGTGCCCGGCCCTCTCTTAAGCTGGCTTTAATTATTATTTGGTTTCACATTTTGATCTTTAATTAATTTTTGCAGTTGTGATAACTAACTTGGAAGAGAGAAGACAGACTGAGTTCTGGGCAAAGTCTTGGATCATTGAGAGGGAAGGAAAAGGTTTGAAGATGAAAGTGATGAGAACGGGTAGTGGATGGGGTGGGCAGGTGGCACGTGCCTCAAAGAAGCTATTTTTTGGGTATTGTTTTTATTGTGATAAAGTGTACATAATATAAAGTTTATCACTTTAACCATTTTCAAGTGTATAATTCAGTGACATTAATTATATTCACCATGTTGTGCAGCCATTATCACTATCCATTAAAGGAACCATTTTTTTTTTCTTTTTGACATGGAGTCTCGCACTGTTGCCCGGGCTTGAGTGCAATGGCAAGGTCTTGGCTCACTGCAATCTCTACCTCCCGGATTCACATGATTCTCCTGCCTCAGCCTCCCAAGTAGCTGAGATTACAGCAGCCCACCACCACACCTGGCTAATTTTTTGTATTTTTAGTAGAGACGGGGTTTCACTATGCTGGCCAGACTGGTCTCGAACTCCTAACCTTGTGATCTGCCCGCCTCGGCCTCCCAAAGTGCTGGGATTACAGGCGTGAGCCACTGTGCCCAGCCTAAAGGAACTATTTTTACATGATAAAAAACAATGGTATGGAGTCAGCAAGGAAAACCACAATAACACAAATGCTGACTTTCCTCTCTTCCACTACTTCTACTCTCCTTGCAACTTAGTAGCCTCATTTTGAGAGGACATAATTTTAAGAAACAGTTGGCTTGTAGTTAAGGCAAAGAGGAGTGGGGATGTTCTATGTAAAGGTTGATAAGATAGGGTAACCTGTTTTCAATGTAACAGGGATTGCAGTGAGCACACCAGATAGCATCTCCCGGCAGGGGGTAGTGAGAGAATGGTCAAATTGTGGAGGCCTAGCTTGCAATGGCATGAGACTGTGGGCAGAAATTAATTTTAACATTTTAGAATTAATTTTTGTTGGGGATTTCCCTGCAGGGCTGCTGCACGTGGTGAGGGCTCAACCCCTCAGGCACTCCTGTGAGGCCCCTGGTCACCCAGGGGCACCTTTAGGCTGGGAGGGGCAAAAGCCCTTTGTCTTCAGAGCTGAAAAACTCAGTCTCTCATTTAGCTTTGAAAACAACAGTTCAGTTCCTCAGAATCAAGATAAATTTTAGGAGAAAAAGCAATAGAGAATTCCCTTTAGAATGCATCTCTGAATTAGAATTAGGATCCTTAAACAACAATTTCCTAGGAGAAAACCAGCTCAGAATAAATCAAGGACTGTCAAACAAAGGGAGGTCTGGGGCTCAGGAGGACTTACCCGTTCCACCGGGGGAGAAGCTTGAACTCAGTGGGACTTCAACGGGCCGCTGCTGGTACCTTAGCTCTGGTTTCGGGCAACTCTTTCAGGGTCCTGAGTCTTCTCTGAGGCCTCATGTATTTGGGCACCAAAATATTGTCAACAAAAAGAGTCAAACTCTATAAAATATTTGAAGATTTATTCTGAGCTAAATATGAGTGACCATGGCCCACGACGCAGCCCTCAGGAGGTCCTGGGAACATGTGCCCAAGGTGGTCGGGGCACAGCTTAGTTTTATATATTTCAGGGAGTCATGACACATCAATCAAACACACTTAAGAAATGCATTGGTTTCGCTCAGAAAGGTGGGACAACTCAAAGCAAGGGCTTCCAGGCTAAAGGTAAATTTAAATCTTTTCTGGCTGACAATTGGTTGAGTTTGTCTGACCCGTATTAATTTCCTAGTGCTGCCCTGACAAAGTACCATAAACTTGGTGGCTAAAGCCAGCGGAAATGTATGGTCTGACAGTTCTGGAGGCCCAAAGTCAAAGTGTTGGCAGGGATGGTTCCTTCTGGGGGAGAATCTACTCAGTCCACTAATTTAAATACTAATCTCTAGTGGAAACACCTGAACAGACACACGCAGAAGTAATACTTAACCAGATATATGGATATTTCATGGCCCTGTTAAGCTGACACATAAAATTAATCATCACAGAAGCTCACCTATGATTAATTGATTTTTTTGAGGGTGCAAAAAGCTACTCAGTGATGAGTATAATAAAATATTAGAAAGAGTGTTTTTGGTTGACTCAGAATTTTGGCTAAAATCTAAAGCTGAGAACAATAGGTGTTAAGAAATCCTATATTCCAAAGAGAGTTCTTAGCTTACCCTACAGGACTTTCCAAACTGGTCTAAGGACAATTACCAACAGCCCATATCAGGAAAAGATAGAGACTGATTGAAACCACCTTTGCGAAATTATGACAGTAAGAGAAAACTGACATAGTTGACTCCATTTTGCTTCTAAGCTACAAGATGTCTTCGGTGATTCCTCAGTGTAGGCCAAACTAACTTCAGGAGGCACTTAATTTATACTTTAACCTTAGAGCAAAGATGATAATAGCCCTCTCCTAAAACTAAACCACCTCTGTAAAACTAATGAAAGGCCACAGGTTAGGATTAGGAATTATGAGAGGGGCCTGAATTCTGCTAAAATGTAGGCAAAGTGAAACGATAACCAGCCATTGTTCTGGAGGTCACAAGATTTGTAACTTCCCCAATTACTCCTGTAGATGACATCAACTGTTATAGAACCCAAGATTGGCCTTTTGAGATTTTTTTCAGACTGTTAACGTTTCTCATGACCAGCTGACTCGGGCCAGACCTGCAACTCATGAGTCAATCAGTCCTGTAGCCCTACCCAGAGGCCAATTCAGTGCATGAAGACTATTTTCCACACTCCTATGATTTTACCCCAATCAATCAATATTCCCCATTCTCTAGCCCTCTGACCACCAACTATCCTTTAAAACCCCCAAAACTTTGAGCCTTCAGGGAGACTGATTTGAGTGATATTTCTGGTTCTACTACATGAGTTAGCCTCCTGTCAATCAAACTCTTTCTTTACTGCTATGCCGTAGTCTCAGTGAATTGATTTTGCCTGTGCAGAGGGCAGGAAGAAACTGCCGGTGATTACATGATTGCAGAGACAAATTCCTTGAAAGAATTTGTGAATCAAAAGATTGCTGGGGTCTGGGTGTAGTGGCTTACATTTGTAACCACAGCACTTTGGGAGGCCAAGGAGGGAAGATCGCTTGAGCTTAGGAGTTCAAGACTGGCCTGGGGAACGTAGAAAGTCATCATCTCTAACAAAAATAAAAAAATAAAAGAATTAGCTGGGCAAGGTGGTTTATATCTGTAGTCCCAGCTACTAGGGAGGCTGAGGTGAGAGGATCACTTGAGCCTGGGTGATAGAGGCTACAATGGGCTACAATCATACCACTGCACTCCAGCTAGGGTGACAGAATGAGACTCTTTAAAAAAAAAAAAGGGGATTACTGGGGTATTTCCCCTCCCACCCTGATTCCAAGTGAGAGGGGAAACAAGAGGGCACTTTGGGGAAATTGGGCACTGCTTGCTGAAGGCAGACAGAGTCTTACTCCTTGGCTCTATGCTTGCTCAGCTATGGGAGCTTGTAAATTTGAGACAGCATGGAGAATAAAAAAGTGTTTGGAAGAACCTGACCTATGTCCCTTACTGAAGAGGACAAAGACACTTTTGTGTGACTATTGTTTAGAGAGGCCCAGTGGTGAGAAGTTAGCAGAAGTTGCTCCTGATGACAGGGTAAGGTGGGGTGGCTTCAAGGCTCAGCTTCACTATTTGGTGAGTGGGTATATGAGCTCCCCTCATCCCAGAAGTAGCAGATGTGGGTTTGCGTCCTCTACAAAGGGCTTTATCCAAGAGGACTCCCTATCGGTGGGAGATCCTACAAGAAAGAAGCCATGTTGGATGCTTCACTAGAAGTTGAGAGCTAAGGTAAAGTCACAGGAGGCCTCCCAGAGAGCATCTCACCTGTATCAGGGAATGATGCAGTGCAGAAATTCCTCAGGGATGTATCTCTGTGTAGGATCTCCTAAAAATCCATTGAAGAACCCCATGAGAGACAATTGGTATTTGTGTATTGTATCAGTCAGGTTTCAACCACAGAAGCAGAACCAGTAGAAGAGATACATACAGTCATGCACAGCATAATGATGTTTCGGTTAACAATAGATCACACATATGCCGTAATTATATCCATAAGATTATAGCGAAGCTGAAAAATTCCTAGTGACATCCTATCTCTAGGGACATCATAGCTGTCATAACATCACAGCACAACACATTACTCATTACTCACGTGTTCGTGGTGATGCTGGTGTAAATGAACCTACTTCACTGCCAGTCATGTAAAAACCATAGCACATACGGTTATGTATGATACATAATACCTGATGATAATATGTGCCTCTGTTATTGATTTATGTACTTAATATACCATACTTTTTTTTTTTCTTTTGAGATGGAGTTTCACTCTTGTCACCCAGGCTGGAGTGCAATGGTGTGATCTCGGCTCGCTGCAACCTCCGCCTCCCCGGTTCCAGCGATTCTTCCGCCACAGCCTCCCGAGTAGCTGGGATTTACAGGCATGCGCCACCATGCCCGGCTAATTTTTTGTATTTTTAGTAGAGACGGGTTTCATCATGTTGGCCAGGCTGGTCTCAAACTCCTGACCACAGATGATCCGCCCGCCTCGGCCTCCCAAAGTGTTGGGATTACAGGCGTGAGGCACCGTGCCTGGCCATTATACTTTTTACTGTTATTTTAGAGTACATTCTTTATACTTATCCATTAAAAAATTTGTTAATTGTAAAACGGTCTTGGGCAGGCCCTTCAGGAGGTTTTCCAGAACAAGGCATTGTTATCACAGGAGAGGACAGCTTCATGCGTGTTACTGCCCCTGAAGAACTCCCAGTGGGACAAGATAAGGAAGTAGAACAGTGATATTGATGATCCTGACCCTGTGTAGGCCTTGGCTAATGTATGTTTTTGTGTCTTAGTTTTTAACAAAGCTATTTAAAAAGTAAAAAAAAAATTAAATAGAAAAAAACTTATATAATAAGGATATAAAGAAAGAAAATATTTTTGTATAGCTGTACAATACATTTGTGTGGTAAGCTGTGCGTTCATACAAAAAAGTGTAGTTTGGAGATTTCTCGAAGAACTTAAGACAGAACTACCTTGGAACCAACCCAAATGTCCATCGATGATAGACTGGATAAAGAAAATGTGGCACATATACACCATGGAATACTATACAGCCATAAAAAAGGATGAGTTCATGTCCTTTGCAGGGACATGGATGAAGCTGGAAACCATCATTCTCAGCAAACCATCACAATAACAGAAAACCAAACACCACATGTTCTCACTCATAAGTGGGAGTCGAACAATGAGAACACATGGACACAGGGAGGGGAACATCACACACCAGGGCCTGTCAGGGGGTAGGGAGCTAGGGGGAGGGATAGCATTAGGAGAAATACCTAATGCAGGTGACGGGTTGATGGGTGCAGCAAACAACCATGGCACATGTATACCTATGTAACAAAACTGCACGTTCTGCACGTGTACTCCAGAACTTAAAGTAAAAAAAAAAAAAAAAGACAGAACTACCATTCAACTCAGCAATCTCATCACTGAGTATATACCCAAAGGAATATAAATTGTTCTACCAAAAAGGCACATGCACGTGCATGTTCCTTGCAGCACTATTCACAATGGCAGAGACATGGAATCAACCTAGATGCCCATCAACAGTGGACTGGATAAAGAAAATGTGGTACATCTACACCATGAAATACTACACAGCCATAAAAAATAAAATCATATTCTTTGCAGCAACATGGATGGAGCTGGAGGCCATTATCCTAAGTGAACCAATGTAGGAACAGACAACCAAATACCACATGTTCTCACTTATAAGTAGGAGGTAAACATTTAGTATGCAGGGAGGCAGAGTGGAACAAAAGACACTGAGGGCTACTTGAGAGTGGAGATTGGGAGAGAGTGAGGATGGAAAAACTGTCTATTGGGTACTGTGCTCATACCTGGGTAACGAAATCATTTGTACACCCAACCCAGTGACATGCAATTTACCCATGTAACAAACCTGCACATGTACCCACTGAACCTAAAATAAAAGTTAACACAAAAAGGAAAAAGTTTATTAAGTAAAAAAATTAGAAGAAGCTAAGGTTAATTTATTATTGAAGAAAGAGATTTCACTTCACGGCAGCTGTGGCCTGACTGTGAGGCGGCTGACCAGCCTCAGCTGAGAGTGGAGTGGTGGCCGTGGCCCTCCTTAGGAGATCACCATATCACCTCTTACTGTGGCCTTACCATGGCGACCTATGGGCAGACCTGCATGTGGCCAGTGTGGATTTCTTCATCATATGTTAACCTTGGCAAAGCTGCCAGAGATATTTTTAACAAAGGATTTGGTTTGGGGTTGGTAAAACTGGATGTGAGAACAAAGTCACGCAGTGCTGTGGGATTTTCAACATCTGGTTCATTTAATGCAGACACTGGAAAAGCTTTTGAAGTCTTGGAGACCAAATATAAACGGTGTGAGTATGGTGTGACTTTCCCAGAAAAATGAGACACTGTTAATACTCTGGGAACAGAAATCACAATTGGACCACCTTTGTCAAGGTTTGAAACTAATATTTGATACTACCTTCTTAGCAATCACAGGAAACAAAAGTGGTAAAATCAAGTCCTCTTGCAAGAGGGACTGCATAAACCTTGCTTGTGATGTTAATTTTGATTTTGCTGGACCTGCAATCTATGCTTCAGCTGTCTTTGGTTACGAGGGCTGGCTTGCTGGGTACCAGATGACCACTGACAGTGCCAAGTCAAAGCTGACAAGGAATAACTGTAGTGGGCTACCGGATGGGGGACTTCGAGCTTCACACTAATAACAATAATGGGGCAGAATTTGGAGGCTCAGTTTATCAGAGGGTATGTGACAATCTTGATACTTCAGTAAACCTTGCTCGGACATCAAGTGCCAACTGCACTCATTTTGTCTTGCCACTAAATATCAGTTGCATTTCACTGCTTCTATGTTTGCAAAAGTCAACAACTCTAGTTTAATTGGAGTGGAAGGAAAGAGACTTCATTTACACTCAGACTCTGAGCCTGCTGTGAAGCTTGCACTTTCTGCTCTGCTAGATAAAAAGTGCATTAATGGAGGAGGCCAAAGACTTGGGTTTGTCCTGGAGTTGGAGACTTAATCCAGCTGAAAGAAATGGCAATGGATATCAGAAGATTTGGCTTTAATATACTTTCATTGTGATCAGCAGGCTCTTCCCACAAAGAAGGTGATCAAAACAAAGGCTCTAAACAAGAGCTATATTTTAAATATTTAAACAGCTACTCGTTAGCTGGTTTCTAGTTGAATTGGTTATGTATCTAGTTACCAATATGCTGCAACCGTGCAGTCACCTACACATTATTTAAGTATATTTAACTGTTAAATGCACTACCCACCAATCATGAAATAAACTTTATGAAAAAAATTTTTTAAAATGAATTTACTATAGCTTGAGTATACAGTGTGTATAAAGTCTACAGTAATGTACAATAATGTCCTAGGCTTTCACATTCACTCACCACTCACTGACTCACCCAGAGCAACTTCCAGTCCTGCAAACCCCATTCGTGGTAAGAGCCCTATCGAGGTGTACCATTTTTAATGTTTTATACTGTTTTTTGATGGTACCTTTTCTATGTTTAGATACATTTAGATACACAAATATGTGCCATTTTGTTATAATTGCCTACAGTAACATGCAGTCCAGGTTTGTAGCCTAGGAGCAATTGGCTACACCATATAGGCCAGGTGTGTGGTAGGCTCTTCCATCTAGGTTTGTGTAAATACAATCTATGACCTTTGCACAAAAACAAAGTTGCTTAGGGTTACGTTTATCAGAACATATCCCTGTAATTCAGTGATACCTGTGTTAAAAGATGTACTGCAGTGGCTCATGCTTGTAATCCCAGTGCTTTGGGAGGCCAAGACAGGAGGATTGCTTGAGGCCAGGAGTTTGAGACCAGCCTGGGCAGCACAGTGGGAACCCCCAATCCTTACAAAAAATAAAAAATTGGCTGGGTGTGGTGGTGCTTGCCTATAGTCCTACCTATTCAGGAGGCTGAGGCTGGAGACTCGCTTGAGCTCAGGAGTTCAAGATGGCAATAAGCTGTGATTGTGCCACAGCACTCCAGCCTGGGCAACTGAGCAAGACCCTGCAAGGAATTGGCTCATGGCTAGGCAATTCCAAAATCCATAAGGCAGGCTGCCAGGAAGGGCAGGCTGGGACTCTCTAGCAGAAGCCAAAGCTGCTGAAGCTGCTGTCTATAGGTAGAAATTCATGTTTATCAGGGAAGCCTTAATTCCACTCTTAAGACCTTTCAACTGATATTGAATCAATTTCACCTAGATTATCTAGGATACTTTCCCTTACTTAAAATCAACTGGTTACGGACTTTAACGAAATCTACAAAATACCTTCAATAAATATCTAGATTAGTGTTGGATTGAGTAACAGGGGACTATTGCCTAGCAAAGTTGACACATGAAAAAACCATCCCAGGTAACTTCCACACAAAATCATGGCCAGAGAACAATAGTACCAGAGCAAGACTTTTCCCTCTTCTTTGAATTCCCCATCTTTGAGGCTGGAGGGCTGCATCACTCCCCCACTGCTGGTTTGTGAGAGCTGTATGTAGAGGAAAACAAAAATTAGCCGGGCGTGGTGGCAGGCACGTGTAATCCCAGCTACTCGGGAGGCTGAGACAGGAAAATCGCTTGATTCTCCACCCAGGAGGTGGAGGCTGCAGTGAGCAGAGATCGTGGGCTGCACTCCAGCCTGGGCAACAAAGTGAGACTCTGTCTCAAAAAAAAAAAAAAAATTGAAACAAAAAATGAATTGGTTATAAGAATAACATTTTGATTTAGATTGGATTAAACTTTCTCAGTCAAATGAGACTGTTAGAGTAGCTTAAATTTATTAGAAGAGCTAAATGATTTGTCTGATAAGTTGTCCAAGGGTATGGAGGCTCTGGTTGGAGAATAAAGCTCTTTCCTGATTGCAATATATGAATTCTGTTCATTCAATAAGTTGGTCATATGTATAAAGTAGACGATTGCTAAATATAACATTAGTTATCACCTTCAAAGCTTATCTCTTCGCCTCCGCGTCTATTCTCTTTGTCCTCTCTCATTTGTTGTTTTTGATGGCTACTCTATGCTTTTACTGAGAATAGAAGAATGAGAAAACCAGCTTAGATTGCGTATGTGAAATACTAGAAAGTGAGATTGTATTTTCCTTCTCTGATGACTTTACAAATAGAATGATTAAAAAGTATTTTTCTCTAATAATTTGTGTACACAGAAACTTAGGATTGACAAAACGATCTTATTTGTTCTTGACATATGTATAATTTTATGCTTTTTTAAAAAACTTTTTTTTCTGTTCATGGCCTTTTCCTCTGTTTCTTCTTCCTCATGACACCACTTTAACAACTGATGTCTTACTACACATTATTCTCATTATCTCATTATAGGATTTAACTGCCCTCTTTCGGTCAATGCCAGTAATTGCACCATTAATGACAGTTGCTAAAGCAGTCAGTCCAGTGACTTTTCAGAGGGTGCTGAGATTACAGATTCTCTTCCAGGATTCTTTGTTTGTTTAGTAGCCAATCAAGGGTAAAGTCTCTTCTATTCAATCACTAGAGGAAAAACCATTTTCTCACTACCTTGATTCTAGAAAAATTTGTGCATTCTTTTGATAATACTCAGACACAAATAGTTCTTTAGTGGCCATTCAATTATTCCCTTTGTTACTGTACATTTCCAAGATAGATTATTTGATTAGCAAAAATGCCTGCGCAATGCATTCAGGTTATTGCCAGGTATGGACACTACTAGAATGACAGTGAGTAAGAGAGAAAAAAGAAATGATACCTTTCAGTAAGAAGGAAAATGGAACTATCAATAATAGAAGGCTAATTAGTAAAGAAAAAGTCAAGAGAAGATAAGACTGAGAAAAACTTCAGATTCTTAATAAAAAGAAGGCACTCAATTATAGGAAAGTAAACTTTCTGAAAAGTAGGAGAGAAGTAGGATAGTGGTAAATTTGCTACCATTTTGAAATGGTCCATAATCATGAATATATAATTTCAGTATATGGCACAGACTCATTACAGAATCACACAGTGCTAAGTTCCTAGGCCTTGTCTGTCCTCGAACAATAGTATATAATTTAACTTCTCTCGCCTCATCTTGACAGATAAATACCATGCTATCCATTTTTCTGTTTAAGCGCCTTCTGTGTTGGGCTATCCAAGTCAGGAAATCTTTCCTTAGTATTCTGTAGGACCCATTAGGTTGAAATCAGGAGGTTTTTCACCATTTGATGGTTTGGATCTATAAGAAGGACACTTTCATATTGTTCAACCCAAATATTTATTGTCCTGTCATGAAATAGCAATGATATATTTGGAATGTCAGCTAGCTTTTCTGTCCAGTGCCTCCCTCCCATCTTCATCTCAGATATTAAATTTTACTAAAACTTACTTTTATTTAGAATGTAATTCTTCTGAATCACTTTCAGACTTTCTGTTTTTATATGTGGTTGTGTGGTCTGTGACATCACAGGACATTTTCTGAAAGGGTGCCTCACTATTGTCTCTGGGGTTGTTTTCCAAACTATTGAAAACTATTCTGCAGATCTTCATGCTCAAAATGTTTTGATCTTACAAGAACTTATCACTGAAAGATTTCAAACAACAACTAGAATTCAGATTCCTTTTTCAACTGCTTATTAAACGGTTCATTGATTGAAACATTGAGAGATTGTAGTTGTTCAATGGGAATGTCAATGGGAAGACAACTAAGTTTATGCATGAAGAGGGAAAGGCAAGTGAATCACGACCACTGCCCACCTGACAGCAGCTGTGCAAAATGCTGTGACAGACTGTTTCCAAAGATGCACATCACTGCGTATCTTCCAACAGACATGCCCTTTAAAAACAACTTTATTGCCAGGCGTGGTGGATCATACCTGTAATCTTAGCACTTTGGGAGGCTGAGGCGGGTGGATCACCTGAGGCCAGGAGTTCAAGACCAGCCTGGCCAACATGGTGAAACCCTGTCTCTACTAAAAATACACAATTAGCCAGGTGAGATGGCTCATGCCTGTAATCCCAGCTACTTGGGAGGCTGAGGCAGGAGAATCACTCGAACCTGGGAGGCAGAGGTTGCAGTAAGCTGAGATCGCGCCTCTGCAGTCCAGCCTGGCGAAAGCGTGAAACTCCATCTCAAAAACAAACAAACAAAAAAACAAAACAAAAAACTTGGTTGATATGTAATTGATGCACTATAAACTGCACCTGTTTGACATGCGTATTTTGATGAGCCACAGGATTTTTTGCCATGTGTCCTTGATACTGCTTCTCCAAGAATTTGAGTCTATTTTTACTATTCTTGAATCCAGTCCAGCCCTGTGACTCACTTGACCAGCAGAGTGCTGTGGAGCTGGTGTTGTGTGTCTTGGAGAGCTAGGTTATAGAAGCCTGGCAACTTCTACTGTCTCTTGGCACATTTGCACTTGGGACCCCTGACCTGCCTTGTAACAAGTGTATCTACTTGCTGGAGAGACCAGGTAGAGAGGACCTAAGTCTATTTGGAGAGTGAGAGGTCAAGTTATCCCAGCATCCTAATCAAATCTTCAGGTAATTCCAGCTCTAGCTATCATCTAACTGCTTGAGGTACCCCATGCGAGACCACTCACCTTACCCCAGTCAACCATAGAACCATGAGAAATAAGAAAATGATAATTACTTTAAACTGCTAAGTTTTGGAGTGGTTTGCGTGCAGCAATTTATCACCAAAACAGAGACTGGTACTATGAAAGGCTGATGATTTTACAAAAATCTAAAATATGTGGCATTGGTTTGGGGACCAGGTGATGAGAAGAATCTGGAAGGGACTCTAAGAAATTCTTTGTAAAGGCTGGAAGGACAAGGAACACATTTTTTATTGGGAGCTAGAAAAAAGGTCGCTTGTGTAATGTAGTGGCAAAAAGTTTAGCAATGCTTCAGCTTGTGATAAGGTGGCTAAGGAAGTATCTACCTAGGATGTTGAATATACCAGCTCGTTTCTTTTAGCTGCATGTGATAAGGTAAAGATGGAGATGAACTAAAGAAGTAACTGCTCAGTTTTCAACTAGAATCTAGAGGCAACACATTTCTTTGCCAGATTTTTTAGGATTGAAAACAAAACTGTTTCTCATCTCCATTCTCTTCCAGTAAAAGATTATTAAAGTAATAAATTACAACAGAGCAAAAGATCAAATTCAGGGCACTGCCACTAAAAGTATGGCCTCAGGGTCAAGATTTCAAGATTACAGCTGTAGACCTTTGTGTAGACCTCAGAAAGATTTAAAATAATGCCTCCTGAACCCTCTCAGCTAGGCAAAAAGTCTACTAAAAATCCCAAGGACGTGTTTCTTAGACCTTTTCTGTTAAAGGCTTCTTAGAAACTTAAGAGCATTGTTACCCAGCACTTTTCTTCTCAGTCAAAGGTAGAGAGGGACCTGTCTTATGATTTATCAGTGTGGCTTTTGTTTACTGGAATGGTTATAGATTGATAGAAAAGAAGTCCATACAGCTTTTAAAAGAATTCTGCTGCCTTGTACTGAAAGGGAGAGACAGTTGAAAATAAAAAAATAAAAAGAGGCCTCTGAGTCTTCAAACTTTTATAGTCAGGAAGCAGTTTGATATTGACCAGCAAATATGGGCAATGTCTTATAGAAAAGGAAAGATAACTTAAAAGGAAGATCTTAGAACCCAGAAAGCAGAGGGAAGAGGAATGGAGAAGCACTTTGATGATTGCAGGACTGGGCCCTCATGGAGGAATGGCGATGTGTTCCCAGCCAGAATTGCTATGATGAGTGATTGCTATGTGCTTCCTGTTCTCTCAATTTTTTTGAATAGGAATATTTATGCCCTTATCCTTTCTTTGTCTCACCATCTTTTTTGGGTTTGTGTGCATGGCAGATATCTTTTTTTTTTTTTTTTTGAGATGGAGTCTTGCTCTGTTGCCCAGGCTGGAGTGCAGTGGTGCACTCTTGGCTCACTGCAACTTCTGCCTCCCAGATTCAAGCAATTCTCCCTGCCTCAGCCTCCCAAGTAACTGGGATTACAGGTGCCCACCACCACGCCGGTTAATTTTTGTATTTTTTTAGTAGAGATGGGGTTTCACCATGTTGGCCAGGCTAGTCTTGAACTCCTGACCTCAGGTGATCCACTTGCCTTGGGCTCCCAAAGTGTTGGGATTACAGGCATAAGCCACCACATCCGGCTGATATCTTGTTTCTTAAGTTCAAATGTCTTCGGGTTGAGATATCTTGTCTCCTGTGCTCAAGGAGTAGTACCTAAGGAAGTTCACCCAAAGGACTCCATTCACATCTGATTTAGGTGATGAAATCTTAGACTTATGCTTAAGAAGATGAGGCTTTTGAGGAAGAGGCTAAGTGCATTTTGTATGTGGGAGAGAGATGAAATTTGTGGCCAAATGGCAGCTCATAACAATGTGTGTTTCCAAAGGTGGCCACAATAATATCTCCAACCACATGCTCTTTTGTAATGTGATCTTGCTACTCCTCCCTCAAGAGGTGAAATCTGTTTCACTCTTCTTGAATCCTAGCTGACCTTATGATGTACTTGACTAATCAAATGTAATGGAAGTAATACATGACTTCTGCGGCCAATTCAAAGAAATCTTGCAGCTTCTTCCTATAGTTTTTGAAGCTCTTGTTCTTGGGAGCTCTGAAATGCCATGTAACAAGCCAAGCTACTCTGTTGGAGAGACCATAAAATGAAGTCCTGAGACTACATGCAGGGAGAGAGAGAACAAGCAGTCTCTCAGAATCCCAGTGGAGTCTCCACGTGACTCCAATCCCAGCTGCCATCTGGCTGCAATTTCATGAGAGACTCTTGGCAAGACCATGAGAAAAATCATCCAGGTAAGCCATGTCAACCCATGAAACTGTGAAATATATGAAATTGTTGTTTTAAGCAAATTAGATTTTGGGGTGGTTTTTTATACAGTAACAGATAAATGAAGCAGATATTAATTTATTGTAATATGTGTCCCAATTTCAAGGATCTTAAAATGTAAACAAAGTACAACTTAGAATTGATGAAATAGAAAAAAAGAAACGCATGCAAATTATATGAATAGGTAATTTGTAGAAAAAGAAATCCCAATGGCTAGTATGAAGAGACGCTTTACTCCTCTAGTAATCAAAGAAGGAAAAGTTTAAACAATCAAAAAATAAGAATTTTTACTCAAAAAAAGTACAAACAGGCTTGGCGTGGTGGCTCACACCTGTAATTCCAACACTTTGGGAGGCCGAGACAGGTGGATCACTTGAGGTCAGGAGTTTGCCACCAGCCTGACCAACATGGTGAGAAACCCTGTCTCTACTAAAAATACAAAAATGAGCCAGGCGTGGTGGCGTGCACCTATAGTCCCAGCTACCTGGGAGGCTGAGGCAGGAGAACTGCTTGAACCCAGGAGGCAGAGGTTGCAGTGAGCCGAGATCACCCTATTGCACTCCAGCCTGGGCAACAGAGTGAGATTCCATTTCAAAAAACAAAAAAAAAACCCCAAACAATTAGAAACCTAGATAGTGGTAAATATTGGCAAGAACACAGGGGAAATGAGACCTCCTTGTATACTACTAGAGGGAGTATAGATTTGTGTAGCATTCTGGTTGAATAGTAAATTTAAGTTAGTATATATCATTTTATTCAACAATTCTTATCCTGGCTTTATAACCCAGAGTAATTATCACATAGGCTGATAAATTGACATGTATTAGGATATTCAGAGCATTGCTGTATACAGTAGAAGTATCATAAATATCTGTCACTAAAGGAGTGAATAAAATTTTGGTGGCTGCAAATTATTTTAGTGGAATACTATACAGAAGTTAGAAGCATGACACAAAACATGCAAATAGCAACACAGAAAGAGGCTGAAAAGTATTGAAGGACTTCTGGTTTCTGGCATGACTTATAAAGAGCTTGGAAGTCACCACTGCCACCCTCACAACAAGGAAAAAAAACTGAAATACTGAAAATCAACAACTTTTCTTAGATCCATCAAAGAATTGAGGTAACGGGCAAACCATCACTCAGAAAACTGAGAGAGAGAACCACAGTTTTGCGAGAGAAGATACCACAGCTGTCATCGGACCTGTGAGGCTTAGATCCTATTTAAGAAGTCTTTAGAGAAGCCCAAAGACAAAAATGACGACAGAGGAAATTTTAGCCTCTAATAAAGACACAGAGAGAGTAAACACAGCCGAACTCCTAGATAGATAAACATAAAACCTCATGATAACTTACTTCAGTTTCTTTTACCCAATATATAATAATCTAGATTTCTACAAAAAATTACACAGCACTTTAAAAGGCAAAAAACACATTTTGAAGAGGCCAAGCAAGTACAACAAGATGAAGATATGACAGTGATTTTGGAATTAACAGGCTGGAAATTTAAAATAATGATTATTATGCTAAGGGATCTAATAGAAAAAGTGGACAACATGCAAGAAGAGATGGGAAATATCAGCAGAGAGACTGAAACTCTAAGAAAGAGAAAGAAAGAAATGCTAGGAATAAAAGTACAGTATTCTATTATAAAGATACATGCACACATATGTTCATTACAGCACTATTCACAATAGCAAAGACATGGAATCAACCCAAATGTCCATCAGTGATAGACCAGATAAAGAAAATGTGGTACATATACACCATGGAATACTATGCAGCCATAAAAAGGGATGAGATCTTTGCAGGGACATGGATGGAGCTGAAAGCCATTATCCTCAGCAAACTAACACAGGAACACAAAATCAAACACCGCATATTCTCACTTATAAGTGGGAGCTGAAGAATGAGAACACGTGGACACGGAGGGGAACGACAGACACTGGGGCCTGTGGGGGGCAGGTGGGAGAGCATCAGGAAAAATAGCTAATGCATGCTGGGCTTAATACCTAGGTGATGGGTTGATAGGTGCAGCAAACCACCATGGCACACATTTACCTATGTAACATGGTCTGGACATGGCTGAGGAAAGAATCAGTGAGCTTGAAACTGAAAATTTCCCAAACTGAAAGCCAAAGAGAAGAAAGGCTGAGAATAAAGGAACAGAATATCCAAGAACTATGGGACAATTATGAAAAGTATAATATACACATAATGGGAATAGCAGAAGGAGAAGAAGATAAGGGAACAAAAGGAATACTTGAAGTAATAATGACTGAGAATTTTCCAAAATTACCAACAGACACCAAACTACAGATCCAGGAAGTTCAGAGAACACCACACAGGATACATACCAAGACATCTGCACCTAAGCATGTTATGATCAAACTGCAGAAAGTCAAAGACAAATAGAAAATCTAGAAAGAAGCTAGAGTGAGGGAAAGCCTTGCTTACAGAGAGCAAAGGATGAGAATTATAGCAGATGTCTCTTCAAAAACCATGCAAGCAAGAAGAGAGTGGAGTGAAATATTTAAAGCATTGAAAGAAAAAAGTCACCAACCTAGAATTGTATATTTAGGTAAATTATTCTTTAAAAATGAAAGAAATTAAAAACTCAGAAAAACAAAAATTGAGAGAAATTGTTGCCTTCCAAGAAATGTTAAAAGAAGCTCTTCATAGAAAAGGAAGATGATATAGGTCAGAAACTTGGATCTATGTAAAGAAAGGGAGAGCATTTAAAGTCTTTCATTTTCCTCATTCTTGTTCTTCATTTTTAAATTATTTTTATTTTTTTATGAGACGGAGTCTTACCTTGTCACCCAGGTTGGAGTGCAGTGGTACAATCACAGGTCATTGCAGCCTCAATTTCCTGGACTCAAGTGATCTTCCCACCTCAGCTTCCTGAGTAGCTGAAACTACAGGCACGTGCCACCATACTCAGCTAAATTTAAAATTCTTTATAGAGATAAACTCTTGCTATGTTGCCCAGACTGTCTCAAATCCCTAGCCTCAAGTGCTTTTCCTGCCTAGGCCTCCCAAAGCATTGGGATTACAGGCATGAGACACCACACCTGGCTTTATTTTTTATTCTTAATTGACCTAACAGATAACAGTTTGTTCAAAAGATTTGTAGCAACAAAATATTATTAGTAGCAATAAAACTTATAGACATGTGAAAGGTGTGACAGGAATGTTATAAGGGACGGGAGTGAGGTATTGGCTGTTCTCTCTTATAAGGTATGTGCACCACCTGTGACTCAGTGTAGTGTTATTTGAAAACAGACTTAGATTAGTTGTAAATGTATATTGCAAACTCTAGGCAAGCACTGAAAATGTTTTTTTGAAATAAGTATAATTGATATGCTAAGAGATGAGACAAAATGAAATAATATAAATTTCTCAGTTAAAATCTGAGAAGGCAAAGAACAAGGGAAATGAATAAAAAACAATTAAAATAAGGTAGAGATTAAATCTAAATATATGAATGATTAATTAGAATGTGAATAGTCTAAATACATCAATTTAAAAGACAGACTATTAGAGTGGATAAGAAAACAAGACTCAATTATATGTAGTCTACAAAAAACTCACTGTAAATATAAAGGATAGATTGAAAATAAAGGATGGAGAAAAATATGCCAAGTTAACACTAATAATAATAATAAGGCTGAAGTAGCTATATTAATTTCAGACAAATCACATCTTAGAGCAAGGAAAAAGGGGCCAATTCTCCAAGAAGTCATAACAATCCTGAGTTTTTGTATACTTAACAACAGCGGTCAAAATATGTGGAGGCAAAAACCGATAGAACTGCAAGGGAAAATATACAAGTCCACTATTATAGTTGGAGACTTCAATACCCATTTATCAGTAACTGACAGATCCAGCAGAAGGAAAACCAGTAAGCATATAGTTGAATTGAATAGCACAATCAATCAGTTGGTGCTAATTGATATTCACAGGATATTTCATCCAACAACAGTAGAATACACATTTTTCTCAAGCTCACATGGAACATTCTTAAAGATGGGTCATATCCTAGTTCCAAAACACAACTTAATAAACTTAAAAGAATAGAAATCAAACAAAGTATGTGCTCAGAAAACAATGGAAATAAATTAGAAGTCAATAACAGAAAGATAGCTAGAAAATTCCAGAATATGTGGAGATTAAATAACATACTTCTAAATGACATATAGGCCCAAGAAGTCTTACGAGAAATTTAAAAAATATGTTGAACTAAATAAAAATGAAAACAAGTAACTAAGAAACGCTTCCTAACCCATTCTATGAGAACAACATTACCCTAATACCAAAACTAGAGAAATACAAGATAAGAAAAGTACAGATTAATATCTCTACTGAACAAAAATCCAAAAATCCTCAACAAAATATTAGAAAACCAAACCCAACAATGTGTAAGAATAGTTATGTGCAATGAAGAGTGGGATTTATTCTAGATATGCATGGCTAGTTCAGCATTCAAAAATCATTTAATGTAATCCATCACATATAACAGGCTAAAGAAAAAAACTTTTGGTCATATGAGTAAATACAGAAAAAGCATTTGACAAATTCAACACTCATTCTGGATAAAAACTCTCCAAACTCAACTGTATATAGAACATCTACAAAAAATCTACAGCTAACGTTATAATTAATGGTGAGAGACTAGATACTTTCCCCTCAAATCCTGAACAAGACGGGGATGTCTACTCTTACTACTCCTAGTCATCATTGTCCTGGAATTCCTAGCTAATGAAATAAGAGAAGAAAATAAAATGAAAGGTATACAGACTGGTAAGGAAGAAATGAAACTGTTTTTGTTCACAGATTACATGATTGGCTAGGTAAAAAATCTTGAAGGAGTTGAACCTTTGGGGCAGGGTTACCTGGCTTTTGATTTTAAAAGAACAAACAAGAGAAAAACAGAATTTGAGAAGGAAGAAAGCCAATTAAGAGACAGAAGTTTATGCTGAGAGGGACTTTCCCCAGGCTAAAATGATTCTTTTAGTCTGGACAGAGAAAGGTCAGTGAGTCCCTTCAGAGCAGGGACCTACTCTAGTTTCTGGTACTCTCTGAGTAAGTATCAGGGCTTCAGAAGGAAGGTCTGCATGGAGCACTTGGAAGGTTGGGTTCCAGGCCCAGCTGCTTGTTCTTGGTCAAAGATTCCTATCCTCTGGGCCCACAATGTGGCCACAGAGTGGTGGATCTAGAATGGTCATGTGGACTACAGACAGATGCCGGTGGCGGAGTGGGTGCCATATCTTGATCCTGTATTTGGTCACCAGGTAGGAAGGACCCAAAATGTCTGAGATAAATTTCCTGTCAGTCCAATGGAGCTGGGGTTTAGAGTCATATTTTATTTACAAAAAATAAAGGGATGTGGTATTTCTTGTAGAATACATTGTTTCTAAGAAAATAAAACTTAAAGCAAAAATCAGCTATTTCCAGGGTTGTGAATGCAATTCTGCCCATAGATAAGGATGATTTGTGCTAGTACCTTATTTTATCTTCTCATTTCAGGTTTCTATGGTTATTTTACTCCTCTCTTCTCTGTTCCCATTGCCTAAGTTTATTTTTATTTTTATTTTTTACGAGATTTTTAATGAAGTAGCAGCACTCAACTTTTTTAACCTTTGCTGCCACCCTGTGGCTATCTTTTATTACTGTATATGAAAGGGGCATCTTGGAGCTTCTGCTAAGCCATCCAAACAGGAACAAGTAAGTGTAGGGGAAGCATATAAAAAACGTATTTGAAAATAATACTGCTCGGTATCTGGGGCATGAATCTGATATATGCTATACGTGTCTTATGTATCAGTATATGTCTTTCAGAATGCTATTAGTCTGTGTCTAACCTTATCATAGTACTCCCCCATTCCTCACTTCAAATCAAGATGCATAACTACGCTGGGAACACAGTAATTGTTGATCCTGACTTGCCACCTAGTGTCAATTATTGATTTTAATAAACTTCAGAAAAAAAATCTTCGTAGGAAGCTGAACCTGAAATCTACAGTAGACTTAATTATTAAAATAGAGCTCTTTGTAGACTTTCAGTTGGTCTAAAACGTGTCACATTGGTGCAAAGCATTTTGGCTCTCCCTAAGCGGTAAGAAATACAGTTTTAAGAAGTGGAATATCCTTATAGCCCATTTTTCAGGAAAATTTTCCATGAGAAATAAGGATGACTGTAATAATCTCCTTGCCACCTGTCTCTCTCACACTAGCTCTGCCACTTGTTATCATCCTAAACAAAATCTGATCTTGCCGCTGTGTTGTCTCTAAAAGATTTCATTAGCTTCCTATTAATGGCAGTGGCTGCTTGCTATCATGCCCCATGCAGCCAGTGGGAGCTTCGCCTCTTCTGAGTTGGGGTGGGGGCTCCCCAAGGTGCTGCTGCAGCCCTGCAAACCTCAGTCCTCCAAACCTCAGCTGCAGACCCAGGCTTCCTGCTCTATGAAGCAGGCAGGAGCCCCGTCCTCCTGGGTGGGGCTACAGCCGCCCAAATGCGCTTGTGGATATGAGCCTCCCTGTGCTCCCGGAGGGGGCCGGGAGTAGGCAGGATCTGCTCTTTTGGGTGCAGCTGCAGCTGCCCAATCCTCAGCTGCAGACCTGGGCCTCGCGCTCCACGGAGCAGGCAGGAGCCAGGGACACGTGGGAACCTCCCCCCTTTCAAGTTGGCGAGGTGGGAGCTCCCCTGGCGCAGGACCTGGGCATCTCTGCAGTGTGCACCCTCATGGGCCCAGGAAGGTCCCTCCCACACTCCTGTTCGCAAGCTCAGGGGTGTCTGCTTCCACTGCCTGGCCTCTCTCTGCTCCTGGCACTGGCTTGGATCTTGGAATGAGGACTTGGGAGCCATGAATGGTGGCAGGAGGCAGAGTCCTGGGAGGAAGGGGGCGGGCCCCCAGTAAGGCCCCACCTTCAGATCAGGAAGGGCCTGAAGGCTGGGGGCCAGGCTGCCAGTCCCACCAACTGGAGTGGGGACTTGTAGTGCCTCTTCCTGCCCACCCATGGTGCCCATGGACCAATCGGCACACACTTCCTCCCCTCCGAGGTCCATAAAAGCCCTGGGCTCAGCCAGAACAAGATAGGATGGAGAGAACGGAGAGAGGACTCAATGGGAAGACCAGCTGCAGAAAGGAACCACCCTCTCTGCTCAGAGCTTCAGAGACTTCCAGAGACGGGATTACCAGCTGCAGAGAGGAGTAACTCTTTCCAAGAGGCCAGCTGCAGAGAGGAGCAGCCCCCTCCAGGGCTTCCTCTCTGCTGACAGCAGATGTCAGGATGACCTGTCTACAGAGATGACACAATGGGAAGACCAGCTGCAGAGAGGAACTACCCTCTCTGCTGAGAGATTCAGAGACCTGCAGAGGCGAGCAACCCTTTCCAGGAGGCCAGCTGCGGAGAGGAGCAATCCTCTCCACGCTTCCTGTCTGTTGATGGCAGACGTCAGGACAACCTGTCTACAGAGAGCTAGCCACTGCAGGTCTCCTCTGAGCTGTTCTAACGCTTAGTATAGCTCATCTTTGTCTTGTTCACCCTTCACTTGTCTGCATACGGGAAAATCAACACCCCCAAAAATCCCCTAAGACCATTACTTATAAAATAACATGAAAACTTCTGTTAACACGCTTGATAAATGAGTCTCAACTGATTTCTCTAGCCTCACTTTTTATCACTGCCATCAACACTGTCCTGACTTTTCAACATTAAACCATGTCTAACTCTTTTAGCATAGGCCCCAATTGAGAACTGCTCTGTTTTCTGTCCTAAGCCTTACTTAGATCTTTTCATTGCAATTAGACAAAAATATCAGAGTATTAAGAGTCAGAGACCAATCAACAGGATGTTCTCTGTTCCTTCGTTTCCCACCAAATACAGCACTATGCACGAAGGTGGCATTCTCTATTGTGTCCATTTGTTGGGGAGCCCTGCAAATCTGGGCCCCAGCTGATGCAGCTCTCTTGTGATTGAGATTTACAACAGGAATCTCATGTGCCTTATATAAGAGCGTCTGCAGGCATGGCTGGATCCAATTCTGAGGATGGAGATTCTCTGACCCTTTTATTAAATACAGGATAGTGGATTATTCATAATCTTGGACTCCATTGTATTATCCAATTATAAGTCTATTGGCTCTTTCGAGGACACTGAGAGGCTCTTTTCTTTCTCTACTCTGGGAAGAAAGAAGGTAGGGCCACATAATCTTTAAATAAAGAGACTCTAAGCAAGAAGTTTTGTAGGTGTTACCTTTTCTCCTCCCTCAGCATAGTCTGACTTTGGGAAGGGCAAATTCAAATCGTGAGCAGCACTGGTCACAGTCTACCAGTGCCACATGCCTCACACAAGAAGCGGACAATCACGCCATGCTGATGCCAACAGGTCTCAGACATGAACTCACCCAAGGGTCTCACAGATGCCTTTCCTGTTTTCTTTGCCCCATTTTTCTTTTTTCTGCTTTGCTTTTACATACTTTCTCTTCTTTTGAACACATCTGTCCTTCTGCATTCAGCCTCCCACCATCATCTGATATCTCAAAAGAAGAGACAGCCGTCTCCTTCCTCACAGCTGAGTAGCACTGAGAAGTAGTTAAGGGTATGGACTCTGGAGCTGGAATGCTTAGGTTAAAATCTTGCCTCATTTTTCACTTGGAGCTTGGGAAAGTTTCTGAACTTCTCCAAACTTCTGTTTTTCATTTAAAAATGGGATTAATAATAGTATCTACATCATAATGTGATTGTGAGGATAAAATTACCTAATACCAGAAAAATGCTTAAAGCAGTGCCAGGCAGATGGTAGATACTCAGTATTGCCTTTTAAAAAATTAACCCTTCTATCTCTTTTGTGCTTCTACATTTTTTTAATCTCCTTAGAAAACTTGTTCCTGTACAGCAGGTCCTCCAATAAGATTGTTCCTGTTCAACCTCGTTTTGTTATAATGTTGATGAGACAATGGCCAGGGCCACCTGTCTGTGTGGAGTTTGCGTATTCTCCCCATGTCTGTGTGGGTTTCCTCTGGGCACTTCGGGTTCCTTGCAAATCCCAGAGATATGCACATTAGGTTCGTTGGCACATCTAAATGGTCCTAGTCTGAGTGTGAGTGTGGGTGTGAGTGTGCCTGCGACGGGGTGTCCTGTGCAGGGTTGTTCCCACCTTGGCCCTGAGCTACCAGGAAAGGCTGTGACCACCTGTGACCCTGAACTAGAATACACAGCTTGGAAAAAGAAACAAAGAATGAATACATAATTTCACAATAATTTGTGAAATTAATGGCTAAGAATGGGATCCATCAGATGTCTACCCTGTGAAGTAGATGATAATCATACAGATACATGGCAATAAATGATGCAGGATGAAAATGCTCGCGACCCCACCACATTTGTTCTCATTTGTTGTTGAACTGCATGCTGGTAGGAGGTGCTACTTCCTACCAAAACTTTGGTTTGTAAACATTTCTTCCTTGATTTAACCCATCACCACTAAGGAAACCATCCCTATAAACTTTATAAAATTAATCAGGGAAGAAGGGAGGGGGAGAAATGAAAATAAACCCAGCTTGCAGCACACTCAGCATTAAGCACTAGGTCAGCCTGTGCTCGGACCTGCTTCCTCCTAGTTGTTTGCTGCCTGTTGCCCTAGAATCACACAGACCCTAGATCGTAGTTCCCCTTAACTGCTCTACAGATAACAACTTGAACATTATAAAATGCAAAGTTTTCCATTTGAGATATCCTTTCAGGTGCTGCATACTAATGAAACTACTGACATCAACTGGTCTGAAGGACCCCATAGGAGCTGACTCACCAAAGAATGCAGTTTCCATGTCCTGATGAATTCATTCTCCTTACCCCAGCCAATCAATGGTCCCAATTCTCCAGCTCCTCACCCTCCATGATCCCCTTAAAAGCCCCAGCCCAGAACTCTTCAGGGAGGTGAATTTGAGGGTCCCCTCACATCTCCTCACTTGGTGCTCTGTGAACGTTAAACCCTTTCTCTGCTACAAACCCTGCTGTCTCAGTGTAACTGGTCTGTTATTGTGCACTGGTCATACGAATCTGTTGGTCATGTAACACTATGAATGCTGTCACTCAGTGATTCACCATAAATTGGGGAGTCGCCTTGTTTTTATTTATTTATCATGTTTATTTCAATGTTCAATATTAGAAATGTTTTGGGTCTTCATTTAGAAGTTTGGTGATGTTTCTGTGATCAGATATATGCTGTAGAAACAGCTCATTTTATTTTTAAAATTTAAATATAATTTTTATTACCAAGGTTATGTGCAAAATTTTAAAAAGGCAAATTTTCCTATGACTCTTTATGAAAAATAATAGTTCATGGACTTCTTTAATCTTTAATTTTTATGGATACATAATAGTTGCATGTATTTATAGGGTACATGTATTTTTATACAAGCATACAACGTGTAATGATCACTTATAATTGGGATATTCATCACATTAAACGTTTATTATTTATTTGTGTTAGGAGCTTTCCTAACACAATTCTACTATTCTAGTTATTTTTAAATGGAGAGTAAATTACTGTTTACTATAGTTGCTCTATTTTGCTACTGAACACTAGATCTTATTCCTTGGTTATATTGATTAGCCTAGGGTAAAATTGGTTTTGTTCTATGTCATGTCATTTAAAGTTGCAGTTTCTAAGAACCTATCAATGGTGTTAAGAGAGGATCTACTATACAGGTTGAGCATCTCTAATCCAAAAATCTGACATCCAAAGTGTTCCAAAATCTGAAACTTTTCAAGTGCTGAAGTGATGCTAGGAGGAAATACTCACTGGAACATTCTGGGTTTCCAGTTTTTGGATTAGGGATACTCAACTGGTAAGCATACTTCAAATATTTCAAATCTAAAAAATTCAAAATTCAAAACACTTCTGGTCCCAAGTATTTTGGATAAGGGATACGCCACCTGTACTTATTTATACTTCTCCAATAACACGTGATTCTGTCACACACATAAAACTGATATCCAGATGTTTTTCAACCCAAAGTCATACAAATGGTCAGTGGCAGATTTTGGACCAGAAGTTAAGCATTTCTAATTCCATGAAATTGTCGTAATATTATGACTCCCACCTAAACATAACTTATTAATTAATTGATTGATTGATAAATTTTCACCTTTCTGCAATACGGAGCTTCTATCTAGACAGGCCAGTCATTTTACCTGGTGCTAAAATAAACCATTTCTTCTGCTTTTGCAAAAAATGTTTCCACTCAGATATACTCTACACTCTTGTCACTAATCTTCAGTTTAGAAGTTTTTTCTTGGAGTGAAACTTTCCCAGATTGCCATTACATTGCTTTGCATATTCTGAGGTTCTGCAGTAGTGAGGCTGTTGTGAATTGTTCCTAAATTTATGCTAGGTGCTCTTACCTCAATTTGGATGCCATTATTTGTTTATTGCAAATACAGGGTACAATGAAAAGCAGTAAGTGCGCATGGAGTAAATTTGCATTAAATGAAGAAGGAATCAATTATAGAGTCTCTAGAAATACATATTTATTTGCCAACCTCATTCAGTATCTGTATTGCAGGGACAAAATATCCTTTTAAAAAGTCGTGGGTCTGGGGATTCCAGCCAAGTCTTGTTTATAGACACAAGCCTCAAACATTTTCTTGCTCTGTGCCTGTGGAGAGAAGAGGAAAGCGAACAGGATGACTTCGGGCTTGCCAAGGAGTGAATTTAATTCTAATTGGATATGGACAGCAGCAGGGCTTTGCTAAAGGAGACCAAACTGGTTATGGCTGAGAATGGAATCCATCAGATATCTACCCTAATCACAGGGTAATTTCATTTACACTCTTCTGATAAGAAAATCAGGAAACCTTCCAGGAAGTTAGTGTTCCTCTCCAAAGCTGTATAGTTCTGCGTTACCTTGCAGTATGATAAATCTGATATCAACTAATAAAAGATGTAGATGATTTTGTATTTAGGAGGACTGCTTTTGAGAGCAAAATGAAGGCTTGGGATATGTAGAGCAAACTGCCTATCGGCTGCAGGGGACACTGTATTCAGCAAATTTGCTTCATCTGAAACACACAATGGGAGAAAAGCTTGAGAATGGGAGCTTCAACGGGACAGGGCTATGTGGAGAGGCTTTGACCTATTTAAGGACTGCAAACCATACTGAATCAGGGCCTGCGTGATCACAAAAATGTCAGCTCACTGGGGAAATATATAGACATGGTCAAGGAATTTCCACTCTTGATACCATTAGTATAATCCGTTACTCTGGTGGAAAATCAAAGCCTGCTCATGCTACAGTGTTCAAGCAAAGTACTAGGGGGGATCACGCGGGTATGTGTTCTTTCAGTTCTTGTTCCATATTTGCTTCTTTTTTCTTGCATGATATTTCTTATATGTTTTCCTCATCTGAAAGACTTAGCATAATTCTCTCCATAAATCAGTATAATACCCACGATTTATATTCCAGCTGAAATTTTACTTGGGGGGTGTGTGTGTGTGTGTGTGTGTGTATTTTAGGGATGGGGTCTCACTCTTTCACTCACTGCAGCCTCAAACTCCTGGGTTCCAATGATCGTCCTGCCTCAGCCTCCTGAGTAGCTGGGACTACTACAGGTGTGTACCAGCATGCTGGCTGATTTTATTTTTCAATTTTTTGTAGAGATGGGCTCTCACTTAGTTGCCCAGGCTGGTCTCAAACTTCTAGCTTTAAGAGATCATTCTGCCATGGCCTCCCAAACTGCTGGGATTATAGGCATAAGCCACTGTGCCCAGCCTCTTCATTTGCTGTTTAAAGACCACTCAACGCTATAGTTCTCACCCCTCTCTTAGTTCCTACTATAATTATTTGTATAGTTCTTAGGCTCTTCTTTATTTCTTTGCATTGCTATATTATCTTTTTAAGATTTATGTATGCCTTTATTTATAAGCACTTCTACGTAAAACTCTTGGTACTTTGGATTATTTTGCACGACTGATAGGCTTACATATCAATATACATGTATATTACAGGTAGTTTTGGCAGTAGTTTTGTAGGCCAAGGAAGAAAAAATAAGTTATGGAGACAGATTAAACTGAAAACAAGATGTACAAGGGTTTACCACACTTTTATTGCTTTAAGAATTGAGGTTTGGCCTCCACTTCCACCCTTGTTGCTACTATCTCAAGTGAAATAACTCAGAAACAGGAGGTCAAATACTTCACATTCTCACTTATAAGTGGGAGCTAAATAATTTGTACACATGGACATAGAGAGTGGGATAACAGATACTGGAGACTCAGAAGGGTGGGAGGGTGACAGGGCAAGAGGGATGGGAAATCACTTAATGGGTACAATGTACTCTAATTGGGTGATGGCTACACTCAAAGCCCAGACTTCACCACTGTGCAATGTAGCCATGTAACAAAACCATACTTGTACCCCCTAAATCTATATAAAGTAAAAAAGAAAAAAACCCCAAACACATTGGCTTTTATTTTATTTTTCCATCAAAGACACCACACTGGAAAGAACTGAGTTTATCTAGGATTCTGTTTTGCTCACCTGTCTTATAGTAATCATAGGCTTTCACAAAAGCAGGTTTCAGCTTTCTTATGGGGTTGTCTTGCAGAAGAGTGAAAGAAAAGGTCAGTGTTCAATCCGTAACCCAAGAAAGGAAGGAGTAATAATGCGGAACCAGGGAGGCCTCATCTCTTTTTCCTTAGCATCAGTCTTCATCCTTTGAAAGATAATTTTTTAGTGGGCTAATAGGATTCATTCTCTAATTCATTGTGCTCCCTAATGGCTCACATAGGGAGCAGTTGGAGGGTGATGTGGATTTTAGAGTAGGAACCTCAGGAACTTGAGCAGAGGCTCCCAAAAGTAGATTAGAAGTTTATTAGTCTTTTAAACGATTAAAATAATACATATTCCTCCATAATATCCAACACATGGCTCTGCCTATAGTGAGAGATAGATTCTTTATACTGGCAAGCTGACTCTATCTATATTAATATTAATATTTCCAAATATTCAGGAAACAGGCGTACATCAGGGGCTGTTCTTTTGCTGCAAATGAAGTTGATGGAATTACACTGTGATACGACTGACTGTGAGTAATAGATCTAGACTGATAGCATATCTGTTTATCATCTGTATCTAATCTGTCATCTACCTTATTTATCTATTATCTATCTAGCTATCTCTCTATGTATAATTTATCTAACTTCTCTCATACATGTATGCTAAGGTAAGGTTGATTTAATCACTGACAACCCTTGGAAACACTTCCTATCCTTGATTACCAACTTTCAACATGGCTTCTGGATGATGAAGCTTATTTATGGAAAAGAATGTTTATCTGAAGTATACAGAAATATTCATATGCTCATTTTAATATAAACAAACATATATGTTTTAATATAAACATATAAATATTCATATGCTCATTGTAATATAAACAAACATATATGTTTTAATATAAACATATAAATATTCATATGCTCATTTTAATATAAACAAATCCATACCTACTGGCCTCCCCCAACCCTCTTGTCTGTGACACTCCAAATCCCAGGAAGCTTGCGATGAGGAATGAGGATGTAAAATATCTCACGTGAACAGAGAGGATGTGCTTTTCCAAATGGCCTTCCTAATGACTGCTCTTCTCGTACCACGTGCTTGCCTGGTGATGAGATCCCCTAGAAGGACTGTTCACCTGGGTCTGTCTAGCAAGGCTGGCAGGGGCCCCACCTGGTCCACAGAAATCAAGATATGGTTGTTGTGCACTTCTGTCCTGCTCACGTGGCTAGATCTTTCAAGCTAAGGAAAATAAGAGAAATCACCAGTGTTACTGAATAAAGAAAGCCTGTGGGGTACAAAGAGACAAATAGACTATGAGATTGAAGAAGTCTATACATAAACAAAGCTGGGGTTAAATTCATTTAAATGAGTTCGAAGACACTTGTCCAGTAAGATGAAAACATATACAGAGTATTATGAATACCACCACATTAGATACAAGATTGAATATTCATATGATTAAGTAACAGGCGTCTTTAGCATTTGTTTGAAGGTGAGGGAGAAGTGTCCTCACATTGGATAGCTAGTCATCTGAGATGATTTGCAAAGCCATCTGTCTCTACACTGCCATTCATCTCAGCTTTCTCTACATTTCACAGTACTTAAAGACTATGCCAATGATTTTGGTACTTAATTATATCTTGCCCTGAAATGTCATTTGACAGTTTTGGTTACCCATGTGTAATATTTTTATCTAGAATGTATCAGCACCTAGCACAATGCTAAATATATATTTGGTACTATATGAATTCAATTTCCTTAGATTATGACCAATGTTGCTTTGACATTATTAGGATACCATTGTTTTATTCTTACATTGGATTAAAAAAATCCAAACACCTAGCACCTATTTACCATTTTCACTGTGGGTTTCAATGGATAAAACCAGATATCAACTTGGATACATCCAAGATTAGACAGCTCCCTGTGTAACTATAGATATAAGAAAGAAAAATAAGCCTCAGTGTCTTTTGAATCTTGCTCTCAGTTAAGGTTCAACATAAGCCCTGACATCTTTATTTATTTTTGTTTTTATGTTTAATTTTATATATGCATGTATGTATGTTGAGACAGGTTCTTGCTCTGTCACCGAGGCTGGAGTGTGGTGACATGATCACTGATCACTGCAGCTTCCCAGGCTCCAGCTATCCTCCCACCTCAGCCTCCTGAGTAGCTGGGACCACAGGTGCATGCCACTATGCCCGGCTAATTTTTGTGTTTTTGGTAGAGATGAGGTTTTGCCATGTTTCCTGGGCTGGTCTTGAACCCCTGAACTCAAGCAATCCATCCGCCTTGGCCTCCCAAACCAAAGTGTTGGGGTTACAGGTGTGAGCCACTGTGCCCAGCCAGCCCTGGCATCTTTTTTTTTTTTTTTTTTTTTTTTTTGAGATGGAGTTTCGCTCTGTCGCCCAGGCTGGAGTGCAGTGGCGTGATCTCGGCTCACTGCAAGCTCCGCCTCCTGGGTTCAAGCCATTCTGCTGCCTCAGCCTCCCGAGTAGTTGGGACTACAGGTGCCCGCCACCACATCCGGCTAATTTTTTGTATTTTGTTTGTTTGTTTGTTTGTTTGTAGAGACGGGGCTTCATTGTGTTAGCCAGGATGGTCTCGATCTCCTGACCTCATGATCTGCCCACCTTGGCCTCCCAAAGTGCTGGGATTACAGGCGTGAGCCATCGCACCCGGCCCCAGCCCTGGCATCTTTAAGTAGCTTTGCTAACTATTCCTGTGTCCTTAGTGGTCTTTCAACTGCTGGGAATAAATAGCCTTTACTGTCAGTGTGAATGGTTCTGAAAACTAACTGCATGATAGAACCACCTACAGAGTTCATTAAAAACATAGATGCCTGTTAGCCCAACGTGGTGGTGGGCGCCTATAGTTCCAGCTCCTAGGGAGGCTGAGGCAGAAGAATTGCTTGAACCTGGGAGCAGAGGTTGCAGTGAGCTGAGATTGCGCCATTGCACTCCAGCCTGGGCAACAGAGTGAGACTCCATCTCAAAAAACAAAAAAACGAAAACAAAAAACAAAAAACGCAGATGTCTGAGCACATCCCCAAAAATAATTAATTAAATCTTTATTGATGAGACCTGGATATCTGCATTTTAAAATAAATTCTACAAAGGATGCTAACCAGATTTTAGAATTGCTGGTATATGTCGCTTCTTTATAACTTATATGTTTTGGATTAATGATGATCTTTTTCGTCACGTGAAGACTATCTTCACAATTAGACTATAAGATTTCTCTAGGTAAGAGACAGTATATTTATATTTCCTGTGGTTACTCGAATATGATTTTGCTTAATTAATATGTCTTGCTTTTGTGAAACACATTTAACTTGTCTACTGATGATGGATCAAATTGTGAATATTATTTCCTTTTTTCATCCGAGAAGCTAGGATTAAATTCCTTTAAATGAATTTGAAGAATTTTGTATTTATAACCAGAGTCATGGGTTGTATTCCAAGTAAAGCTTTTTTTATTTTTTATTTTTTTATGAGATAGGATCTCACTATGTTGCCCACACTGGTTTTGAATTCCTGGGCTTCATATGATCCTCCCATCTCAATCTCCTGAGTAGCTGCCAGATAAAGTTTTTGAAAAGTGTTGTTGAATTGGGAATCTTTTTTCTCTTAGAAAAATAGAATTAATTTTTTTTTAATAGAGATGGGGCCTTGCTATGTTTTCCAGATGTTTGCCAGGTTGGTCTTGCACTCCTGGCCTCAAGCAATCTTCCTACCTTGGCCTCCCAAAGTGCTAGGATTACAGGTGTCAGCCACCGCACCTGGCCATTGTGCCTGGCCAAAAAATATAATTTTAAAAAGACCAGAAAGACTTTTCTTTAGAGGTAAAGATGAATGAGCCTATGTTAAAGTGTCATTGAAAGAAATTATTAATGGTCAGTCGTGGTGACTCACCCCTGTAATTCCAGCACTTTGAGAGGCTTAAGTAGAAGGATCTCTTGAGCCCAGGAGTTTGAGACCAGCCTGGGCAGCATAGCGAGACCCTATCTCTACAAAAAATAAATAAATAAGATGAAAAAGAAGTTATTTATTCTTCGATCATGATGGCAGGCAATCAAAGAATCTTGGAGGCATACTAGTTAGAGCTTTTAACCCCACAGGTCTTCATTGTCCACATCGGTGATGACCATTTTTTTAGTAGACAAGGCAAGAACTTAATGAAGAGAATTACTTTACGTTTCTTGAATTTACTACTGAAGAGTTATAGGTAGCTAATAGCTAATATTTTCGTAGCTAGTGTTGGGACACGGAAACCAACCCCCCAAAATATGGTGCTTTGATGGGCTGAACTGTATAGTATATCTGATATATTTATATAGTGTATAAAAAATCACCTGACACAATAGATGGATAATATATCTGATATATTTATATATCGTATAAGAAATCACCTGACACAATAGATATGTAATATATCTGATATATTTATATATTGTATAAAAAATCACCTGACACAATAGATGGATAATATATCTGATATATTTATATATTGTATAAAAAATCACCTGACACAATAGATGGATAATATATCTGATATATTTATATATTGTATAAAAAATCACCTGACACAATAGATGGATAATGTATCTGATATATTTATATATTGTATAAAAAATCACCTGACACAATAGATGGATAATATATCTGATATATTTGTATATTGTATAAAAAATCACCTGACACAATAGATGGATAATATATCTGATATATTTATATATTGTATAAAAAATCACCTGACACAATAGATGGATAATGTATCTGATATATTTATATATTGTATAAAAAATCACCTGACACAATAGATGGATAATATATCTGATATATTTATATATTGTATAAAGAATCACCTGACACAATAGATGGATAATATATCTGATATGTTTATATCAGATATATTATACATTTATATATTATACATATACATTTATATATATACATAATAAATACATTGTATTATACATATATGTATATATTATACATATACATTTATATGTATAATATAGTTGACATATTTATATATTTATATCGGATATATTGTACATTTATAATATATTTATTATATTTTATATTATAGTATATTATCATTTATAATATATTGTTATATGTTATATGATATATATTTATAGCAGACATAGTAAATATCTATTGTGTTAGGTGATTTTTTATACAATATATAAATATATCAGATATATTATACATTTAAACAGTTAAACACCTAAACAGCCCAATTTTATGTGGATCAGTACTACTAACGGCTTAGGGTAAAATGACAGCTACAGCATAACTAGAATGTTAAAGTGGCATGTCTCAGACAACGTGGATGGACATAAAGTATTTGAGAGAATATTGCATAATAGAAAAAAACATTGTAAAGACTAAAATACTAAATAAGACCTTTTTTTCCCGAGCAATAATTTGCCCAGGCTGGTCTCAAACTCTTGGCCTCAAATGATCCTCCTGCCTTGGCCTCCTAAAGCATTGGGATTATAGGCATGAACCACTGCTCCTGGCCAGAATTCTTGATTAAACAATAGGGTCTAAATAAATTTAAACCCCTTTTATTCTTTTTATTCTTACAGGGTAGACTCAAATATTCTATTTCTTTCCAACTTTATATTCTTGTCATAACAACCCAGTATTCTCTGAGGCAAATGGATGCTTATGACCAACTGGCCTGAAATGGGGGAATATAGGGTTAGTGGTGAGTCACATATAAGAAAATGCAAGAGAATAGCAGTGTATCATATTTCAAAATAAAATACAAACTATACATAAAACTGACCCCAACAAGTATCCATTTCATTTCCTGTCGTGTATCTATATGCTTTCCTGGAAAGAATAAACTTCAGTTCACAAAATCAGATGTAGAAGATACATCACTTTTAAAAATTCTACGTAATTTTAATTCCAAGATTCCCATGCCACCAGGCTGGTGGGAAATCCAGTTTAAGTTGTAATTAGGCCTTTTCTCCAGTATTACATATGAATTTGAGTGTAATACCCCAAAACTTGAGAAGGCCATTGTATCTCCAGTCCACTGGGGCAATGAATAGCTTGAGCACCTGATCATTATAATGACCCAGATGTGTATCTTTTTCTTTTACTCTGCGGTGAGTTTTTCTAAGGGAGGAATCCTATTTTGTTTAATTTTGTATTATAGCATGGGATATTGTGCCTGGCAGATAGTAGGCAATCAGTTAGTATTTCAGGAATAAACACTCTTGGTCAGTGATACAGCTAATGATTTGCAACAAGCATATCCTTAAAGTACCTTTTCAGTAACGATTTCCATATGAACAAAGAAAAAAACTAGAACCAAGAGGTAAAATTATAATCCTGTTGTCTTGTTCCCATAGCCATACTCTGATTTCTTTTATGTTCTGTGCCCTGGCTTGATACTTAATTTGACAGCTAATTATAATGTTTATTAAGCTCTGAAATATACTTTCTCCTGGCCTTTTTGTCTGAAGTTGTTTGAGGTGTCACCATGGTTGGAAGTTAAGAGCATGGAAGCTAGACTTCTTGGTCTTGAATTCTAGCTTTGTCACTAACTTAGTAACTTTGGGCAAATTACATGTCTCTGCTTCAATTTCATTTGTTAAGGTAGTACCTATTTCACAAGGCTGATGGTGGCAGCAGTGGGGCGTCCAGAGCTGCCGCTGCCATCACGCCAGCTGCAGCAGGGAGGGGCGGGCAGCGGCGGCGGAGCAGCTGCGGGAGCCGCAGTGGCTGCTGTGGGACATCTGTGCCTCGCGTCCCCTGTGCCTTGAGACCCCAAAGCAGCCGACTGCGCCGCCACCATCCTCGCGTTGCCGGGTGGGGCGACGTGCTCCCCGGCCAGGAGCCTCCACCGCTCCGGACCCTGGCCCTATGTCGCCGCTCTCGCCCGCCGCCGCCGCGGAGTGGGAGTGGGGAGGAGGGGAACAGTCCTTGGAGCCGGCCCCGGGAGTACTCCCGGAGCCTGCCGCCCTGGAAGCCGCCACGATGGACCGGGCTGAGTCGCCCGCCGGAGGGGAAGCAGTGTAGTCGGGCACGGAGGGGCAGGCAGAGAGGGGCCCCAAGGCGGAGCTGGGTCCGGGGCGGAGCGGTGTTCGCACACAAAGCGCTGGGGCTGGACCCAGGGTTCGGGGCCAAGGCGAGAAGTGGGAGCGGGGCCCGCTTTGGGGACCCGGACAGCGGTGTGGCCACCGCGCACACCTCCGACAGCGCCGCATTCCTGGGCCTTGGGAGGAGGCTCTGAGTAGGGCCGCCTGGGGCGCGTCTTCAGGGTCCTCCCGGCACTGGGGTGACCGCCGAGCTAGACGCGCCTGAGGGCTGAGCCCCAGGGCTCGTGATCTGCTCCCGGAGGCGCCCCCCAGGCAGGGCCGTGAGCCGGGCGAGGGAGAGTCCTGGGCTGCCCCTGAGCCCCGGGGCCACGGGAAGAACTTGCAGCGACGTCATCCCTGCCCCGGACACAGTCCCGGGCCCAGGGAGGACCTGGAACATTCCCTTCCTCCCCCCCCCCCCCCCCGCCCCCGCCCATCAGCCCAGCCTGCAAGGAGGCGCCACCGGACCTGCACACTCAGGAGCAGGTGAGCCAGGGACAAGCAGGAGCCCCGCCCCTTCCGAACTGGTGGAGCAGGAGCTCCCAGGGTGCAGCTGCAGCCACCTTGCCGCGGCTGTGGACATTTTCTGTGCTCTCAGAGGCCCAGCAAAGTCCCCTGCCCACTGCAGGCTCCAGGGTGCCTACTCCGGCTGCCTGGCTTCTCTCCACTGTTAGCACCCACTCTGAACTCAGAGCAAGGTCGGGCCGAGCCTGGGTACTGTCACAGCCTGGCCGAGCGTGCACACGCTCAGGACAGTGCTGATACGCCAGCCCCCTGCCGTCTCGGCCCCCTTTGGAACTTGGGCACCAACAAGCGTGGGAGGGAGGCTGAGAGGGGTCTGAAGACAGCTGGACACTGACTTGCAGGCGCTCCTTGGCATGAACAGCCTGGGAGCAGGAGGCAGACAGGTTCCTGGGTGGAAGGGGATGGGTCCCCAGTGAAGTCCCACCCTCAAGCTGGTGAGGGCTTGAAGCCTGCAGACCAGAGAGGTAACTTGTGGTGCTGCTCCCTGGGCCCACTCATGGCTGCCCATGGACCAATCAGCATGCATTTCCTCCCTCTGAGGCTCATAAAATCCCCCAGACTCAGCTAGATTGGAAGAGAGGATGGGAAGACAATGGATGACCTACCTGTGGAGAGAAACTACCCATTCCAGAACCTCCTCTCTGCTGAAAGCTGAACACTCAATGGGAAGACCTGTTTGCAGAGAGGAGCCAGCCACTCCAGGGTCTCCGTTCTGCTAGAAGCTGAACACTCGTTGGGACACCCTTGCTGTGGAAAGGACATCCTTACTGTGGAAATGAGCTACTAACTGCAGGTCTCCTTCCTCTTCATCTTCCTTATCCTTCTGTTCCATTGCTCAGTAATGCTCCTCTTCATCTGTCTCATTCTCCACTTGTCTGCTTGATGCAGGAGCTGAGGAGCTGCACAGCAAGGTTAAAAGAGCTGTAACACAAACAGGGCTGCAACATGCCCCTTGCTCCCCACAGGGAGAGAAGAGCTCTGGCCCTCGGAGAAGCCCAGACCTGGGAGCTCCTTGAGCCCGGGCTGTGACTCCCTCTTTGGGGCCCTGGTTGGCGTCACTGCATTCGCCAGTGCCACTGTTGGAAGCTGCTTGTGATGCGCCTGGTCCAGGGGGAAGCTGTTTGTTGTGTGCCTGGTCCAGCCACCTCATGGAGAGCCTGTGCTGGCACCTGGAGCTGCCCAACCTGGGCAGCAGCTTGTGTGTGTGACTGCACAGTGGCCACGCTTGCTCACACACCCCTAGCACACCCCTCTGCTCCACCCGTCTCAATCTCCCTTGGATCCGGGATCCAGGTTGGTAGCAAGTGCGAGTGGGCAGAAGCAGCCCAGTGGGCCCAGAGCAAAACTCAGGCAAAGGTGCCACTAGACTGGCCAGGAAAGCGACACCCTAAAGATCCCATAATGCTGATATGTTAATTCTATTCTATAAGCACCACACAGAAGTGATAGCTTTTATTTCTTATTTTGTCTAGCCTGGAGACAGAGCTAAGGATTCCTTGAACTGCAAAGTCTTTTCCAGTTCTTAGTTTATACAATCCATACTCACCTTCTGCCTAACTAAGCATTGTCATTTTTGTGCCAAATGAAGAGTAGGACTCCTACGATTGTCCTCAGACTCTCTTGGCTCAATCCTCCTGCTTTAACCTTTCCTACTTCAAAAACTCCTGAAGTTTTGCTTCCCCTTCTATAGAATGGAAATATATGTCGCAATACTTACTGCAAAGAAAATTATATATTTTAAAAATAGACTAAAGAGATGTTGTGAGACATCAGACATCAATCAGATGTTGTGAGAACTGATTTCTGCATCAGAATATCTCCTTGACTTTACAGCTATCCTTTAATCCTGGCTCAAAGTTCCAGAAGAAAGATGATCCAATATAATACTCCTATTTGGACTTTGAGTCATACACATTCCTTCTTCTGAGAAAACGTGCTTCTGCATGAATCCTCCCTTCATTATTTTCAGCTCATCTATTATTGAATCTGAAACCCCAGGTTAACTGACTGATCACTCTCATCAGTGGCAGATTTTGGTGTAACATAGGACACATCACTCCCAATTCAGGTCAAGTCCCAATTATCTTGCCTCTCAATATGACATGTTCAATGTTGTATTTCATTCTACTTCATTTTAATGTAAAAAGTCTTTTCTGGTGAAGTCAGTCTTTTATTTTCTCATAAAAATTCACCCTTTGGGTTTTTCATAGGGTATTCCCATAACCAAACACACTTTACACTTTCCTAGTACATAACCCAATACTTTCTTCTTTCCCCACAGTCCTTACATGAAGCCTACTCAGACCGACATCACTGTATCATTTTTTTGTATTCTGAAGTCCTTCAGCACTTGATTCCTTTAAGTTTAATCTTGGTATTCTATTGGGAATCATATGGAAATGTACAATGATATTTATTGAATGAACAGGAAACAGGGAAAGACATTGACCAGAAAAAGTGTTTATTCATCAAGTCTTTAAAGATACAAAAACACGTGTCTTCTGTGGAGCTCTGAGAACAGGACTCCAGCAAAGCACTTTTCAGCCTTGTGGTCTTCAAGCATTTCCAAGATCTGTGACATTGGAAAGAAAAAAAATTAAGACAGATTTGGGTCTCCATGAGCAGAGAGTATTCTTTCCCTTAGTTCTGGGTAGCATAGTGCCCAAGGAAACCTAATCAGTACAGTGGGAAACCAAATCTATTCCAAATCATTACCCATAAGCAATCCTATGGACTCTCTGAGGTTTGACAGAGTCAGCGGCCCTCTCCAATAAATGTGTTTTTCTATAATAATGTGCAGTGTGAGTAATTTGATGTTTTTGACAAATATTTACCCAGCGTTTTATGAAGGAGAAGGTTTGGGGGGCAAGCTGAAGGAGCTCTGACTGCCTTTTGGAGGAGTGTGAGTGGCTTACCTTTGCTGCAAGGAGCATTGTACTCAGCAATTGCAAACTCATCTGAAAAAAAAAAAACCAACAAAAAACCAGAAATCATTACATGAAGTGAGAAAGAAAGCAAACATCTGTGGGATACAGGCCAAGGAAGGAGTTTGTTGTGGGAAGAACAGTATTGTACCAGAAACATAAGCATCATTCATCTGATGTGTTGCTTGCTACCTTATATTCTCCTTTCAAATATAGTGTTTTATATATTCTTTTATCCCAAACTCCTGAAGGACTCTTCAGATGTTCTACTTACTTAAATCTCATATTGTCATACAGTCCATTTATCTGATGAAAAGGGAACTAAATATCCCACAGGTGTTTTGTATTAGTAGTTGATAAATTTATAATGTAGGTTGTTTCTATAATGTATGTATAAGAGACAAAAAGAGGGGCATCAGACTTGATGGAGACAAAATGAAGTGATAATGTAATTACTTAATGTAATAAATAACCCCAACACATCTCCTAAACCTGAATTTCTGTGATCAGGAATTAAATATTTCTACGTGAAAATCACTCTCACTCACCCGTCTCGTAGTAATCATAGACTTTCACTATGGCTGGTTTCAGATCTCTTACTGGGACATCTTGCAGAACCGTGAAGAACAAGCTCAGTGTCTGATTTGACACCTGGAAAGCAAAAGTCAATTAAATGACCTTTCAGGAAGCTTTCTTCTCTCTTTGAATTAGTTTAAGTATTCACCTGTTTTTTGGGGGAAAAGCTTTATTATCCTACAGCACACTATAGGGTCCTTAATTAAATTGTGCAGAAATCTCTCAGAGGGGATGATAAATTCTCCAGATTATTTCTTAAATAACTAACATAACGCATATACCTCTGTCAATGCCAATACATAGCTCTGTTCATGGGGGTAAATGATATATACTTTTTATTGGATGACTAACTGTGTTCATTTTTTAATATCCAGAGATTTGGTATAGTTTGACTTCTCTGTCTTGCAGGAATACTTGCGTAGACTCAAAGAGGCATCTAAAAGGTTGATCTTCCCAGGCTTAAGTTTCATAAAATTTGTAAACTATAATTCCCATCAACTTATGCATGAACAAACTCTCCTACCACACATATCTATAAAATCAGATTGGTTTACTGGTGAACTGGTCTTATTATTTTATGGTTCAAGTCCTTGTGGAGACTGACAGTTTTTTTTCCCTTTCATATTGTTGTTGAGTATGTTGATAATTAACTAATAATTGACTAATCACAAGGGCTACTTCCTTATATTACTGGGTATCCAAAAAACTTGTCAACATAATAAACACATTTTGTGAAGATTTCTTGCTTATGGGATTTTAGGAATATTCATATCCCAAGATCATAATAAGCCATTTCTACCTGTAATCCCTGGTGAAATATAAATAAAGGAGAGAAGAACATTCTTTTAGAGTTAACATTAGAATTCTCAAATTTCTAGCATGGAAGTGATGTTTCTAAAATGCATTTACCTTCCCAGATGTTCCCTTAGAGGATTATTATCTACGTTTTTTTGCAAATAGACTGGAAGTTCTCTTACCTTATCAAGGTAAATCAAGACATGGTTGCTGCTGACTTCTGTCCGGCTCACATGGTTAGATCTTTCAAGCTGAAGAAAATTGAAATACCACAAATGTTAATAAATAGATGAAACCCCTGGGGGATCCAGAGAAAAAATCTTTGTATTGCCAAAATAACCCTGAGGGTAGAATTCTTCAAATGCTTTTTGTAAGGAAATATATAATGTAATACAATTAAAAATGAAAGGCATAAAGGGTTTACTATTAGTATAACACACGACTAATGTGTAAAGTTATTTATCTGAAGAAAAGACAGCTAAGTATCCTAAACTTGGTAGTTACTCATATTTCAAAGTTCAATTCAGTTTCTATTTCTTCATAAGGAGTTTTTTTCCTGTTTTGCTTGCTCTATTTTTCTTTTAACTTCTGTAATACTTATAGTTTATGCCAATCAGTCATTTTCATATTTTTCACTGGTTCGTGTTCATATCTTTTATCTTCTTAGCAAAATTCTAAGCTAAGAAGAAATTGAAAAGCAGGAACCTGCTGACAATCTTTTTCTTGTAGTCATGGGTCCTAGCACAGTGCTCTGCACATGGTCAGCATTCATACAAACACATGTGATTATATTTCTGAGCTGGAAAAAGGATAAGGCTTTGATAGAGATTGACTTTAATAGTATTTTGATATTAGTATTGTCTTATGCTGGGGATACATACATCATTAAATAAAATAGGGCAGTCTGGGGTTATGATAAACCTACCATTTTCACTGTTGGCTTCAGGGGAATGAAGCCAGAGACCATCTTCACATCAACGATCGCCATGTTGGAGGCAGAGCGGCTCCCTGTGTAACTGAGGATCCAGGGGAGGAAAGGATTAGGGTTTTCTGTGTTTTTAAATATTTTCTTCTTCTATGTCCATGTTAAGCATTCCACAGCTCTAAAAGGTACACGTAAGTCTTCCCAAATATCTTATCCCAGTGGTTTGTAAAAGTGGTGTGCGTAGAATTTTTAGGAAGCCTGTTAAAGCCACAGAGACCAGGCCCTACTCTAGACCTGATGAATCAGAATGTCTAGTGTATGGGGGCTGAGGATCTGCATTTTTTTTTTTTGATGGAGTTTTTCACTCTTCTTGCCCAGGCTGGAGTGCAATGGCATGATTTCGGCTCACCGCAACCTCCGCCTCCTGGGTTCAAGTGATTCTCCTGCCTCAGCCTCCCGAGTAGCTGGGATTACAGGCATGCACCACCACGTCCGACTAATTTTGTATTTTTAGTACAGACGGGGTTTCTCCATGTTGGTCAGGCTGGTCTTGAACTCCCGACCTAAGGTAATCTGCCCGCCTTGGCCTCCCAAAGTGCTGAGATTACAGGCGTGAGCCACCACGCCCGGCTGAGGATCTGCATTTTAAGAAAGCTCTACAAGTGATGCACAGGCTGTTTGTGACCTCTAATCTATGCCAGTTATTTTATTTATTTGTTTACTTTTATTTTCTTTCAGCTGACAAAATGATGTATATTATGAATAATAAATTTCAGTCTACATTATTTACAAAAACAACAATAATTTATAATGTTTACTTAAACACTGGCTTTCAACAAAACACTTAGAAACACCTAGCGTCTTGTCCCCGAGAGTTTGCATCCGAAATTTGGACTGCTTAATTTATTTTTTGGCATATATATACACCAAATTAAATGAAAAAAATATATATATATATACTTAACTTTTAGGTTCAGGCGTACACATGCAGGTTTGTTATATAGGTAAACTCGTGTCATGGGGGTTTGGTGTACAGATTACTTTATCACTTGGGTACTAAATTTTGCACTGAATTGTTGTTTTTTTCTGATCTTCTCCCTCCTCCCATCCTTAACCCTCAAGTAGGCTCTGGTGTCTGTTGTTCTCCTTTTTGTGTCCATATGTTCTCATCATTTAGCTCCCACTTACAAATGAGAACATGCAGTGTTTGGTTTTCCATTCCTGTGCTAGTTTGCCAAGGATAATGACCTCCATCTCCATCCATGTTCCTGCAAAGGTCATGATCTCATTCTTTTTGATGTGTGCCAGTTATTTGTTACATGTATTTTGTCCTAACTTTTTTCCTGAATAGTATCTCCAACCAAGTAATAATATGTTTGTGGAGAGAGAGTTTTTTATCAGATCTGCAGCTATTTAAATATTGATGCATATAAGTGTATCTTCCCCCCAAATTAATTATATCATATATAACCTGAGATTTATTATTGCCAGTAGGAATTCTAACTAAGGAGTCACTACTTCCTTCTATTCAAACTTTTCAATAATTCTTCATCTCTATCTTCAATAAAGCAAGAATAATATAGGATTTCATTACATAACAAGGAATTCAGGTCAGAGGCAATGGGTAATATTTACTTAGTTGTTATTGAGGGAAATTATTACCCTTTAAACAATGAGGTTGCACAATAGTAGATCCTGGATGGACAATGTAAACCCCATCATTGAGAAATTATATCAACTTAAGAGAATACATTGCATTTTTTGTGAATAGTGCAAATATCTACTGTTGCACTGCTTTACTTAAAGAGGAGTTCCCGAAAGAAGACTGGTGGTTATTCTTAGGATTAGGTGATAGAGTCAGAAGGTCTTACCTGACACTTAGGGAGATTTGGAAGCTGGTGTGGGCTTTGGGTTCATCACAAGTTTGAGGCAGAGTCTGCACTCCTAAAGCAAAGGGGAACTCTTCCTTTTCTGGGAGAATATTGTATTTCAAGGATGTCTATAGAACATCAAAGACAAAATCAGTTTTTTGCCCTTTCCCAGAATTCCTGTCCACGTCCCTAACCCTTTCTCTGATCTGTCCCATTGTTTTCTGAGTTAGGACTTCTCAGAGAGAACAGCTGCTGTCCTCATCTGTCCTGTCCTCACCTGCCCAAGAGTCTCACCTGGAGGTAGACACATCCTTCTCCTGTCACTTTCATGCTGTATTCCCCAGGCAGCTCTGGCAATGAGACCTGCTGCAGTAACAGGCGGTTGTTGTTGTCCACTTGGAATTTGCTGGAAAATGTCCCTGAAGACTGGATAGTCACCTGTGCAGCCTTCCCAGTCCTGGTAAATGTGGCTGCTCCATATTTGGACAGAGCATGGAGAGCCACCACTGTGTCCTGTTAGAGACAGATGAGTGAGAGAACCCATTGGGCATTATAAGGCTTTGAGGGCTGAGATATTTTTCAAAGACCCATGTGAGGGACTTTGATTTCCTACTTCCCTCACTACTTAAATATAGGAGCTGTAATTTCAAGATTGATTATAATCTTTAGATAGTTGAAGAACCATAACATTCACATATCTACCTTGGACTGTATGCCCTACATGTTTATTTTATTTATCAGAAAATTGATCCTTTTCTCTCTGTAAGTATATGTGGGACATGGAATGTGGAAAACATGTGAATGGCAATCAGTTATTGGCATCAGCTATTTGCTAACATGTCTTTCTTGACAACTATGCTCATATCTGCCACCACTCAAGCAAAGTTCAGTCTGGCTCTCTCCCATATTAAACTTTGCTCAGTTGCTGAGGTCAGTGTCCTGGAGAGAACCCAAGGTTCTTTGCAGCCATGAGCAGAGTCATGCTTCAGTTTCTCCAAAAGAAATAAAAGATGAGTATTATAATTATCTTCTGGATTTAATGACATTTTTATTTGGCTTTCCCTTTTTATTGGATGATTTCCTGTTCCCAGTGAATGTCTGCTGGTATGTATCCTCAACAACATTAAACCTGCTTGGCCTCCTTCAAATAATATGTTTCTAATAAATGAATGATAACCTTTAACAAAATTACTTAGTTTTTTTCATTCATATGATAAAAGATTAATACAATGGAAATAGGATGGAATGCCATTTTGTCACATTTTTTCCGTTTTAGGGTATATAAGCAAACATCCGAATTCTCTGAAGATAAAACTTTCTGCTGTGTACATATCAATGAATTGTTCAGATACATGGTTATATAGCTAGATTTAGGAGGTTGGATGAATAAAGACAGTTCTTTATGCTCCTGATGAATAAATGTTTGTGTATTAAGAGGTGAATAGGGGGCTGGACGCAGTGGCTCACACCTATAATCCTAGCACTTTGTGAGGCCAAGGCGGATGGATTGCCTGAGCTCAGGACTTCGAGATCAGCCTGGGCAACATGGCAAAACCTCGTCTCTACTAAAAATACAAAAATTAGCCAGGCATGATTGCACATGACTGTAATCCTAGATACTTGGGAGGCTGAGGCACTAGAATCGCTTGAACCTGGGAGATGGAGGTTGCAGTGAGCCGAGATTGCACCACTGCATTCCAGCCTAGGTGACAGAGCAAGACTCTGTCTTAAAAAAAAAAAAAAAAAAAAGGTGAATAGGGGAAGCACAAAATGTGTAGTTTTGAGAAAAGCCTATTAAAGGGGACCTAAGAATGGAGAGATTTGCGAGGAGAGGTTGTTGGATTTTGAGTAGAGTTCCTTTGAACAGTTTGAAAGAGACCCTAGAGCTTTCAGGAGAATGGCAGGAGACATCTCCTTCATTCTGCTGGTGCTCCACTGCTGCTTGAGGAAGGCAGTGTTGTTATGGGAAATAGGAGATGGATAATAACACAGCGATGGGGTGCCGGGATTCTGAGCATTTCCTTTTGGCCCTCTTTGACTTTGATTTGCTTTTATTTCCATTATCCTTGGATACTGAAAACTTTTCCTCATTTCAAGTTACTGTCATCTGTATTTTTTTCTTCTTGGATGTGTTTGTTTCTTTTTCATTCAAATCTTTTGCTACCTGAAGGTGAAATAAAAGGTTTTGGCAAATCACCAACCTGGGTGGAGGAGAAACCGCCCTGGGCATTCTGCTGCTTCGTGATCCACTTCACGATGTTGGTTGCAGAGGTCAGGTCCTCCGAGGTTGGGGCTGGCTGGGCCGTGAGATAAGCGAGGAGCACATAGGATGTCATCTCCACCTCAGCAGAGGGAGCCTGGGGTTCGTAAAAATGCCCCACTGGTGCCTTGGGTTTCTGAGGGCGCTCCCAATGGACAGAGTTGTCTTAAAGATGAGAAAAAGATATTTATAAGTGCCTACATATTTATATTTAATTCAAGGTGAAAGTACCCAAGCCAGTGCTGAAATGAGAATTGCATGCCCATTATAATCCCCTGTACTGTATGTAGATGCTTTTCCCTTCATGTAAATCTGAATTTGGTGTGTTTTAGCCCAGCTAAGGCAGATATTGATGCTGGAGTCAGAAGCCTATGCCTATCTATGTTTTCAAATCGTTGCTATAGTCGGGTTGGTGGGAGAAAGAAATGGCACAGCAGTTGTCTCATTGAGTCTGGCTATTTCCTATTTATGATGTTATATTAGACTATAGCTGGAGTTTGTTACATTTCCTATAAAGTGTGTCTTTATCAGTTTCTTGTGAGGATCACAGATCACATGAAATAGTAGAGTTTCTACTCATTAAATTGAAAAAAAAAATACAGTAATCCTTGAAATACCAAAGGCTGACATGGATGTGAAACAATGGGAACCAATATACACTGCTGTGGGAAGCCAACTGCTCTTTGGCAATATTCAGCAATGGGGAAGATGTGCTTAGCCCACTAATCAGTCATTATGCTTCTCAAAGCATAATTTGGAGAAACACAGATGCACAAGAAAACAGGCACATGAGTATTCATTGCAGCATTTTTTTTAATAGCAAAACATAAAAAAAATCCATGAGGAGAAACTCGATGTGTAAATTATGACTAATTTATAGACTGTAATATATTATGCAGCAGTGAAAATTAATGAGCTGACTCTGCACATACTTGTATAGGGGTCTTCATCAACATAGTGTTGAACTTAGAAAATAAAAAGCAGACAAACAAAAAACTAAGCTGCTGAAATATTCAAAAATGTTTCTCTTGTTTCTTGAATAAGAGAGAAATAAAAATCTTGTTTCTCTCAAGATGAAACACATGTGAAGATTCTAAATATTAGTTAGGGATACATATGCAGCAAAAATATAAGGAAATCCATGGAATTGTAACGACAAATTCAGGATAATGATTGCCTCTGGAGGTGGTAGTGATACACAAGGGATTTATTTTTCCCATGTCGGTAATTTTCTATTTCTTAATCTATGAGAGAGTTGTACAGTGTTTTCTAGTTATAGCTTATGCCCTTTTGTATATCTATTATAAAATATTTCTCAATACATTTTAAGAAGAATTAATGGCTGTCAAAGGAAAAAGGTAGACTGTTTTAATGGACATCTTGTGATTTGCATTTTATTTTCTATTTCTTCAACCGCTCATATAGACCATGGTATATGTAGAAGTACTGTGTGAATATGAGTAGATTGGTCAACATTATTGGTCTTATGAAATGGGCTTAAAATACCAGAATTCATTCAAGGAGTTACTTCCATGATTATTTTCTTATGTTTAAGGTTATATAATGTACCAGGTAAGGGTTGGGCATATATTGAGAACTGATATGTTAATTGTAATAACTAGTACTTTTATAGGATTTGCTATGTGACATGTACTCTACTAAGTGTTTTACGTGTACCAATTCATTTATTACAACAGCTCTGTGAGGTAAATACTATTATTATCCCCATTTTACTGATGAAGGAACTGAAACACAAGGAAGTTAATGACTTTCCCAAGCTCACATAGGTAGCACATTTTGGAGCTAGTCTCCAGAGAATGCTCTTCTTACCAGCATACTATAGAGATGGTCCCTGACTTACAATGGTCCCACTTAAGATTTTTTAGACTTTACAATGAGTTTGTCAGGATATAACCCCATCGTAATTGAGAAGCATCTGCACGGCCTCTTGTCTTCTGATTTCTGATTTGATTAAGAAATCCTAGATTTTATAAGATGCAATATGGACAAAATATATATGATATATAGAAAAGAAGAGAGGAGACAGGGATCACAGGAGGTAGGAGTGAGGGATTTTTGCCATGCAGTTCTTGATACAGAGGATGGGCCAGGAGAAGGATCTCAGGTGTGCTCTCACCTTTCTTCACAGCTTCCTCATTAAGTGACTTGAGTACTTCCTTCCTCTTGTCCTGGTTACCTGCCAGGGCAAAAGCATAGGCCAGCAGTGCTTTGGTATATACATGGCTGCCATGGTCCCCTTCTTGTGCTGTCTTCCAGGCTGACTCCAGGCAAAACAGGGCATTGCGGACAACAGGGTGCTGTGAAGGCAGAACAAGAAGGGAACTAAGCTATGTAAACAGGCATATTAGCATTCCCAGGCAAATACACGGATCACAGCACAGAAGTTTTTCAAACGCATTTTTCCAACGATTCCTCATTCTTATCAATAGATATAATATTATTTTTATCTGTTATTCTCACATTCAAAAGATACATCTTTAAGATTCTTTTTTGAGTGGTGGTGGTAAATAGCCTAGGGGAATTACTGGGAAAATTTAAACCTTTCTTAATGGGCTGACCAAATTCTCTGTAGATCTGGGAAGCACTGGCATTGCATAGAAAGAAAGCTGATGCTTTGCTTTTAATAGGATAGTATTTCAGACAGCAGGTCAGCAGTTTCATTGCATCCAGAACTCTCCTTCAGCAGAGGAATGGGGTGGTACCTACAGTGACTGTGAGAGGAATCTCCAGAAGGGCGATGGTGATATAGGCGGAGAGGGTCACTTCATCTTCTACTCCTCCCTGTGAATACGAGAGAGAGATCTGAATAATTCAACTTCTGAGAATGCTATTGATTAGTTCTTTCTATTCTGCTGTGTCATGGAATTCATCCTTACCCATATCCATCCCTATAGGGCAAAGTATCACAATCAACTTTTGTTCTATCCCCTCTTTTTTGGTGCCATCCAGGTTTTATTTTCCTCTGAGGCTTTCCCTTAGAATTTTTCACATTATCACTTCCTATCCTCATCCTTGCAGATATCATAATGGACAAATCAAAACTAGCTCCAGAATGATTCACCTTTATGGCATTGTTGAGCAGTGACCCAGAGCTCCTGAAACAGCCATTGTCCTTCTGCCTCTGGGAGAGCCATATGAGGGCTTGGGTAATGTGTGCTTCATCGATGAAGATGTAGGCTCGAGCTTGGGCAAAAGTCTTCAGAACAAAGGCTGTGAGCCTGACCAGGGAGGAAGCAATCATGATGTTTATGTTGTCAAAATGGTTTTATAACCACTTCACAGCAACAGGCTTCATATGATGTGAGTTAGCTAACAAAATTCTTGTGTACTTAGAGAGCTTATCTCCTTGATTAATCTTTAGTCTGCCTGATTAATCTGCTAGATGTAGTATTTCCTTGCTAACTCTCTCTTTGCCACAGGGAGTCTTAGTATATTTAATTTTATTTTAGTTCCGAGATACATGTGCAGAACGTGCAGGTTTGTTACATAAGTATACGTGTGCCATGGTGGTTTCTTGCACCTATTGACCCATCCGCTTAGTTCCCTCCCGTCACCCCACACCTCCCAACAGGCCCTGGTGTGTGTTGTTCCTGTCCCTGTGTCCGTGTGTTCTCATTGCTTAACTCCCACTTATGAGTGAGAAATGTGGTGTTTGGTTTTCTGTTCCTGTGTTAGTTTGCTGAGGCTGATGGCTTCCAGCTTCATCCATGTCCCTGCAAAGGACATGATTTCATTTCTTTTTATTGCTGCATAGTATTCCATGATGTATATGTACCACATTTTCTTTATCCAGTCTGTCATTGATGAGCATTTGGGTTAGTTCCATGACTTTGTTATTGTAAATAGTGCCGCGATAAACATACATGTGCATGTGTCATTATAGTAGAATGATTTATATTCCTTTGGGTATATACCCAGTAATGGGATTACTAGGTCAAATGGTATTTCTGGTTCTAGATCCTTGAAGAATCGCCATACTGTCTTCCACAATGGTTGAACAAATTTACATTCAAGTAATTTGAATGTACTTATTTTTGTTAGTTACTTGAGTAAGGCTTTAAATCTCTCTTATCTTTAGAGATTTCCTTCTGCAGATGACAGAATCTTCTCACATGCAGCTCTTACATGCAGTAAATTTTAATATTGCTTTACTTTAGGGATTTAAAAAAATGTTTTATATTACTGTTTCCTTCTCAATTGTTTCCTCTTATTAATGAATTCATTCCAAGTCAAGCTGAATGACTTAGAATGTGACAATATAAGCTGAAGTTAACATGGTTTATCTGGAAGTTATATATGTTCACTGGCAATATCATTTTAAAACTCATGGTTATGGTAGCTACTTTAGAAAGAATAGCCATTTCAGAAAGAAAACCTTGGTACATTATTAATAGGATCCATTTTGGAAACAAGCCTAACATAACATGTATTTGGATATCAGGTTTTCTTCTGATTACCTTGCTAATCTTGGTGGATTTATCTAGTATAACAAACCATCGGTCTGATAATACATATCTGATAGTGTTGCTGTGAATATAATTGAGGTAATACATGTAAAAGAGCTGGCACACAAAAAGAAGCTCAAAAAATTGTTCTTTCCTTACCAGGTGTTGCCCTGGTTCCTGCCATATCGCTCCCCAAAGGTGCTGTAGGAGCCATCATAGTGTTTGTAGTTCAACTGTCTCTGGTAACCTGGAAAGGAAGATTAACGAAACAGCACAATGGATTAATGTGCATGCTGAGGGTGGAGAAATTACTAAAAGTACCTTGGCTTCTCTTGTGACATTTCTTAAATTTTGTTGTCATAGATTAGGAGTTTCTGAGCCTTAAATATTTTATTGGAGGTTGGAGAGTGGATAGTTTCCTTGAAATTAACTATCATAGCAGCTATCATAGTGAGCTAAGCTAATGTATCATAATATTCATAAGTAACTGAAACCTACTGGGAAATCCAGTTGAAATAACATTCAAGTTTTCCCTTACTCAAGTAATCACTCACCAGTGTTGAGATAGCCAATGGCCTTGGACTTGATCTCTGGAGTAAGCTGCTGTGTTTCATTTAGATAATCCAGTACATAGATGTTAGGAGCAAAGAGGACCATATTCTGCTCTCCACAGCCATAGGGCATCTGGAGAAGATTTTGTGTGTTTTGCATGGCAGAGCCTAATATGTCTCCTAGAGAATGGGAGAGATGGGAAGTCATAAAGCTTGGAGATTATCATCTATCAAAGTCATTAAGCAGAAATAATTAGTTGAGCTTAGAAATTGAGAATTTTTAGGAAGGATGATTCTTCCAGGGATAGAAGTATGATTGAAAGCAATAAACAAGCCCAAAGAAGAAGAGAAGAAAGAAGTTAAAATTATAGTATTATTTTTAGTAAATATTTATGGGAAATAAAAATAGTATAATAGAAGCTGTTAATGCCCGGATCCACTAGGGGCTGGAGACTCACCCAAAACTGAGACAGAAGCTCGGGCAGATTCTTCTACCACATTTGGTGGCAGTTTCAGGGATAATTCTTCAGAAACCTCACCACCTAGAGAAATAAGCAAATCAGACATATGAAAATTATTTCTGCATTATATCTTTCTAAACAGCTCTATGACCCAGAAGCTAGGACTATGCCTTATACCTAAACTCCTCCTGAAAAGTTGTCCGCCTTTAATACAACAGTAATATATAAATATCTTAAAAATGGGCTACTGGTTTCCTGTGATTTTCAGAATTTCTTCTTCAATGATCTTTTCAGTAATTTATGTAGAATCGCATGCCAAATAAGACAACAAATTGTAAGAGCCTGGTGATGTTGTGATTCAGTTGCTGTCATCTGATGGCTGACACAAGACGGTTATCACAAGATGATCTATTTAGTTCCCACCACCAACTTCCTTACTCAACAGTTGTATGGAGAAAACACCAACAACAAAGCCCTATAAGTATACATAAGTAAAATTACCCACAAAAGGTCCTGAATTCTATAATAATGCTATGTTCTTTCTTCAAATTTCATATACAAAGATAGTATTTTTATGGAAAACCTAGAAAATTGAGGGTAAGGAAGTGAAGACGAACAGTATTTGATGCATTGAAAATAAAATAATTACTACTCATGAACATACATTTACTTCCATTTTAATCTTGGTAAATTATATGAAATGAAAATGAGAGAAGTATGGTATTTATTTTCATACTGAATCCCTTCCTCATAAAATTCATATTAAAATGTTTCTTAAAAAAAAGCCATAAGCATAGTTAAAGGACAAATGGCTAAGCAAAATAAAATGCTTGACTCACTGAAAATAAAATAACTGCTACTGATGAACATACATTTACTACAATTTTAGTATTGGTGAATTATATACAAATGAAAAATGTAGCAGTTATCTTCCCTTTCTCATAAAATTAATGTTAAAACTTTTGTAAAAAAACAGATGCCATAAACAAAGTTAAAAAAATGACCAAGTGAAAGAAAATATCTGCAACATATTCAACAGATAAAGAATTAGTGTCATACAACTGAGTCAGAAAAAAACTACTCAAAAGACAAATAGCCAAAGATTATAAAGGCAATTAATAAACATGCAAAAATAAGGTCATCCTTGTAATTAAGAAAATATAAATTAAAACAACAGCAAAATTTTTTTTTCTAAATTTTTGGCAAAAATTAAAATTAAAAACTTTGATGGTAACAGATGATGGCAAATATAACACTATGGAAATGTATCCTGGTGGAAGTATAAATGCATTTAGGTAATAAAGAGGAGGATTTTCGTTTTGTAGTTCAATTAAAATTCAGAATAAAGCAAGATGATGGACTAGAAAGTCTCAGGATCTTCCTCCCTCCACAGAAAGTCCAACTAGCTGCTATCCACAGATCAGAAAATCTATTTTGAAAACCCCAATACTTGGAAACAAGTCTAGGACACCTACATTGTTCATAGAACTGAGTGAAGACAAATTAGAAGAGTAGGAAGAATGGTCTCACTTTGACCATGTCATTGTTCCCACTCCTTTAGGTTAGCACAATGCCAGATAGAGAGGAGTTCCCTGGGGTCACAGTTTCTACAGCGGGGAAGAGAACCAGGGGTAGACATCAAGATTCTCAAGTATTCAAAGACACTTCTCAGGAAGCCCACTCTGGTCTCATTTCACCGGGAACACAGGAAGTAATGAGGTCAGGTAGAAACAAAGAAGGACAGAGCTCACAGTGACCAGCATGTGGATTTTGGTAGTGCTTCTGTGTTTCTGCCAGCTATGGCACCCATTCAGAGATACCAGCCAACTGCATAGCCCATCTGCAAAACTGAGCTGGTCACTTTCAGAAGCATGTTGGGAAGTTCAACCTAGCTTGAGTTTCCAGATGGCCAGTCTGTAAGCCCAGCTTCAGAGGTTATGCCAGTGACCCCACCCAGGTAGCAGACACCACCTCTGTGTATTTCATAGAAGTGTAGGGGTTAAATATGCTTGACCTGGGAGTCTAAAGGGTAGCTCAACTCAGCCAAAACCTCACTCCATGGCTCCATTCACAAGGGTGGGGTAGCAATCCTCTATTATGCACATCTAAGAAGTATAGTATTTATTTCTGCCCATCCCAAGCAACAACTCTACCTAACCTCACAGCCCGGATTGTGACCCTGCCTAACTTCAGGTCCCAAATAGCAGAATCATCCAGCCAGGCAACACATCTTGTGACTGGCCTGACCAGAGGCCATTGTAGTACCCAGCCAGCAGCTCCACCAGATAGCAGAGACAAAACAGTGATCTTGCCAGAGAGCAAGGCCCAACCAGTGGCCCTACCAAACATAAGAGCAAAGGCAGTGGCCCAGCCAACTAGGGAACCCATGAAAACTCTGCCTGCTCAAGGTTGTCACCAACTGATCTTTCCAGAATTATAGGCTAGACTAAATAGCAAACCTTTATCCCTGCCAAAGAATACCTATAAAAACCAGAAGAAGTGGCTTTCTCCTCAAATGCACAAATAATGCAAGGACACAGGATTATGAAGAATCAAGGAATGATGACACCTCCAAAAGAAACTGGCCAAGCTCAAAAAATTGACCTCATAGAAATAAAGATCTATGAAATCACTGACAAAGAATTCAGAATAATCCTCTTGAAGAAATTCAGTGGACTACAAGAATATATAAATACAAAATTAAATGAAATTTGCAAAACAATACACCAACAAACTGAGAAGTTTGACATAGAAACGATTGTGAATAGTGCCACAATAAACATATGTGTGCATGTGTCTTTATAGCAGCATGATTTATAATCCTTTGGGTATATACCCAGTAATGGGATGGCTGGGTCAAATGTATTTCTAGTTCTAGATCCCTGAGGAATCGCCACATTGACTTCCACAGTGGTTGAACTAGTTTATAGTCCCACCAACAGTGTAAAAGTGTTCCTATTTCTCCACATCCTCTCCAGCACCTGTTGTTTCCTGGGACATGGATGAAGCTGGAAACCATCATTCTCAGCAAACTATTGCAAGGACAGAAAAACAAACACCGCATGTTCTCACTCATAGGTGGGAATTGAACAATGAGAACACTTGGACACAGGAAGGGGAACATCACACACCGGGGCCTGTTGTGGGGTGAGGGGATGGGGGAGGGATAGCATTAGGAGATATAGCTAATGTAAATGACGAGTTAATGGGTGCAGCACACCAACATGGCACATGTATACATATGTAATAAACCTGCACATTGTGCACATGTACCCTAGAACTTAAAGTATAAAAAAAAAAGAAATAGAAACAATTATCTGCAACTTAGCTAATATTGTAAAATAAAAAATAAATAGAAACAATCAAAAAGAAACCAAATAGAAATCCTGGAAATAAAGAATACAATGACTAAAATTAAAAATTCAAAGTAAGCTCAACAGCAGACTTGATCAAGCAGAAGAATCAGTGAGCTCAAAGATAGAGTATTTGGAATTATCCAGGCAGAAGAGCAGAAAGACAAAAGAATGAAGAAAGCCTATGGAAATTATGGGACATCATCATGAAATCAAACCTTTGCATTAAAGAAAGTCCAGAAGAAGAAGAAAGAGACTATAAAGCACATTTAAAGCAATAATGAAAAAAAAGAGTATAGAATCAGAAAAAAAAAAAAGCAGTAAGGGCTGAAAACTTCCCTAATTAGGGGATAGATGCTAGCATCCAAGTACAGGAGGCACAGAGGTCTCCAGTGAAATTCAAATGAAAGAACTGCTCACTAAGACACAATAATTAAACTATCAAAAATCAAAGACAAAAAAAAATTCTGAAAAGCAGAAGGTGATAAAGAAACATATCACATACAAAGGAATTCCAATACAACTATCCATGGATTTTTAGCAGTAACCCGGCAGGCTGAGGGAGAGTGGAATAATATATTCAAAGTACTGAAGGAAAACAAAAATAAAAACAACATGGAATCAAGAATTCTTCATCCAGCAAAGCTGTCTTTCAGAAATGAGGGAGAAATAAAACATTCCCAGACAAACTAAAAGCTAAGGGAGTCGTCAACATTAGGCCTGCCTTCAGGAATTACTGAAGGGAGTTCTTTAAGCTGAAACAAAAGGCCCCTAATTAATAATACAAAAACACAAAAGCACAAAATTTAATGGTATAAGTAATATAGAGCCATATTCAAAATACTCTATGACTGTAATGATGGTATTTAAAGCAATTTTATCTCTAGTACAAGGGTTAAAAGACAAAATATTAATAACAAGCATAGCTAAAAATAAATTGTCAATAAATACACATTACAAAATATGTAAATTCTGACATCAACGACATAAAATGTGTGTGGGGGAGTGAAAGAATGCAAAGTTAAGTTGTTATCAGCTTGAAATTGACTGTAAACCCCATAGTAACAGCAAGGCAAAAATCTTTAATAGAAGCACAGAACAAAAATTTTAAAAGATTCAAATCATACCACTACAGAACATCAGACCACAAAGGAAGACAGCAAAAGAGGAACAAAGAAGCAAAACAACCAGAAAACAACAAAATGGTAGTACCAAGTCATTTTTAAATTAATAATTACCTTGAATGCAAATGGACTAAATTCCCCATTTAAAAGACATAAAGTGACTGAATGGATTTAAAAAAACAGGACCGAAACATATGCTAATTACAAGAGACTCACCTAATTTTTAAGGACACACATAGACTGAAAGTGAAGAGAAGGAAAAAGATGTTCTAGGTAAATGGGGACTAAAAGAGAGCAGGGGTAGCTATACTTATATTCAACAAAACAGACTTAAAGTCAAAAACTGTACAAAGAGACAAAGGAGAACATTATATAATGATAAAAGGGTCAATTCATCAAAAGGATATAACAATTGTAAATCTATACATATCCAACATTGGAGCACCTAAATATATAAAACAAATATTAAAGGTTGAAGGGAGAGATATGTTGCAATGCAGTAATATCAGGGAATTTCAACATCTCACTTTTAAAAATGGATAGATTATCCAGAAAGAAAATTAATAAGAAAACGTTGAACTTGACCAACACTTTAGATCAAATAGACCTAATGGATACATACAGAACATTTCATCTCAAGCACACAAGAAACATTCTCCAAGATAGATCATATTTTAGCCCACAAAACAAGTCTTAGCAAATTTAAGAAGACTGAAATCGTTTCATCGTATCAAGTATCTTTTCTGACCACAATACTATGAAAACTAGAAATGAGTAACAGGAGGAATTAGAAAAAATTCACAAATATATGAAAATTAAATGACATGCTCCTGAACAGCCAATGGGTCAATAAAGAAATTTAAAAGGAAATTCAAAAATATCTTAAGACAAATGAACATGGAAATGGAGCATAACAAAACATAGCATAAAGTAAAAGCAATTCTAAGAGGAAAGCTTATAACAATAAACACCAAAAAAGAAGAAAAATTTCCAATAAAGATACTAATGATATTCCTCAGAGAAGTAGGAAAAGAAGAACAAAGTAAGCTCAAAATTGGCAGAAGAAAGGAAAATAATAAAGATTAGAGCAGAAATAAATCAAATAGAGACTAGAAAAAGAATACAAAAGATCAATGAAACTGAATTGTTTTTTTAAAAAGACAGACAAAAACTTTTAGCTAGGTTAGCTAAGAAAAAAGAGGGAGGCCTTAAATATATAAAATCAGAAATGAAAGAGAAATTATGGCTGATACCACAGAAATACAAAGGATCATAAGAGACTATTATGCATAAGTATACACCAATAAATTGGATGATCTAGAAGAAATGAATGCATTCCTAGACATATACATACTACCAAGACTGAATCATGAAGAAATAGAAAATCTGAACTGACAAATAATGAGTAAAGAGATTGAATCAGTAATAAAAAGTTTTCCATTAAAGAAAAGCCTAATAACTGTTGGCTTCACTGCTAGGTTCTACTTATCATTTAAAAAGAATGAATACCAATCCTTCTCAAACTCTGCCAAAAGCTGGAAGAGGAAGGAATACTTTCAAGCTCATTTTATGAGGCAAGCATTACCCTGATACCAATGTCATAAAAAGACATTACAAAAAAGAATTACAGACCAATATTCTTGATGAATATAGATGCAAAAATCCTCAATAAAATACTAGCATAGCAGCTAAGCATGGTGGCATACACCTGTGGGTGGCTGAGGTGGTAGGATTGCTTGAACTCAGGAGTTCAAGTCCAGCCTGGGGAACACAGCAAAAGCTCATCACTTAAAAAACTAAACCAACCAACCAACCACACGAAATAAACTAGCAGACTAAATCCAACAATACAGTAAAAGGATCATCTACCTAGTCAAGTGGGATTTATCCCTGAGATGCAAAAATTGTTCAACATATGCATATCAATAAATGTGATACATTACATTTACAGAATGAAGGGTAAAAACCATACCATCATCTTGTTAGATGGAGAAAAAGTATTTGACAGAATTCAATGCTCTTTTATGATAAAACTCTCACCAAATTAGATATACAAGCAATGTTCCTCAACACAATAAAGGGCATGTATGATAAACCTATAGCTTACATATTTAACAGTGGAAAATTGAAAGACTTTCCTTTAAGATCTGGAACAAGACAAGGATACCCACTGCCACCATTTATTTTCAAAGTAGCACTGGAAGTAGCAGCAAGAGCAATCAAACATGAAAAAGAAATGAAAAATATCCAAATTGACAAGGAAGAAGTAAAATTTTCACTGTTGGTGATGACATTATCTTATATATTGGAAGCTCAAAAGACTTCACCAAAGGGCTGCAAGAACTTATAAATGAATGCAATAAAGTTGCAAGATACAAAATTAACACATAAAAATCAGTAGTATTTTCTGTTCACTAACAATGAATGATTGAGAAAGAAATAAAAACAATCCCATTTACAATAGCTATAAACAATATGTAGAAATAAATCTAATCAAGGAGGTGAAATGTACAGTGAAAATTATAAAACACTGATGAAAGAAATCAAAGAGAACACAAATAAATGAAAAAAAATACAATGTTCATGGATTGGAAGAATTAATACTGTTAAAATGTCCACACTACCCAAAGCAATCTACATATTGAATGTAATCCCTAACAAATTACTGATGTCTAGTTATGGAATCATAAGTGTCATCAACAGATGAACAGATAAAGAAAATTTGGTATATACACATAGAATTCCATTCCATTTTAAAAAACAAGAACATTCTGCTATTTATGGCAGCATGATTAAATCTGGAGGAGATTATGTTATGTGAAATAAGCCAGGTATAGGAAAACAAATATTGCATGTTCTCATTTGTATGTGGAAGCTAAAACATTCAAATTCACAGGAGCAGAGAGTAGAATGGTGGTTATGGAGGATGAAGCTGGAGTAAAAGGAAGGTGGTGTTCAAGGGACACAAAGTCTCAGACAGAAGGAATACATTTTTTTCTTTTTGGGATCTATTGCACAGCATGGTGAATATAGTTAATAATAGTGTATTTTATGTTTCAAACTTGCTTAGAGAATTTCAAATGTTCCCACCACAAAACATAAGTATTTCAGGTTAGCTTGATTTAATTATTTCACATTTTATTCATAAATCATAACATCACTTTGTATGCTGTATATATATACAATTATAAATGGTCAGTTTACAATGTAATTAAAGAACAACAACAACAACCAACCAAACAAAACTATGCATATCTATGCATATGCTCTCTGACTCAGGAATTTAACATTTTGGATCTACCCTAGCTGTACTTGCATATGTTCATTAAGAGGCTCTTATTATAATTAACTAACTAATTTTTTAAAGCTAGTGAATAGTTGAAAAAACCAATATAGGAAGACTAAAACACTAAGCAGAATTGTGATGTATTTATATTATAGGCTTAAAAGCAATTCCAAGGAAAGACCTAGATCTACAATTTAACATAGGTAAATCTCCAAGACAGGATGCTGAGTGAAAAACAAACAGTGATTTATAGAATGAAACTTATACAGTTTATTATATGTAAATCACACATCCACAAACATATACATCTACACACATTATTTCTAAAGATAAATGGATGGCAAAGTACTGAAAAATGTTCAGGGGGGTGACATTAACCTTTAATGTGATGTTCTGTTTTTTTTTTTAAAGAAGAATATATTTTTGTAAAATTAGGTAGGCACATTTGATTATGTTGGTAATTAAAATGAAATTTAGTAAAACTATTTGATGATTAGCCCTTACACTTAAGAGATACATCAAAATGAGTAACTCAGAAACGGAGAAGTCATGATAAAAGGATTGAATGATAGGTAATCAGTTCACTTAAATGTAGAAATAAGGCTAAATGACAAGGAAGTTATGTTTTTAGGGTACATTTTATGTGTTACATCTTGGCAACAGATGAATAGATAAAGTATTTAGTACGAAAAACATACTAAATTTGTAGGTAGTCAGAGAAAGGCAATGAACCTATGTATGATGTTGATTCAATGTTGGTTTGGGGTGAGAATGCATTGTGCTGATAAATTTCTTAGTGTATTAAATTTTTCCTGTAAGTTTCTTCAGTTCCTTCTCAAATGTTTGATAGGGCATTAGGTACGGGATAGGCATCAAACAGATATTAATATGACAATAATGGTAAAGGCCATGACAACTTTTCCTTTGGGAAATAGCAATCCCGTTATCAAATACTGTTGGCTATGTAAAACTCAGTGTTAGAATGCCCTAAATTCAGCCGTCCATAGTTTGCATTATTAATTATTTAAGGAAACATCCCTTTTGGTAATATTAATTTTGATTCTACCCACTTTCTACCTATGCCCATACCATACACTGGTCAGAAAGTCATTTGGTGTTTGCACAGGTGCTGCAAAAGATCAAGACTCAGAATGCAGGCCTAGGGATATTCTGATCAAATTACTTGGCCTTCCTAAGAACTATTTTCCACATTTGTCAAATGCATTGATGGTGCTTCAGGTCTTAGATCACAGAGAAAGTGTAGGAATAATATATAAATGTTCTTTGAACTTTAAATGTTAGACTTTAATGTTTTTTAAATTATGATGGTTGACTCTTACCTGATGGACAAAGTAGGGAGTTGAATGTTGTTTCCTTCTCTAGTCCTTCAGGCTTTAGGTAAAAGAAAGAAAAGCTAGTGAGAATGGACTGACCTTCAGAACATGTGTTTTAATGGAGGGACCACAGATATTTGGATAGTGAAGAGAAGGATTTGAACTGTATTATCTAAGAAAATTCTGTACATATAAGCAATATACGTAGGAGGTAGTTCGATGCATGAACAAATGAAGGAAAAATTAAGAAAGTAAATCAAAGGGAGGCTGTGCATGGTGGCTCACACCTATAATCCCAGCACTTTGGGAAGCTGAGGTGGGCAGATCACTTGAGGCCAGGAGTTCGAGACCAGCCTGGCCAACGTGGTGAAATCCTGTCTCTACTAAAAATACAAAAACTAGCTGGGCGTGGTGGTGCACACCTGTAATCCCAGCTACTCAGGAGGCTGAGGCACGAGAATTGCTTGAACCCAGGAGGCGGAGGTTGCAGTGAGCAGAGATCCTGCCACTGCACTCCAGCCTGGATGACAGAGCAAGACTCTGCCTCAAAAACAAAAACAAAAACCCCCAACAAAACAGAAAGTAAATCAAGAGAGAGATAGGACAGAGAGATACATGAGAATAATATTATAAAATATCCATATATTATTATATTACCCACATATATTATATATTATTGTGGACTATATATTATTTAGGTTTACTTACTTCAACCAACAGAGGCTTGATGACTGTGTCTTTCCTTCCGTGTTCAGGAACTGAAGGCACCTCAGTCCCACACAGCTCTTGAGACTCTAGTGCCTCTGCGCTCACAGTGAAATTCACATTTCCTGAAAAAAAAGGCCAGTAGAAATGAATAGCATCTTCCCCTTCCTCCATGCCTCCAAACTCAAGATTTAGAAATGTTCAATGCTCTGTAAACTTTTGTTTTATTAAAACACAGAAGCAGGAACGGAAACATGCAAATGAGAGGTGAATGATACTGAGAATTCAAGGTGGAGATGTTGAGGATATCCTTGTAGGCATCTTAGAATAAAAGGCAAAGGAAAAAAATCGCAGCATCTAGTGGTCTTTTCCTGAAGGAAGTAGCACTCAATATAAGGTTCCCACTGCCATATACAATCTTTGAGTAGAGAATTATCTCTAGCAGTTTTTTGCTCACCTAATGACTTTGGGGTTACTGCCCAGGACACAGTTTGCCGCCCGTTTGCACAGATGCAGTGAGGCGCTTGTTCCTTCTCCACTGGGACAGCTAGGAAGGCGGGAGAGGCTTCCAGCTGCACACTGACCTGAAACCACACATAAGAAAGGGAGTAGAGAGGGAAGGAGAACAGAGGGAGAATGGGTTTGAAGTAAAGCATCTTGAGGAATTGGTTAGATTTCAGGTTGCCTCACATTAAAGATGATATAAATGAAGATCAAGTACCTGAAATATATTTAAGTGGATCTTAATGTATCAGATTTACACAGGTAAATCTGAGTTATTTTGGAAGCAACCTGCTCTTTCACATGATGGGACCAGAGGAAGGGAAAGGTAATGATGGCATGCTGCTCTACCTCTTTGGTCTGGAACTTTGACCATTCCCCCGGATCTCCCGGCAGAGGATACAAGACTTATAAACAGTTATGGTTTCAGCAAAGGTAAGATGCTCACAAACGACTTTTAAAATTAGGTTTAATATAATGAATGAGCTACGAAAAGTTAAATATATGAGATCGTAGAGGTTGAAACCTTGTAGAATCTGTCATGAGAATAGAGTACTGACTTTTGTCACCCCTGTCAGAATTCTTCATACCACACAAATACTAACTTTGAAGGGTTATAAGGGCTAGAAACTTGCTTTATGGTGCAATTTGGTATTTGGAGATCTCAAAACCTGTAACTTTTACAATCATGAATATCTAGTAAGCATATTTTGCATACAAGAGTTTGCAGTATTCCTAGGAATGCAACTTTTAATTTACTTGATGGCTACCTTGTATTTAATTTAGGAAAGAGATCCTTACCCGGATGCATTTGGGAAGGTAGTTTAGGACCGTGGCCTTGAGTGTGAAGGCCTCTCCACGAATCACAGAGTAAGGCATTGTGAGCTCCACAAAGAAGGGCTGGAAGGCTCGGAGAGAGGCAGTGGAAGAGATACCAAGTCCAGCATCTTCAGACAGGCAGAAGGCCCCTGCCTTCCACTCGGTGATGGTGTCAGGGACTGTTACTCCTACCTCAGCCACACCTGCTGAGCTGGAGAGGAGTGTAAGTGAAGAACAGAAAGTAAGCAGTTAAATACATCCTTTCTAGGGAGAGAATCCCTAGGAATGATTCTACTGCCATGACTTAAAAACACTCAATAGAAATACCAATAATGGAGAGTATAATCAAGGATTGAGATGGGAATATAAGTCCTTTTCTTCCAACTGTTTTTAATTGTAGTATATCAGAATTGTAGCATAATCTTTTACAGACAATATAGTTATAAATTTAACATGCAGTTTGAGATTGTTCTTAAGTTCTCTTCTCTAAAATGCTATTTCACTGAGGGCTGCTTTATAATTTTAAATTCTACTACTATTGTGTATAGTGGGCCTGACTGAATCTGTATTTAACTCAGGATTGCTAACCAGTGAGGGATCTCTTACAGGCAATCTGTGCAGTCCTTGGTTGTATTAGGTCCTTATGCCCATTTTCTGGAAATCTTAGAATTAAATTTGCACAAAATTTTTTAGCTCTGATGCAATTAGATTAGTAAGACTTCTTAGCTGATGTATTTATGTTAAACATCTCCTGAAATTAGCAATGCGTTTGAAAGAAGTACTTCAGTACTGAAAAATTAGCTAACAGCTCCCAGTTTCTCCCTGGAAGGGCTTCGTCTACCCACTTTATCAGTTGCTGACTGAGTGTTGGGCTTCTAACTAGCCTGCACTGGGAAGCAGAAGGAGCAGGGAAACGACAGACTTACAGGAAGGCTGAAAAGCAGTAAGGGCACTTCCCATGCCTCCTTCCCCTGGCTCGCCCCACGGATAAAACCAGGTCTGAACATACCCCTGGGAATAATTTGTCTATGCATCAAGCACCCCAATGTTTACAGCTCGTACCTAAGGGTCTGGCTCCTAAATCACCTAGCTCCAGGAGTAGATGGAGCTCTGCAATCAGGAGTCTCCCTAGACCACAGTGAACACAGAGGTGGTTTTAAATAGGCCTTTGAGCAATGCCAGTGGCTACCCGCCCCCACCACCCCTTGGCTCAATACAGAGAGAACAGGCAAAATCTCCCATTTCTGGCTGTCTCCTAAGGGTTGGGCTTCTAAACAGCCTGCATCTGGGAGTGAAAGGGAGAAGTAAACAAGACTCCAGGAGCCTGAAAGGGAGTATATGGCCATTCCGGCTCTTTCTCTCCACCTGCCCCACTGGCTTGTTTCACGGATAAAACTCTGTTTCCAGTGTCTCTCTGGAAGGAATTTGTTCACTCCCCTTGGTGCAAATGTACATTGCCACAGCCATTATGGAAAACAGTATGGAGATACCTCAAAAATTTTAAAATGGAAACTACCATATGTCCCAGAAATCCCTCTTCTGGGTATACTCCCAAAGGAAATGAAATAAGCACCTTGTAGAGATATATGTGTTTTGGTGTTCATTACAGCATTATTCACAGTTGCCAAGATATAAAAACAACCTAAGTGTCTGGGTGAATGGATAAATAAATTGTGGCTATGCGTAATGGAATATTATTCAGCCTTAAGTGGAAGAAGATCCTGCCACTTGTGACAACATGGATGAACCTGGGGGAGATTATGCTAAGTGAAATAAGCCAGACACAGGACAAGTACTGCGTGATCTTACTTGTATGTGGATGCTAAAAGAAGTTGAATACATAGGAACAGAGAGTAGAAAGGTGGTTGGGGTTGCAGGGATGGGAAGAAGCAGGTCAAAGGGTACAAAGTTGAAGTTACGTAGGATGAATAAATTTAGAAATCTAAAGTACAGCATGAGGACTGCAGTTGATAATACTGTATTGGATACTGAAACTTGGCTAAGAGGATAGATTTTAGGTGTGCTTGCTATGCACACAAAAATAGGTAACAATGTGAGCTAATGGATGTGTTAATTTGCTTGACTGTAGTAATCATTTCACTATGTGTATGTGTATATATATATATCAAAACATCATGTTGTACATCATAAACATATAAAACAATAAAAACAGAAAAACTAGCAAAGAGTTGAAAATAGTCAGGGACCTCTATTGTTGCATATTGCATATGCAGGAAGTTACTTACTTTACCACCACCAAATCCCAGATCCATGTCTCAGGGAAGTACTTTCGTACGGTCTCCGTGTGAGGCTCTTCAACATGCACCAGGCGTGCATGGCCTCTTCCCATTACATCTGACTCTATGGTGAGTGAGGAAGAAGACATTACAATAAACATACAGATAAAGCTTATGAGAGAATGTAATAGTTGCCACCAAAAAAAAAAAACAAAAAACAAATCGTCTGATGAAATAGAGAGGAAGGAGGAGAGGGCGCTTGGGTCATCAAGGAAAGCTTCTTTGAGGAGGAAATATGTTGGTTGACTTAACAAGCCAGGAGAGGCCGGGCGCGGTGGCTCATGCCTGTAATCCCAGCACTTTGAGAGGCCGAGGCCGAGACGGCGCCACTGCACTCCAGCCTGGGCGACCTGAGCGACAGAGTGAGACTTCGTCTCAAACAAACAAACAAACAAACAAACAACAAAAAAAAACAAGAATAAGCTAGGAGTGAGCTGGGGGAGGAGGGTCATAAGCAGAGGCTATAGAGACTTTGGCAGACAGAGGCTTGGATTGTCTGTGGGGCACAAGGACTCTGTGGAGTCCTATGTGGCTGCTGCCGCTGTGCTAAGTGGAGAGTGTTATGACACAAGGCCGTGAAGAGGGGCAGGAATCCAAGTTTCCATTGGTGTGCTCCTCTGCAGGAGCAAGGAAAAACTGACACACATGTTATGACAGTGGCTTTGAGAAACAGTTTACAGGAGGGAAAAGTTTAATAATAATAAAGACTTTTTATTCTCTATCGTGTCAGAAGATTACAGTTAGTTTCCTTCACTCTATTCACCTTCTATTAAGGGTGTGCTGGTCAATATTTCACAACCAGCTCTCTGGAAAAAAAAATTGTGCATATATATATATATATATATATATATATATATATACCTATACATGCATAAATTTACTATATATCTTACTGATAAAGGATTATACAATATAATTTATAAATAATAAAATATGCGGTAGGCTTCATAGTGAATTCCATAGAGCCAACTGATTCTCCTTAAATGCTTTCCTTGATTTTTGACCCTCTTTTCTCTGTACTCAACTTATCCTCAATCATGATTTGACAATATGGGACTATAAATAAATGCTTGATTACTATTCAGTTCATCAAAGAAGTAGCTCATGTCATTGATGAATGTGTGTGGTTCCAACATAAATATTGGCTGATGTTTTGGGGAAGTTGAACAGCTTTTTTACCTGACTGATGGAGAATGTAGTGTTGTTGTGTGAACATTTCTATTTCTGTTTACACTAATCCTACGCTTGGAAACTTTCTCTTTCCTTTCAGCCTAACACATGTACCTCCATTTACTAGAATTTGAGTTTATATTACTATATGACCTTGAGCAATAACCTTAATATGTATGACTCACATGTCCTTTTTGTTTGTTAATTTTTGTCACATTGTATCTTTTAAAAAATTTAAAATTTGGTGAATATATTAGGCAATATATATTTATTAATTTTTTGTTTACCATAAAAACCTACACGTAGACCTTCAGGTCCATGCATTTCATACTGTTGAAGCTGTGGACACATTTTGGGTTTACGAATCTTTGAGTTGGTGAATGCCTTTAAGCCCATGTCCTGCAAAGAAAATTATCATCTAATCAGTAAATATATATTATAAAATATACATAGGTAGCTACTTCTTTTTATTGAATTTGACAAGCAATCCAGTTAACTTAAATTAAACTTTTAACATTCACATCTGTAGAAGGGATATTTATATACTTAAGGATGTAATTTTATTCTTTTCATTAAACTCTTTCAACAGTAATTATTTTGTATATGTGATTTTAATAAACATCACAGAGCAATTAATTCCTGTGAAAAAAGAAAACTTGAATAATACTCCAAAAAGTTCCAGCTTAGTTCAGCAGCTTTTCGCAGATCTGCTGCTATTAGTAGAGAAGCCACTTACCTCTTTATATCCCATTACCCTCAACTAGGACATGAAGGCATTCAAATACAGACTCTTTTCCATGTGTAATATTTTAAGAAGCTTAAGATCAGACCATCTGCAACATAAGGAGTTTACCTCTAGGAAGCTGTACATATCCTTTTCATTTGTACTTGATACTGGAGTATATGTGATTCCATTAATATAGACATTATGACGATTGATGCAGTCTTCATTGTCCTGGTCATTCAAAGGCCCAGGGAAGCCAGTGAGGTCCTTTTCTGGTAGCAGGTTGTAAACCTGTACAAATACGAAAGACAAAAAGGCAAACTTATTTGTGACTTTTTTTTTTTTTTTTTTTTTTTTTTTTGAGACGGAGTCTCGCTCTGTCGCCCAGGCCGGACCGCGGACTGCAGTGGCGCAATCTCGGCTCACTGCAAGCTCCGCTTCCCGGGTTCACGCCATTCTCCTGCCTCAGCCTCCCGAGTAGCTGGGACTACAGGCGCCCGCCACCGCGCCCGGCTAATTTTTTGTATTTTTAGTAGAGACGGGGTTTCACCTTGTTAGCCAGGATGGTCTCGATCTCCTGACCTCATGATCCACCCGCCTCGGCCTCCCAAAGTGCTGGGATTACAGGCGTGAGCCACCGCGCCCGGCCTTTGTGACATTTTTTAAGTTCAAGGAGAAAAGAACAGGAATAATGAACATCCGTCTTTCTTTGAGCGCTCTCATTGCTTTGATGATTTATAGAGGGTATGGATCATTTTCTTGACACAGTGTTTTCATTTTGAAGATGTTTAACAATTTTAGGAAAAACCAAACACTCCATCTAAGTACTCATCTAAGTACTAAGTACTACTTCGTTACACAGTTCAGAGGCCACCACTAGACTCAACACTGGAATGAAATAAAACTTTATTAATTGAAAAATCGAGGTCTGCTGTATTTGTGACATTGCACAAAGCTTTGAGATGATAGAAGGAAATGATAGTTTTGTGCTTATCTTGTGGTGAGCAACTGACTCAGTATATAGCAAAGTTAATGGGTGCATGTTCTAAACAGGCACACGAATAGGAATATCCTCTCTCCACAGGACACGATGGCATTTTCTTAGGTATTATTAGTGGAAACAAAATGCTCCAGATCTTCATATAATACATACAACTTTAACCGTAAAATTCTAGGCATGATGCTTTCAAGTCCATTTGAAGGTGAGAAGTAAGACAGACATAAAAATTGTGATAGTTACATTGCATTATATTCGTAGGAGTTTAAAACTGATTGACAAGAACAGATGAGCAAAGTGAGTGGTGTGATGAAATTAGACACTTTCTCAAAGTATCTTAACATTTCTCATTTCCTCTCCCTGCTTTTATTGTGGCATATTGCATAATTATTGTCTGTCTCATCTATGGGACAGACAATGTAAGTTCCATGAGACATACATTTTTATCTTTCCAGTAGCTCACTGCTTGATCTCTACTAGCACTTAGTATAATACCTAGAACACAGTGGGCATTAAATAAATGTGTTGAATGAATGACCTACACTAGTAGCAGCAAAGTGTTTCATTGGTAAGACACTAATCAAAGCTTGAGAAGAGTTGGTGTTTTAACTCAGGTCTACTACTAAATCCCTGAAAGCTTCTGCTTTATTATTAATAAATAGGACTGTCTGCCTTATCTACCCATCAGGGTTGTTATAATTTGAAAAATTCTTTGAGAATTATAAAATTATATTATAAAAGTATAAAACATGTATATTATTTTCCCACATATCCTCTTGAGATCCTACTGTTGAAATGTACTTGATGCTTCCTTTAGAAGTATTCTAATATTTTCAGTTAAAATCCCATTAGAAGGACAAACAAGTAAGAAACATTTTTTTATAAGTTTCTATTTCAGGAAAATAAAAATATAAATTTCTCTTTGTTAAATTATGGTAGTAGAAAAAGCTTCAGTAAGAGGTTATTACAATTGGTCTCATATTAAAAATTTGAAGATGTGAGCAAACTACTATTAGTACATGCTATTAACTAGTTTTTGTTGTTCCAATTCAGCATATCCTTTTGGTATTTCTTCTATTAGCTCCATATTTTCAAAGAGTTCAGTTATCAATGTCAATTATATAGTAGTTCAATTTCCCTAAGTTTTGTTCCTCAGAGATAATACATATGTTCCCTCAGAAATTATGTGTAGCTTGGGACAGCAATTATTTCAACTGATGTAATTCTTTTTTTTTTTTTTTTTTTGACACCAAGTCTTGCTCTATTGCCCAGGCTGGAGTGCAGTGGCACGATCTCGGCTCACTCAACCTCTGCCTCCTGGGTTCAAGTGATTCTCCTGCCTCAGCCTCCTGAGTAGCTGGGATGACAGGCGCCCGCCACCACGTCTGACTAATTTTTGTATTTTTAGTAGATACGGGGTTTCATTATATTGGCCAGACTGGTCTCAAACTCCTGATCTCAAGTTATCTGCCTGCCTTGGCCTCCCAGTGTTGGGATTACAGGCGTGAGCCACCAGGCCCAGCCATAATTCTTATAAAAACGGAAATCTGATATTTCATTTAGCCTGTATAGCCTCAGTGCAGGTATATGTATCACTTTTGTTAGGCTTTTTGAAATGTTGAAACTAGTTTGACAACTCCTATTACTGGTTGCATGGAGCTCTGGGATTTTAAGGACTTTGGGTACTGTATGGTCTTTTTACATTTTAAATATATAATTTTCGAACGGCTTCCCCGGTTGCTCAGTTAATCCTTTCTTTTATTTTGCATAACTGCACTTCTCATATAGCACTTTTCACAATCTGCTCTGTATTCTCTCCAGCCTTGCATATACGGATGTCCTGACACAATCAGAAGATTTGAATTTGTATTGCTATGTGCTCTTGAGCAAGAAGCTTAACGTGTCTGAATAACGAGTCCTTTTTTGGTTGTTAATTTTCATCACATTTTGTCCTTTTAAAAATTCTTTTATTTGATTCAATATATTGTATTTTGTTTATTTTTTTAACTGCAGAAGTGAGTAGTTATATATATATATATATATAATTCCTTACCAATGAAAGCCCACAAGAGAGCTCAAAGCAATTAATTCCTAGATAAATATAATTTTAATTGATCTTATCCTACTTATCCAGTCATTTTTCCTTGCTCTGAGCCCCTGGCACGGCCCTTCTTGATTCCTGAGGCTGCCAGGAACTCACCGAGGACGCCGAGAGCTCAGCATCAGGCTTCATGAGCAGCACGCTTTGGTCCACAGCACGGAGGGCGCAGACGGACTGAGGAGCCGCTGTGACTCGCAGGTGGGCGTGTGAGGCTGGGAGACTTTGTGATGGGCTGAAGCTCAAATCCACCTGTGAAATTGGAACAAAAGGTCAGAAAAGCAAATTTCCAGGTTTACCCATGCATTCACTCGCATTTGCAGAGTGTTCCTCATGTACAATGTATAACCACTCTGCTTGACTTCGTGGAGGGTTGGCATTGTGTCAATCCTGAAGCTTTTTGTTCCCTACACTTCTCTTTCATTCTCAAGAATCACTTGAGCCAGTAGAATTATTTCTAATTATTCTTATAAATTACTAGTCATGAAATGCCATTTTTATCTTTGATACACGGCAAGGTGCTCATTAATTGTGGTGGGACATGCATGGGTCTAGGTGCTCTTGCATTTTTCTTTTGGCTCCTTAGTAGTCTTAAAAACTTGCTTACATATTTCCCAACGTTTCATCATAGAAGAAGGGAATAACATACTCTGAACTGTGTAATTGGTAAGAGGCACTGCTAGGAGAAGTTTGAGAGTTTTGTATAAGGAATCAAGTGATTCTGCTTCTTAGTGTGACTCTGCCACTACCTTGCTGAATGTCTCTGGGGAATTTGTTTAACCCTTTTGGCCCTAATGTTCACATGTGTAAAACAAATGATAACAATAGTAACTTCTAGTTTTACATGTTGAAGATTTTATGATCTAAAACACACACCTTGTTGGCCAGACAATTTTCAACATCATATTTTGCAGAATCCCCAATCACGTCCCCGGTAGGTAAAACAGCATAGATGAGCAACCGAGCGACAGGAGCAATGTCTGACTTCACAGGGATTGAGATGGAAAAATGGCCCTTCACTGGGGCACAAAGAGAATGAGAGGAAGCCATCATAGGTTAATGACTATTTCCATTAGTAGATGTAACAGACATAATAAACAGTAGATGTAACAAATGGATGATTACCTCTAAGGACTCTAGCTTTAGAAAAAAACCCTATCAAAGCCCTCTCTCCTCTCATAAATCATATACTCTGTTGATTTTTCACCAGCTTTAAGCTTCAGCTCACCCACCTAATGTTCTGATGCTAGTTAAGGGTATGAAGACATCCAATTCACTACCATTTGATCTAGGCCTCATACTAGAAGAGGGAAATAGAACCTGAAGTTATGAGATGTAAGAGTAAGAGTTCAACACATTGTATTCATGCTACATGCTCTTTAACCTTCTATGAGCCAATATTTGGTTCTTTCTCCATAAGAGGAACACCATGCTCCTTCAGAAGTTATTTTTTGATGCCTATGTAGATTCTTTAGAGGTTGCATTAAGTTTCCTTCAGTCTGCTATGGTGCTTCTGTGTTGCTACAAGAACTAATGAGAGAGTAGATTACTGATACTTTTCTAGCAAGTTATCTTTTAGAGTCTACTAGACTAGGAGCAACCTTCAAAGGTTTATATTATGACATATTTGCTCATGGCAAGAGTCCGCTTCAGTCGGTAGAAGTACCCAATTTAATGCTTCATAAATCATAACTATCTTGAAAGGGAAAAAAGATATTTATAATAATATAAATGACATAAATGACTCAGCACAAGACCTGGTATATACAACATACCTTGAAATCGTACATTTTCTCCACCCCATTCTCTAACACAATTCTCATTTTGAGAAGAGGTTCAAGAATATTTATGGTTTAAAAATCTGGAATAAGCATAGATTATACACAACAATATTTTATGTATTTTATTTTTCCCCCTTTGTTCTTATTTATTTATTTATTTATTTATTTACTTTTATAGAGATGGGGTCTCACTATGTTGACCAGGCTGGTCTCAAACTCCTGACCTCAAGAGATCCTCCCATCCCGTTCTCCCAAAGTACTGGGATTACAGGCGTAAGCCATCATAGCTGGCCCACACCAATATTTTAAATAACGCAAAGAAAATAGGCTGAAAAAAAAGACAACACATATTTGATAAAGGGTGAGAAAAAAACCATTATTGTTTTCCCTCCCTCAACTTTCTTTTAATTAATATTAGATGGAAATGGTCTCTCGTTACTTGAAAGTATTCCTGATATTCCCAGCTCAGGAATGGAAAACCAAACATCATATCTTCTCACTCAGAAGTAGGAGCTAAGCTATTAGGAAGTGGCAGCTAAGCTATTAGGAAGTGGGAGCTAAGTTATGAGGATGCAAAGGCATAAGAATGATACAATGGACTTTGTGGATTCAGGGGGAAGGGTGGAAGGGGGTGAGGGATAAAAGACTGCAAATTGGGTACAATGTATACTGCTCGGGTGATGGGTGCACCAAAATCTCGGAAATCACTACCAAAGAATTTATTCATTCATGTGACCAAACACCACCTGTTCCCCCAAAAACCTATGGAAAAAAAGGGAAAGTATTCTGATACTTCCGTGGTGTAAGGCTGAATGGGTCAGAATGGGGCAGCAATGCAGAGATGATGGAAATACTCACTGTCTTCCTGCTTCACAAGCAGTCCATGAGTCCCAGTTCGGACAATGCCTCCCTTTGCCATTATCTGCAAAAAAGGAAATAAAAAGAAATTAAATGTGCCAGAGAGAACACGCTTCAGTCTCACTTCAATATACTTGTTTTATTGAGTCCCTGCCGGCAATAATTCACCTCAAGAGAAATCAAACTTTCAAAAGGAACATGGATAAGAAGTTGAAGTAATGACATCTAAAGAGCTTCATGATTACTTGCTCCACAGAGAGCTTTTGTCTACAGTGAAGTCAACGCAGTAACCTCCCTTCTCACCAGATAATAGAAGGAGAGCTTCTTCAGCCCCAGCAGGGTGCCTCCATTCAGAATATAATGTGCCTGGACTGTCTGAGTATGGCCACAGGGTAGTTCATGAGACATGGGCTCAAGGTGGACAAAGCTCTTGCTTGGGGAGAACACAAGATAAGCAGTGTGATGTGCCTCTTCGTGTTCTTCTGACACCCACTGGTAGCCGTAACAGGGACTACGATCCTTGTAATTGACCTAATGAATTAGAAAAATTATATTATTTTTAGATTATACGTCATAAAGATTAATGTTCTCACAAAACTACGTAAGTTTACTGTCCTACCTTAACTAGTAGCTAGAAATCTTTTGTTCCACAATGAAAAGTGGGAGAAGGACCCCTGATTTTGTTTCTCTGCTTCAAATGTAGGCATGCTTTGTGACTTTACACTGCAGAGCCTCCTGGGATTGAGATTTATATTTCTTAAGAGCATAAAAGGAGGCATCCTTTGCTCTGATTAGCTTGCTTGAAATTTCTTTGACTGCTTTACCTGTGCAATTAGAGACACTGGAGCTATGAAACTTCATTGAGGAGAGTAAATAATCTCTAGAAATGGAAGAACTGTGCTTTCAGAAAGCAGCTGCCTCTTTTAGGGTGGATTTTGAATGGGTATTATGAATAAATAAAATATTGTAACCTTAGGGGTCTGAGAAGACATTGGTAGAAAGCATTGGTTTAAGAGCTGAGCTGATGAATTAGCTGAAGTCTACCTCTTCTGGGCTATCTTAGGCTGATTGCTATTATTATTATTTTTTTGAGACAGGGTTTTGCTCTGGCGCCCATGCTGGAGTACAGTGGCACAATCTTGGCTCAGTGCAATCTCTGCCTCTGGGGCTCAAGTGATCCTCCCAGTCAGCCTCCTGAGTTGCTAGGACTACAGGTGCATGCCACCCCACCCAGCTAATTTTTTGTATATTTTGTAGAGACAGGGTTTCACCACGTTGCCTAGGCTCGTCTCGATCTCCTGGCCTCACGCAATCCACCCACCTCAGCCTCCCAAAGTGCTGGGATTACAGGCGTGAGCTACCGTGCCTGGCCTAGGCTGACTATTTTTAATGCTCCCTGCAATCTGGATTCTAATACCTCAGAGGCCCTATTTGGGTTATATTTCCAACTTTTCTTCCTGTAGAAGTTATTCCTTAGCTCCTTTCAGGCTTCCTCTACCTTCATCCCCAGCTCCCAATAGCACTAGTGAATCCTTGAGCAAAACATTTTGTTCATATCTTAATGTATATTTTGGTGACAACACATATATGATCACCCCAAACAGGGAACAGGTAGAAATAATAATTTCATTGTCAAGACTAGCACAGTGCTGGCACGTGGAAAGCATTCAAGACACTTTTTGAAATGAGTAAACATTCAAATTAGAGGGAGGTGCTTTTATGCCATCTATTAAAGCTAAATAAATAAAATGTATTATTTATTTCTCTATAACAAGGTAAAACTCTAAAGAGGCAGGCGTTTTCCATTACCATGATTATGTAATATATATTAAATATGTATTGTATATCCATGTATCTATAGACATGTCTACATCTCTCTTGATGAATAGAGGACTGCATGCTATACCGAATAACTTATATTGGTATGAACAGGTCATCTGGAGAAAATTAGAATAGCAAGACAAAATAAAGTAAGGTAATAATTTTTGGAGTATATATATTTAAAACTAAATGCTAATTATGTTAGAATTGGCTTTTATAGTAAAAGTATCTAACAGTTAAAGGGGGCTTACTAAGTGATTCAACATGTATGATTTCACTTAATCTTCACAACCACCCCAAGAGTCAGGTGTTAGTATTGCAATCATTTTACAGATAAGGAAATGAAGCACAGAGGTTTTAGTTAATTCCTTAAAATAGGGTTGAGCCAGTATTTTTAACCACTTTATCTGATTCAGATTCTGGAATTCACACTTTTCAAAAAAGTTATTATAAACACACACACACACACAACATAAAATTACCATCTTCATTATTCTTTAGTGTACAGTTTGGTAGTATTAAGTATATCTGTTGTGCAACAGATCTCCAGAACTTTTCATCTTGTAAAACTAAACCTGAATACCAATAAGAGGAATTCCCCATTTCTCTCTTTCCCTAGCCCTTGGCAACCACCATCCTGTTTTCTGTTTCTATGACTTTGACTACTTTAGAAACCCCATGTACGTGAATCATACAGTATTGGTCTTTTTGTGACTAGCTTATTTCACTTACCATAACGTCCTCAAGGATCATTCATGCTGTAGCATGTGACAGGATTTTCTTCCCTTCTCAGGCTGCATAATATTCTGTTGTATTTATATACCACATTTTGTTTACCTGTTCATCCCTTGATGGACATTTGGGTAGCCTCGATCTCTCAGCTATTGTGAATAGTGCGGCTATGAACACGGGTGTGCAAATAGCTCTTTGAGACCCCGTTTTCGATTCTTTTGAATATATGTCCAGAAGTAGGATTACTGGATCATTTGGTAATTCTATTTTTTAATTTTTTCAGGAACTACTATACTGTTTTTCATAGTGGCTCCGCCATTTTACGTTCCCAGCAACACTGCTAAAGTCTAACCCGCACTTTTAATCACAATATACTGCCTTCTTTTCATAAACTTTAAAAAAGTTAACCTTCAATCGGTTTCTAATTGCTAGTTTTTTTCTCTCCATAGAACTAGACACAGTTTGGAAATTTTCTCACCCTTAGGTTGCAACCTTGTTTCCAAGGCTACTTCATGTCATTGGTAATTTCTTTCCAAACTTACCCTAACAGTAAGAGAGGTACCCATAACATTGGTGGTGTTGATAGAGAACTGTACAAGGCCATGCTCATCCGTGGTAGCATTGGAGTAATAGTTTGCTTCATTTCCTCTGATGAATATGACTTTATTTGGTATAGGGACGCCTTTCCCATCTACTAGGCGCACCTGAAGATTAAAAGCTGTGGATTAGTTATATTGGTAATAACTAATAGGCACCAAACATATTCATTTATCACATTTTTTAGTGCCTCCTCTATGTTGAACATGGTTCCAGGCACTGAGGACACAGCAGTGAAAAAAAACGAAGTTTCTTCCATCACAGAGCTTACTGTCTAGTGAAAGAGATAGATGCTAAATAAATATATACATAACATACACTAATTTAGTAGTAATCAATCCTAAGAAGAAAAACAGAGCAGTGTGAAGGGATAGAGAGTGATAGGGATAATAACAAGAGTGACCTGAAAAATGTCTTCTAGATATTTTGGAAGTGCTGTGTATTATTATATATAACTCTTAGAGAGTCACAGAGCACTAGAGTAATATGATAATGAAATATTTTAATCTATTAATCTATTAACTAAATTTATTTGTGCCCCAAACACCTATTTTGGAGTGGACCATTAACTTCCTATAGATTAGTGTCTGAAGTCTCATAAGTGCACAAGTAAACAATTGCCAATACATTGTCCTGTGTGTTTCTCCAGTTGCCTTAGACATGGTCTCTGCTTCTCAACCTAGATCTTCAGCCTTTTGGAAGGTAGGCAGATTTTATGACACACTTCCCATGTGAAAAATATAAAATTGAAAAGAGGCACACAGTATTAAATAAGTTGCCAAATCTAATTTACTGCTAATATTGTATTGGCAGTTGAGTAGTCCAGTTCAGATTGTAAAGGTGGCAATTCTTTTTCAGTATAAGCTACAGTTGGTAGCAGGAAGAACAATAGGCTGACCCCCATCAGTACTCATAATTGATTTACAAAATCTAAGTTTGCCAGTGAAATGTTGGCTGCATGTACAAAGACAAGAATAGGCACATAATTCTGATTTTCTTCTAGCTAGAGAGTCTTATGACAAATAGGATATTTAACAGCAATAAAATGTACTTACAAAGTACACTATCTTTCTGAGAAATTTACAAATGAGCTACACTTTCATTTTAGGAAGTTGAATACATTTTGGTGTCATGACATAACCAAGCCTTCTAGAATGTACTCCACTTTGTTGAGTCTATGCCTCTTTTACACCCTTCATAGCTGAAATCCTGTAACATTTACATTAAGAAAATGATACACAGTAAATACACATTGAGGCACATGTAACTGTGATCTCAGACTTCTAGAGTCATAAAGATCCATTTGCACATCTGCTGACAACAGAAAAATTGTAAGAGAAGATTTTTTTGGTAGATAACATGAAAATTCATAATTCAAAAATCTGAGAACCTTAAATAGCAGTGTTTTACCCCATGTTCACTGTTTTAGAAATATACTTGTTATAGAAAAATAGTGTAAATATACTATCCATGAAATAAACATTATTGTAGAATCTTTAATACTTCAAAATAAAAATTAAAACCACCTACCCACCTGTTTCCATACAAAGTTAGTGTTAGCATCGTAATGAAACTGGTCAGCATGAATTTTGAGATTCTTGTGAGAAAATGTCATAAAAACCTGAGACTGCCTGGTAAACCATGAGAAGGAGATTGAGTGACTTGTACAATGCTGTTTCAAAAGAAGGGGGGAAAACTCTACTAATTTTAATAAGGCCTTAGGATAATTACATACATTTCATACACAAATTTACAGAAGAATAAATCTATTTTTATGTAGTTTTATACCTTTGGTTATACTAATCAAGCCTTGGTGATATTTTATACTTTTGGTTATATTAAATGATAACATTAACCAGGCATGGTTTTAGCACAAACCATAACTATTGTGCTAATTAGGTAACAGTACATGGGTTGATGAGTGAACTGGAAAATACTCCACCTGCCCAAAGAAGGGAATTCCCTGTCGAAAGTGTGAGTCCACTTTCACAAATGAGAGTTTGGTTATGGTTCTTGTGATTTCACTGGACTGCCTTCCAGTCAATTCCACCACTGAAAAAAGAGAAAAAAATCTGTTATTTTTGGGAAGAATGATGTCTCTAAAATTCTATCACCTCCCCCCAACTTACAATTCATTATTTGGCTAAGAAAATCAATGCCTGTTGTGTTTTCTCTTATACCCATGTAGTACACAAACCTGTTCCTTCTTCTTGGATCTGGGCCTCAGTGTGAAGTTTCATTTCATACTCCTTCCTCTTCAGCTGGAAGACCTTGGTTTTTACTTGCTGATAGAAGCAGCCATGGCTGTTTAGCTAAGAAGGGAGAAAATAAAATACAAAAATATAATGCATATTATACTAAATAGATCAGTGGTCAGATAACCGGTGTGATTTTTGTGGGGGGACAACATCATGTAGGCATTTTCTATGACGAGGACACAATAAATATTCTCTAGCAACTAAATATTAAATTTCACAACAATATCTCATGTATAATTGACAGATGTATTCCTTGGTATCTGAAATTCCCTAGATATATTGCGATAGAAATGTCTTAAAATTTGAGGAGTAATTTTTTTTGTACAAAGGATGCATAATATTTATACATATTTATGGGGTACACGAGATATTTTGTTACATGCAGAGAATGTGTAATGATCACATCGCGGGATTTAGGGTGCCTACCAACTCAAGTATGTATCATTTCTATGTGTTGGAAATAGTTCAAGTCCTGTCCACTTGCTATTTTGAAATACACAGTACATCTGCTCTTGACCATTAGAACTCCTCATCAAAGTCTGGTTCCTCCTCCATAATATTCAGCTGTGGCTGGGAAGCGGCCTTCTATATGGGGACTGTGTTTGTCAACTCTCTGGCATCTTGGTGGGGCCATGTGATAGGTTCTTGTTCACAGAGAGAGCAGAACTGATGGCCTGGCCAGCTAAGGCAATTAAGAGGTGTATGGTTTTTTCCTTCCTTTGTAGAAGTGAATGCCCATGGAGGCTTTAGATGGCTCAGTGTCTATCGTTCTGAAACACTCACAATGGGCAATTACGAGAAATAAATAATTCCCATTGTGCTAAGTTCATGATTTTTTTTGAAAAATTACAATAGCCAACATGGAATTCTCTTCTAGATTGTTCTCTTCCTGCGTCAGAAAAATGCTGCAACTCACTGCTTTTCAACAATGCCTTTATCGCTATTCTCTAGAAAAAATAGTGTTCAACCTACCTGTCCACTGAATTTCTCACAGAAAGCCTGTGAATCTTCACCGTGGCAGTCGGAAGCGTCACTATACTTTCTGCAAATGCTCACAGTCACATGTCCAGGGACAGGCTTCCCATATGTGTATCTGTCATGAGAACATTCCCAAAGGAATCAGAGCAGACACTGAACCTCCCCATTTTCTAGCTATTTATATCTCCCCTTTAGCTACAGTATATTCCCTGTCTGTACTTCCCTCTGCTCTCTGCTGGGCTCACACAATATTGAAGACAAGAGTCACTAATGGCTCTTATAGAAATCTCCATTGCAACATGCTGAAATTTACATTCTTCTTTTATCATTTCTTTTTTTTCCTCGTTTTTTTTTAGTTTTATCTTAAAAAAGTCTTTCTTATTATAAAACTTAAACCCGTTCTTAAAAGAGAAACAATACCAGCAAGACGAAACAAACAAAACAAAACAGAACAAAAAAAACCCAAACGCCCTCAAGTCTACCTAGGAATACAAACTATTAGTACGATAGTGTCTCTTCTTCCATCATCCTCTCCCCATGTGCAGCCATCTCTATATCGAGTTTCACTTGTTTATTTTATTTTATTTTATTTTATTTTATTTTATTTTATTTTTGAGATGGAGTCTCGCTCTGTCGCCCAGGCTGGAGTGCAGTGGTGCGATCTTGGCTCACTGCAACCTCCACCTCCTGGGTTCATGCCATTCTCCTGCCTCAGCTTCCCAAGTAGCTGGGACTACAGGCGCTGGCCACCATGCCTGGCTAATTTTTTGTATTTTTTAGTAGAGACGGGGTTTCACCATGTTAGCCAGGATGGTCTTGATCTCCTGACCTCGTGATCTGCCCACCTCAGCCTCCCAAAGTGCTGGGATTACAGGCGTGAGCCACCACGCCGGGCCTGTTTACTTTTTTACAAAAGTGGGATTGTGTCGTAAATATGTCATAGACAATTGCTGGGTTTCCAAGTGCATTTGTCTCCTTTCCTATTTGAGAATGTCCTCTGTATGTCTATTTGCAAGATCACACCAGTTATGAGGAACCAGGAACTTGGCCATCACTGTGAGACAGAACTGGAGCAGGGGCCTAGCTGAATAGTAGGTGTATTACATGTGTGATCTTTGGACAGGACTATACCTGCTCTTCCTGCTACTGCTACTGTGTGCCACCATGGATGGGAACATAAGATCCAGGAAACAAGACTTTTCAAGGTTGGAACAGACTGTCTTGAGAAATCACGTTCAGTCTCTTCGTAAAAATGTCAGTGCAGACAGGTATGTAGACCCGCCTTAGGTGGACTAGTGAGTTAGATGAGATTTCAGTTGTATGCCTATCTCTACAAATTCTGAATCTAAGTGATTTTTCCAGTAAGCATGCAAGGTCAGGTAAATGATCTGTTGATGATTGAATTTCCCCTATAGCCATGTGTTAATTATCTCCCTAATATACGTTTGGTTATTTTTGGTTAAGGCAGAACCAATACCCTTCAACACTATCCACCCTTCCCATTTTGTGTGTGTGTGTGTGTGCAGTTTTGTCACTTTCAGAATCAATCCTATTAGCATAACCTCTCTAGAAACAGTTTCTTACCTCATGATAGAATAATACTGATAAGAACGTGAAAGAAAATAAAAATAGAAAAGCAACAGGAGAATAACATTCTACAGATGAGGATGCTGTCAAAGCACTTAAAATTTTTGTGTTGCCACTGCTCCCGGAGAGAGTAGTTAAAATATCCCAAATGGTGAGTCTCTTTTAAATAATCCCCCACAAAAGATTTTTAAAAAATGAACTCACAGGCCACACACTGATACATTCATCTCTTCTTCCAAGATGGTGATTATCTTTGGCACTGTTACTTGTACTTCAAACTTGGGAAGAACTGTTGATTGGTGATAAAGAAGGTTGGTGATTGGTTTTCAACTTTGGGGGAATTCCTATTTTCAGGTTCCCTGTAACAGTTCCCTAATAATATTTTAGGGCTCTGAAAAGGTAGCTCTGCTCTCCAATCTATTCTTATCTATCCTCCTCTCAAATGAAGATTTCAGTTGAGGGACTATGAGAGATCACTGTGTGCTTAATTAATTATGGAAAACTCCATTAAAACAAGAATGTTTTAATTTTGGGGGTTGGTATTAAATATTGCTACAGAAAATAACGAAGCTATGTGAAGTCCTATTCACAGATCACTGATGTCCTCATTGGACTTAGGTGTAATTAATTCTACTCCAAGCCCAATGTCACCCATGGGAAATGGAAAGACTCCAAATGAACTTAAATTCCAGGACCTAAGAGTTTAAATATGAAGAAAAATAATGCTTGATGACTTTTCATGATCCATACCAAATTCCTCCACGGTGAAAGGGTGCTCTGTCCTTCCACCTGATTTCTTCTGTACCACCACCTTGTAGGAGCCCTGGAAGGGCTCTGATGAGAGGGGAAAAGAAAATTGCTTGAGGCCACCCTCTAACTGGAAACTCTGCCATTGTGCGATGCGATTTCCTTTGGGATCCTATATGAGTAAATTAATTATAACTTACAAAAGCACCTGGAGCATTGGAGCTAATAAAAGATATCTATGGAAACCCTAAGTTATCTACAAAAAGGTCAAATGGGGTAGTAGTAAAGGGTGAGTAGAGGAGATGAGTTATAGCCATCTAGCTCTATGGGAGTTTGAAGGCTTCTCCTTTAATGACAAGTTTCTGAGATATTGTAAAAACCTCTGAAATAAGAACATTTTCCCTATATGTATTGCTTTCCTTTTAATATGGAATGTTTCATGTTGCTTACCTGAATGTATACTAGTGGAATCTGAAAGACAAAAGAAAAAAGAAGTTTATAATTATTTTCAAATATTCTTAAATCTCATTTATAAGCAAAGCAGCTAGTATTTGCTAGCATAACAGGGTGAGTATAGTAAAAAATAATTTAATTGTACATTTAAAAATAACTAAAAGTATAATTGGATTTGTTCGTAACACAAAGAATAAATGTTTGAGGGGATGGGTACTCCATTTATTGATACAGGCATGCAATGCATGATAATAATCATTATCCATGATTGGATAATGATATGGATAATGATAATGATTATCATCCATAATCATTATCATGCACTGCATGCCTGTATCAAAATATCTCATGTAACCCATAAATATATATACCTGCTATGTTTCCACAAAAATTAAAAACAATAAAAAGTTTAAAAAATCTAAATTAGTTTCATATAGAATAATTCCCTCTATAGTGAAATACAGAAATATTCCAGATTAAATTTTATAGAACTTTTCATTAATCTATTTTAAGCAATTAATAAATAATGTTAAGAACTTACTAGGCCTTCAGCAACAAATATACATGTAAAGTGCCATTTACTAAAAATGGATTAACATGTCTTAAGTGCTTATAGCATCCTAGTGAAGATCAATCCTTTGCTATGCAATTTTACAGGTTGAGAAATAAACACTTATGTAACTATAAGTAAATATGTTCAGATGTAATCATTAAGATGGGTCATAGAATTCTTACGTAGTTCTAAGAATGAGGAGGAATGGACATATTTCATTAATAAATTTAGTTTAATAAATATTACTTTTAAAAATGAATAAACATTGATAAGAAGCTACTATGAATGTTTATTCATTTTTAAAAACTAATCTTTATTAAGTACCTTCTCATGCGCTGTGTATCATTCTAGGTATTGAGAATATAACCACGCACAAAAGAACAATAAACCATGTTTTAATGGAGCTTATGTTATAATAGAAATAGGCAGATTTTTAAAAATCAATACGTATAGAATGGTGGTAAGTGCAAATAGAAAAACAAAGCCAAGTTAGGCTGACAGAGTGATGGGTGTGGTGCCTCATTTTAGACAGAGGAGTGAAAGTAGAAGCTGGGAGACCACTTTGAAGGTTATTGTAATGATCTTATTTAGAGATGACATTGACTAGGACTAGCTTGCAGCAGTAGTTCAGATGATAAGAAATAGTCTGAATATATTTTAAGCCAACATGATTTTCCAGTGAAGTGGATGTGGGTATGAGAGAAAGAGAAACAAGAACTAGGCCATAATCTTTTGTCTTTGGAGCTAGAAGAGAAGAGTTGCCTCTTTTTGAGATAAGAAAATGTGAAGAAGTTAATTTGGGAGAGAAAAATGAAGACTTTGGGTTGATGTCTGCATTACAATAGAAAGAACTGTTTCTTATCACAGATACCAAGAGTTAGTCTTGAGGAACAAATTAATTACCCTGACTTTCCTTTATAGTGAAGATTTTGGTAGATGTGTATAGAAAAAATCTAAATCTTTAAAATGTTTTTTGAGCTTAGGTTCTTTGAGGATTTTTCTGTGTCTGCTATTGAATGTATCTTTCTAATTGTCCTAATTAAGAACCATCCGAAAAGTAAATTTAATTGTGTGACAACTGACTGAGTACCAGCACCAAGACAGAAAGAATTACCTACTTTCTTTACCTGGAATGATGTTTTAGATTAGGATCTTGTGCTGTTGTAATGCCAGAAGTTACTGTTAATGATACCAGATTCTTCCTCTCCCTGGTCTTCCCTCAGCACAAAAAACAGGTTCCCAGCCTGTTTATACAGACAATCATTTTATGTAGATAATAGAAAACTCACCAACTCATTCAGGGGGTGAAAGTTTTCATCCATGGAGACAACACGAAATTTCACTGAAACAGAAATATTTTTCATGAGCCCCCAAACCCAAAGTAGGCCTGTAGGCTGGTAAGACAAGCTATTAAGGAACCAAGATTATAGGAACTTTGCCTGGGGAACATCCAGGGGAAGAAGATCTTTCCTTTTTGAAGTTGTCCTGTCTGTAGGCTTCTTCATACCTGTCTGCCCTGGTTTGTAGATTGATTTGTCTGTCTGGACAAAGACCAGACTGTCCTCGTTCTTAACCATCACTGTGGTCCGCTTCTTAAATTCTTGGGTTGGTCCTTTCACTTGGACAGTGAGGAACATTACCTCCTCATTGGATGAAGACTTTGGGACCTGAAATACAGGACCGATCCTGAAACCCCATTCAGCACCCGCAGGTCTCCTCCCCTATTTGCTGTTGCACTCTTCCCTGGAGATCTTGCCCTTCTTACTTAACTTCACTCCCTTGTTCTCAGCAGGGAAAGTTGGCATGGACAGGAATCACTTCTGCCATTTTACAAATGGGGAGACAGGACACAAGGTGGAGGAAAATAAATCAGTAAGAGAGGTTGTAAGTGAGATTCACACCTTCATACAGCTCACAGAAACAGTCTTGATTCAATTATACGCTGAGCTTTACCAGGCTGATATTACATGCTAAAAGGGCATGGTCGAAGCATGTTTTACAGGCTATGGAAAAAAACCCCGTATTTTACTGACACTAGGCTGTAAGCATCTCACATGTGGACAACTCTGAAGAGATATTACACCTTTGCTCAGGGTAATTTCTACAATTTTTACTCTTAGAAGTAGTGTGGAGTGATGTGTTCCTGTCAGTCCACCACGGGTGGCTCATGTTGAGCCTTGGTCTAGTTTGCTTTATTAATATTTTTTCCATCTTAATTTTAAGAAGTCACATTTTCTTTTTTTTTTTTTCCTTTCTGGCTAATAGGGTTTCTATGTGATTATTAAGCTGACTTTTAGTTTGCCTGTAAATATTTGTCTCCCATGGCTGGAGAGTCATGCATTGCTCCTTAATTTCTATACTTAGTTTGCTACATTTGGATTCCTTCCTGCAGTTCTTACCAACCTCCCAAAGCCTCATCTGACAGAATACTAGATCCCTATGACCCTGACTAAAAGAACCAAGTATATTAAGTCAAACAGCCACACTCACAGCGAAGGCGACACAGTGGAGTACGTCATTCTCCGCCTCCAGGTCAGTGAAGAGGCTCCTGTTTCCCCTGACAGACTCCAAGGAAGCACTTACAGTCACTGTCTCATTCAGGTAGCTCAGAAGGACACAGCCCTTCTCAGTGGTCTCAGTGTGGAGCAGGGAGGGGACCAGAACCATATACTGCCTGGGAATGAGACGGTTCAGTTAGAGGAAAGTGAAGGAAGAGAGGCATTGCTATCAACAGCACTTTTTTCCATCATCATAATTATCATCATCAGTTCTACACCAAGAGAAGATGTACTGATGAGCATGAAATTTGGCCGTTGAAGGCCATGCATAAGAATTATTTCCCTTTTCCCTCACATGCCATGGCAGTGAACATTTTACTTGAGGTAGGTCTTAAACAGATTAAAACTTGTAGGCATGCTTCACTTTAAGGAACAATTTGTGAACATCTGAATTCAAATAAAAATATGTAGTTACATTTGTTCATGTTGTAAAATCTATTTTTACCTTCAAGTTGCTGTAAAAAGTAAGCAAGCTCTCAGTCATGCGGACATTACAAAAACTAATCAAATTATAGAATTTTCATTAAAATATATATACACACATACATACATACACACATTCAGCAGCCCTGTGAAAATTGTATGGTAAGCACTCGCTTCCACTCCACAGATATGGAATCTGAGCCTCAAAGAAAGTGAGCCATTACTTCACAGTCTCAGTTGTGGTAAGCAGCTAATAAGGTCTTAAGAGTGTTACCTAACCATGGATGTTTGCATTTTAAATATTTGCCTTTCAGCTCATGATTAGACAATGGCTCCATCCAAAAATGGTCCTCTGGTGATTGACTTTAGACCTTGGTAACTCATGTGCAGTACAGAAACTTTCTCAGTACCCTGACATGTAATTTAAGATCAACCCTGTAGTTTTTATACATTTTTGCTCACAGAACTCCTAAAATAATTTTTGGACTCTGTGCACTCCTTACATATTTTCAAGTAAACATATTTTTATCATGATTTTAAGTAATAGCAAAAGATATTATTTTTGATGATATTTTAAATTAATACTTAGATTACTTTTACAATTTTCTCATGAATAATAAACACTGTAGTATAAGATACCTACTATCACTATTTAAAAGTACATTAAAAAATTCTTTTAATGGTCTGATATTTAATATCTTTCTCTTCTTTTTTCCTTTTTGAATTTGAATTTCCATGCCAATTACCATACAGAAATTTATCCTAAATTTTTATATTTCAAAAAATGTTGTGAATTATTCTTACTTCTTTATTGTCAAGCATCTATACATATACGTATGTATACTTATGTTCACATATATACATATATGAATACATATACATAAATACATATATATGTAACATATGTGGGTAGGTAAATTTAACTTTAACTCCTCTTTTAAATAGAATGTAACCATAAATTTATAAATATTAAACATTTCCTTCTGACTGAGCTATGTTCAAAAATACTTGTATATAACTGATCAAAACAAAATAAATACAAAGTATGATTCATACATATTAGATATAAAATTAAAATACTTTTGAAGCACATCTTTAATGAGAATGATGAGCTGTTTTTTCCCCCAGTGAATTTATGCATCCATGGATTGCAAGAATTAAACAACATTAATTCTGTTACTATTTTTGTTTTGTGTAGCTATAAGTGCTAAGAAGAATGGCTCACATAAAAGTAAATAAATGGCAGGTAAAACAATTGCATCATTGTTACCACTTCTTGCAACTTCTGCATTACATGCCAAAAATCACCTAGTACTCTATTATCAAGAATCCCTTCTCATCACTCATCAGCTGGTATTTCCTTCAGTTCCTCCTTCAGTTGTGTTGAAACAAAGAATTCATCACCACCTCATCTGCAAAAGGATTTCTCTTCTGACATTAGAGTCCCTTGCTTTTTCAATATCAACACCAGTATTTCAAATTGTTCCTTTATTTGGCACTCTATAGATTTTTATACTCCAGGGCATTGTTCCATGTTTGGTTGTGGGAGAGAATTGTCTTTATTTTTATAAAATAGAAAATGGACCCTTGAGAAAGAGGAAATAAGAAAAGATAAATAGCATGGTCTCAAGTAGATCAATATGAATGTGAATATCTAAAATTTATTCTTTTAAAAAGCTAAAAATTTCTGACACCCCTTAGGAAGGCTTTGCATATTAGAGCTTCAGAGAGTTGGGGAAGAATGATTAAAAGTAAGCAAGTAATGAGTAAACTAGATTTGTAAAATCTGGAAGGAATCTTAGAGATAAGAAGATGACAGTATCATAGGAAAGAAAAAGGAATGATATAAAGAAAAATCTGCAATAAATGAAGGACTCTAGGTTCATGCTTCACGCTCTCTGTGTGGAACTCACGGTTTTCCAGAGACTGAGGCGTCTGTGGGCAGGAGGACCAAGAGGAGAAGAACCAGACTTGGATGAAGGAGTTTGTTCTTCCCCATGTTGCAGAAAGAAGGAGCTGGAGGAGAACAGACTGTATTGTACCCTACTCCCTACAATCCATCTGGTCCCAAACACTTCCCAAAGCAACTGGGCTTTATGCTGCTCTGTGTGCAAACAGGAAGTTCCACCCACACAAGATCTCTAAACAAAGTTGAGGTCTCTGAACATTCTCTGGAAAGGTCATTGATGGCCTATTTATAGTCAAGGTTAATTCCTGGCGGGCTAAATAGAATCCCTGGAGGGCTAAAACTACATTCCCATTCCCGTAAGAGCTCACTTTTACCGTACAGCAGCTAATAAGCTTTTCAACCTCTTCTCTCCCTCACTCCCCCACAACTCCTCACAACGCCTTTTATGGTGCTTCTCACATCTCTTGTATGAATAGCTGGCAAGGAAAACTACAATTTAAGCAACACTGGGCAGGCTCAAAATAGATATTTCACTACAAGTCAGTGTGGCTGCAAGTTCTCCATTAGATATGCCTAACCTAAATGTTTGAAGCCACATCAGAATTCAGTAGTCCTCTTTGAAAATGGCACGAATTAAACCAGTAGCTTTTTGACATTAGGGATATTACTGGGTTGCAGATGAAGAGCCAGGCCCTGGAAGAATGATCATAGAAAAGAGTTTCCTGTTTTAAGAAAGTGAAACAAAGAAACGTGAAGTAACAGGACTTCAAAAACAAATTTTGACCTATTGTGCCTAACAAACTTCCCAATTGCCTTTACCATCGACTACACAGACTTCCTTACTGCCTTCCAAATATGATACTCCTCTGCAAACTTTAAGTCATATAAATGATTTCATTAATCCATCCATCCACCCATGCATTTATTCATCCATCTATTCATGTAGCTATTCAGTTGCTTTGTAAGTATTTTTTGATCCTACTAGGGCTAGACATCATGCAAGATTCTAGAGATAGGGTGGTCAAATAAGTATGAAAACAGGCACTTAAAGATTTTACATTCTTGTTGGGGCAAAAACAGACAGAAAAACAACTACTGTATAAAATACAATATAACACCTACTGTATAAAATACAGTATAAAATACAATATAAAACTACTGTATAAAATACAGTAGCCAAACATATTATTGCAGAAGTTCAGGATGCTCTGGGAGCACATAAGAGAGCACATAACCCAGACCTGGAACCTTTTAAAAAAATTTTGAGGGAAAGCAAAATGTAAATTAAGCTCTGAAGTATGAGTAGTGGTTGTCTCGAAGAACAAAGAGATGAAAAGAGCTTTCTAAGCATAACGAATGACAGATGCAAAGGAGGGAGAAGAATCACGGCACATGCATGAAATGAAAACTATTTGGTATGGAGGAAATATTCCTTTCTGATACTTCAAATCAGAAAGGAATTTGTCAACAATATTAAGGTATTCAGAGGAGTACTCAGTGGATTGACTTCAGGTTTGTTTCCTGGAAAGCTTGCTCTTATTGAAATTTGAAAGGGCAGCTAGAAAGAGGTGATCCAGGATGCAGGAAGACCAGATGGGAGCTGGTGTAATAATATAGGTGAAAGCTGATGGCATTTTGAACTATGGAATTTGTGGTGGTATTGAAAAGAGCTTGCAGATTTATATCATATTTAAGAGGTAATTATAGTGCTCAGTGAATATATCAATGTGAGGAATAAAGGAAAATGTGTCTTTCCATTTTCCTGGCTCGTCACGGAGTGAATTGTGTTGCCTTTAGCTGGGTGAGTGAAACAGAAGAAACACAGATTGGTGGGAGCAGAAGGAGGACAGAAGGGCTGAGGGTTGGGAAGATGGAGTAAGTGCTTGTGGGATATTCACGTATTAATATTCACAGGAGTTTGACATTTGAATCTTGAGCTTACAGCAGTGTGGTCTACTAGAAATAGAATGTGATCGCCCTGTGTAATTTTAAATTTTAAATTTTCTAGTAACCACATAAAGAGAAACATTAAATTAATTTTAATAGTGTATTTTATTTAATCCAATATATCCAAAATATGATCATTTCAACATTTAGCCAATATAAAATTGTTAATGATATCTTAAAGACTTTTTTTTCATAATTTGTTTTCACAAGCTGGTGTGAATTTTATACTTACAACATAGATCAATTTAGGCTAGCCATACTTCAAGTGGCCAATATTAGACATAATATAGGTAATATTTTTCAGATTATGGTGTTAGCATCTAAGTGGGTTGTAACATCATGCCCTGTGAGTCATGACCAGGATTTTAAAAAATGAAAGAGAATATAATAAAAAATACAGTGTATCAGACAGAATAAGTGAGAATAGTGATTTGGGAAACATCTGTTTCATATACATGCAGCAGAGGCTGGTGGTTGTTTCCTGTTACCACTTCTCCAATTCTGCTTTAATAATAGAACTCCCGATCCTTTGCTGGGTGCAGACTGCCTAGTTGACTTCTATGTTTTTAACCCACTCCCTTGAAGCTGGGTATGGCATATGACTAAGTTCTGGTGACTGGAGGGCAAGTGGAAGTGATACATGCAACTTTCAGTTCATGACTTAAAAAAGGAAGGGTACAGTTCTGCGCTTCCCCTTTCTTCCTTGCCCAGGCTGGAATGTGGACATGCTGACTAGTGATAGGTACTGCTGTAGCTCATCAGATGGAAGCCATGTGTTAAGGAAGGCAGAACCACAAACCAGGCACAGCCTGAGCCCTTGAGTCATCAAAAGTCTACGCCAGTTGGGACCTTTATGTGACAGAGAAATGCATTCTCTTAGTTAAGCCATTGTATTTTGAGGTCTGTTACAGCATTAAAATCTATATCCTAACCTTATTTTTCTTTGTCACTATTTCTGTCTCAATCATCTGTATCCTTTACTCTAAGTGTCCTAGGTCACAATTGTGAAAATGTGATTACAGTGTCACAGTGGGAACTGCTTATTGAACATGTACAAAATCCCTTATTTTTGGTTAAAGTTAAAGCAGTCTGAATGCCACTAGCTTGATGAGATCTGCTGTACTTATAGAGACTATGGATTTATCAGTTTATTGGGCAAGCTGATGCCATGGAAATGGATGATAATACCCACGTAGAAGATGTTGATGAAAAGAGAAAAAGAGCCCAAGACAGAGTTACAGGGAATGCTCTTGTCTAGGCAATGGGCAGGAGCACCCAAGTGGAGCAAGAAGGGCCAATTAGAGAGGAAGAAACACAGGCAGGAGAGTGTGAGGTCTCTGAGTCCCACGGAAGGGACCGCTTTAGTAAGAGAATAGTCAATAGAAGATTGCTACTAGACCAGAATGATCATGACTTTATACCAAGGCATCAATGTTAATAGCACACAACATTTTAAAAAATTATTACAAATGATGGTATAATTTTATAATGTATTGATTCATAATGTAACATAATTTAAATGGTTTCTAAGACGCTAGAAATAAGTGAGCATTTACTTGGATTAATGACTTAAAATAGGAGGGATTAATGTTAATAGCATTCATTTGATGCCTCATGATAAATTACAAAGATGATCTGTAAAGGTTGTCATTGATAAATTCCTGGCTACCCATGTCAAGTGCCGCTGTGAAATCAAATAATTGATTGATTTTTTTTTTCTGCTGGGTTTAAGGACAAGGACATTGGGATTCAGCTGTTTCAGTGCCGGTGTGGGGCAGAAGCTTGCTGAGGGTGATGGGGAATGTGAGGAACTAGAGCCAGTTTGGCAGTTTGTCTGAAGGGGAGAAAAACAACAGAGCAGTACCTGACGGAGATGCCAGGGTGAAAGGAATATTTCTTTAGGTGGAAATAAACTTGAATAAGTTTGAATGAAATATTGCTTCTAAAAATGCTGAGTGGGAGGTACAAATGACAGGGGAGAAGTTGAGCTTTTTGGAGTGAGAAGGGATGATCCCAGAGGGAGGTCTCTGAAGGATGCATGCAGCAGATGTATTAAGAATGTGGGTGGAGGAATGATCCTTAATGGGAGAGATGCCGCATTCATTATAATCACAGATAAAAAGGAAAGTATTACTAAAATCGCCTTTCACCACGACAGAGCCTCCTATTCTTTAGGAGAGGGAAAACGAGCTTGAGAGAAAAAATAACTGGACCAGTTAGTTGCCAGGACACCTGAGCCCTACTTCTAACTTAGCTGTGTGGTCCTGGGTAACTCAGTTAACTGCTCTGAGCCTCAGCTTTCATGCCAATAGTGGGGCAATAATATCTGTGGTCTCACCTTAATGGGGTAGTTTCATACAAGATGCTAGGTGTAACACAGCTTTGACATTCTGATCCTTACTATACCAGTGTAAATTAATTTTTATAGTTTGAATGCTAATGGCTGAGGATGACATCTATTTCATCTCTGTTCTGGGTTTCGCTATAGGAACAGCATCCATCAGTGTTTCCAGGAAAAATCACCAATTGGGTTACCTGAGTAGCAAGTTCTTGACAGAAAAGGGAGCACACAATTTGAACCAGTTCTATACAGTTTTGAAGTATTTAGCAAATACTGCTAGAAAGCTGAGGTAAAGGGGTAGAGCGAAAAAAAGGAAGGGAAAAAGATAGTCCATGGAAAAGAAAGTAGAAGAGCAAAATACAGGAAAACACATAACAGTAAGAACAAACAAGGAATATTTGGGAAATGAGAGAAATTAGGATTAGGAGGTAGGTGGGCCTTAACAAAAATAAATAGAATCAAATTTTCTCCTTGTATTGCTATAGTGCTTCCCAGGAACTGAATATAACTTATTTAATTGTACCAATTGTACAGTTAGCGCACATTGTCCTTGAAAAGAGAACACTTAAGCTTCCCATAGTCCTGACAGTGACGATAATGACAATTTCATCTGGTTACATATTAACTAGTATCAAAAACAAGCTCAGTAGGTGGCATAACCATATTCACCCTATTAGAGGGTGTACTGGCTTTGTCTTTGACGAAGTATCTTGGGCAAAATCTGCAGTGAAGGAAATATATATCTACAGAGATGTACTCAGTGATCAAAGAGCAGAGTTTTTCTCATTTGTGCTATCCCACTAACGTGTGTGTGTGTGTGTGTGTGTGTGTGTGTGTATTTTTTTTTTTCAGAGACAGGGTCTTGCTCTGTTGCCCAGGCTGGAGTACAGTGGTTAGATCATAGCTCAGTGCAGCCTTGAACTCCTAGGCTCAACTGATCCTCCCATCTCAGCCTCCCAAATAGCTAAGACTACAGGTGCACTCCACCACGCCCCGCTAATTTTTTTCTTAAGCTTTTTATGGAGACAGGGTCCTACCATGTTGCTCAGGCTAGCCTCAAAGTCCTGGCCTCACGGGATCTTCCTATCTCGGCCCCGCAAAGTGTTAGGGTTACAGGCATGAACCATCATACCCGGACTTTCTGCTTTTTAATGAGAAAAAATATTTGAATATACAAAGATAAAAGCACATCCTCAGGTTGTTTTCATTCTAATATGCCTCCATCATTTCTCAAAATTATCAAAAAGCACTTTGGGAGACTGAGGCAGGTGGATCATGAGGTCAAGAGATTGAGACCATCCTGGCCAACATGGTGAAACCCCGTCTCTACTTAAACTACAAAAATTAGCTGGGTGTGGTGGCGTGCGCCTGTAGTCCCAGCTGCACGGGAGACTGATGCACGAGAATCGCTTAAACCCGGGAGGCAGAGGTTGCAGTGAGCCGAGATCACGCCACTGCACTCCAGCCTGGCAACAGAGCGAGCCTCTGTCTCGAAACAAACAAACAAAAAAACAAAAACAAAAAGAAAGAAAGAAAGCGTTTTATCTTTTTAATCAGGATACACTTGGTCCTTTAGGTTTCTAAAGAGGACTGATTTCCACACATAATCCATTTTATTAGATCCTATGTTTGCTACAGAGGAATTAGTGTTTGGACTAAAACAATTTACTACAAACAATAGAATTCAATGGCTGTCCTAACATATTTATACTTTGGGGCATGCCGAAGTATTTTTGTATAATGAATCTGTCCCCATTGTGAATTTGCTATGTATATACATTTCAAATTTATAGATACTATCTCATCAACTTTCTAAAATGCCAACTTACCTTCTCACTAGCAATGCTTATGTGTATATATTTTCCCAGCACTCATTTAAAATTTTACCAATCTGATGGGGAGGGGAGCATGATCTATTTTGTCTTTTCTTTTTCAAGTTCATGATTACTGGTGATGTTCAGCATCATTGTCACTTGTAGGAACCCTGTTGCTTATAATTTATCTTTGTTTAACTTTCTTTTTGTTTATACTGTATCTTTATTTTCTGATTAAGAAATCCTTCTGCATATGCATACTGAAATTGTAAAAATATTATCCTGCATTTTTTCCTACATTAAGTATTTGTGTTTAGATTTTAATCTTCATCTGCAGTTTATTTTGGAATAGGAAGCAAGGTGGGGGAAATGTTACAGGATTACTTTTCCTTTGATGAACAGAAAATAAGTGTATGCGTGTTTGTGTGTGGGTTTGCACAAGGTTGGTTCATGACCCTTAACCATAGGAGCCCCTTTGTTCACTGTAGTGCTCATGTTCGCTGTGGAACTTTCCAGTGTCAGAACTTTCATTTTAGAGAGTTCTACTTAGTTTGGGAGCAAACACTGGGGTTAAATTTTAAAAGTAGGAAAGATAAAGTTGTTTGCCAACTTTACTTAATTACTCAGATGATGCTGATGATAATGAGGCTAACAACAATAGCTACAACAGTAACAGGTAATGACAGCTAGCAATTACGTAGTACTTACTATATAAATGGGCTAAGACAAGTTCTAAGAGATTTAGATGTTCCAATTTTTGTTATGCTAAAAGATTATTTTGCTAATAGTTGAACTGTCGGTCCCTAAACCCACAATTTACAGTAATATTATAAAAATTTATTAAAAAGTAATTATGGAATATATTGTATAAGGTATTATTGAAAGTTCTCAAGTTTTAAATAGTGTAGCTTTCATAATTCATTTATTTTCAAAGCAAGTTATACATACGTACTCTCATTATTTAATTTAAAGTAATGCAGTATAATTTGAAGGTTAAATTACAAGTTATTTATAAAGAAAAGGGTATAAAAAGGCATGGTATTTAAGATGTAAGTATCAAACTGGTTTTTGACTTTGGCAGTAATTATAAATAACTATTTATTAATTAGACATCATAATGTAATTTTTTCCATGTAATTAAAGAAGTGGTATAGACTGCTAACATATTTTAACTTTTATTAGAAAATAAAACATGTTAATTTTTATTAGATAAAATAATTTGAATATATCTTGTTACTGGTACAAATATTTTAGGACATAATTTTATAAATGAATTTTAAGTGACCTTATTTAATCTTGTATATAGTAGTTCCCCTTATCCGAGGGGCATATGTTCCAAGATCCCCAGTGGACACCTGAAACCACAGATAGTACCTAACCCTATATATACTATGTTTTTTCCTATACATACATACTTAGGATGAAGTTTAATTTATAAATTAGGCTTAGTAAGAGATTAACAAAACTGATAATAGAAGAACAATTATAACAATATGCCAACATCACTACTCTTGAGCTTTGGGACCATTATTAAGTAAAATAAGGATTATTTGAACATAAGCCCTGCAGTATTGAGATAGCTACTAAGTGACTGGGGTGGGGGTTAGGGGGAATAACAGCAGCATATACAGCATGGATACGCTGGAGAAAGGAATGATTCATATCCCGGGTGTCAAGATTTTATCACACCACTCAGAATGGCACACAATTGAAAATTTATGAATCGTTTATTTCTGGAATTTTCCATTTAATATTTTTGGACCCTGGATGACCAAGGGTAACTGAAACCACAGAAAGTGAAGCTGCAGATAAGAGAGAACAAATATACTATCTTTCTTGCATAAAGCACATCAGCAATACTAATTGACTACATTTCTAGTTTCAGTTTCTTCCTTGTTTGTGAAGCAATTAGAGTATTTTCCTAGATCCTTTACATTATCCCTTAAACTTTATAGTAATTTCCTCTATGCCTAATTCAATGGCTTTTTTTTTTTCGCGGAAAATGCAAGATGAGCCTAGAATATCTTATCCTACCAAACAGAAAGGATGCTGCCAAAGACTATTAGGGTTATGTCGAAAGGACTCAGCTGCCGCCCTTAACCCATTTCCTATTTAGAAAAAAAAAGTGCAGCTCCCTGCCAGCATTCATTTAATTTTAGTAAACACATTCTTTGAGGCTGGAGCAAATCTGACTGATTTTCAATGTGAAAATAAAATATAAAAGCTGTTCTTGGAGTTATTTCTAAACAGAACTTGTCTCTAATCCTAGTGTAACAGACATGTATGTGATGTTACCTTAGGATCAGAGACAAGAGGATTCTCGGGGCAAACGGGAAATTCATTAAGATGTTTCCACTTGCCAAAGATGGGATACCATTGATGGTAGCCGCTGCTGCCATAATGTTGGCTGCAGTGGAGCCGGTGGGAGCTCCGTCCCTTCTGAGTTGGGGCCAGAGCTCCCCGGTGCCGCTGCAGCTGCCCAAACCGAGGCTGCAGACCGCGGCCTCCTGCTCTATGGAGCAGGTAGGAGCCCCGCCCAAACTGCGGCTGTGGATCTGAGCCTCCCTGTGCTCTTGGAAGGGGCTGGGAGCAGGCAAGATCTACACTCCCCGTGCGGCTGCAGCACCCCGACCAGTGGCTGCAGACCTGGGCCTACTGCTCCACTGAGCCAGAGAGAGCCCGGGACAAGCGGGAGACCTGCCCATTCCCAGTTGGCTGCGCGGGAGATTCCCTGGTGCAGCTGCGGCACCCTCACAGGTGCAGGTCCAGGCATCTCTGCAGCCTGCACCCTCGAGAGCCGGGAAGACCCTCCCCTTCTCTCGACCCTGCAGGCTCAGGGGTGTCTGCTCCCATTGCCTGGCCTTTCTCCTCTCCCAGAGCCTGCTCCAATCTTGGGGCTGAGCCCAGGGGCCATGAATGGCAGCGGGAGGCAGGCAGACTCCTGGGCAGAAGGGGGCAGGTCCCCTGTAAGGCCCCACCTTCAGGCCAGGGAGGACCTGAAGGTTGGGATCCCGGCAGTCAGTCCCTAGGACTTGTGGTGCCTCCTTTGGCCTGCCTATGGCTGCCCATGGATCAATCAGCAGGCATTTCCTCCACCCCATAAAAGCCTCGGGCTCAGGCAGAGCAAGAGAGAGGATGGAGGGACAGGAAGACCAGTTGCAGAGAGAAGCTGCCCTCTCTGCTAATAGCAGGAGACGATGGGACAACCAGCTGCACAGAGGAACTACCCTCTCTGCTGAGAGCTTCAGAGACCTGCAGAGACTTCGGGACTACAGTGCAGAGAGGAGCAAGGAGCACCCGCTCCAGGGCCTCCTCTCTGCTGAGAGCAGTAGATGTTGGGAAGACCTGCCTACGGAGAGGAGCTACCCACTGTGGGTCTCCTCTGAGCTGTTCTAAAATTTAGTAAAGCTCATCTTCATCTTGTCCTTCACTTGTCTGGGTACCTCATTCTTATTGTGCACCCTTCACTTGTTCGTGTACCTCATTCTTCCTGTCATTCTTCCTGGATGCAGGACAAGAGCTTGTCGCCAGCCGCAGAAGTTTCTGGCCAGAAAATCGACACCTCAAAGCACTAGGTAATACCTTGAGTTTAAGAAATACAGAAAATACAATCAACTTAAGCTCATTAAATATATTTAAATTCATGAGTTAATGATATATTTTTAATCCAATTGATCACATTATTTTCAATTGACGAAAAATTATGTAGACATTGTGTGCAACATGTCATTCTGAAATATTATACATTGCAGAATGGCTTCAATGGCATTTTTAACGTATTCCTCTCCATGGACTCTTTCCAAAGACTTTTAATCTAGGTTTTAGATAAAAACTGAGTTTTAAAATAGTGCGTGTATGTATATTTTTTGTTTGTTTGTTTGTTTGTTTTTTGAGATGGAATCTTGCTCTAACGCCCAGGCTGGAGTGCAGTGGCACAATCTTGGCTCACTGCAACCTCCACCTCCCGGGTTCAAATGATTCTCCTGCCTCAGCCTCCCAAGTAGCTGGGACAACAGGTGCTCACCACCATGCCTGGCTAATTTTTGTATTTTTAGTAGAGACGGGGTTTCACCATATTGGGCAGGCTGGTCTCAAACTCCTGAGCTTGTGATCCACCCACCTCGGCCTCCCAAAGTGCTGGGATTACAGGCGTGAGCCACTGTGCCTGGCCATGTTTATATTTTATAAGTTCGTGTACTTTATTCCTCAAATTTATAATTACAATAATGCAACTGGCATAACAGAATATACCACAATCATACAGGGTGAGCATATAACTCAACTGTTAGGAGCAAAAGTATGTAGAAATATTAGAGATTATTATTAATCACAGTATTTAATATTGTACTAGTTTCATTTTCTGAAGTGGAGAATGTTATTTCATCCGGTGAATCTCTTAAGACCTAGCATTTTTACTATAACTCATTTGAATGTTATATAAAATATATTCTCTTGAAACTTTATTTCAAAACAGTAACAACTTTAGATTTCATATTTAGGACACAATGTGTATGAAGCAACTTTTCAAGTGACACAGGACTTTTTGAGAGGAAAACTTGAGTTTGCTGTTTCTTCTGTGGCTCATTTTATAAACCAAGCGAGAGTCCTGGTAGAGGCTTAATTTTTTTCAGAAGAATGCCTAACTTACCTGCTGCCCATCTGATTTCTAAATATGGAACTTTCCGACATAGCAATTAAGAATACAGGGACTCCAGGTCTTTCAGTGGGCTGCTATCTAGCCCCCATCCAAAGCTTGACTAACAGAGGTGATGTGTATAAAATACCATACTGCTCCAAGCCTAGAAGTTTCTTTTAAGTATGGGTGCTCCCTCCCTGTTCTTGTCTCCACCATGGAATACAATGGACTGCAATCTGACTTTCAGCTGATCACTGCCTGAAACTTCTGTGCATAGTTCTCTGCCTGGGATTCTGCTCCCACCAGTGAGGACGCCTTAATTTTTTCTTTTACTCACCTGTCCATTTAGTCTGTATATCATCACGAGACAATGCTGAAGTGTATTAGACTTTGCTAAAAGGGTTAGAGTAATTAATTACAGAAAACATTATAACACAAGAGGGAAAATACAGAGCTATATGGTAAATATACCTTGTCCCGCGGTCTATGAGTAAAAGCTCTAGACACTACATTCTTTCTAGGCGGTCTGTCATGGACACACTCAGCTCCTAATCTCAGTTCCTTGTTCTCACCTTCTTCCTATCCCTTTATTAAAGCACCTCATTCTTCTCTTCTCTGCTATCTTTCCAACAAACTTTTGAGAATGTCTGTCCAGTCCTCCTAGGAATTGATTCATCTCTCCACAGCAGTACATTTTTGCCGTCTGGGTTGTTCTGTCTAGAATAATGCCAGGGAACGGCCTTTGGTAGGACACCCAGTGGTGGGCTTGGTTAGCTTTCTGAGGAATATGGACTGTGCTTTAAATTCTGTGGCAGTCCATGGTGAGTTTAGGAGCTTGAAGCCTGGTTCCCTCTTAAGTTCTCCTCACCAGTGGTTTTGGTGTTTTATCAGCCCTTTTTTGGGTCCCCTCATAGCACAAAACCCACTCATAGCACAAAAATTCTTATAATTGGTAATAATGCAATTAAAATTTCCGATTCCTCCTGCCGATTGCAGCTCCTTGAACCGTTCTCTGCCTCACCCTAACTTCCTGCAGCTTTCGCCAGTCATTGGCCACTTAGTCCTTTGGGGGCTGGGCAGCGGCTCCGTGCACTTTGGAGTCGGGGGCGCCTTCCTAGAGCCCAGCATCCACTGGGGCTCCGAAGCCGTAGCCTGTCTGTGTCCTCCACCCACTTTGTGCCCTCATCCTCCTCTGGGGCTATGGCAGCGGCGATGCCAGCGTCCTCTGCAGGTCCGACAGGCTGCTGACGGGCACCAAGATCACCACGCAGAACATCCACGACCACTTGGTTCCTACCTGGACAAGGTGCGGGCTCTGGAGGAGGCCGGGTGAGCTGAAGGTGAAGATCTGCGACTGGGCCCCGGGGCCCCGGCAATTACAGCCACTACTTCAAGACCATTGAAGACCTGCGGGACAAGATTCTTGGTGTCACCATTGAGAACTCCCGGATTGTCTTGCAGATTGACACCCGCCGCCTGGCTGCAGATCACTTCCGAACCAAGTCTGAGATGGAGCAGTCTCTGCGAAGGAGCTTGGAGGCAGACATCAAGGCCTGCGCAGGGCGCCCGATGAGCTGACCCCGGCCAGGGCTGACCTGAAGACGCACATCCAAGGCCTGCAGGAGGAGCTGGATCACCTGGAGAAGAACCACAACGAGGAAATCAGTGCTGCGGGTGGCCAGGTCAGTGTGGAGGTGGATTCTGCTCCAGGCATTGGTCTTGCCAAGATCCCGGGCAACACGTGAAGCCAGTATGCGGTCATAACTGAGCAGATGCCCAAGATGCTGAAGCCTGGTCACCAGCCAGACTGAGGATCTGAGCTGGGAGGTCGCTGGCCACACGGAGCAGCTCCAGATGCACAAGTCCGAGTCGCGGACCGGTGGCGTACCCTCCGGGGTCTTGAGATTGAGCTGCAGTCGCAGCTCAGCATGAAAACCGCATTGGAAGACCGTACTGCAGGAACGGAGGCCTGCGTTGAGGCCCAGCTGGTGCGGATCCAGGCTCTGAGCAGCGGTGCCGAAGTCCAGCTGGGCAATGTGTGTGCTGACTGCCAGAGGAGGCCTGAGCAGGAGATCACTGCCGACCGCATCCTGCTCGAGCGCCAGAAAGATCCTTACAGCAACCTGCCCACCTGCAAGGTCCGCTGAGTGGCAGGCTCCTGGGCTTCTGCTCTCCTTCAGAGGGAGGATCCTGGGTAGGGGATGGGAAGGGAGGGACCCTTACTCCTGGCTCTTCCCCTTACCTGCTAATAAAATTTTATGGCCCAAGGGGGTGGGGGGAAGAATGCAATTAACTTCCAAACCAGTTTTTCTTACACCAGTTTTCTCTGGCAGAAGCTGGAGTGGGGTGACTGGGTCTGCGGGTATTTCATACTCGCTGTTACATGTTTTTGAAATATGTGAAATCTGTTCTCTTTGCTATGTATTTAGGCTCTAACTATGATAAAACCAGACCACCAGAGTACTACACACCTGGACTATACTATCTTGACTTGTAATGGGGTTTCATGAAGTGGCTTGCTTTTGAATGTTACCAGCTAGCCATAACCTCTTTCTTTCTCTCTTTCTCTTTTTCTCTTTCTTCATCAAAAGATAGTTTCAAGAAATAACCATGTTTATTACTCAAAACCTACACAGGCACATCGGGCATATCCTAGGCACTTAATAACAATCGGTATTCATTAAATGAAGAACTATATTAAATTAATTTCTTAATTTGGTGCTAAATATAAATAAATTTTTATTGAAGGCATTCATTATCACTAGTTGATGATACATTTATTATTTCATTCAATACATATAAATTCTGTTGGTGACTACATAAGTACAAATAAATGGTCATTACTATTTGAGGAGAGAGATAGAGAAGAAAGTACCTTGTAATTTTTTAAATTTTTTCTAATCTTTCTCTGACTATAAAAAGTAATGTATACTTATTATAAAATATATAAGTATGAAGAAAATATAAAGTAATGTGTGAGCTACCCACCAAATTCATAAACTGAAAGTATTTTCAGTATTATTGTATATAATAATATATATGAAGATGCAGGTATGGGTTTTCCTTTTTCCCATTTTACCCATTTTTTTTTCCCGAGACGGAGTTTCACTCTGTCGCCCAGGCTAGAGTGCAGTGGCGCGTTCTGCTCACTGCAAACTCCGCCTCCCGGGTTCAGGAGTAGCTGGGACTACAGGCGCCCGCCACCACGCCCGGCTACTTTTTTTGTATTTTTAGTAGAGACGGGATTTCACCGTGTTAGCCAGGATGGTCTAGATCTCCTGACCTTGTGATCCACCCGCGTCGGCCTCCCAAAATGCTGGGATTACAGGCGTGAGCCACCGCGCCTGGTGAACCATTTTTAAATGTACAGTTTAGTAGTGTAAAGTATATACACATTGTTGTGAGACAGATTTTCCGAGCTTTTATATCTTGCAAATCTGAAACTCTATAACTACTAAACAACCTATTAAACACTTCCCCTTTCTCCTCTTCTCTGTCCCTGGTAACCAGCGTTCTTCTTTCTGTTTTTATGAATTGGCTTGGATACTTCATATAGGTGAAATAATACAGTATTTGTCATTTTGTGACTAGCTTATTTTACTTAGCAAAATTTCTTCAAAGTTCATCCATGTTGCAGCATGTATCAGAATTTCATTTCTTTTTAAGGCTGAATAATATTTGATTGTATGTATTCATTCTTCTATTGATGGACATTTGGCTCGCTTTTACTTCTTGGTTATTGGGACTAGTGCTATGACTGTGGTATATAAATATCTCTTCAAGACCATGTTTTCAATTCTTTTGGATATACACCCATAAGTAAAATTCCTGGATCATATGGTAGTTCTATTTGAATTTTTTGAGGAAACTTGACGGTGTTTTCCATAGCAGTTAAACCATTTTACAATCCCACCAACTGCGCACAAGGGTTTCAATTTGTCCCCATCCTTGCCAACACTTGTTACTTTCTGTTTTTTTTTTATAGCAGCCATCCTCACAGATGTGAAGTAGTATGTCATTGTGATTTTGATTTGCATTTCTCTGGTGATTAGTAATGTTGAGCACCTTTTCAATGTTTATTAGCCATTTGTATATATTCTTTAGAGAAATATCTATTCAAATATTTTGCACACTTTAAAATCTAGTTATTTGATTTTTTTTTCATTGTTTAGTTGTGGGAGTTCTTTATATATTGTGGATAATAACTTCTAAATATATTCTTTGTAAATTTTTTTTTCCCATTTTGTATGTTGCCCTTCACTCTTTTGATTGTGTCCTTTGATGCACAAATGTTTTCAAGTTTGATGTAGTCCCATTTATCTTTTTTTGCTTTTGTTACCTGTGCTTTTGGTGTCATATCTAAGAAGTCATTGACAAACCCCATGTCATGAGATTATCCTGTCTGTTTTCTTCTAGAAATTTCATAGTTTTAGGTCTTATGCTTATGTCTTTAATATATTATAAGTTAAATTTTGTAGATAGTGTAAAATAAAGGTTTAACTTTCATTTCCATTGTTCCCAACACCGTTTGTTGAGGAGACTATCATTTTCTCAATGAGTGGTCTTGGCACCCTTGTTGAAGATCATTTGACCATATACACACAGGCTTATTTCTCGGCTCTTTATTCTATTACGATGGTTTATTTGTCTGTCTTTATGCCAGTGCCACACTGCTTTGATCATTGTGTCTTTGTATATGCTTTGAAATCAGGAAGTGTGAGTCTAATACCTTTATTCTTCTTCCAAAGTTGTTTTGGCTATTTCAGATTCCTCGAGATTCCGTATGAATTTGGGGATGGATTTTCTTTTTAAAAGTGAGAGTTTACTATACATTTTGGTCTTCCATTATTTAAATTAAAATATATGTTGGGGACAGCTTTCCATGTTAGTATATCTCTATTAAGAGGTAATTTGAATAATTACATTTTATAATTTTATGTATATTATAATCAATCCCATAGTGATATTTAATCAGATTTTTGTTATTCTAGTTATCACTTCAATGAGCATCCTTGTTTTTGAGGTATAGTCTGTAAGGTAAGTTACTAGAGGTGAAAAAGTTAGATCAAAGGGTAAACACTAGGATGTAAATTCCACAAAGGATAAGATGTTGTTCATTGCTGTATTCCCAGTGCCTAGAACAGTACCTAGCACGCACTGTGTACAGGTGTTTGATAAATATTCAGTTAATGATGAAAGGGTACATACTATATATACGTTTATATATTTGTGTTTTATGTATGCTTATATAAATATCAATATAATTTATATACATATATAGTTTATATACATATATATACACATTTCTAAATTTCTAAGATATAACTCTTGAGTTGAATCTCACAAAAAATGAGAAGATATTTTCCAAGCAGACTGTGGCAGACACTGCTCATTGGCTAAACTACCCACAACATCCCTCTCTCTAGGCATCTTCAAACCAGAGTGACTATGGTGCTGTTTGGGCAATGAGATATAAGTAGAAAACTGCTGGGTAGGGCTTATGGGAAACATTTGCTTTCTTAAAAAGAAGAGTTGTAGTGGGCATACCCCTGAATGTCCTTCCTTGTTCTTACTTAATGGAAAATAGATGTGATATTTAATATTTCAATGACCATCTTGAGACAGCAAAGTAACAAGCAGGGGGATGAAGGTCTGCATGTTAAGGAAGTCTGAAAGATAAAATGGGCCTTGGTCCTCATCAGCATTATTGGGCAATTCTATCAACCTTGGAACACCAACCTATGGACTTTCCTATTTGTTTAAGCAGCTGCTAGTTGCTTTTCTGTTATTTATTGCCAGAGGGATTCCAGCTGATACAAAATATTTTCAAGATAGGTCAGTGTGATAAACGACATGGGTTGTGAAACAACATACAGTGTTAAGTCATCTGCAAGTACAGAAAGGAGGTCAACTTGACTGTGGCTTAGGGATTAGGCTAAAGAGAGAGAGAGTCAGAGCCCTGTGTGCCATGTGAAAGAATCTGGTTTCCATTCTGCAGGCAGTTGTGTAGATAATGAAGTGAGTTAGGCATGAGAGAAACATGATTACTCTGGCATGAATATGACACACACATTGGAGAAGGGCAATATAGTCAGCAGGAAGACCATTCAGGGGGCTAATTCAGTGTTCAGTTGGAAGAAAATGAGGGCCCAAAGTAAGATTACAACAGTGGGAAGAGTGAGAAAAAATATGGATTTCAAATGTACGTGATGTGACCTAATAACTACTTTAATATATATGGGCACATTGGAGAGAGAAGTTGTGTTACTGCAAATTATCACATCTGAAGCACCATTGAGGTAAAGGACACAATTTTCTAATAAAGTATTTAAAGAAAAAATTTCCACCTGATTAATGATTAGATGTATATCCAATTATGAAACACTACTGATCACAAAACACATCTTGATTTCAGAGATGTGAAAAGATGTGCCTCTTTGAATGAATGAAAACTGGTATAGCTAAACTAATATTTATAGATACTGTATGCCAGGCATTGTGATAGGCACCTTGCTTATTTCACTTAGTGAACTCAAAACTTTATGAAAAAGGTGTGGGTTTTTTTTTCATTTTAGAGATAAGTAAAGGATGATTGTAGATTTCCTACTAGGGCAAGTGCTGGGTTTGTTGCTAATAACAGATAGGGAAAGTAGACATATTGAATTTGAGGTTCTTTTGAGATATCCAGTGAAGCTATTCAAGTAGGGAGCTGGGCACAGAGTTCAGAAGTTAAAGAAAAAAGTGATTAATTGGGTTCAGTCAATATTTAAAGGCTGACAATGAGCCAAGCTCTTGAATTAGGTACTGGGGATGTGTGGCAAGTAAAGCAATCAAGTGGAGAGATGGATATTATTTAGTCAGTTCACAAGAATTTTAATGCATATTTTGTATCAGATACTGTTCTGTGGTTAACAAAAACCACATGTTCCTGCCATTGGGGATTATACATTCCTGTGGAAGAATACAGATCAAAGTATATAAACAAATAAATTAAATAAGGTAATTCCATATGATGATAAATGCTGTGAAAGAAAAAAATGTTTCTTTTCTTCCCTGAACATCCAGGGAGATCCAACATAGATTGTGCATTCAGTCAAGACCTCTCTTATGATATGGCATTTAAGCTGGGAATTTATCCTTGCAAAAAGGGAGAGGGCAAGTTATACAGCATTATAGGCAGAGGGAAGCATGTGCTAAACTCCCCAGACAGAAATAAAGTATTCAAGATTAGAGAGAGGGCCAATGTGCTGACACATCATCACCAAAGAGGGGAAAAGTATGAGGCAAGAGAATCACGGTGAAAATAGCAATCTGGGAGCTACCTATACACACTATTAAAAGTTGTAGAAATGAATGAAGAAAATGTAGAGTGCAAAGAACAAGCAGCATAGATCTAAATCTAGAAGAATCTCAACATTTAGAGATCTGATAAAGAAGAAGATATCCAGAAACTGGTCTGTGGAGGAGGGGCCTCAGAAGAAAAACAGAAAAGTGTTATTTTACAGAAATCAAAGGTAGAGATTGTCCTAGGAAGTATAGATTGTTGGGTTTAATGCTGCTGGCAAGAAGCCTGCTCTCAATATCAACCTTGGTAGAATTGGAAGGAAGTCTACAGAACTCTTCTTTCCCTGGTTAGACTTTGCCTGTCTTGGTCTCAATAACTATCATGGCAGAATTGCAGAATTGCACAAGGGACTACAGAACCCATGGTGTTGTGGAGAAGAATGCCACTTCCAATCTCTCCATCATTCCCCACCTCAAGTGCTTGACTCCGGTCTCAAGATGGAGGCTATAATCCAGACCTCTTCGTAAGAGAAAATCAAACTAATGCCTATACACCCATACATCTCTATTTACTTCGGTTGCTACAAGAAAAAGACACCAGGTGTCTTTTTTCTTTTAAAAATTTTATTTTATTGTGGTAAGAACATTTAACATGAGATCTCCCTTTTAACAAATTGTAAGTGTACAATATATTATTGTCGACTATAAGTACAACATTGTAGAGCAAATCTCCAGAGCTTATTTACCTTGCTTCACTGAAATTTTATGTCCATTGATTACAAACTCCCCGTTCCCTCTTCAGTTTAGCCCCTGATAACCACTGTTTTACTCTTTGATTCTATGAATTTGGCTGTTTTAGATAAATCATGTAAGTGGAATCATGCAGTATTTGTCTTTCTGTGACTTATTTCACTGAGCATAATGTCCTCAAGATTCATTAGTTTTGTCGTATACAGAATTTTCTTCTTTTTAAAGAAGTTCGCCCTTCGGTGCTGGAAAGGCAACTGTTGGGATCTTCAGAGGCTCTGCAGCCAGGGGTGGAGGCAGCTGGGGAGGTCCTAGCCATGTAACCAAACCGCCATCGCTCCTCTCTTCCTCTCTTCTGCCTCTTCCTGTCTAGAAAATAACTTTTTTACTCTAATGAAAGAAAAAAGTAGCTGTCTGCCCCTCACACCCTTTCTTCCTGTCAGCCCTCTGCTCTGTGAGGAAGCCCTGGGGGCTGCTCAGCTGCTGAGGCAGCGCAGCCGAGCCCCGGCGTTCCCGGGCCGCCCCACCTCTGCCTCCTTGCATCCCTTCTACCCCAGAGCCACCACCAGGGTAGGCGAGATGGCCGCCTCCATGTCCTTCGTCTCCAAGTTTCTCCACAGCAAAGGGCTCACGAACGGGCAACAGCTGCAGACCTTCAGCCACAGCCTGCAGGAACTGCTGACAGAACATTATAAACATCACTGATTCCCAGAAAAGCCATACAAAAGATCAAGTTATCTTTGTATTCGCATCAACCATGAAATGGATCCCCTGGACAGGCAGCACAGTGGATTGGACCGAGCAGTCAGGAGCTGTTCAAGCTTTTCCCAAGTGAACTCACACTCTGGGTTGGACTCACGCTCACCTCAACCTATGAGATGTCTGTCCTGCAGAATTGGAGAAGATGGCTCCATCTGTGTGCTGTATGAAAGCCCCACCAGCAGGGGGTAGCACTCAAAACAGCACCGACATACAAATGGTAGACAGCTGAATAAACTGTAAGGACGAATTTCTCTTGGGCAGAACCAGCCCTTCCAAAAACTACAGTATGATGACTGTATCAGGTTAAGATGGATCATCTTATAGTGCATGGATAAATTTGATTTTGGCTTTGGGTGGGCTCCTATTGGGGATGGATTATGGAATTTAAACCATGTCACAGCTGTGAAGATCCGGCACAAGATAGAGTGGTAAACATTTTTTTAAAAGTGACAGTGCCATAGTTTGTACAGTATCTTTCAATAATTTAATAGCCTATGAGTCCAAGTAAATGATCACTTTATTTGCTAGGGAGTGAAGTCCTAGAGTGATTTCAGCTTCTCCCAGACATACTTAAATTTTTACATCAATTCCTTTAAAGAAAATCCGTATGTCAAAGAACCTTTCTCTGTAGTAGATCTCGCAGAGGAATTTGAACTATCACACTTGAAAATTATTGTTTACCTTTTTGGCAGCTCAATAGGGGAGCTCAACGTTTTAAACATAGTAGTACTGGAAATTTTACGACAAGACTTTTACCTAGCAAATATTTCTAAATGTACATAAAGACAAGCTAGCAAACATGACCTGGGAAAATGGTCAGACTTTGTATTGTGTTTTTGACCTTGAAAGTAGCAAGTGACCAGAATCTGCCATGGCAACGGGTTTTTAAAAAGACCCTTAGAAAGACTGTTTCAACTGTGGTGTTGGCACCAGCCAGCTCTACGTACATTTGCTAGCTTGTAGTTTTCTAAGACTGAGTAAACTTCTATTTTAGAAATTGGAGGTCTGGTTTGTAACTTTCCTGGGTAAAAGTATTTTCATCTATTTTGTGAACTTTGTTAATCATCTTTTATTTGGTAAATTATGAATGGGTATACATTTGTACAGTTCGTGTATATTGATTGTGGCAAAGTTGTATTGATTTCTATATTTTGGATGAGAAATTTTTCTTCTGTAATAAATTGTTTCTTATCTTGGCATTTAAAAAAGGCAATATTCCATTGTGCATGTGTGTGTGCATATATGTGTGCATATATATATGCATGTATATATAATATGCATATACATATATACAAATATAGATGAATATATACACCATGTTTCCATAGCAGTTGCACCATTTTGCATTAACACCAACAGTATACAAAGATTCCAGTTTTCTCCACATCTTTGCCAACCACTTGTTGTCTTTTATTTGATAATAGGCATCCTGACATGTGTGAAGCGATATCTCATTGTGGTTTTGATTTGCATTTCCCTGATTAGTGGCATTGAGCATTTTTTCATATACCTATTGGCCATTTGTATGTTTTCTTTTGAAAGATGTCTACTCAGATCCTTGCCCATTTTAAAGTCATGTTATTAGTTTTTTTGCTGTTGAGTTGAGTTGTAGGAGTTGCTTATATGTTTTGGATAGCAACCCCTTGTCAGACACATGGTTTGCAAATATTTTCTACCATTCCATATGTTGTCTTTTCACTTTGTTGATTATTCCTTTGCTTTGCAAGAGCTTTCCAGTTTGACATAGTTCAACTTATTTGTTTTTGTTTTCGTTGTCTGTGATTTTGGTGTCATATCCAAGAAATCATTGCCAAGACCAAGATCATAAAGCATGTCTTTTATTTTTTCTTATATCAGTTTTACAGTTTCAGGCCTTACTTTTATGTCTTTAATCCACTTTGAGTTAATTCTTGTGTATGGTGTAAGATAAACATCAAATTTTATTGTTTTGCTTATGGATATACAGTTTTCTCCACACCATTTGTTGAAGGGACTATCCATTCCCCCTAGTGTATTCTTGGTACCCTTGTCAAAGACCAGTTGACCTTTTATGGGTGCATTTATTCCTGAGATCTCTATTCTGTCATTGATGTTTATCTGTCTTTATGCCAGCACCATACTGTTTTGATTACTGTGGTTTTGTACTAAATTTTGAAATTAGGAAGTGTGAGTCCTCCAGCTTTCTTCTTCTTTCTCAAGATTGATTTTGTTATTTGTGGTGTTTTCTCATTCCCTATAAATTTTAGGATTTCCTTTTCTATTTTTTTAAACAATACCAATGTGATTTTGACAGGGGTTGCATTGAATCTATAGATTGCTTTTGATATTATGGTTATTTTGACAATAGTAAATCTTCCAATCAATGAACATGGTATATATTTTTATTTAATTGTGTCTTAATTTCTTTCATCAATGTTTTTGTTTCCAGACACAGGTCTTTCACTTCCTTGGAAAAGTTTTTCCTTAAGTATTTAATTCTTTTTTGTGCTATTGTAAATGGGATTGTTGTCTTAATTTCCTTTTCAGAGTTTATTGCTAGTGTATAGAAATGCAACTGATTTTTGTAAGTTGATTTTGTAGCTTGCAATCTTACTGTATTTGTGTATTAGTTTTAACAGTTTTTTAAAATGGAGCCTTTGGGATTTTTAATACATAATATAATGGCATCAGCAAACAGGAAAAAGTTTATCTCTTCCTTTCTGATTTGGTAGGCTTTAATTTATTTTTCTTACCTAACTGTTCTGGCTAGGGCTTTGGTTCTATATTGAATAAAAGTGGCAAGAGTGGGCATCATTGCCTTGCTCCTGTTCTTAAAGGAAAAGCTTTCAACTTTTCACCGTTGAGTCTGATATTATCTATGGGCCTTTCATATATAGCCTGTATTATGTTGAGATACTCTCCTATTTATAGTTTCTTGAGAGTTTTTAACATGAAAGAATGTTGAATTTTGTCAAATGCTTTCTCTGCTTGTATTTATATAATTATGTGATTTTTTTTCCCTTTATTCTGTGAATGTGGTACAAATTTATACATACTGAACCATCCTTGCATCCTGGGAATAAATACTACTTGGTCATGATGTATGATCCCTTTAATGTGCTGTTGGATTCTATTTCCTAATATTTTTAAAATATTTTTTGCATCTATATTCATCAGAGATATTGGCCTGTCATTTTTTTTTTCTTGTAGTGTCCTTGTCTGGCTTTGGTAGCAGTGTGCTACTGGCCTTATAAAATGAGTTTGGAAGTGTTCTCTCACTTTTTGGAAGCATTTGAGACTGATTGGCACTTTTTTAAAAAAATGTGTATTAGAATCTACCTGTGAAGCTATCTGATCCTGGGTTTTTATTTGTTAGAAGGATTTTTGTTATTCATTAAATCTCCATACTAATGATAGGTCTGTTCAAACTTTCTTGATTTTTACTTTTGACATGTTTTGTGTATTTGGGAATTTACACAATTCTTCTAGGTTATTCGATTAGTTGACATATTTGTTCACTTATGATCATTTTTATTTCTAAAAGAGCAGTTATAATGTATCTTCTTTCATTTCTTTTTTTTTAGTCTAAATAAGGGTGTGTTAATTATTTTTTTCAAAAAACCCACTGAGCCTCTTTGATTTTTTTCTTTTCTTGTTTTATTTATTTCTTCTCTAATTTTTGTTATTTCTTTCTCTGCTAATTTTGAGCTTAGTTTGTTCTTTTTCTAGCCTCTTGAAGTATAAATTTGGGTTGATTATTTTAGATCTTTGTTCTTTGTTAATGTAGGTATTTATCACAGTAAACCTCCTTCTTAATAGTGCTTTTGCTGAATACCATAATTTTAGTGTTTTTTATTTTTGTTTTCATTTGTATTAAGGCACTTTAAATTCCTTCTTGATTCCTTCTTTCACTCAATGACTTTTCAAGAGTCTGTTGTTTAATATCTATGTATTTTTTATTTTTCCAGTCTTCCTTCTGTTATTGATTTATAGTTTAATTTTGTTGTGGCCAGAAAGACACTTGGTGTGATTTCAATCTTTCTAAATTTGTTATAACTTATTTTGTGACTTAATATGTGACTTATCCTGGGGAAGGATCTGAGTGCACATGAGAAGAGTATGTATTCAGCTGCTGTTTGGTGGAATATTCTGCATATGTCTGTTTGGTCCATTTGGTCTATTGTGTTATTCAAGTCTGCTGTTTTCTTATGGATACAGATTTCTGTCTGAATGATGTATCCATTATTGCAAATAGTATTGAAGTTTCCTACTATTATTTTATTGCTCCCTATTTCTCTTTTCTGTTTTTCCAATGTTTGCTTTATATATTTAGGTGTTCTACTGTTGGATGCATATATAATTGTAATTGTTATATATTCCTGTTGAATTGACCCTTTTATCATTATAAAATTTCCCTTTTGGTCTCTTGTAACAGTTTTTAACTCAGTCTATTTTATCTGATATAAGTGTAGCCACTCCTCCTGTAAGAGTTAAAGAAAGAGGAAAGAAACATGAAAAATGGCTCAACAGTGAAAGACAGGTTTATTTTGGAGAATAAACCTGAGAGGGGATTCTGACCAATTTTTGGTCAGGACCACTCTCTCTTACAGACTAAGAGTATTTAAGGGTTTTAGGGTAAGAGAGCTTATCACAGGCTTGGAATGTTTCTGTGTGGAGGAGAAGTTTATTGTGGGGTTGGAATGTCTCTGGTCAGAGGGGAGGTTATCTTGGGGCTGCATCTCTCTGGCCGGAGAGGAGGTTATCTTGGGATGGGCATGTCTCTGGCTGGGGAGGGGTTTATTTTCGTGTTGGAATGTTTCTGGTCAGAGATGTCATTTGTGGTTTATGGTCATGCTGACATTAGCCATTAGGCTGATGCCCTTTGGGGCAGTTTTTGGGTAGTTGTCTGTGAAATGGCCATGATCCTGTCAGTTAAAAATCTCTGGAAAAGATTAATTAGGCAGGGTAAGAACATTAGTCCTAGGCATAGTAGTAGGGGGGGGCCCAGGAATGGGATGACCCATGCTATGGTTTTTTTCCCAAATCAAGAATCCATTTGGTTGTTTTGGAATTCCCTTAGCTCTTTGGCCCTTTCTTTAAGTTATTTAGCAGTGTTTCTTACTCGGCCCAATTGGTTGAGATAGAAGCAACATTCCTTACCTAATGAGAGGCAGAGGCACATGTTTGGAAAGGGCCACGTGTTATTTTCTGCCAGTAACCGTTATTAAAAAATAAATCATGGTAGGAATGGTTTGCATTATTATACTTGGTTTAATTATTTGCATACAGTGCAGCAAGAATAATTATTTGTTACCTAGGCCTTTTAAACTGGCATTGATGGAATTTTGTTCCATAGAAGGAATCTGAGATAAGGCCTTTTAAAGCTGAGCCCAGTCATGGAATTGTACCATTAAATACCTATGAGTTGGGTGAATTCCTCTCCTCCTGAGGTTCCAAGATAACTTGGGGGTACTGGCCTGTCAGAAAGTGACATTCTTTACTTACCACAGGTCAGAAACCCTGTACAGGGACTGTGCACATAAAATATGAGGCCAGTTTCCCGAGAGTTTTATTGGCTCCATAAGTCAAGTTTGATTCCTTAAAGGACAGCACACCTCTCCAGTCAAAGCCTTGGTAAAATAACCAGTTTTTCAAATCATGTTCTGTTACAAAATAAAACAGATTCTTATTGCACTGATGGAAATAACTATATTGCCATAACTTAAATATACTCAAAAAGTAAAAAAGATTACTTCAGTCTCTAGGGGACCAAAAACAAGACAACAATTGTTTATGGATGACAAAAAGTTTTATAGTAGCCATAAAGTTACAATTGACAAGAATATCTGTTACCTTTGTGGCATGCAATATTTTAACATAACAATTATAATTATTACTGATAACGTACACTAAGATATATCAGAAATATAGGAGTCTCTTATAACTTTGGAACACATACCAATAACATATGTATGCAAATATAGCCCAAAGAAAGCCAAACACCATTTTATATTTGACAATGCTTCCTGTATGATTTTATACCAAATAAGCTAAACCTTTATATTAGTGTGCTACTAATGTTAAACTCAATTTTTAATAGAACCTTGTAGATACATTTACCCGATTTTAATGTTTGACCATAAGGTAAGATTTCTATAGACCCTTTTTAACCCTTTATAATTTTTGTTAAAGAGCAGGTTAGTGCTTTAAGAGAAACCAAACCCACTGTGCTTTTATTTTAATGTCAGTTTACAGAAAAACTGGATGATACTTCTTCAACTTTAGCCAATATATTTACACACAGAATTTCCTTTACAATTAACCTTCCAAAACTTGCTTAAACCTTCATTTTTATTTTATTCAACTTAAAACAATTCTTTAACCTTTTAATCTAGGTAAAAATCCACATTCTCATGCCTCCTTATAATCTTTTTACCAAAAGTATATGTAAACTGTTTTTTCAATAGTCTTAAATACATGTTACACTGTTAACTTTTAGCAACCTTTACTTTTGTTGGTAAGTTTGGGATTTTAATTATGTACTAGGTGGAGAGCCTAGGACCCAGACAGAAGTTCAGATAAGGTCCGACTTATTCCAGCATTTAACTCCATGTGTCCTAGGTCTTACCTAGCTGCAAAGCAGGCAAGTTGTACAGCTAAGAGTTATATGGCATTTTATAAAGCATTCAGGAGTCCTAATCACTTTTAAATTGTACAACATTTCTTGCATAAATTCCCTTTTATAAATTTTTTCATGACTTACATGGACAGTCTCTGACATGCCTCGACTTTGTTGTAAACATCCCTCTCTTTAAACAACTAGTTAATTTACTTCAGGACAGGAATTTACCATATATGATTCTTTTTTGTATAAATTCTCTTTTCTTTAATATCAAAGATGATAACAGTCCTTTCCCAAAGCAAACTTCCTTCATGTCTGTGCACTAGACTGCCTAAGGCCACAAAATTAGAAGTTAGGGTATTTCACTAAATAGTTCAAGATGAAGCTATCTTTATTAAACCAATATTAATGTTTCATTTATTAAAAAATTACACAAGCAAAGATTATTCTGTTTGGGCTGAGTTATAGTTTTGTAGTCTCTATGCCAAATTTTGACACCTAATAGTATTTGGCAGAGATAAGTATGAAATTGCTTGATTAATAAATGCAAACAAAAATGTATGCTGGCAACTCTTAAAACATTTCTAATTTTACTGTGCCAGTAAGTTTTAAAGATTAAAGTCACGTGAACTGAAAGGTCCCATAGCTTTTACTTTTCCTCTAAAAATATTTGATTTAAGCACTTATTTTTCTTAGGCCAGTCAATTAGAGCTTTTTAAATAGACATTGCACACCTAACACATATATAGCCACACAGACAACCAGAAGAAAATCCAGTAGTTATAAGATTTTTTTTCTAATTTTCCAATTGGATTATTGGCCTTTGGGTGAGGCCCTTTAAGAACAGGGCTAGGAAAATAATTTCCAGGGCCTAATAAACAAGTAAAGCTGAGAGACAAAGACAGATTTTGAGAGGTACTTATTTACCTCTAATTCCAGGGGTTCCACAACGAAAACAAAGGTTTTTCCCCAAATGGGATTTGTGGCAACTTTTCTGTTTTCCCAAGGAATCCCAGGCCACCAGAAGTCATTTTAGGGTCTTTAATACCTGCACCAAGAGTGGCAAGAAAGAATGGAGAAAAGTAATTCAGTTGACTGGGAAAAAACCTTTTCCAGGAAAACAAGATTTATGAAGAGAAAAACATAAAGGCCTTTGAATATACTCATAGCTTGGACATCGATTTTAGTTAAGCTGAGTGCTCTTTTTCATCAGGGGTGAGGGTTGAGGTTAGAATTATGTAAATAATATACCAAGTTAAATTAAAGGATTGGGTTATGTGCAGGAATTCCCTGTGATAATGAGAGGGATTTTCAGAGAAAGATCCAAGGTGCTGTTTAATCTGTGACAAATCAGACATGGAGAAAGGGACATGAACACAAGCAATACCTTCGACCCTAGCCACTTCCCAGAGTAGGAGAAAGGCAGAGGTGGTTTGACTGGTTGAAGCAGTTTTTGAATGAGTAACAGGTGGAGAAGGAGGAAGAGTGGAGTTTGGGGCTGAGGGTTCGGACAGGCAAGAAGTGGATCCAGGGGGATGAGGATAGAGAGGGCATTCATCTGTAGGGTCAAAAGGGGTTTCAGAGGAAGGGGTTTAGAAGGAAGGAATTTCAGAGGAAGGAGAAACCTGGGGAGGGTTTTATTAAGAAGGATTTCATGAGGGGTGCAAGCTTGACACAGGGAGGGTCAGGATCTTAGGTAGAAGAAAGCCTGAATATTCAGGCAAGAACCTCCTGCCATTTGCTGTTCCTGGTTATAAAGTTGTCAAGGTCCCTGAGAATTTGAAAAATCAAAGGTGCCATTTTCGGGCCATTAGCTGTCATTATCTAATTTGCACTGGGGCCCGGCCACGTTGCAATAAAAAGCCAAACACTTTGGCTTTATGCTTCCCATAAGCCAAGTTTGGCAAGGCTGTGAAGGAGACAGCTCAGTGGAGAGGACATAGGAATTTTGGATTGTTGAGCACCTATGTGGACTGGTAAGAAGAAGCCTAGGGTGTCTGTTTTTGTTGTAGGTGTCCCCAGACAAAAGACAGAGACCCAGAATCCTCTTTCTAAAGAGAACAATTAAGCTGAGAAGAAACTGGGTGTCCCCAAGATTTCTTCTAGCCTAGTCCCACTGGTCCTCTGAGGATCAGGATGGCATACCTGACTTTCCCGGGTACCATGAGAAAGTCAGGGGAAGGCAGATCTTACCAGTTGGCTGGATTAGTGTCCAATATTGGATGTTCCAGTTGGAATTGGCAAAGGGCCTCTTGAACCAGAGCCACATGAGGAAGAGAGAGAGAGAGAGAGAGACAGAGAGAGACAGAGAGAAAGGAAAGTGAGGATGAGGGAGGAGGAGGGGACAAGTGTTAGAGAGCAAAATACCCACTGTGGGTGGTCAGAAGTGGTCAGGTCTCAGGACTCTGAGAGCCCACTGGAGAGTAGCCCCAGCCTGAGCCTCACAGTTCCCTTCAGGTTAGTTGTCCTGCTCATGTAAATCACTTGAAAAGTGAAGTAAGAGGCAAGATGGGGTGGTTGGCCAGAGACTCTCAGGATCCAGTGGGATGAGCTGCCACTGCCCACTGCTTCCTGGGTTGCAAGAGAGCCTCTACCCACAACACCCGTCCTGGGTTTTGGCACCAAATGTAAGAGTTAAAGAAAGAGGAAAGAAACACGATTAGTGGCTCAACAGTCAAAGACAGGTTTATTTTGGAGAATAAACCTGAGAGGGGCTTCTGGCCAATTTTAGTCAGGACCACTCTCTCTTACAGACTAAGAGTATTTAAGGGTTTTAGGGTGAGAGAGCTTATCACAGGCTTGGAATGTTTCTGTGTGGAGGAGAAGTTTATTGTGGGGTTGGAATGTCTCTGGTCAGAGGGAAAGTTATCTTGGGGCTGACATCTCTCTGGCCGGAGGGGAGGTTATCTTGGGGCAGGCATATCTCTGGTCGGGGAGGGTTTATTTTCGTGTTGGAATGTTTCTGGTCAGAGATGTCATTTGTGGTTTATGGTCATGCTGACGTTAGCCATTAGGCCAATGCCCTTTGGGGCAGTTTTTGATTAAGGGGAACTTTAAAATGCCAGTGCTTGTCCAAGATGATGATACTCCTGCCCTGTCACCTACTCTCTTGTGATTACCATTTGCATGGGATATCTTTTTCATCCCTTCACTTTCAGCCTATGTGTGTTCTTAAATCTAAAGTAAGTACCTTGTATATAGAATATATTTGGGTCTGTTTTTTTAACTTTTCAGTCACTATATGTGTTTTCATTGGGAGGTTTACTCAATTTGCATTTAAAGTAATTGTTGATAGGGGAAGATTTATTTTTGCCATGTTAGTTGTTTTATGTTAGCCTTGTAATTATTTTGTCTGTCTTTTCCTCTCTTCCTGTCTTCCTTGTGTTTTATTGTTTTTTTGTGTACCAATATACTTTGATTTTTAAATCTCTGTCTTTTGTGTAACTTTTATAGACTTTTTGGGGTTACCTTGGAGTCTACACAAAATATCTTGTAGTTATAGCAGTCTGTTTTAAGCTGATAACAACTTCAGTTTAATCACATACAAAAACTTTGCCCTTTATCATCTGTCCCTACACACTTTATTTTTGTGAAAATTGATATCTATTTTATGTTTTAAAACATATTTTAGTTTGTTATTTTTAATACTTTTCTCTTTTAACTTTTAACTGGAAGTAAAAGTGACTTACTAGCATTACAGTAATACAGTATCATGTGTTTTTCTTTATATTTGCCTTTGCCAATCAGTTTCATACCTTCTCTTGATATTGTGTTGCTGTTTAGTGTCCTTTTCTTTCAGTTGAAAAACTCTCTTTAGCATTTCTGGTAAGACAAATCTAGAGGTGATGAACTCCCTCAGCTTTCGTTTGTCTGAGAAAGTCTTTATTACTCCTCCATTTTTGATGGACAGGTTTCCCAGGTATAGTATTCTTGGTTAGCAGGTTTGTATTATTTTACCACTGTGAATAATTTCACTGCCTTCTGGACTGCAAATTTCTGCTGAAAAACCAGCTGATCATCTTATCAGGCATCTTGTCTATCTTACAAGTCACTGTTCTCTTATTGCTTTGAAAATTCTCTTTTACTTTTGATAATTTAATGATTATGTATTTTTATGTGGATTTCATTGGGTTCATCTTACTTAGTTATTTTTGAACCTGGATTCCATTTCCTTTTTCAGGTTGAGAAGGTTTTAGTCATTATTTCTATGAATAAGTTTTTTCTTTCTTTCTCTTTCTATTCTCCTTTTCTGACTCTCATAATTTGTATAATGGTCAATTTGATGGTGCTACATAAGTTCCTTAGGTTTTCTACACTTTTTATTTCTTTGTCTTTTTTTCTCTTCTGACTGAACTACTTCCAATGACTGGTGTTCAAATTAACTGATCTTTTCTTCTGCTTTATCTAGTTTGCTATTGAACTCTTATAGTGAATTTTTAAGTTACTGTGTTCTTCAGCTCAATGATTTCTGCTTGGTACCTTTTGATACTTTTTGTGGTTTTGTTGAAATTCTCACTGCTCATACATTGTTCTTTTGACTTCAGTGAGCATCTTTATGAGAATTATTTTGAATTCTCCATAAAGTAAATCACATAATTCCATTTCATTAGTGTTAATTTCTAGAATGTATTTTGTTCCTCTTTAAAGGAATATCTTTGCCTAATTCTTCATTTTCTTTGACTCTCTGTGTTGTTGCCTCTGCATTAGACAAAGGAAGGCACCTCTCCCATTCTTCACAGACTAGTCTTGTATAGGAGAAGGTTCCTATCAATCAGCCTTGTTGGAGGTTGTGGGAGATTCTAACAATCCTTTCTCTTCTCAGGGAGAAGCAGGAAGCTGTGGTTCTTGTCTGCTTGTTTTGTGATGAGCTAGGGGAGTTATAGTGTTCACCACTTCAAATCAATGCTGTCTTTCTCCCCCAGGCAGCCAGTCTGTGCTGGACCCATCAGAACTACCTGACTGGCAAGATAGGTGCCAATTCTTTGGTCAGCCACAGAGAAGTTGGAGTATTGGATGCAAAGATCAACTCTTTTCCCAGGCGGAAGTTGAGAGCTGGGATTTAAAAAAATCCATTTACTGTCTGCTAGCAAGGGGAAGGATTAATGGCATCTAGAATTCCAAGCTGCCACCTCCTTTCTTCCAAGGTGGGGCTAGACTGTGCAGACTCATCTGAGCTCCCCGACTGGCAAGGCAGATGTCAGTTGTTTGGGTATCTACAGAAAAGTTAGGGCATTAGACACATGGATCAACTCTTTCTCTCCCTAAGGGAAAGCTGAGAGCAGGAAATTTTTTGTCCACACACTCTGCTGACCAGGGAGAAGGATCTATAGTGCCTACCAGTCCAACTTGCCATCTTCATTCTCCTTCAAGCAGCTAGACTGTGCTTGTCCTGTCAGAACTCTATCACTGGCAAGATAGAAACCAGTTCTCTGGGGAGAACCCTCAGAAAAGTTAAGATGTGTGAAGTAACCCCTTCTCTCCCCTAAGAGAAGCTGGGAGCTAGGGGGCCTCTTTCTAATTGTATTATGCTATGCTGGGAGTGTTCTGAATCTTCTTTTTTCTGTTTTTTAGCCTCTCATAAGCCGTAGCATGTCCTGAATCTTACTGGCTTCGGTGAGTCTGCTTTTGCATTTGTTTAGGATACAGGAGTCTTTCAATTAGCCTTTGAATTTCTCACAAAGGGAATTTGTCCATGATTGTTACTAAACTGGTGTTCATGTGTGGGACAGGGGGGAAGCCTGGGGGAAGACCAGGGTTTCCTACTCTGTCATCTTGCTGACTTCACTTCTCCACTCATGTATCTTTCATCAGCCAGTTTCTTACTGTGTTATGGCTCCACTCTGGTATATCCACCCACCATTCTTCTATGACTCCTTGAACCCTTCAAGCTAAGTCTTCTGGAACTCAGAACCTATTATTAGCAAAATATCTTATAGCCTTCTCCAAATGTTGCCTTTATGTATGAATTTGAAGCATGTCTTCCTATTGAGACCTTGACTTGTTTTATGTCTCCATTAAGAGGTGACCAGTTTTTTTTTTCTCCCACACTACATTTATCCCTGTTTCTGTAGATAGGATAATGTCATTCTTGCCTCTTCTCAAATACTTGATTTTTTTTCTCTCCATAAAAGGCATTAACTACTCTCATGCCATTTGATTTTACCATCTGCTATACCTTTGTTTATTTTTAAATGATGTTTAAAAATTACTTTAGAAATTATTTTAAGCAGAAAAAATTGTGTATATTTACCATGTACAACGTTTTGAAATATATATTCATTGTAGAATGGTTAAGTCAAGCTAATTAACATGTACATTACTTCATATAGTTGTCATATGGTTAAACTCTACTCCTTAGCATTTTTCAAGAATACAATATGGTTAACTGTAGCCACCATGTCTCTTTCTATTAAAATAATCTATAGGATGCAGGTTACTCCCCTTTTATTCTTTGAAGATTTTAACCCTTGAGTCACTGCATCCTCACCACTGTTACTTTTATCTTTAAACTTATTAATTTTATTATCCATGTTTGTAGATGGTTTATCTAAATCCTTCACTCTCATCTCTTTATTTTTTTAATCCATATAATAATCTTATCCTAAAATGCACTTTAATTATCAATTCTCTAGATATTAGTTTTTCCTATAACAGCACTTCTCCTCATCTCAAACATCTCTTCTGATGTCTCTTCTTCTAATCTTCTGACCCTTCCAGTCCAGTTATATTACCACGTTTATATTATCTATCATCCCCTTATGTTCTCACCTTCCACCTTTCTCAACTGAATTTTCATTCAATTTCTTTACCTGCAACCTCCACTCTGCTTTCCTACTAGAATGCTAACCTATTAGAATCCAACCTTTGCACCAAAATTAAACAGAAAGAATATAACTCATCATGTGAACATGTTATTAATGTCTGATGAATGAATGATGCAACAAGTGATAGTTTGACCAGAAGTACATATTTATTCAGCAAATATTTTTAGTGTCTATTTTATAGAGACAAATAACTCCATTCCTTCTAAGTAAATGTATAGGACAGAGAATCCACCAAAATATACAGCCTGTATGGTCCTCAAACATTTCCATGCTCTGTATCTATGGAGAAAAGAAAAACGTAAGGAGGTTGTATCATTTCCTGAGGAGCATTCAGTTGAGTGTGGGCAGCAGAGTGAGCTTATGCAGGGTCAGGAAACTTTGTGAAAGGCCAGATGGTAATTATTTTAGGTTTATATGCCATGTGGTCTGTCATGACTAATCAGCACACAAAGGCAGCCATAGCCAATGTTAATAATAAGTGTGGCCATGTGCCAATAAAGCTTCATTTACAAAATTAAGTGTAAGGCTAGATTTGGTTTTAGGTGTGTGATTAGTTGACCATTGTGTTGAAGGAAGCCCAATTAGCTGTGAAGTGAAATGTCGCTTTTAGAGATAGCTGTCCTACAAATAAACAAAGCTTATTGACTTTTCTGGGAGTGAATATCTGAAATTGGAGAGTCCGCTACAGAATAGGCATGCTACGCCACAGTTTTGTCTTGGTGTGAGGACATGCCATGTGGATTGTCTCAGATGTAGGAAAAGCCTTGTAGAGAATTTAAATTGCAGGGGCCCTTGGAGAGTGGGTTAATGCCATCTAGTACTGGTCATAAGTGGTGAACTCTTACCTGTGCTGCAGGGGGCGATATACTCAGCAACCACAGACTCATCTGAAAGATAACGTTGGGTGAAGGAAGAAACGAAAGATCTATGAACTAGGGACCATGCTAAATCTGTCTAGTCACTTTACTACTGGAGAAAAGCACGCCCTATCAGAATTGTCAAAACTTCATGTAAATAGACAAGAATTAAACAGGATCATTAACATATTTATATTCTCTTTCCCTGAGACTGGAGATGGGGACTGAAGCCTGTTCAGATGGCAGCTGTTCAAATTTTAAATTCTTGGGAAGATGATCATAATTGCACTAACCTGTAGTTCTCTCTTCCATGACCTCTCTGCTTCTATTCACTTTGTTCAGCTTGCTCCCTTAATTACTTTTCAAAGATTATTGTTCCAGCTTGAAACACTCCTCCTACTTCTATAGACCCCCAAAACTCCACTCATCCTCTAGGATCCAAATCAGATCTTTCTTCCTGTTTGTTCTTCCTGAGCACCAGCCTTCTGTGCTGTTTTTGCCTCTCAAACTTATTGCTTAGCTCACTAACACTCATTTGTCACTAATAGTCTTTCCTGTTATGTAATATTTTTATCTGTATTATGTTATCTATGTCTCTAAACTACTTGAAAGCAGTGACTATATATTATCATTCTTTTTAATTCTTAAGTTTCTGACTCAAGAAACACTAATTGATAAATTTGTTCAGTAAGTTTTTGTTTTGTTTTGTGTTGTTTTTTCTTTTTTTTGAGACGGAGTCTCGCACCGTCACCTGGGCTGGAGTGCAATGGCGTGATCTCAGCTCACTGCAACCTCTGCCTCCCAGGCTTACACGATTCTCCTGCCTCAGCCTCCATAGTAGCTGGGATTACAGGCACACACCACCACACCCAGCTAATTTTTTGTATTTTTAGTAGAGATGGGGTTTTGCTATGTTGGCCAGACTGTAGTAAGTCGTTTTTATAGTGTACATCTTGGAGGAAAGAAACAAAAGATTAATGTTGACTAAGTGGGCTAAGAAGAGGATCAACTGTCACAACAGGATCCATTTCTTGGCTCTGGTTAAGATTGTTTCATTTTTCTTTCACTCACCTGTCTCATAGTAATCATAGACTTTAACAATTGCTGGCTTCAAGTCTCCTACTGGGATGTCTTGCAGAACCATGAAGGAAAAACTTAGCGTCTGATTTGTCACCTGAAAGGAAAAGTGGGAGTAATCAAGAACCTAGAAAACCTCCTTCTTTCTCCCATGAGCAAAACATATTCTTATTGTTCTTTGACTCTTTTTCACCAGTGTCTTTAGGTGACCAGACATTTGTGGATGTCAAGATGGGTTTTAGAATGCATCCTTGGGAACTCTATTTACAGTCAACAAATTTTCACAGATTTTCTTCTAAACAACTGAGCCAACCCTATTCTTTTGTAGTCCCTTGTTATGAGATTAACTCTCTGGGCCCATGTGAATGTGTTCTAAGCTGGAGAAACATGGTTTCATACAATCTGTAATTAAAACAACGAAGTATTCTTTCTGTTTGGATACATAAAACATTTTCTTTGTTTTATGGTCATATTTGATAATATTCATAAAATCCTCATTTTATTTTATGGTGACATTTTAGAATGTTAACATTATCATTAGGCAACCACTGGGGTCATATTTATTCATTTTGTGGAGGTGGTCTTTAAAATAACAGGAATGCATGATAACCTTTAGTCCTATTGATTTATCACTTCAAGTTTAATATTTATTCATATCGTCAGGGAGTGGGGCCTTTAAAACAACAGGAATACATGGTACACCTTTTTTCTATTGATTTTGTACTTTAAATTTCATAGAAATATTCATATTCCAATTTTAACACAATTAAAAATAGAACAGAACACTACATGGAGTTCAAAGGTTTCCCCTCTTATTCTTCTTGGAATAGATAAACCTTTCTGGAAGGGCATTACTAATGATTGTTTTCCTCATGTTACCGACTATTCTAGTAAAGAGACTCACTTAGAAAGACGACCCATATGTAGTCTCAGCCAGGATGTCAGAGCCCTCACCTGTTCCACATAAATGAGGACATGGTTGTTGCTCACTTCTGTCCGGCTCACAGAGCTAGATCTTTCAAGCTGGAGAGAATTAGAAAACTTCAGTTAAAGTTAGAGAACAGATGTGAGAATGGTGTGAGATCTAGAGCAGATTGTAATAAGGGACAAATGGTCATTCTCTGAAGAGAAGAAAGCTAATTGTTTTCAGGTCAGGAGTTCCACAATTCTTCAATATCCAAGTAACACATTAGAGCCTCTGGCATCTTTGATAATTTTAGTTCACGTTGATTTTTTTTCCTTCCCAAATTTTTAGTGCATATCAGTCAGTTTGGGATTTAAACCATATCCTATCTTTCTTGGGTGGTTTTATTGTTTTGTGCCCATGTGCTTTAAATTCCTGACTAAACTATGAGTGGCCTAAGGATAGGTACTCCTTGTGCATTTCTCTGGTATCACATATGTCCCTTAGCTTACGGCCAACTAAATAGTTCATTTACTTCCTGGGTTTGGGAAAAATATTTTTTTGAGGCAGGATGATGTTGACATGGTTTTGATATTGGTATGGTCTTAGTTTGGGGATACAGAACATACTTTTGTATGAAGTCTATTAGGATTAAAATACACCTACCATTTTTACTGTTGGTTTCAGGGGAATAAAACCAGATACCATCTTTACATCAACAATCACCATATTGGAAGCAGGACGGTTTCCTGTGTAACTGTAGTGTCAAAGGAAAAAGAATTTAGGGTTTTATACGTGAAAGAAAGCCAAATTTCTGCTTTCAAGCATCACTTTAAGCCTGTCTGTCTTCAAGAAGTTGTCCCTAATATTCTACAAAGGTCTGTGTTCCCTGGACTTGTGCAACACTGACATTGGACACATGCATATACATCAGATCTACCACTTGCTAAAATTACAGATGTTTAAGCATCACCCCAAAACTATCAAATCAAAATCTTTGGTAGTGAATCTTGCTAATTGGCATTTTTAACATATCTATGGTTTTTGCACACCTCACTATACAGTTCATTTGTTATTTAGTATATATTACTTTTATATTTTTAGTAGAGAAAGGATCACGTCATAATGATAAAAGCCTAAATTCATTTATAGATATATCAATTCTAAATTATATTAATCTAATAACATAGCTTCCAAATGGACTATTAATTTCTGTTAATTCCAAGTTGCTTTTGGGCCAAAGATAGGTGATTAGGTTAGAACGTCTTACCTGATGGTCAGTGAGATCTGAAAGCTGGTGTGGGCTTTGTGTCCATCGCAAGTTTGGGGCACAGTCTGCACTTTTAAAGCAAATGGGGAGTCCTCTTTCTCTGGAAGAATATTGTATTTCATGGATGTCTGTGAAACAGCAAAGACACTATCAGTTTCTCTCTTTTTCTGGACCCCTCACTTCCTCATTACTTAACGTCTCCAGAGGTGCCTTTTACTTTCCCAGGAAGGAAGGAACAGAGTTTCCATTTCAATTGGCAAGTTTAAAGTTGACTCTCACCCATATAAGCTTGGAGCCCTACCTGAAGATACACACATCTTTCCCCAGTTACTGTTATGACATATTCTCCAGGGAGCTCTGGCAATGAGATCTGCTGCAGTAATAGGAGGTTGTTGTTGTCTACTTGGAAATTTGTAGAAAAGGTCTGTGAATCCTGAACGGTGACCTGTGCAGTTTTCTCAGTTCTGGTGAAAGTGGCTGCTCCATACCTGGACAGGGCATGGAGAGCCACCACTGTGTCCTGGAAGAGACGAGTGGACAACCGCCCCAAAGAGTAAATTTTTGGCATCTGGGATTTTCCCCCAAAGTCTGTGTTAGCCTACCATGAGGGAAGCTGGCTTTTTACCCCTAAGGTAGATCTTCACTAATTACCTTTCCTTTTTCTCTGCCTTTCAGACATTATCAAAATCATGCTGCAGTTTCTCCAAATGAAATAAAAGGCTAATAATGTTTATTAATGTCACTGTTTATTTTCATTGACAGTCCTTTTGGATATGTCCTTCAAAGAATAGGTCTAAAACTAAGAAGTTAAGACAAAAATAGTGACCATTTTTAAGTAGATGATTGACCAGTTAGATGGAAGAGTGATAAAAATTTACTGTACATGAAAATGGTATGAGACAAGTTGCACTTTCTTGAGTTTCTTTTTACCTTCATCTAGCTTGTTTTTATTTACCCCACCTAATCTCTCTGAAAAACAAAAGTTTCACTATGGAGATCCTAACTGTTGAAAGAAGACATGTAGGAGGGAAAAGCCAGACACTCTGGGTGTTTAATACAATCATTTATACTCTCGATAAAATACTTTTAGAATTATGCTAGAAAAATACATTTTCAAGAGCTTCAGCTTAAAAAAGATCAACTTAAAGAGAAAGTAAGAAGAGCACTCTCAGGGAAAGTAGAAAGGAATGAAGAAGCTGAGTTCCTTGGAGTAGTTGAAATGGAACTTCTCATTCCAAAAAGATCAAAGTGGATTCTACTTAGTCACTGTACTTTTAATCACACATTTTTTGGGGAATACATCTTAGAGGATTTCTTGTTAGATTCTGAAGATGTCTGGAACATTGGTTCCCAACTGGAGGAAATTTTTTCTTGTTTCAACTGGAAGTGACGTGCTACTGGCATCTAATGGGGAGAGGCCAGGGATACTATTGAATATTTTATAAGGCTGAGGATAGTTCCTTTTACAACGATGATGTGGCTCGAAATGTCAATAGTGTTGATGCTGAAAAACTCTGGTCTAGAATGTGTCCAATGACCATAGCGTGGCTTTAGAGGGTAAAGATGCTCGTTGTACGTCTCCATGTTGCTAATATATTAACATAGGGCTTAGTGAAAAGTGTTATGGGGGATGTCTTAAGTCTTTCCTTTAAATTCTCATGGTCCTCAAATATTCCTAAATACTTCTTCAATGATTTAATAATTGCCTTCTCTTTTCCATTAACTGTTCTACTTTTAAGCCTCCCAATTGCCAAGTGAACCTGGAGCAGAAGACTCTTTGGGAACCACTGACCTGGGTGGAGGAGAAACCACCTTGGGCGTTCTGCTGCTTCATGATCCACTTCACAATGTTAGTTGCAGAGGTCAGGTCCCCTGAGGTGGGGGCTGGCTGGGCCGTGAGATAAGCGAGGAGCACATAGGATGTCATCTCCACCTCAGCAGAGGGAGCCTGGGTTTGGTAAAGATGCCCCACTGGTGCCTTGGGTCTCTGAGGGCGCTCCCAATGGACGAGGTTGTCTTAAGGGTGAGAAAAAGGAGATAATTGTAACTCATCAATAAGTAATTATAACTGGTAGATAAGAGAATGCACATTCATAATACATGGAGCTGAAAATAATACAGGAGAAGCAAGGTCTTCTATGTCATAAACTCCTAAAACTCACTAACTCACACTTCTATGCTGAACTTGATTTAGTCCTGTGGTACGAAGGTAGGGTAGGTTGATGGAGGAAGAAGCATAGAGCATACTCACCAATCTCTCCAATGTTATTTTAGTTGGACTGATGAAAGAGAAAAGTGGTAGAGAGAGTTCTTTTATTGTTCGTGATATTTTCTGAGAATTGCAGTATAGACTAGAATATAAAACTTAACTATTGACCTCATGTGACTTTTGTGATGCTCTCTCTGGCAAATAGAGATAAAAATAGTTTGAAAATGTTATTGCATTTTCTGTTTGTTGTACCTCTTTTCTTTCTTTTTTTTTCTCTCCAACTGAATCAGTCCGTTTTTGTTGTTTTGTAACCTCTTCCAGAGTTAACTACTTCCATTGTAGGTGATGAAATGTATAAGGCACCACTTCAAATGTTGGCACTGCTATAAGCATGTTCTTTCCTGCTAATTCAACTCAGAATTAAAACTTTTGATTCTTGTTTTGTTTTTTGTTGTTGTTATTGTTGTTGTTGTTGTTGTTTTTGTACTCCATACTCAGAAATAGTTTCCACTGTAGAAGTTATCTCATGGCAGTTGTGTTCTTTCTAGTAGTGGTCTACAACCAGACTCTAGTTTCTCCAAGAACACTACAAGATAGATTGAGTTTAAATATGTACTAAACTAAATGACACTCTTTCAAATGAGTTTGAATGCATTTTGTTTTTAGACAACCTCTATGACATTTTTTCCTTAAAAACAATGCCTCTGCTCCAAATAAATCATGGTCAAAATAAATGAAGATCTCAAGATGACATCAGTTCTACTTGTCTAAGTCCTGGTGTTGTATGGATGACAAGCAGAAGCCAGTTATGACAGGTGATACATCCAAAGTAACTGCCAAATTTGTTAACATTTTTCCATTTCTAAACCATGGAAAATCATCTATGGAGTCACACCATCCTCATGGTAGTCCAGCAGAGGCAGCATGCCATATGGGTTCATGTTTTCACCAATAAAGAACTGGTAGTTTTTATTGCTTCTTGACCTTTTGGCTAAGATCAAATGAAGAACTGGTAGTTTCTGAGATTAGAAAGAGTGTGCTTGATTTGTTCTGCAGCTCCTGTTATAAAAGGTTTTACTGTTTCTGGTCTCTGTTCTTTAAGTTTGTCTTTGATTTTATGTCAGCTTTGATGTACTTCTTGTAGGCTTCTTTTGTGAAGTCAGTTCCTGCAAGTGATTGTTCATGACAATATCAACACCAATGATTACTCTGCTTCCAGTACCTTCGCTTTGGGAAACTTCAGTGAAGGCATCTCCACCAATAAGCGAGTCATCAATGTCACCCTTTGTCCTACTGACCATCTTCCCCTCCACCTCCAGGCACAGTCCTTCCTCCATCTCTGGATCTTGTAAATGTCAGAGAACATCTCAGCGTGGCTGATGAGATCCTGGTAGATAATTATGATGGTAGCTGAAAGGAGACTATAGCAGCACTAGCTTAGGAGAAGCCCAGAGCATGAAGTGAGCATGGTGCAGCCAGGACGGCATTGGGTGGGAATTTAGGGGGTATGGAAGAGCTGTTGTACCTCTTTTCATTCAAGTAAGTAGAGAGAAATCATGAGAAAATGAATCTATTTGTCTATTATATTGGTTTTAGCAAGTAGAAATAAAACTGCATTATTTATCTGCAGCATTATGTCTATTATGTTCTGCTCTGTGTAACATATGCAATCCCAGAGAAGACAGTTTTATAAGAGGTGCTCTGATCTCACAATGTATGACTTGGCTAAGGAATTACAGATGAAGCTTGTGGATTTCAGAAGGAATATATTTCTTCTTTTTGTAGAATCAGTGTAAATGGAAATGGAAATTTGGTACCATTTGCTGTTTGCTCTCACCTTTTTTTGCACAGTTTTTAAAAAAACTTTTATTATTTATCTATTTATTTATTTATTTTTTAAATGTTATTTTATTTTAAGTTCTGGGGTACATGTGCAGGATGTGCAGGTTTGTTACATAGGTGTGCCATGGTGGTTTGCTGCATGTATCAGCCCATCACCTGGTTATTAGGTCCCCCATGCATTAGCTATCTATCCTGATGCTCTCCCTCTCCGCACCTCCCAGACAGGCCCCAATGTGTGCTGTTCCCCTCCCTGTGTCTATGTGTTCTCATTGTTCAGCTCCCACTTATAAGTGCTCTCACCTTCTTTCACAGCTTCCTTATCAAGTGAGTTCAGTATTTCTCTATTCTGATTTTGCTTTCCCAGTAGGGAAAAAGCATAGGCCAGCAATGCCTTGGTGTAGACATGGCTCCCATGGGTCCCCTCCTTTGCTACATTCCAGGCTGACTCCAGGCAGAACAGGGCATTGCGAACAATAGGGTTCTGTAAAGGCAAAATGTGGTTGTGTCAAACTAGGGTGAATAGAGGGCAGAGCAAGCTGAGAGCTGGATATTGACAGTCAGATGTTATTAATAGATTTCAGACAGATAGGCAGACAGCTAGATATTCATCATATTTAAATAGAAAAATATTTCGATCTCTTCCCTTTATAGTTCAGTCTTAAAGAATAAGACTAGAGAACCTGTTTTTAGGATTGGTTTTGATACATAGTCTATGGGCATTACTGGGCAAGTGTAAATCTCTCTTAATGCATCAACCAAAGAGCTTATCAGTCTGAGAAATCCCTCATCATTGAACCAAAAGATACTTGAGACTCAACCCTTAGCAGGGTGGCATTCCAGACAGCAAATCTACAGTTTTCATGGTAGGGAATGGGATTGAGCTGGTACCTACAGTGACTGGGAGAGGAATTTCCAGAAGGGCAATAGTAACATAGGCGGAGAGGGTCGCTTCATCTTCTACACCTCCCTGTGAATACAACATTGATTTGATTAATTCCAGTGCCAAGTGTTAGTATATTCTCTTCTGTTGTTTGATGGAAACGCTCCTCAGTATCTGTTTCCATTCAAAGTATACCATTTCCTTCTCTCTCTCTCTCTCGACAGGTTCTTGCTCTGTAGCTCAGGCTGGAGTGCAGTAGCACTATCACACATGACAGCCTCAAGCTCCTAGGCTCAAGCAATTTTGCTGCCTCAGCTTGTCAAGTAGCTGCAACTACAGGCACAGGCCACCATGCCTGGCTAATTTTGTAAAATGTTTTTTGTAGAGACTGGGTCTTGCTATGTTGCCCAGGCTAGTCTTATACTCCTGGGCTCAAGTGATCCACCTGCCTTGGCCTCCCAAAGTGCTGTGATTCTACGTGTGATCCACTGCATCTGGCCCAATTTCTTCCTTCTCTGTAGAAAGTGTAATACTCTTTCCCTGATGCCATCCCACATCATCCAGGACTTCATCTTTGCAATTTCCTTGTGCCTCCTTCCTCCCTTCACCCCTGGGGGATGTTATGTTGATGTGTGTCAGGCTCAGAAGTTTGTGGAACAGTTCACCTTTATGGCATTGTTGAGCAGTGACCCAGAGCTCCTGAAACAGCCATTGTCCTTCTGCATCTGGGAGAGCCACGTGAGAGATTGGGTAATGTGTGCTTCATCAATGAAGATGTAGGATCGAGCCTGGGCGAAAGTCTTCAGTACAAAAGCTGTGAGCCTAGGGGGAGGAAAAATGCAGTGCTGAGGCTCTTTTCATTGAGCACTTTACTGCTCTGTTTTGTACACACAGGCTCCCCCATCACAGTGTGCACCCAAGAAAGTCAATCAGCTGTTACTGAGAGTTTGGAGACTTTTTCTTTTTAGCTTAGACATCTCTTTTTCTTTTTTCTTTTCTTTTCTTTTTTTTTTTTTTTTTGCTGCCACATGTTGTTCAATTCATTACCAGCTTGTCCTTGCTTCCTAAAGCATTTCTATGCCACTTCAGAGGTTCAGGTTCCTTCCAGTTTTCTTGGTTGGTTAACTAAGTCATTTGCTTTTACACTGTGGGCTCTATGAATTTATTTCCTTTCCTAGATTTCTTAGCTTACTTTCTGTAGTTTTAACTCTAATCAGCTAACTTCTAATGTTCTGCTTCAGTAAATATTTCCCTCCATCATCCTGCCCTTCCACTTTTTTCCCCTGTGTTTGCCTGTGTGGTAAAACTACAAAGAGAGAGAGAGAAAGGATATCATCTAGTAGAAGGTAGTAAGGTATGCTCTGCCAGTAATGGTTGTGGTTTTATTCTAGCATTTTTCTAACACCTCTTAGGGCTGAGCAACAATTTAAGGGGGCAAGTTACAAACCTATAATGTTCCCTTAGCAACATGAGAAGGAAGAGGGTCTGGGTATATTGGATTAAAAAAATCAACCTAAAAGTGTTCTCAATTTTGCCACTTATTAGATGTTTGCTCCTGACACATTTATTTATCCACACTGAATATGTTTTCTCCTCTGTAAAATGAAGCTAATAACTCTCACTTCCCAGGGTAGCTATAAGAATTAAATAAGGTAACATTATGGTTTAGAAATTGTTTCTCCACCAAAACTCATGTTAAAACTTAATCCCCAATGTGGTAGTATTGAGAGGTGGAGCCTTTAAGAGGTGATTGGCTCATGAGGGTTCTGCTCTCATGAATGGATGAATCTATTCCTAGATTAAAGGGCTATCATGACAGTTGGACTGGTGGCTTCATAAGAAGAGGAGGAGATGCTAGCCCAGTCTCTACAAAGTAAAACAAAGAAAAGAAAAGAAGAGAAGGAGAGACCCAAGTGAGCCCATTCAATCCTCTAGTCATATGATGCCCTGCATCACCGTGGGACTCCTCAGAGTCCACACCAGCAAGAAGACTCTCAACTAGATGCGGCCCCTAGACTTTTGACTTATCAGCCTTCATAGCTATAAGAAATAAATTTCTTTTCTTTATAAATTACCTAGTTTCAGGTATTCTGTTATAAGCAACAGAAAATGGACTAAGACAGGTAATCTATGTGCACGTTCTGAACTCATAGTTGAAACTCAGAATAGATTTTCTTTCTTACCAAGTGTTGCCCTGGTTCCTGCCATATCGTTCCCCAAAGGTGCTGTAGGAGCCATCTTGGTGTTTGTAGTTCAGCTGTCTCTGGTAACCTGAAATGGAAGGCTTCAGATTGTTCATGAAGCATTAAAGAAAGGCAGGCCATCCATATGTTTAGGCTCATGCATCCAGGCGCCATGGACATTTTATGACCTTCTGTGATCTGCCATAGTTTTGTGAATGTTATGGATAGATCAAACACAACATCCTATTAGAGTGTGGGAAGATTGTTGTTTTCATAAAAATTATCATCATGGGTTAATATTTGATGATATAACTGAAGCTTAATTGGGAAAAGTTTCATTAGAGTAACAAAGTAAATTTTTCTCTGTCTCACTTACCAGTGATGAGATAGCCAACGGCCTTGGCCTTGATCTCCTGCGTCAGCTGCTGGGTTTCATTCAGATAGTTCAAGACATAGATGTTAGGAGCAAATAGGACCATGTTCTGTTCTCCACAGCCATATGGCATCTGGAGGAGATTTTGTATATTTTGCATAGCAGAACCTAATATGTCACCTGGGGAATGTGAAAGATTAGATGTCAGAATAATTTCAGTTCATAAATAGCCAACATTATTAACAAAAATGGCCTTTATATTCAGAGTCTATCATTTAGGTAAGAGAAAAGTTATATACACAGAGTGTGACTTCCAGAATCCTAATAAGAATAGCAGCTATCGCCTGTAATCCCAGCACTTTGGGAGGCCGAGGCGGGCGGATCATGAGGTCAGGATATCGAGACCATCCTGGTGAACACGGTGAAACCCCGTCTCTACTAAAAATACAAAAAAATTAGCCGGGCGTGGTGGCGGGCGCCTGTAGTCCCAGCTACTCGGGAGGCTGAGGCAGGAGAATGGCGTGAACCCAGGAGGCGGAGCTTGCAGTGAGCCGAGATCACGTCACTGTACTCCAGCCTGGGCGACAGAGCGAGACTCCATCTCAAAAAAATAAAAAAGAATAGCAGCTATCAAGAACTTGATAATTCAAATACAAATACGTAGATAAGATGTACAGTGGCAACTCTTTTGGCCCAGGTTTACTAAATGGAAGGTGACTCACCCAGAACTGAGAAAGAAGCTCTGGCAGATTCTTTGACCACATTTGATGGGAGCTTCAAGGACAACTGCTCAGACACATTAGCACCTTTAGAAACAGACAGCCCATGTTAAAGGAGGACATCTATGATTACAATATAATTTAGTGATTATAATGTAGTGAGAGCTTCAGAGCCACACTCCCTGGATATGGTACTGGCCCTGCTTTGTGACCTTGGGTAAATTGTGATGATTTGAGGAAAAAACACATGTAAAACATTCAGAACAGTATCTGCAACATATTCAATTTCAACGAATGTGAGCAATTGTTATTATTGCAGTTATTTTATTATTAGAGTTAGCAGTAATATTATTATATCTCCTTGTGGAACTCTGGGTGCAAGGAATAAGAATTTGACTTAATGATGAGACTACCTTTGATAGTCTAATTGCTTTTGGCACTGTGTGACTTCCAGAGTCCTTCCTCTTCTCATTTAACTATATTTTTGCATGGCTGTGCTCAGTAGCTTTCTAAAAGAAGCCTAAGACTTAGTGGGGGAACTATCGCTCTCCACTTTTGTAGCAATATTAAGACTTATAACCATGATAATACAAGTTATTTTACTGCCTCCCTTACACTATATTTGAATGGATTCCCATGTTTATAAATAGATAACATGAATATACCTTAAATTAGTCCTTCTCAAATGACAAATACAGTGCTGTATACACTGTGGACATAGAACTAATAATGTGGCGGTTCTGTATAAAAGCTACAACTACTTCTTAATGATATGATGAACTTAAATGTAAATTATTTTCTACACGGAAAACACACATTTTTAGTGAGATGGGTAGGAAATGCTATATGTTTTGTCAGCAGCTGTTTTAGAGACTATCTCTTGGGATTCAAACTTATCATGACCCTGCTGTCTTTAGTTTTTGTTGTTGTTGTTGTTTGCTTGTTTGTTTTTTTAAGAGTCTCACTCTGTTGCCCAGGTTGGAGCGCAGTGGTGTGATTTCGGCTCACTGCAACCTCCCCCTGCCCGGCTCAAGCGATTCTCGTGCCCCAGCCCCCCATGTAGCTGGGACTACAGGCGCCCGCCACCAGGCCTGGCTAATTTTTGTTTTTTTCGTAGAGACAGGGTTTCACCATGTTGGCCAGGCTGTTCTCAAACCCCTGACCTCAAGTCATCCTCCCGCCTCAGCCTCCCAAAATGCTGGGATTACAAATGTGAGCCACCACACCCGGCTAACCCTGCTCTCTTTCTACCTCATCCTGGGACACTCTAAGCTTCTGCAGCTGGGCTTGTCAGTGAGCAGCCACTGGGCTATCCAGGTAAAAGGGCTACGTATGAACCAAGAAAGCCCAGGTATTAGTCCTGTCTGTACCACCTGAGTCACATTAACTTGCTCTCTTGGGCTCAATGTCTTCATCTGTAAAACATACATAAAGAAATATTTAGTATTATGCTGACTTTCATGGAACACTCTGAAAACTGGGAGATAAAATGAATGTGCATTGTAACTTGAGGTTTATACCCCTTTGTGGTTTTGATCTCACTATGATTATGAAGATGGACTCTTACCTGAGGCACAGGTCATAGAACTGAAAGTCTTTTCTTGCTCAATACCTTCAGCCTTGGATGAAAGGAAAGAAAAGGAGAAAAGATAGAAACATCCTGGTGACAAGAGAACCACATGGATTCCTTTCTTTGATGGGTAGGGTTTACACGAATGATGTTTACCATCCTACTCTTTTTTTCCCAACTTTTGTTTTAAGTTCAAGGGGACATGTGCAGGAGGTGCAGGTTTGTTACATAGGTAAATGTGTGCCATGGTGGTTTGCTGCACAGATCATCCCATCACCTAGGGATTAAGCCCAGCATCCACTAGCTATTCTTCCTGATGCTCTCCCTTCTGTCACTCCCACTCTCAGACAGGCCCCATATATGTTGCTCGCCTCCATGTGTCTATGTGTTTGCATCATTCAGCTCCCACTTATAAGTGAGAACATAACATCCTACTTGTTATTGAATTATTACAAATCCATAAAACATTGAAGAACCAGGGAGGGTGGTAGAGAGAAAATGGGAAGAGATAATAAGGGCAGTAAATCAAAGCTAATGGGTATGAGAGATATGTGAATCTTAGGAGAGAGGTGGAGATCAAGAAATTGCGCTCAATGTAATCCCAGCACTTTGGGAGGCCGAGAAGGGAGGATCACGAGGTCAGGAGATTGAGACCATCCTGGCTAACATGGTGAAACCCCGTCTCTACTAAAAATACAAAAAAAAAAAAAAAAAAATTAGCCAGGCGCCTGTAGTCCCAGCTACTCGGGAGGCTGAGGCAGGAGAATGGCATGAACCCGGGAGGCAGAGCTTTCAGTGAGCCGAGATCGCAACACTGCACTTCAGCCTGTGCAACAGAGCAAAACTCCGTCTCAAAAAAAAAAAAGGAAATTGCACTCAAATAATTTGTGAAAAAAAATTTACAATAGCTGGCAATGTTGTCTGCTGCAATGCTTTTAGGGCAGGAAATTCCATTAGTCTTACAGGATGTATTGTGTGAGCATGATATTAATGGTTCTTTGTTGTCTCAAGAGTGACCGCCCGGTGTTGCATTCTTACAGTTGTTAGGGACTCCCAAAAATATGTTACCTCCACCAACAGGGTTTTGATGACTGTGTCTTTTCTTTTAATCTCAGGGACCTCAACAACCTCATTTCCACAGAGTTCTAAGGACTGCATTGCCTCTGCACTCACTGAGAAGTTCACATTCCCTAAAACAAGGAATATTGAAAACATGAGTATCCACTTTGATAGTCCAATCACCTTTAAGGGCTGCACCTTAAACTTATAGTTGTCCAGAATAGAAAATAAGGCTAAAAAAAAAGAAACCCACAAGGTTAATGTATACTAAGTAGCCAATGTCCAAGATAGTGATTCTGGGGACTAGCTTGGGTGAGAACAGTGGGAGGAGGTCATAGTGGATAGAAATAGGAAAAAAAACTAACTTTATAGAATTATATCTATGGCAAATAAAAGAGAGAATATGATGAAAAAAGTACTCAGACAGCCACCGTCCTTGTTGATTGATAGGCCCTTTTGGGTACTGTCACTCACCCAGAGTTTTAGGAGTCACTGTCCAAGACAAGGTTTGTCTCTCATTTCCACAGATACAATAGGATTCTTCTCCCTTTGTATTTTGGGAAGCTAGGAAGGCTGGAGAGGCTTTCAGCTGCACACTGACCTATCACCCCATGTGAGGCAGAGACAGAAATGATCAGAATATGGAACGACACGAACACATAGAATTGGGGCCAAGTGTGAGATGCTGCAGTAAATTGGGATTTGTAAGAAAAATGTATGTCACATAGATTCATCCATGCTTTAAGAAGCATGGCAATGGCAATGATACAAATCAAGATTGGTTGTGTATTAGGAGGATTTGGCATTTGCCTTAGGGTAGCTTGTGGACGTGCAGGCTTGGCAGTGGCAGAGGAAAGGGAAAAGCAGTGATTGTATATTGCCCTAGGGAATACTATCTGCTGCTATGTAGATTTTCATAGTTTCTTCCTTCCTTTCTTCTCCTATTTCTTACAACATATATTACATGTCTAATCCATACAAGACATAAAACACTGGGAATGGTAGATGAGAGGCTCCCGATCTTGAGGATATTGTGTCACAAGAAAGATGATCTATATACAACCACTATTACATAATTTACAAAGAGATAAGTGCTATAAGATAAATTAAAATTATATATTTTGGAGATTTCAAGATGACGGGTTGGAGAATGACTCTCGTGGAACTGAGAAAGCTGAGTTGTGTGTCAGCTTCAAGAATGTTCCTGGCATATAACCTAACTTGCAGCAAAGAATTCTGCAAGCGCTAAGAAATAGAAAAGCAAGGTGTGGCTTAGAGAGCCGTGATTTAAGCACCCATAGCACATATATCATTGTATTATCTTTCTGATCATGTCCTGCTTTGCATAGCACTAATTATTCACAGTGCTAACACACAATCCCTTGAATTATCCTTAGTCTCAGGAACAGAATCAGTAGCTGACTGATCAAAGGAATCTTTTGTTCTACCCACCTTTCCTGTTCACCCTCATTTTCCTTACCCGGATGCATTTGGGAAGGTAGTTTAGGACCGTGGCCTTGAGTGTGAAGACCTCTCCACGAATCACAGAGTAAGGCATTGTGAGCTCCACAAAGAAGGGCTGGAAGGCTCGGAGAGAGGCAGTGGAAGAGATACCAAGTCCAGCATCTTCGGACAGGCAGAAGGCCCCTGCCTTCCACTCGGTGATGGTGTCAGGGACTGTTACTCCTACCTCAGCCACACCTGATGAGCTGGGGAGGAGGGCAAGTGAAGAACAGAAATAATGAATGTAAGCCACCTTTTCTCAAGTGAGAATTAATATGCATAAAGCTAACGTCAAGAACTGAATCCACTTAAGGGTATATGCGAGTGTGCATTCGTGTGAACACTAGATTATGTCCTGGGATCTGAGTTGGGAAAATGAAAGCCACTGAATGGTACCTCTCCCCCTTATCAACAAATGATCATATCCCACATGTCTGTACTTTGAATAAAAATATTTGAATTGCGATTCATTTTAGTCCTTAACTTCCCTTGCTATTGTATAATCCCATAAATAAGCATTTTTAAGAATCATGACCAACAATTAGACCACTGGATTAATGTAGCCTGATTTGTTTATGTGCCTGCTCCAGCCCTGATATTTACAGAAGGCTCCCTGAACGACATTAAGCAGTATATATAGAACTGAATATTTATAGTTCTCATGTCTACTATTTGACAGTATCAGAAATAATTATTTTAGAATTGCTCAGCACTGAGACAATTGTATTAATGAGCCTATGCAATTGCGCATTTTACTTAGGTCTATCCTAAAGAGGAAGAGGTTAAGATAATTATTCAGAACTTTTCAGGAAGATTGTCTTAGAATTGAAAATGTTGGAGGAACCACATTCCCTCCCCTCCAGCAAATGGAGGAAAGTAAAGTTACTTACTTCACTGCCACCAACTCCCAGATCCAAGTCTCAGGAAAATAGCTTCGCACCGTTTCAGGGACTGGCCCTGAACTTTGTTCATTATTTAAGGGTATCACATTATATGTGCCTAATTGAGGAACATATGGTCTCTCTACTACTCCTAGACCTGCTAAAGTAAGAGAAAATTGTCTAGTTAGGGAAAAACATTCATTAATTTCATGGTGCACATGTGAGACGTTAGAGAACAAAATTTTCAGTTTTCCTGCTCAGACTGTCCTAAAAGTCTTGTAGAAGTTGTAGAACTTGGGAAATACTTTGTGATCCCTCATTCCCTGAAAAGAGAGGAGTCTTTGTCAAAGGTGGAAATTCTATGTATCCTAGACATAGCATAATTTGATGTGAATGGAAGCTGGAAAAACGAGATCACTTGGAGACAGTTTTATGGGTTTTGTGGCGAAGGACCAATTTTGAAATTGAGACAGTATTGCTTCATTCTTAGAGAAACTGAGCAGGAATTGTAAAATGCTCTTTAGACATTGAGAGTGGTTGCTATACTAAAAATGAAATTACCAGTGGAGTGAACAGAATTTAATGATTTACATTAAATTACTTTTACATAAATTAAATTTACTTTAAATCACTGTATGGAACTTTGCAAAACTGTTGTTCTCTGGGAAATAAGATTAGAGCATTAGATTTTATTCCACTTATTTTTTGACATCTGAAATAAACAATTCAGTTGTCAAAAACAGATATTTCCATTTGGAATGGCTGTGTGGTTCAGACAAAGAAATCATTTACCAACGTGAGAGGGTGGAGAGCTAGACATGAAAGCAATTTTGTCCACGTTGTGCCTGAAATCATGCTTACTAATTGAATTTGATTTAAGATCTCCCTCCATGTATCCCATCTGATATTTCAGAAATACCTTGTGAAAGAATACTTACAAGGAAAAATATATTTCTAGCAATTTCACCCTAACAGTTTTCTCCACTGAAGAAAGCATCAGTAGTAATTTCTTTAGTGAATATCATACACCTTGCCCCATGTCCTTCCAAGTGGTAACAATTTCTATCTCTGACTCTGATTTCTCACTGTTTTGTCTTCTCTGTCTTCACTCTTATCTTAAATATTGAAATATCTAAAAGGATGATGCACCTAAATGAACTATTTTCCATTTTCTACTGGATATGTCAAGGGCCCTCCAACTCCTCCAGTTATTGCAGTTAACAAACCATGGCATTATGTGTTATTTCAACTCCATTTAGTGGACCATGGCTATATCCTTCCTACTCTTACTGTCAACTTGACTTTCCACGTGTCCTTTCATAGTCTCTGCATCAAAGCTTTGTGTATCAGACCCAAGACCCTGGTGGCATGGGCTCACAAGGGTATCTCCTGATCCATGGGTTGCAGAGATCCTTGGGAGAAATGTGATTTCCCAGGCGAGGTCGCACAATCACTCACCGCTTCCCTTGGCTGGGGGTGGGGGTTCCTTCCGTTGCCCTCCCCCACCTCCACCCCTGCTGCTTTTCATTGTTCTCTGTAGTCATGGAAATGGCTTCATGTTGTTGAAGTTCTTATCAAGAAATTTCACAAGATATTTCAGTTTTCTTAGCTCTTTTATTTCCTCATATACCTGATTCATTTATAGCTACTAATTTCAATCCCTGTTATGTATTCATCACACATTTTAGAAGCTCTTTTTTTCCTGAGTGTTATTATATGCCGTCAATTTTCCATCTTGAATTTAATAAATTCAAGAACATTTCCTTCCCCCCAAACCTCAATGGTTTAAACTTGAAGTTTGTTCTATGTAAATCTCATGGCTATTTTCCTTTCCCTTATTCTTTATTCTCGTTATTTATATAACATCTCAGTTACAAGACAAAATCATATTTACCATTTTTGAGAAATTGTTTGAAATTTGTGCTATCATTGAAGGTATACTTAAACAGTCCATGGCCCTTTAAAAGGTGTCATTTTCTTAATAATAAAGCTCATTTAAAGATGGATATTAATCTTAAATGCCAAGGAACATAGAAAATGCTATTTAAACAATCAAAGTTCTTAATTTGTGTTGGTGCATTATATTTAGTTATCTTATTGGGCGTTTTGCAAGGTCTTGAAGAGCCATTAGTCAAATTCCTTCAATTTATTAATGAAGGATTTGAGGCTTAGAGAGGAGATATGACACACCCACTTCACATATAGGATATCTGATTTCCAATCCGAGCATATAAATATTTGTGAGCAGATGGATGTCAGGGATATTTTGGAGAAAAAGGGAGTTGGATTCATGAGAGAGGGATGACAAATGGCTGGGTAGTGTTCAAGTGTAAGTAGACCTGGTGATGGGACAGATGTTTTAATAAGTTCAAGGGTGTTGAAAAAGGCTGCTGTATTTGAATAGTGGTTTTGGCCATGGATTATGAGATATTTCTGTGATGTTCACGTTGTTTCTTGTCACCAGTGAAGCCCTTTGTCCTTCTTTATGTTTTTTAAAATACAGCATCCCTATGAATGTCTTTCCTGTTTCCATAATCAGAATTACTCTTTCTTTCCATTGTCAGCATTTTCCCTCTCTTACAGTACATCAGAATCTTGTATTTTATCTGATTTTGTGCCCTGAAGTATCGGATGTATCTAAAAAAAAATCTCTGATCAGTTCTAGCTATCACCAGCTAAGTCACCTCAGCAAGAAACAATTAATTTGAATCTTGGTTTCTTTGTGTGTATAAAGTGGAAATAGGGCTACATTACCTCATTTTAGCATTTTGGGCATAGTAATATTGTTGGACATGAAATAAAATTAAAAGCAAATTGCTGTTTTACCTCCATAGTATCCTTGACCTACTGCTCCTGCAGACACGGAAGGGATGACTGAACACGACTTTGGTTTTCGGATTTTTGAGTTAGTGAACACCTTCAATCCCATCCCCTGGAAAAAAATAATTGTTCAATCTACTTGTAAGCTTGATTAGAATATATAAAACATATTATCCTTAGAGACTTCTCTATGTAATTCCAGTATCCTTATATTAATTCTATGGCGAAACACTTGACAGTAAATATAGAGTAGTGAAATTACTAAACTTATGGATTATTAAGATTTTATTCTTTATTCATTATTTTTTGGTTTGCAAATAAAAAAACCTAAATATAACTAAAAAGTATCCAGATGAATAGGCAGAGGTTAGATCTAGCCCTGACTCACATACTGAGCTTTTGTGTGATCCTCACAAGAGACTTTAACCTTTTTATTGGCTTCATTTTTGTCTGCTGAAAAATGGAGAGGCAAGGCTACATAATTACTAAGATTATGAATAGATACAGAGTTTTATTAACATTCAAAAACTCACAAGCCAGCATGTTAATAAGTAGTGAGAATTTTACCTTGAGGAAGCTATAAATATCTGCTTCATTACTTGATAAGGGAACATAGATGGCTCCATTATGAATGAAGAAAGGACGGGGACAGTGTCCTTGTTCTTCCTCCTGCTGGTCCACATTGTCAGGAAAATTGGTGAGATCCTTCACAGTTAGCAGATTATATACCTGTAGCAGTGGGGGGATCAAAGGCAGAACTGTTACTTACTTTTCTTTTGAAATAGAATGAACTGAGAGAAATAAAATAATTATCACCAATCTTTTCTTGAGTACGTTCATGTAGTTGGTACCTTAGAGATAGTTGAAGATTTTCCTTATATTTAACAGTGTTGTTTTGTTATAAAGAAATGAAACCTACTTGGGAAAATGCTTCCAAAGATTAACAAAATCTTAAGTTATGAAGGATTAATTAAAACTTCATTGTAGAGTCTAGAGGTAAAAATAGACCAAATATAGAAAGAAGACGTAACTTGCATCTGTGTTTAATTAATACATAATGCCCTGAGGAATTTAGCTACATATTATTATTGCCACCTGTTAAACATCTATGTCTACTCAGGCTTATTCTCAGACAGAAAATCGTATAGATGGCCCATTAGAAGCAGCTGCGGTCTGCAGCACTTACGGAGTGGAATGAAAAAGCTTATTAAATGCAGCACCTTCAACTGAAATACCCAGGTTCTCACATTGAGACTGACTAGGCAAGCAACTTGAGCCACAGAGAACAATGAAAAGCAGCAGGGGCGGAGGTGGGGGAGGGCAACGGAAGGAACCCCCACCCCCAGCCAAGGGAAGCGGTGAGTGATTGTGCGACCTCGCCTGGGAAATCACATTTCTCCCAAGGATCTCTGCAACCCATGGATCAGGAGATACCCTTGTGAGCCCATGCCACCAGGGTCTTGGGTCTGATACACAAAGCTATGTGGAGTCTTGGCAGAGCAGCTGCTCAGGCACACAGAAACCCTGGAGTTTTACATAATCCGGCCCTGGGATCCCTGGAAAGGCAGGAAATCTGTTTGTATATATCCCTAGGAAGGGGGCTAAATTCAGAGAGCCAAAGAGCATCATCCTGTGGACCCCACTTCCACAGCACCTCACAGGTTAAGACTCACTGTCTTGGAATCTCAGCCAGCCGACGGCAGTGGGTTGGAGTCCACCTGAGATGGACCTGAGTTCCTGCAGGGAGAGGTGGGTGCCATCTCTGTGGTTCTGAGGACTCAGCCACTCCAGCCTGAAGGCTTGGGGAATACAGATGGTCTGGATGAGGAACGGTCCCCCACGATGCAGCACAGCTGCCTTGCCAGATTGTGATCAGACTGCTTCTTTAAGTGGGACCCTGATCCATTCCTCCTCATCGAGTGGGACCTTTCTGTGGGGGCTTCAGGTACTCCAGCCAGGGTTCTAAAGACAGAGCTTTGATCTCTCCCTGGGACCGAGCTCCTGGGGGGCAGGGGTGTCTGCCATCTCTGCAGTTTGGTTGACTCTGCCACTCCAACCTGCTGGCTTTGGAGAATACAGGTGATCCAGGTGAGGAAGGATCCCACCCAATGCAGCCCACCTGCTCTACCAAAAAGCAGCCAGGCTGCTTCTTTGAGAAGGTCCCTGATCCCATTCCTCCTGACTGGGCGAGACCTCCCAATGAGGGTCTCCAGCCACCTCCAACAGTTGCATGTGGGCTGGCAACAAGTTAGTACCCCCACAGGATGGAGTTTCTAGAGGAAGGCACAGGCTGCCATCTTTGCTGTTTCATGGCCTTTGCTGGTGATACTTCCACGTACGGGAGAAACCAAAGCAACTGGGGTCTGGAGTGGACCCCCAGCAAACCTCAGCAGCCCTATGATAGAGTGGCTTGACTGCTAAAAGAAAAACAAACAAACAAACAGAAAACAACAGCATCAACAAAAAAGACCTAACACAAATCTAATTCAAAGGGCAGCAGCCTCAAGGATTAAAGGTAGATAAGTTCACAAAGATGAGAAAGAATTAATTCAAAAACAACGAAAACTCAAAATGCCAGAGTGTCTCTTCTCTTCCAGATGACTGTGACACCTCACCAGCAAGGGCACAGAACCGGGCTGAGGCTAAGAATTGACAGAAGTAGACTTCAGAAAGTGGATAACAATAAACTTTGCTGAGCTGTAACCCAATGAAAAGAAGCTGAGAATCATGATAAAACAATACAGGAGCTGGTAGCCAGAATAGCCAGTTTAGAGAGGAACATAACTGACCTGATGGAGCTGAAAACCGCATCTCAAGAACTTCACAATGCAATCACAAGTATCAGTAGCAGGATAGACCAAGAGGAGGAAAGAATCTCAGAGCCTGAAGATTATCTATCTGAAATAAGACAGGCAGACTAGAATAGAGAAGAAAGAATGAAAAGAAATGAACAAAACCTCTGAGAAATATGGGATTATGTAAAAAGACCAAACCTATGACTGATTGGGATCCTTGAAAGAGACAGGGAGAATGGAACCAAGTTGGAAAACATACTTCAGGATATCATCCAGGAGAACTTCCCCAACCTAGCAAGACAGGCCAACATTCAAATTCAGGAAATGCAGAGAAGGCCAGTAAGATACTCCACAAGAACATCAACCCAAAGACACAAAATCATCAGATTCTCCAATGCCAAAATGAAAGAAACCATGTTAAGGACACCTAGAGAGAAAGGCCAAGTCACCTACAAAAGGAAACATATCATACTAACAGTGGACCTCTCTGCCAAAACCATGGAAGCCAGAAGAAATTGGGGGCCAATATTCAACATTCTAAAAGAAAATAATTTCCAACCCAGAATTTTATACCTGGCCAAACTAAGCTTCAAAAGCAAAGGAGAAATAAGATTCTTTTCAAACAAGTGAATGGTTAGGAAATTTATCAACACAAGGCCTGCCTTGCAAGAGCTCCTGAAGAAAGCACTACGTTTGGAAAAGAAAGACCATTACCAGCCACTACAAAAACACACTGAAGTACACAGGCCAGAACACTATGAAGCAATCACATAAACAAGTCTGCAAAAAAGCATCATGATGACAGGATCTAATTCACCCATAAAAATACTAACCTTAAATGTAAATGGGCTAAATGCTCTAGTTAAAAGACACAGAATGGCAAGCTGAATAAAGAGCCAAGACCCATCATCAGTATGCTATCTTCAAGAGACTCATCTCACACGCAAGGACAGACACAGGCTCAAAATAAAGGGATGGAGGAAAATTTACCAAGCAAATGGAAAACAGAAAAAAGCAATCCTAGTTTCTGACAAAACAGACTTTAAACCAACAAAGATCAAACAAACAAAGAAGGGTAGTATATAATAGTAAAGGATTCAATTCAACCAGAAGAGCTAACTATCCTAAATATATATGCATCCAATACAGAAGCACCCAGATTCATAAAGCAAGTTCTTATATACCTACAAAGAGACTTAGACTCCCACACAATAATAGCGAGAGACTTTAACACACCACTGACAATATTAGACAGATGATTAAGACAGAAAATTAACAAAGATATTTAGGACCTGAACTCAACTCTGGATCAAGTGGACCTGATTGATATCTACAGAACTCTCCACCAAAATTCAACAGAATATACATTCTTCTCATTGCCACATGGCATTTACTCTAAAATTGGACACATAATTGGAAGTAAAACACTCCTCAGCAAATGCACAAGAACTGAAATCATAACAGTCTTTCAGACGACAGTGCAATCAACTTAGAACTCAAGATTAAGAAATTCACTCAAAACCACACAACTATATGGAAATTGAATAAACTGCTCCTGAATGACTCTTGGGTAAACAATGAAATTAAGGCAGAAATCAAGAAGTTATTTGAAACTAATGAGAACAAAGAGACAATGTACTGCAATCTCTGGGATGCAGCTAAAACAGTGTTAAGTGGGAAATTTATAGCACTAAGTGCCTGCATCTAAAAGCTAGAAAGATATCAAATCAACAACCTAACATCTCAACTAAAAGGACTGTAGAACCAAGAGCATACAAACCCCAAAGCTAGCAGAAGACAAGAAATAGCAAAGATCAAAGCTGAGCTGAAGGAGATAGAGACATGAAAAACCCTCTTAAAAAAACAATGAATCCAGGAGCTGGTTTTTTTGAAAAAAAGTTAATAAAATAGATAGACTGCTAGCTAGACTAATAAAGAAGAAAAAAAGAAAAGAATCAAGTAGACACAATCAGAAATGATAGGGGAATATCACCACTGACCTCACAGAAACGCAAACAACCATCCGCAAATACTATAAACACCTCTGTCTATATAAGCTAGAAAATCTAGAAGAAATGGATAAACTACTGGACACATACACCCTCCCAAGACTGAACCAGGAAGAAACTGAATATTTGAATAGACCAATAACGAGTTCTGAAATTGAGGCAGTAATAAATAATCTACCAACCAAAAAAAGCCCAGGACCAGATGGATGCACAGCTGAATTCTACCATAGGTACAAAGAAGAGCTGGTACCATTTCTACTAAAACTATTCCAAAAATTGAAAAGGAGGGACTCCTCGCTAACTCATTCTATGAGGCCACCATCATCTTGATACCAAAACCTGGCAGAGTCACAACAAAAAAAGAAAGCTTCAGGCGAATATCCCTGATGAACATCGATGCAAAAATCCTCAACAAAATACTTGCAAACCAAATCCAGCAGCACGTCAAAAAGCTTATCCACCACAACCAAGTAGGCTTCATCCCTGGGATGCAAGCTTGGCTCAACATACACAAATCAATAAGTGCGATTCATTACATAAACAGAACTAAAGACAAAAACCACATGGTTATCTCAATAGGTGCAGAAAAGGCCTTTGATAAAATTCAACATCCCTTTATGTTAAAAACTCTCAATAAACTAGGTATTGAAGGAACATACCTCATAAGAGCCATATATGACAAACACACAGCCAATATCATACTGAATGGGAAAAAGCTGGGAGCATTCCCCTTGAAAACTGGCACAAGACAGGGAAGCCCTCTCTCACCACTCCCATTCAACATAGTATTGGAATTTCTGGCCAGGGCAATCAGGCAAGAGAAATAAATAAAGTGTATTCGAATAGGAAGAGAGAAAGTCAAATTATCTTTATTTGATTTTATATCTAGAAAACCCCATTATCTCAGTCCAAAAGATTCTTAAGCTGATAAGCAACTTCAGCAAAATCTCAGGATACAAAATCAATGTGCAAAAATCACAGGCATTTCTATACACCAACAACAGGCAAGCAGAGATCCAAATCATGAATGAACTCCCATTCACAATTGCTACAGAAAGAATAAAATACCTAGGAATACAGCTAACAAGGGAAGTGAAGGACCTCTTCAAGGAGAACTACAAACCACTGCTCAAGGATATCATAGAGGACACAAACAAATGGAGAAACATTCCATCCTCACGCATAAGAAGAATCAGTGTAATGACAATGGCCATACTGCCCAAAGTATTTTATAGATTCAGTGCTATTCCCATTAAACTACCATTGACATTCTTCACAGAATTAGAAAAATCTATTTTAAAATTCATATGGAACCAAAAAAGAGCCTGAATTGCCAAGACAATTCTAAGCAAGAAGAACAAAGCTGGAGGCATCATGTTACCTGACTTCAAACTTTACTACAAGGTTACAGTAACCAAAACAGCATGGTACTGATAAAGAACAGACACATAGACCAATGGTACAGAATAGAGAACTCAGAGATAAAACCGCAAACCTACAACCATCTGATCTTTGACAAACTTGACAAAAACAAGCAATGGAGGAAAGGCCTCCCTATTTAGTAAATGGTGCTGGGAATGCTGGCTAGCCTTATGCAGAAAATTGAAACTGGACCCCTTCCTTTCACCATATACAAAAATTAACTCAAGATGAATTAAATACTTAAATGTGAAACCCAAAACTATAAAGACCCTTGAAGAAAATCTAGGCAATACCATTCAGGAGATAGGCGCAGGCAAAGATTTCATGATGAAAATGCCAAAAGCAACTGCAACAAAAGCAAAAATTGGCAAATGAGATATAATTAAATTAAAGAACTTCTGCACAGCAAAAGGAACTATCATTAGAGTGAACAGACAACTTTAAGAATGGGAGAAAATTTTCCCAATCTAACCACCTGAGAAAGGCCTAATATCCAGAGTCTACGAGGAACTTAAACAAATTTACAAGAAATAAAAACCCATTAAAAAGTGGGCAAAGGACATGAACAGACAATTCTCAAAAGAAAACATACATACAGCCAACAAACATATGAAGAAAAGCTCAACATCACTAATCATTAGAGAAATGCAAATCAAAACCACAATGAGATACCATCTCACACCAGTCAGAATGGCTGCTGTTAAAAAGTCAAAAAACAACAGATGCTGATGAGGTTGCAGAGAAAAAGGAATGCTTTTTTTACTGTTGTGGGGAGTGTAAATTAGTTCAACCACTGTGGAAGAAAGTGTGGTGATTCCTCAAAGACCCAGAGGCAAAAATACCATTTGACTCAGCAATTCCATTACTGGGTGTATAGCCATAGGAATATAAATTATTCTGTTATAAAGATACATGCTTGCATATATTCACTGCAGCACTATTCACGATAGCAAAGACATGGAATCAATCTAAATGCCCATCAATGATAGACTGGACAAAGAAAATGTGGTACATATACACAATGGAATACTATGCAGCCATAAAAAGGATGAGTTCATGTCCTTTGCAGAGACATGGATAGAGCTGAAAGCCATTATCCTCAGCAAGCTAACACAGGAACAGAAAACTAAACACTACATGTTCTCACTTATGAGTGGGAGCTGAATGATGAGAATACATGGGGGAACAACACTCACTCCGGCCTATTAGAAGGTAGGGTGTGGGGAGGGAGAGCATCAAGAAGAATAACTAATGGATGCTGGGCTTAATACCTAGGTGATGGGTTGATCTGTGCAGCAAATCACCATGGCACATGTTTACCTATGTAACAACCCTTCACATTCTGCACTTGTACCCCTGAAGTTAAAATAAAAGTTGAAGAAAGAAATAAATAAATAAAACGCAGTCCATATTCAAAATAAAAATAAAAGAACCACATAGGCACATAAATGAACTTATGCCATTATATTGGATAGACCAATGTCTATGCAGTGTACTTTTTATGGAAAATGGATGATTCAACAGATTCAAGAACCCACAGGGCAGGGCCAGAGGCCTGAATATTTATCCCTGGACAGATGTAAGATTGAGTCTTAATCAGAGAACTTCCATTTGCCAGGCTTGATCTCAGAGTAATTATGGACGAGTAACTCCTGAGTGCCTCTTGTTTCCCCTTTTTTGAACAGGAGTGTCAATAGTGATTATTCTATGCCAGTTCCACCATTGCATGTTAAGTGTGTGGGGCCAAATAACTTGAGTACACTTTAGTTCAATGTCTTTGTATCTAGAGGTATTGTACCTGAGGAATCACACCTGAGAGGCATTATCTGTACTTGGACCTGATTTAAATGATATTTAGCCTTTGAGCTGTTCCTATTTTACAATGAGAATCTCAGAGAGAGGATCGAGTATATTTTACATGTGAGAGCTCATGAATTGCTGGGGATCAGAGGTCAGGCTGTGGAGACAGCTTCCAGAATTGCCCACAATAATCTCTGCCTCCTGGTATTCATGCCCGAACATTGTTCGTCGCACAATGAATAGGGTTGACCTCTGTAGCCAATGGGATATTGTGGAAATGAGGGGACATGTCTTTCAGGCCTAGGTCATAAAAGATATTGCAAGTTTAGCACTCTTGGAACGCATTAGCTCTCTTGGATCACATGCTCTGGAGAAAATCAGTTGTCACATTGTGGGACACCAGCAGCCCTAGGACCTCTGTGTGGTGAGGAACTGAGGCCTCCTGCCAATAGCTCTCAAGAAACTTGTCTTGGAAGCAGATCTTCCAACCTCTGTCAAGCTGTCAGGTGGCTGCAGCTTTGGCCGCCATGTTAATCGCAACCAGGGCAGGTCACAAGCTAGACCCACCTAGCTAAGCTGCTCTGAATTCCTGACTCACAGAAATTGCATGTGATAATAAATGTTTATTGTTTTAAGCCACTAGGTTTTGAAGAAAATTGTTATGCAGCAGTAGATAGGTAACGCAAACACCCTTTCTACTTCTTTATTTACCTTTGTTTTTGAGTAGAATTAAATAGGTACATAAATGAACATGTATTATTTATATTGGGTGAACTAATGATTTCTATTATTATTCAAAGCGACCACGCTTAAACGTTTCTATAACTTTATCATCTGAAATCTTCAGTTATGTTCATAGTTTCTTCTCACTTCCACAACACTCAAAGTTTACCAAACCTTACTGAAGTGACTGTTAAATTTATGTGACTAAAAGGAATAAGACAGACATAAACTGTTGAAAGGTAGACTAAATTCCTGTACTACATGCTGAAATTAATAGCTTAGACTAGACTTCCATAAACAGAGAGTGTAAAAATATCAGGCATATTACCAAAGAAAGCACTCAGAGAGAAAGTTTTCTTGTTTTGGGTTAACTTCTTGTTGTTTCTTCTAACTAAAATACAGAAATATAGTCATTGTCTCTTGCCTAATAATTATTACGCTATGAGGAGATATTTTGACCTGTTAATAAAATACAAATCAAGATCAAGAAAAATTTTGATTATAGCAATCCCCCAATCTGCGGTTTTGGTTTCCAAGATTTCCATTATCTGTGGTCAACTGTGATCCAAACATATTAAATGGCAAATTCAGAAATAAACAATTCATACGTTTTAAATTGCTGCCATTTTGAGCAGCATGATGAAATCTCACACTTTCCTGCTTCATCTTGCTCGGGATATGAATCCTCTGTTTTTCTGGTGGATCCACACTGTAGCCACTCCCTGCCCCTTAGTCACCCAGAATCCTCAGTTACAAGATTGTCACAGTATCTCAGTGCTTGTGTTCAAGTCACCCTTATTTTACTTCATCATGGCCCCAATGCACCAGAGTATTGATGCTGGCAATTGGGAGGTGAAAGAGAAGCCGTAAAGTGCTTCCTTTAGGTGAAAAGGTGAAAGTTCCCCACTTGATAAGGAAAGAAAAAATAATGTATGCTGAGGTTGCCAAGATCTACGGTAAGAACGAATCTTCTATCTATCAAATGGTGAAGAAGGAAAAAGAAAATCATGCTTGTTTTGCTGTCACATCTCAAACTACAAAAATTATGGCTACAGCACGCGATAAGTGCTTTGTTAAGATGGAAAAGGCATTAAATTTGTGGGTGGAAGACAGGAACAGAAATGTGTTCCAGCTGATGGTCATTGGGTTCAGTGCTATCCACAGTTTCAGACACCCACTGAAGGTCTTGGGACACACCCCTGCAGATCAGGGGGCACTAGTGGATATGCTCCAACCTGAAGAATGTTAATTTTGATAATTAAAAATAGGACAGGGGTCTCAGATATAGTTATCTCACAGTTTAAAATTTTAATAGACATGAAGTAGAAACTAGAATAAACAAAAGAAAATTTCATATTACGAATTTACCAACCAACATTGAAAGGTAATAATACCTCCCAAACAGATAAGTTGATTGACCCTTTTAAATGGTGATTCATGAGGGAGTTAAAGCTATAAAATTTCTCATAACTTTTTATCAAAGATCAAATCATAACATTATTTTTTCTTGCATTATGTTAAAAAGTTCCAAACACGAGTAATCTAGTTTTAAATAGGTTAGACAAGTAGTTTCTGAACTTTTCCCTTCCTTCTGATAATTATTCTTCAAAAACCCCATATTAGATATCATTTTCTCCAAATGGCAATTATTAACCAATGTTCACCTTTTATTTTGCTGATCCACCTATATCCTTTTTTATTGCCTCTCTCTAAGGACAAGGACTGTGATATGTTTCCTTCTGTTTCCCCAGCTTTTACAATAGATCCAGCATGTAGTAAGCTTGAAATAATAATAATAAAATAAATAAATCATCACGACATGCCAAGTGTCACCCCCATGAATTAATATAACTATAGTCAAAAGCAGATAATTAAAATTTTAGTCTGTGAATCAACATTGCTAACAAAGGTGTAGTAGGTCATTTTTTAAAAGTAGAAAATAATTTGTAAATCACTTATTACCACTTTCACAGATCCCAACAACTCTACAGACATAAATAGTTCGATCTGTTAAAAGATACATGACTTCCCTTATGTTTGCAGGTATTAATTTTGTAGCAAGCTTACCTACTCCAGTGACCAAAAGTGATTCTATTTAGACAGGATCCAAACTAATACTTTGGCAACACATTAATTTACTCACTCTTTTAAACATGACTATCACGTAGGTGGGGAATCTTAACAAAATATAGCTTTCATTAAGATCACTGTAAGACATTAATAACTGAGGTTAAGATTTGATTCTTTACAGAAATAGAAGCTGTGTCATAGAAGGAATCAAAGTTGCAGGCAGATTCAGAATTTCAAAATCACATCTCAGCTTGTGCCACTTATCTTGAACAAATCTCTCAACTATTCTGAATCCACTTTTCTAATCTTAAAATGGGACTATTATTCTCCGGAATGTTGGGCAGATTAAGTGAGAAAACCTATATGAGACAGCTTGAGAAACTATCAAGTACTCGGCAAGTGGTACGTATTTTTACTGTTATATTTTACTCTCAATAGAGGCTTATTTATTTATTTATTTATTTTATTATACTTTAAGTTTTAGGGTACATGTGCACATTGTGCAGGTTAGTTACATATGTATACATGTGCCATGCTGGTGCGCAAGGTAATTTACAGATTCAATGCCATCCCCATCAAGCTACCAATGACTTTCTTCACAGAATTGGAAAAAACTACTTTAAAGTTCATATGGAACCAAAAAAGAGCCCGCATCGCCAAGGCAATCCTAAGCCAAAAGAACAAAGCTGGAGGCATCACACTACCTGACTTCAAACTATACTATAAGGCTACAGTAACCAAAAGAGCATGGTACTGGTACCAAAACAGAGATATAGATCAATGGAACAGAACAGAGCCCTCAGAAATAACTCTGCATATCTACAACTATCTGATCTTCGACAAACCTGAGAAAAACAAGCAATGGGGAAAGGATTCCCTATTTAATAAATGGTGCTGGGAAAACTGGCTAGCCATATGTAGAAAGCTGAAACTGGATCCCTTCCTTACACATTATACAAAAATCAATTCAAGATGGATTAAAGACTTAAATGTTAGACCTAAAACCATAAAAACCCTAGAAGAAAACCTAGGCATCACCATTCAGGACATAGGCATGGGTAAGGACTTCATGTCCAAAACACCAAAAGCAATGGCAACAAAAGACAAAATTGACAAATGGGATCTAATTAAACTAAAGAGCTTCTGCACAGCAAAAGAAACTACCATCAGAGTGAACAGGCAACCTACAAAATGGGAGAAAATTTTCGCAACCTACTCATCTGACAAAGGGCTAATAGAGGCTTCTTGATCTGAGCCTCTGGAATGGCCCTTCCTGGTCCCCAAGGCCACTGGAAACTCACTGAGGACACAGAGAGCTCAGCCTCAGGCTTCATGAGCAGCACACTTTGGTCCACAGCACGAAGGGCACAGAGGGACTGCGGAGCAGCTGCTACTTGCAGGTGGGCATGTGAGGCTGGGGGACTTTGTGCTGGGCTGAAGCTCAAATCCACCTGTGGGAAATGAAGGAAACGTCAACCAGTGTTTTCCCTACTTCTGTGATCTTGCAGTCACCTGCATTTCCTAAGCCACCCTTATATTCAGTTCATATGACTATGTTGGTAATGTCAGTCAGAAACCTATTTTTACAACTTTCCTTCACTTTAAAAATAGAAAATAATTTGTAAATCACTTATTACCACTTTCACAGATCCCAACAACTCTAGAGACATAAATAGTTAGATCTGTTAAAAGGTACATGACTTCCCTTATGTTTGCAAGTATTAATTTTATAACAAGCTTACCTACTCCAGTGATCAAAAGTGATTCTATTTAGACAGGATCCAAATTATCTAATGCTTTGGCGACACATTAATTTACTCACTCTTTTAAACATGACTATTACATAAGTGGGGAATCTTAACAAAATATAGCTTCTCGGTAGCTTAGTCTTGTCCTAAGGAGATAACTGAGGCAGAATAAGGATAGATACCTTGTTAGATTTTTAGATGGCCATCTTTATCTCTGACACATGATAAGGTAATTCTAGGTGTTTACACTTATTCTTCAGGTTTTGGGAACTTTTGAGTCTTAGCATTTTACATACTCACACAACTGAATCAGCAGAGAAGAGCATCATGAACACAAAACTGATTGTATTTTATTTGGTAGCAGCTTTGTGTAATTGAAAAAGTGCTGTACTAGATCCCTAGAAATTTGGGTCTGCCATAAACTTGTTGGGAACTGTTGGGCAACTCATTTTACTTTTCTGGACTTAGTTTTCTCTGGGGTAAAATAGATGGCACCTACAGTATCATTTATTTGTGTTCTTTTAATTTTATGTTAAATCGCTCACCTTGTTGGCTAGACAGTTTTCAATCTCAAATTTTTCAGAGTCTCCAACAACTTCTCCATCTGGTAAAATGGCAAAGATGAACATTCGTGCAATGGGGGCAACGTCTGACTCCACAGGGAAGGATAAGGCAAAACTGCCTTTCACTGGAACATGGAGAGAGTGAGACAAAATGGTCATAAGTGAGACAAAAAGGTCATAAAAATAGTGTCATAAGGACACTATTGCTTGGTCTTATCCACTTGAGAACTGCGTCCATTCATTCTAATGGCTTAGTCTCTCTATGTGCCATTAGTTATTTGGTGAAATTAGTAGGCCAATGTCTCCCTTCAGAACTTTAATTATAGCAGAAGTTAACAAAGTTCCTTTCACTCACATCTTTTTTATTTGATATTCCACTTAACTGTTGCCTAAATCAATTAAATATCAGTAGCTCCAAATTTTCTGCATATATATGTGACAACTATTTTATTTACATTTCAGACTAGAGGTGATTCTCAATTTAAATATAGAGCTATAATTTGTAAGATATAATAAGTTTATTTTGTCATATATGACTTTTAAAAAGCTCTGTATGTAAAAAAAAGTTCATACTAATTGAACTTCCTAAAAGAATATTTAATTCTTGGAGTTTTCATTGCAGTGTTAAACTCTTATAAGTACATTGGTATATTTCTACTGGAAGCATTAAATGGTACCAGATAACACTTCAGAAAATACTTTACATTTTAAAGCAGGGTGAAGGGCCACCAGGTAGCTACAAAAGGGCAACAACAAAAGTTCCATTTTCTGAATGGTCCACTGGGGACTTGAGTAGATGGCCCACATTTAGTTGAATAACGGTAATTATAAAACCACGAGAGACTTAATGACTGAAAAGTTTCTGAGATGCCTGTACATAAAGGACAGATACTCTCTGGTATTATTTCCATGTCTTCCTTTTCTCTACATCCCTCCTGTCCCAGATTCCCAGCTATATGGCTTTAAATTCCTGTGCTTCCAAGTTCTTTTCCAGTAACATATTCTTGGTGCAGTTAGACAATACATAGGATAACAGAGTCTCTCGACATTGTTGAAACTCAAAATAATGTAGGACAAGGACAATTAGAATTGTAGAAGAACTATAATTGATTTTATTTTTTTCTTAACCATATGTATTAAAAATTAAGTCTAATACCCTTAGGAATATTTTACAAAGTATAATATCAGGATGAACAAGGCTAGCTATCTAACACACAACATGAAGACTGTAGTTAATAAAATGGTACTATATTTTAGATTTTTGTCAAATGAGTGCATTTTAGCTGTTCTTGCCACACATACACAAATGAGTAAGTAGGTGAGATGATGGCCATGTTACTTTCCATCACTATAGTAGTCATTTTATTATCTATATGTGTCCCATAACGTTATGTTGTACACCTTAAATAAATGTAATTTTTTTTTGAGACAGGGTCTTGCTCTGTTGCCCAGGCTGAAATGCAGTGGTGCAATCATAGCTCACTGCAGCCTCGAATTTCTGGGCTCAAGTGATTGTACTGCCTCAGCCTCCCCAGTAGCTGGGACTATAGGTGCACAACACCACGTTTGGCTAATTTTTTATATATTTTTGTAGAGATAGGATCTTGCTATGTAGCCCAGGCTGGTCCCAAACTCCTCGGTTCAAGCAATCCTCCCAAAATGCTGCAATTACAGGCAGCAGCCAATGTGCCCGGCCAAAATTTACTTTTTTAAAATGATTATATTAAAGCCTGAGATTGGTGGCACTCAATTAAAAATTGTTATAACTCTACGTAGAATGTGGAATTTTTCCAACTTCATGCAAATTTGACTTTAGCTTAACATTACTTATTTTATATCACTATGTGTTTATACTGCAAAGCTCTTAAGTTTGGGAAGAAAGGAAGCTTAAAATATCCTTAAGGCAGTGTTATGCCATTCATATTTGTGTTCAGTTGGACAGATCAAGTTTTAGCTCAGACCTCAAAAAGGAAATAAGCTCCCCTTCTAAAAGGAAGGAAGCCCTTTTATCACTGTCTTGAGTTCAACAAGGAAAGTGGGGTAGATTGAAATGTCATAAAACCAGAAAAAAAATTATGGTGACTTTATGGCAAAGAATAGTGGTAGGAAATTAAAGCTTTTAATAATAAAATTTGCCAACACATGTGTGTGTGTGCACCCTGCCTTGCCACTGCTGGCAGCGTGAGTGTCCTCCATCACCCCTACTCCTACCACACAGCCACTGACATCAGAGCATTGGCAGGCACTAAGCTCGCCAACCCCACCCCTGCCAGCACCCTGCCCCTGCAATGGAGCTGCCAGTGCAAAACTAGGCACAAAACACACAAACCCACCCCTAGCCATGTACAGACACTGCCACCAGTATGAATGCACACAAAAGGTTCATACAGTCCTGCACCCACCAGTGCCCCACCCCCATGCTAACACCACCGTCAGTGCAAATGCATGCACAGTTGCTAGTGGGGATCCCCCAATCCCCTGAGTCATACTGCCATGATCATTGCTATGAATGCCTGCACAAAGGCCAGCAACCTGGCACCTGCTAGCACCCTGCCACAGCTGATGAGCGTGTACCCCACCACGCTGCCACTGCCATGCTGCTGGTACATGTGAATGAGGAGGGATCCCACTGCTACCATCCTGCAAAGTGCTTTGGCTGACATCACCCATGGAAGTGTTGTGACCAGTGGTCTGGGAGCACCTTGGTCCCTTCAGTGCAACATGTTCTTAACCTCAAGGAGCCAGAGAACAAAGCTGGAGCCAGATACCAGTTCCCCAGAGTTACAGCATGCAATCCAGGAGTCCTGAACTGAGCCTTGCTCCTCCCTGCCTCCACTGCCCCCAAATCTTCTGGTAACAAAGTCAGTTGACTGAACTCACCTTATACCACAATCAAACCTCCAAGGTCATCGAATAGGATAAAAGGAAAAAATCAAAACAACAGCAGTTTCTAAGAGTGAAGGAACATCAGCCCGCAAAGATGAGAAAGAACCAGCACAAGAACTCTGACAACTCAAAGAGCCAGAGCATCTTCTTTCCTCCAAACAATCACACCAGTTCTCCAGCAAGGGTTCTTAATAGGGCTGAGATGGCTGAAATGACAGAAATAGAATTCAGACTATGGATAGGAATGAAGGTCATTGAGATTCAGGAGAATGTTGAAACCTAATCTAAGGAAGCTAAGAATCACAATAAAATGATGCAGAAGCTGACAGACAAAATAGCCAGTATAGAAAAGAACATAACCAACCTGACAGAGCTGAACAACAGTCTACAAGAATTTCGTAATGCAATCACAAGTATTAACAGCAGAACAGACCAAGCTGAGGAAAGAATCTCAGAGCCACAAAATTGACTTTCTGCAATACAACAGTCAGACAAGAATAAAGAAAGAAGAATGAAAAGGAATAAACAAAACCTCTGAGAAATCTGGGATTATTTATGTAAAAAGACTGAATCTACAACTCCTTGATATCCTTGAAAGAGATGAGCATAATGAAAGCAACTTGGAAAACATATTTTAGGATATCATCCATGAGAACTTCCCCTCCTAGCTAGAGAGGCCAAATTCATATTCAGGAAATGAAGAGAACCCCAAAATATACTTCACAAGAAAGTCATCCCTAAGACACACAATCATCAGATTCACCAAGGTTGAAATGAATGAAAAAAAAAAAATGTTAAAGGTAGCTAGAGAGAAAGGACAAGTCACCTACAAAGGGAAGCCCATCAGACTAATGGTGGGCCTCTTAGCAGACACCCTACAAGCCATAAGAGATTTGGGGCCTATGTTCAACATTTCTTTTCTTTTCTTTTCTTTTCTTTTTTTTTTTCTTGACAGAGTCTCACTCTGTCACCAGGCTGGAGTGCAGTGGCATGATCTCGGCTCACTGCAACCCCCACCTCCCAGGTTCAAACAGTTCTCCTGCCTCAGCCTCCCGAGTAGCTGGGACTACAGGCGTGCACCATCACACCTGGCTAATTTTTGTATTTTTAGTAGAGATGGGGTTTCACCATGTTGGCCAGGATGGTCTCGATCTCCTGACTTCATGATCTGACCACCTTGACCCCCCAAAGTGCTGGGATTACAGGTATGAGCCACTGCACCTGGCCAACATTCTTAAAGAAAATAAATTCCAACCAAGAATTTCATATCTAGCCAAACTAAACTTCATAAGTGAAGGAGAAATAAGATGCTTCTCAGACAAGGAAATGCTGAGGGAATTTGTTACCACCAGATCCAACTTGCAAGAGCTCCAGAAAGAAGCACTGAATATAAAAAGGAAAGAATATTACGAGCCACTACATAACCACACTGAAGTACACAGACCAGTGACACTATAGAGCAGTTACACAAACAAGTTGACAAACAGCTAACAACATGATGGCAGATTCAAATTCACGCATCTCAATATTAACCTCTAATGTAAACAGACTAAATGCCCCAATTAAGAGGCACAGAGTGGCAAGCCAGATGAAGAAGCAAGACTCAGTGGTATGCCGTCTTTAAGAGACCCATCTCACATGCAATGACACTGATAGGCTCGAGATAAAGGAAAGGAGAAAAATCTGTCAAGCAAATGGAAAATAGAAAAAAGCAGGGGTTGCCACATGCCCATCAATGATAGACTGGATAAAGAAAATGTGGCACATATACACCATGGAATACTATGCAGCCATAAAAAAGGATGAGTTCATGTCCTTTCCAGGGACATGGATGAAGCTGGAAACTGTCATTCTCAGCAAACTAACACAAGAACAGAAAACCAAACACCACATGTTCTCACTCATAAGTGGAAGTTGAAAAATGAGAACACATGGACACAGGGAGGGGAACATCACACACTGGGGCCTGTCGGGGGTGGGGGGCTGGGGGAGGGATAGCATTAGGAGAAATACCTAATATAGATGACAGGCTGATGGGTGCAGCAAACCACCATGGCACATGTACACCTATGTAACAAACCTGCACGTTCTGCCCATGTATCCCAGAACTTAAAGTATAATTTAAAAAAAAAGAAAAAGAGAAAAGCAGGGGTTGCAATACTAATTTCAGACAAAACAGACTTTAAACCAAGAAAGGTCAAAAAAAAAAAAAAAAGACAAGAGAATTGCATAATGGTAAAGGGTTTAATTCAATGAGAAGACCTAACTAAACAAAATCTACATGCACCCAACACAGGAGCACCCAGATTCATAAAACAAGTGCTTAGAGACCTTCAAAGAGACTCAGACTCCCACACAATAATATTGAGAAACTTCAACACTCCACAGACAGTATTAGACAGATCATCAAGGCAGAAATTTAGGATCTGAACTCAGCACAGGACCCAAATGGATCTGATAGACATCTACAAAACTATCCACTACAAAACAACAACACATACATTCTTCTCAACTGCACACGGCACTACTCTAAAACCGATCACACAATCAGACATAAAACTATCCTCAGCAAATTTAGAAAAATGAAATCATACACTCCACACTCTCGGACTACCATGTGATTAAAATAGAATTCAATAAGAAGAAAATCACTCAAAACCATACAATTACATAGAAATTAAACAACCTGCTCCTGCATGACTTTTGGGTAAATAATGAAATTTTGGCAGAAATCAGGAAGTTCTTTGAAACCAGTAAGAACAAAGATACAACACACCAGAATTTCTGGGACACAGCTAAGGCGGTGTTAAGAGGGAAACTTATAGCACTAAACATCCACATCGAAAAGTTAGAAAGATCTCAACTTAACCTCACATCACAACTGAAAGAACTAGTGGGTCAGCTGTGCTGTGCAGGTGATCCATGCTACACCCTAATCACTACTTGCTCTTCGGAACCTGAAAGTTACAGCAACGGAAGCTTCAAGATGGAAAAAATGGCAGCCAGCCTCACCCTCTGTGAGCTCCGTCCCAGGGAAATGTAAAGTTGCTACCAGCCTGAAAACCCTGATGGGGGTGGGGTGGTGGTGGCTGCAGTCCCAGGTTGTGGGGTTGCCCCCATGAGGAGAAGTGGGACTCACATAAAAAATAGTCTGGCCAAACGTCCTTGATGAACATTGATGCAAAAATCCTCAACAAAATATTTGCAAACCAATATTCCTGATGAACATTGATGCGAAAATCCTCAATAAAATACTGGTAAACTGAATCCAGCAGCACATCAAAAAGCTTAGCTACCGCGATCAAGTAGACTTCATCCCTGGGATGCAAGGTTGGTTCAACATAGGCATATCAATAAATGTGATTCATTCATATAAACAGAACCAATGACAAAAATACGATTATCTTATCAGATGTAGAAAAGGATTTTAGTAAAATTCAACACCTCTTCATGTTAAAAACTCCCAATAAACTAGATATTGAAAGAACATACCTCAAAATAATAACAGCCATCTATGACAAACCCATGGCCAACATCATACTGAATGGGCAAAAGCTGGAAGCATTCTCCTTAAAAACTGGCACAAGACAAGGATGTCCTCTCTCACCACTCCTATTGAACACAGTATTGGAAGTCCTCACCAGAACAATCGGGCAAGACAAAGAAATAAAGGGCATCAGCATAGGAAGAGAGGAAGTCAAACTATCCCTGTTTGCAGACGACATGATTTTATATCTAGAAAACCCCATAGTGTTGGCCCCAAAGCTCCTTAAGCTGAAAAATGATGTTAGCAAAATTTCAGGATACAAAATCAATGTACAAAAATTACTAGCATTCCTATACACCAACAACAGTCAAGCCAAAAGCCAAATCAGGAATGCAAGCAATCCCATTCACAATTGTCACAGAAAGAATAAAATACCTAGAAATATAGCTAACCAGGGAGGTGAAAGATCTATACAATGAGAATTATAAAACACCGCTCAAAGAAATCAGAGATGACACAAACAAATGGAAAAATATTCCATGCTCATAGATAGGAAGAATCAGTATGAAAATGGTCATATTGCCCAAAGATCTCTACAATGAGAATTACAAAACACTGCTCAAAGAAATCAGAGATGATGCAAATGGAAAAAATATTCCATGCTCATAGATAGGAAGAATCAATATCATGAAAATGGTCATATTGCCCAAAGCAATTTATAGATTTAATGTTTTTCCTATAAAACTACCAACGACATCCTTCACAGACCTAGATAAAACTATTTAAAAATGTATATGGAACTAAAAAAAGAGCCCAAATAGCCAAGGCAATCCTAAGCAAAAAGAAGAAAGGAGGAGGCATCACACCACCCAACTTCAAACTATACTACAGGGCTACAGTTACCAAAACAGCATAGTACTTGTACAAAAACAGACACACAAATCAATGGGACAGAATGCAGAGACCATAAATAATGCTGCACACCCACAACCATCTGATCTTCAACAAAGCTAACAAACACAAGGAAAGGACTCCCTATTCAATAAATGGTGCTGAGATAACTGGCTAGCCATAGGCAGAAGATTGAAACTGGATCCCCGCCTTACACAATGCACAAAAATCAACTCAAGATTGGTTAAAGACTTAAATGTAAAACCAAAAAGTATACAAACTCTGGAAGACAACCTAGGCAATACCATTCTGGACACAGGAACTGCAAAGATTTCATGAAGAAGACACTAAAAACAATCTCAACAAATGCAAACATTGACAAATGGGATCTAATTAACCTAAAGAGCTTCTGCACAGCAAAAGAAACTATCAATAGAGTAAACAGACAACTTAGAGAATGAGAGAAAACTTTTGCAATCTATGCATCCAATAAAGGTCTAATATCTAGCATCTGTATAGAATTTAAACACATTTACAAGGAAAAAACAAACCACCACATTAAAAAGTGGGCAAAGGACAGGAATAAACACTTTTCAAAAGAAGATATACATGTGGCCAACAAGCCAATGAAAAAAAGCTCAATACTACTGAATATTAGAGAAATGCAACTCAAAACCACAATGAGATTATCATCTCACATCAGTCAGAATGGCTATTATTAAGAGTCAAAAAATAACAGATGTTGGCAAGGTTGTGGAGAAAAGGGAATGCTTATACACTCTTGGTGGGAATGTAAATTAGTTCAGCCATTATGGAAAGCAGTGTGGCGATTCCTCAAAGAGCTAAAAACAGAACTATCATTTGACCCAAGAATCCCAGTACTGGGTATATATCCAAAGGAATATAAATTGTTCTGTCATAAAGACACATGCACACATATGTTCATTGCAACCCTGTTGCAATGAACAGTAGCAAAGACATGGAATCAACCTAAATGCCCATCAGTGGAAGACTGAATAAAGAAAATGTGGTACATACACACCATGGAACTATGCAGCCATAAAAAAGAACGCCATCATGTCCTTTGCAGGAGCATACATGGAGCTAGAAGCTATCATTCTTAGCAAAATAATGTAGGAACAGAAAACCAAATATTCCATGTGCTCAGTTATAAGTGGGAGCTAAATGATGAGAACATAATGGATACAAAGAGGACAACACACAGTGGGGCCTATCTGAGGGTGGAGGGCGGGAGGAGGGAGAGCAGAAGACATTGAGGCCTATTGGAGGGTGGAGGGTAGGTGGAGAAAGAGGATCAGAAAAAATAATTATTGGGTAGTAGGCTTAGAACCTGGGTAACGAAATAATCTGTACAACAAACCCCATGACACGAGTTTACCTACATAACAAACCTGAACATGAACCCTTCAAACCTAAAATAAAAGTTTTAAACATAATAATAAATAATAAAATTTGAGAAGATTTCATTATTTAAAATCTCAATTCTGAAAATTAAATAGGCAAATAATTTAGGTAATAATAATTTGGACAGTATGAAGAATAGTGTGAAAAGAGAACAATATGAGGAAGCTCAACTTGGACAATTTGAAAAGTTTTAAAAAGTTGAATTTAGACAAATTGTGAATAAAATTTGTTCTTTTATCATAGAGGTGTAAGTGCTTTTGATAATTCTTTGGTGAAGAGTAAATCGGTAATTAATAACTATTAAAATATGTGGTTAAAATTGTTTTATGATGAAACAATTATGATTTAATTAGCTATATAGAGAAATTTTTTCCAATTGTTGACTCAGCTACTTTCAATAAAATTTTGTGGCATCTTCACAAAGTAAATGATTAAATAACTAGTCCTCATTTTACTATATAGAGATTTTCATACAGACTCTTCCTGTTATGAATAAAATTCAAATTGGAATATTATAAAAGAAAAAATCAAATAAATGTTTTAAAACCTTTGATTATTTCTGTGAATGTGATACATAGACCAGTATTAGAAGAAAATTATTCAACAAAAATTGAAGAACAATGTACACAGTGGGGTCCATTCTCCATATCTAACTACCTCTACACTAGTATTGGGAAAAAACTGATATTCAAAACTGGCAGCAGTTTTTAATGTTTAATTAAAATAATTATTAATTATTAGAGTACTGATTAATAATGCATAAATTTTAACTTTCTCAAAATTGTTTCAATTTTCAAAACTGAAAAATAAAAATTAAAAATTAATATTTAATTTTTCCAGCTTAGCAGGAAGAGAAACTACATAAATAGAAAATATTAGGCATGGAGCAAATCCTAATGGTTATTAAGTTTAGCTTAGGGGTGTGGTGGAAATTGGTAAAATGTTTCCCTTAGTTTAGGTTAATTACAAAAATGTTCACGGGTTCTCTTTTCAGTGGTTTAACCTCTAGATTATTTGACTTAGAATAGAAAACGATCTTGGTTCCCCAGGCCTCAATTTATTCTTGAAGTGAATCCAATTTCGTATATAAAGTACTCATGGCCTGGCACAAGAAAAAAAAATCTATCACCTTTCTTCCTTCCCATTTCCCATGATAATTACTTTTTTCTTCTCTGCAATGTTAATTTAATCAATGTACACTTTATTGGGGGTGGAGATAAATAGAAGGCAGCTTAGATTTTGAAAAGAGCTTTGTTTTGCTGTTAGAAGAAACAAACTAAAGTGAAAAACTAGTGTACCTTAGCAGAGTGACTGATACAGAGTAGACAATCACATTTATCTGTTGACTGTTGAATTTTAAAATGCCAAAGAGTCATAAGACGAGTATTTTCCTGCGTGTCCTCCTTATTGTGAAGGGATGATGGAAACGATTTCCCATTTATGAACTGTCACCGAGGGAAGGGTAAGGATGTGTTAGGGGAGCAAGGAGAGATGAATCTGAGGATACTCACTGTCTCCTGACTCCACAGGCAGAGTGTGGGTTCCAGATCTGACGATGACTCCCTTAGCCATGATCTGAAATGAAAAAACAGTGAAGGAAATTTCTTGAGCTGGACACAGTTCTCAGCCTTCTATTCCCCACATGACCCACTTTCAGTTGTCAAGTCTGTGCTGGAGAGAATCAACCTCAAGAAAACTCATGGAATGAAGGACGCACAACAAGAACACAAGGTGGCTGTGTGCAAGTAGTTTATTTTGACATTCCTGAGCCTATTGACCACTTTTGTCCTACTGATAAGCTGCAATTGTATTCCATGGCCTCATTCTTACCAGGTAATGGAAACTGAGCTCCGATAACTCTCCCATGGCCTGTCTATTCAGTGTATAGTGTGCCGTGATAGTCTCCGTGTGGCCACAGGGCAGGGTACCAGCCACAGGCTCCAGGTGAATGTAACTTCCACTTAAGGAGAAAACACGATTTGCAGTGTGCTGAGCACCCTGGTGGTCTTCTGCTACCCATGAATAGTGAAAACACAAGTTGGGATGCACAGTGAAAACCTGAGTAAACAGAAAAGCAAAGAAAGAATACTGTCTTGAAATTCTTCACCTTAGCTTCTCACCAAAATGAATAGTTACAACGGTGTCTTCCACTCTAAAATACACTATGCCTCTCCCTCATACTGGTCGACAGCCAAATAAATGAATTTTCAGTCTCCCAACATTCAAATATTAAAAGGAAATCATCCACAAATTTATCTCTTTTGCCCTGATTCTGCTAACTCATTACTACTTTGACATTTTCCTCCTGCCCCTCAGAACTAGAGGAAAAATGAGAATGATAAATAACTCAAACAAGTGGAAAAGGGATTTTTCAGATATTAGAATTACCTCATGAATTGGCTTAATTAAAATTAGGGTTTGTATTAATAAAACATTCTATTACCTTATGAGCTTCAAAATTGTTTTTAGTAATCCTTAGTAAATTAGCATTTATGCCTCTTATCATTATTGTGACTTCCAACCTTTAAGACCTATGTGATTTCTGAAACTTTAAGCCTTGCAGATAATGTTTTGCGCACAATTCTATTTCCCTTGTGGTAACTGCTCCTTAGCTTTTCTTCAAAGTGCACTTATTTTTTTCTAAATTTATTAGGCATATTTTGTGGACTCTTCTATTTGGTCTCATAATAAAGTTCCTATTTAAAAAAACCTTTTGCGCATAAACACATCATACTAATAATTTACAGATCTTTTAACTCCATGAAAATAGGAAATTTTAAAGTGTAGGGACACTATTTAGTCACCTTTTAAATCCTAGGGAGAGTGAGTGTCTATCACATAGAAAACATTAAACATCATTACATGTTTTTAAACTGAGTTAACACGTGAAACTGAGAAACAGAAATAATGTATATGTTATTTATTGACACTGAAATCCATAAATTATAGTCTTTTATCACTTCTTTGAGATAACAAGCATGAAAACTTTTTAGCTAGGGAAATCTTTTGATCATCGTCATTAGACAGTGTATATTAAGTGTGTGTGTGTGTGATCACTTTACAAAATTTCTAAGTGACCTGGAAAAAATAACATAAAACAAAGTACATGAATTACTGAAGCAGCTGATATTGTTCACGACCCAAATCAAATAAGATTTTTTTCATACTATATAAAATGTTACAGATAATGATAGTGAAATTATCAGGCACTTCTGCAGTGCCTTTTCTAATGCCTTTATTGTTTTTCATGAAATTCTATTATCCTCAAATTTGTAAACTCAAAGTTAGATATCTTCTTATTTCTTACTCTTAAATGCAATCTGTACATTTCTTCTGAATATATCACTGTTCCTAACATTTCCTTTGTCCTCAGAGATTTGTCTTTCTATACTTACCCGGACAAAAAGTTTATTAACCGAGATACTGGTAGTATTGATTGAAAACTGTGCAAGACCCTGCTCATTGGTGGTTGCATTGGAGTAATAATTGGCGTCATTCACAGAGATGAAGAAGAGTTTATTGGGGATGGGCACACCTTTTCCATCCACCAGAAGCACCTAAAGAAGAAAAGTACTTGATAGTTGATGTGAACAACACCCAGAGAGGACTGAACTCATGTGAACAAATGCTTTTGCTGCTATAACTAAAACAACAACCTCCCCCTCAAAAAAACCCCACCAAACCTTCATATTTACGACAAAATGTTTCCTTCCATTTGGATCCTCATGTCCTACATAGCTTATCTATGAAACTTTGTAGTATTTCCAGTAAAGTCAGGGAGTTTTTTTTTTTTTTTTTTTTGAGACGGAGTCTCGCTCTGTCGCCCAGGCTGGAGTGCAGTGGCGCGATCTCGGCTCACTGCAAGCTCTGCCTCCTGGACTCACGCCATTCTCCTGCCTCAGCCTCCCGAGTAGCTGGGACTACAGGCGCCCGCCACCCCGCCCAGCTAATTTTTTGTATTTTTAGTAGAGACGGGGTTTCACCATGTTAGCCAGGATGGTCTCGATCGCCTGACCTCGTGATCTGCCCGCCTCGGCCTCCGAAAGTGCTGGGATTACAGGCGTGAGCCACCGTGCCCGGCCAAAGTCAGGGAGATTTTTAATAACTACAACTTGCCACTTAATATGCACTTGGAATAAGAATAAAAGAAATGAATTTAAACTGGCTGTTTTTCCCTTTTCGCATAGACGGAGGCTAGAATGCTTGGCTGTGTTCTGAACTCTACTAGCTAAAAAAGTTACTTCTCTGCGCTTCAGTTTTCCACCTTCATTAAAAGGGGGATAATAGTTGTGCCTCCTTTATATGGTAGTATTGAAGATTAAATAATTATTTAAAAATACATTAGAGGAGTAGGGCGACTATAGTTTTCCAATAATCTGTTGTGATTTAAAAATAGCCAGAAGAGAATAATTTGAATTTTTAGCAAAAAAAGGACAAATATTTAAGGTGATGAATATCTCAATTATGCTGATTGGATCTTCAAAAATTATTTGAATGTATTAAATAATCACATGTACTCCCCAAAATTGATACTATGATGTATCAATTTTTAAAAAATTTAAAATAATAAAAATACATTAGAAGATATTTGGTGTACGATAATTATTCCATAAATGTTAGTTACTAACGTTATTATTATCTCCTGCAACAAACCAGCTAAGAAAATACACATGAGAATGTTTTCTTCCCTTCCTTTCCCTTCCCCTTCCCCTGGCCCTTCCCTTTCCCCTTCCCCTTTTTCCTTCTTTTCCTTTTCCTTCCCCTTTCCTTCTTTTCTTTTCTTTCACAACTGGTCTCTGTTGCCCAGGCTGGAGTGCAGTGGTGCCATTATAACTCACAGCAGCATCGAAGTTCTGGGCTCGAGGGATCCTCCCACCTCAGCTTCCCAAGCAGCTGGGACTACAGGTGCACGCCACCAGCCCACTGCTAATTTTTTTTTTTTTTTTTTTTTTTGCAGAGGTAGAGTCTTACTATGTTACTAGGGCCGATCTAGAACTCCTGGCCTCAGGCGATCCTCCCCCCTTGGCCTCCCAAAGTTCTGGGATTATAAGCATGAGCCACTATGCCTGGCCAAATGTCTCAATTTACTAATTATAAAACAGGTAAAATTAATTATCAATATGAATAAAATTAATATTTTATTGGCTTTATTATTGTTAAAATATATAAGTTAAACATATAAAAATATAATAATAATAACCATGAAATGCATGTTATTTTAATACCTATGCCTAAAATTAAAGACTTATTTATTTATGTCAGAAGAGATCAACAGATATAAAAAGAACACTGACAGCCATAAATGTTACAAACTCTGAAAATTCTGATGCTGCCCAGGTCATGATAGAAATATCATTTATTCTAAACTGCATGAAAGAAGAGGTTTGATATAACAACTAAGTCACATTACATTAAGTATCTTTATTAGCTACATATTAAAATATTATCTCTGATTCTCATAATAATTTAGTATGTGTCTGTTTGTTTCATCAGTGATATTTAGAAAGGAAAGTATTTCTCCTTGGTTTCATGGTTTTTGGTCATATTAATTAACTGATAACACTAACCAAGTGTGGGCTGCATCATTGTGTCCTGTGCTTAGGTGCAACTGGATACTTTGCTTACCTGTGCATTACAACATATCTTACCTGTGCAAAAAAGGGGATTCCTTGTCTAAAGTGTGAATCCACTTTCACGAATTTGAGTTTGGATACAATGTTTGTGATTTCACTGATCCTGTTTGCAGTGACTTCCAGGTCTGAAAAATATAAAGAGTCAGTACTTTTAGAAGTTACTTTAGTCATAAAATTTCTTTCTTACAAATGACCTTTATTTTGTTATGGAAAGTAAACTATTGTTTTATTTCCCATATTCGTTCATTACTCACACCTGTCCCCTCTTCTCTGATCCTGGCTTCCACTCTAAGCTTCATTTCAAAGCCCGTATTTGTAATCTGGAGCATTTTGGTGTGTACTTGTTGGGTGATGCAGCCATTGCTGTTAAGCTGAGAAAAATACCAAAACCAATAAATGTCAAACTGATTGAGATCAATAGTCACTGAATCTACTATTCTGTCTCTAATGACAAGAAAACTTTTTTTTTGCATTAAGTAAGTTAATTGACCTTCGAGAACTTAATACTCATATCTGCTTTGTAACCTCCAAAGTTAGTCGTCCAAATGAGAATCTTGTTGACTAAGAACAGAAATTCGTTTTTTGGTGGGGGATATTTTGCGACAAGCTTGTCCTGATGCCCTCTTTCTAGTTAGTAAAATGGAGTCTCACTGGTTGTAAACAGTGATAGCACTGAGGGAGAATACCGCCTACTAACCTGTTGACTGAATTCCTCACAGACCTCCTGCTTGTCACAATTAAGAACACGAGATAATTTTCTACACAGGCTCACAGTTGCAAGTCCTGGGACAGGCTTCCCATAAGTGTATCTGGTACATGAGAAATAAATCAGGAATTGAGAATGGCTGTTTGCATTTTCCACTACCACTCCTCCACAGAACTGTCCCTCTTTAGAGTTGCCTACACATCTTTATCATCTGGGTGCCCACCAAGTAGAAAGCTGTCTGGAAAATGTCTCCCTCAAAAATATTAGCCATTAAAACCTTTGAAACTTGACTGCACTGTACCACCACATTCTCTTTGGGATTGAATATATATATTTATATAAATATTTTTATATATTTAATATATAATATTATAATTATTATATTTTAATGTTTAATTAAAATAATTATTAATTATTGGAGTACTGCTTAATAATATATAATAATATAATATATAATAATATAATATATTATATATAAATATATTATGTATAATGTTGAAAATAATTATTAATTATTAGAGTACTGATTAATAATATATAATGTAATATATAATATATGACATAATATAATATATAAATATAATATATATTATATATTTATATATTATATTATATATTATATTATATAATATAATATAAAATTATTATATATATTATACAATACATAATATATATAATTATATATTATACAATACATAATATATATAATTATATATTATACAATACATAATATATATAATTATATATTATACAATACATAATATATATAATTATATATTATACAATACATAATATATATAATTATATATTATACAATATATAATATATAATATTAATTATATATAATATATAATATAAATATTAATAATATATAAATTATATATATTTATATTATATATTATATAAGTTATCTATATATTATATTTATATTACATATTTATATATTATATATTAATATATATTATATATATATTTAATCCCAAAGAGAATGTGGTGGTACAGTGCAGTCATATATATATGCAAACATATATATATATATGTTTTTCCTTTGGCCAGGTGCTTTGGCTCATGCCTGCAACCCCAACACTTTGGGAAGCCAAGAAGGATTGCTTGAGGCCAAAAGTTCCCAACTAGCATGGGTAACATAGCAGGACCCAATCTCTACAAGCTTTTTAAAAAGATTAGCTGGGTATGGTGACATGCACCTGTAGTCCTAGCTACTTAAGGAGGTTTAGGCAGGAGATTCACATAAGCCCAGGAGTTTGAGGCTACAGTGAGCTAAGATTGCTCCACTGCACTCCAGCCTGGGTGAGAGACTCTGTCTACTAAAAAAATGTTTCTTCCTTTTAACCTACTTATTTTCTATCATTCTTCTTTATTTTGTTTTAATAATATCAAAGCTTATTCTGTATACCAAGTGAGCAAATGTAGATGATGAATTGAATAAAAATAAGTACATAATAACTAAGCAAATCTAACACAAAATGCACAGACACACGCACACGTGCACTGACACACATGCACAGAGAAGAGAAGGGAGAGAGAGGGAGAAAAAGAAGCCTAGGAACACATGAGGCATGTAAATACAAAATAATTAGTGGGGTTATGTGTGTGTGCACATGTTATATTAGTCCTTTCTCTGATTAGATAATGGGTAACAGAATAATACACAATAATTTTGTTTTGGACATTGGTTTTCTTTCCTATTTGCAAATGGCTCTGAAATTACTTCAAATAAAAAGATAGAATCAAAGCAGCTTATTCTGAAGCCCTTCTCCAACATATAGATATCTGCACTACGGCACTATTAATTTGGACACATAACTCCTTGGCCATTGCTCTGAGGCTGAAATGAGGCAGAGATCTAGGCGTTTTGGTGTTTCTGGTATATAATATTTAGGCTGGCATATTCCTTTACCCTGCGTGCTCCCTCTGGGACTGTTTGTTTGTAGGCTATCAGTTTTGCTTCTTCAGGTTAAAAGGAACTGTAAGAGGTATCTGTAATCACAGAGGGCAACAGTGGAAAGGAACATCATAGGTAAGGTTCATGCCCTCTGTCTACTGCTTAAGAGATGGAGGCACAGAGAAGCAGCAGAATGCCTAGTGAAAACAGTAAGTTCTGATAGGGGAGGCACACTCATCACTGCCGATTCTGAGTCTAGTACCCTTCATAATCATGACATCAGTCACTGGATCATTTATATTATGTTTAAGTCACTTCTATAAAATCCTAATCATTGGCTTTTGCCCAGTAATTGTGACCTGTGATCTTTAGGTTTCTCTGTCACATTTTTAGTCCATCGTATCAGCGCATCCTCCTTCCTCAATGACAGGATTAGTATTTATGGTATACATATGAAGAAAAGGAGAAAGTGAAATTTCCTGGAGTGGAAATTTCTGGGGGAGAGATTATTTCAGGTTATTAAACAATTTGTTCTACCATTGCACTATTTCTGGTTATTGAACAATTGTTCTATCAAAAAGATCAATGTAAAACATTCAATGTATCCTCTTAAAATTGCCCAGAGGAAAGATTAGGCATAATTAATTCAATGTTCCATGAGAAAACAAACAGGCAGATTCTGCAAGCAAGACTTCTAGAGGCCAACTGATGATCTTCAGCGAAATGTCATTAAAAAAAGGAGGTTATAGACTTTTAAACCTCTAAGATATTTATAGATTCCTATGGCTTGCTTTAAAATATTAGAGCAAAAAAACTACTGTAGAGGAGGAAATGGGACAAAAAGAACCTGGCAAATTTTACAATTTTAAAAATAGGTGATAGGTACATGAAATTGTGTTTTACTTCTCTGTTAACTTTGGCACGTGATTGAAAATTTCCGTTGTAGAGAGTTTGGAAAAAGAAAAGGTACTTAGGAGTCATAATAACCAAAACCAATGTGCGAACACCCAGCTTTATGAGACCATTTTTAGGACAATTGAAGATACTTGACTGTAAACTTGCAATTAGTTTTGGAAAATTACTTCCAATTTTGTTAAGTGATCGTGTTGTCGCAGAAGTGGACAATGTCTCTGTATTTTAGAGGTACATACTACTGCATGTACAGAAAAATATCATGATCTTTGTGATTTATCCTAAGATGTTAAAGCAAAATATATGATGAAACAATACGGAAAGATGTTTATTGTTAAATCATAATTAAGTGTGTTTCTATTCTTTTATGTATTTGAAAATTTTAATAGTAAGTCGTTAAATAAAGAGAAGTCAAAGGAGTAATATTACAAAAGTGCTGAGGCAAAGTAAATTTATAATTTTGTACCTACATAATCCCTCAAAATTGAGGCAAAATATAAAATTTTAGATAAAAACAATGTAACTCACTCTCCACAGACTGTTATGTTCACTTTTTCATCCATGATACTGATTATCTTTGGCACCTGAACTTTGACCTCAAACTTGGGAAGCACTGTTAATAGAGATAATAGGAATAAGGAAGGTTGGTAAACATTTATTGGAAATACAAATAATTTCAGTATGTCTATAATTTTTCCCAAAATAACACTCTGAATGTTAGATTTACTTTCCAATGTATCAACTTTAAGATGGTAAGGTTTAACAATTCATGCAGAATCTAACTGACTTCTTGAGCACAGCGGGTCTCAGTGACGTTAACAAATGATGGTGGTTTCACTGAAACAAGAAGTTTCATACTTGGCAAAGCGTAATTTGCTACTGAAAATCAGCAAGCTCTTATGAGCTTCTGTGTTCACACCGTCCTAATGGTCTTAGAAGCAGTAAGTCTGACTCTACTGCAAGTTCAACATATCTACAGGAAATTCAAAGGATCTAAGTGAGCTCACACTCTAGGAACCAAAATGTTATGCCTTTTTCATCTTCCATAATCCATACCAAATTCCTCCACGGTGAAGGGGTGCTGTATCCTTCCACCTGATTCTGTCTGTACCACCACCCTGTAGGAGCCCTGAATGGGCTCTGATGAGAGGGGAAAGGACAACTGATTGATGCCAGCTTCTAGCTTGAGACTCTGCCATTGTGCAATTCGATTTCTTCTTGGGTTCTGAAGGGAAACAAGAAACATGGGCGGTAATCATTTAGTCACAATAGTCCTTGAGCAACTCAAATGATTTTGAAGGTGATAATTAGCATTGCCTCTGGAAAGACAAATACAGAAGGAAGAGAAAATACAATCAACCTGACAACTGGGAGTAGGAGGAATTCAGATCTGAAAATTTTTAAAGTAGTTCATCTGTCTAGAGTATTATCAGAACCTCCTACTCTCTAAAAGCACTAATTTCCTTATAAGATACTTTTTCTGATACTTACCTCAAGGTATATCAGTGGAATCTATATGATAAAAGGAAAGAAGAGATGTGATTAGAATTCCAGCAAAGGCTACAATTTCAGACTTGTGATCAAACAACAAACTGAGGAAGAATATTATCTGTAGCTAAATTCAACAAGAAACATAACAGAACTGGAAAAATCTCAGGGAAATTATTAAATAGTTCTAGGATGAGCATACACAATATATTCAATAATTATTATTATGTGTTGCCATTTCCCTGAAAATTATTATTGGTGAATGATATTATTGAATCTTTAAGTATTAATATTATTTGGATACTAAAATTCTCCTAGTGAATAATATGACTATACTGCTTACTTTCATAAGTTGGGAAATAGATATTAATAGAGTTATATGTCATTATGATTTAGACCTAACAGAAATAGAATTCCCAGAATCATTTGGTTGAAAGTAAACCAAGAATATTTCTTCTAATTTCAACATTGTCTATTTTCTACCTATTAAAAGCAGCTTTGTTCCTTTGCACTAATATTGAAGGTAAGTTGAAAAAAGGGAAATTCAATTAGCATAAAAAAGTCTTTGTGTATAATATATTTCTATACTATATGTATCGAATATATAATAAAATTATAATATGGTCTATTGTATATACCTATATATTCATAAAAGCATAATTCTGTGTTGCTTTTTTAATCATAAATTCCTTGAAAGTATGAATAGGAATAGTGCCTTTTTTCTATGCTTCTTTAATATTCTTAATGCAGTGTGTTCAGAGTAACAAATGCAGCTATTGCCAGACTGATTAAATACTGTTATAAGAGAAAGAACTTCCTCATCTCTTGTCCCTCAATTTTTGTTTTGTATAAGACTGCAAATCTGTGCTGAGGCTGGAGCCAAGTTCAAAAACAAGTGTCTTTCATCCTCTCGCTTTTCTTGTACCTTTCTACCTCACTCTGGGTGAGTATTCCCACTCTACCCACAACCCAAACCACAGATAGTGGATGCTTACCAGTTCATTTCGAGGGCGAAAATTTTCATCCACGGAGACAACACGGAATCTTACTGGAAAAGTAGTTCTCCGATAAGATTCAGACATGATAAAGCAGGTAATTTGGGTAATAAGACAGGAGGCTACGGGGCTAGGATAATGGAGACTTTGGCTGTTCAGGTGGCCCTTCTCAGTGTTGCCCCAAACAGTGGAATTTCCCTACTTACCTGTCTGTCCTGGTTTATACATGGGTTTGTCTGTCTGGACAAAGACCAGACTTTGGGTGTTCAGTACCAGAACTGTGTTCCTCTTCCTGAAATCTTGCGTAGGCCCCTTTATCTGGATGCTAAGGAATGCCACCTCTGAAGAGGCTGAGATCCTTGGGAGCTAAAAAGCAAAGGATTTTTTACTACTGAGGAACTGTGCAGTCTTCTCCCTCTGCATTCTTCAGTCATTGCTATTTCCTATCTCTCCTTCAGCTTCACCAAGGAGAAGGAAGGTGTGACTATTTCTTCAGACATAAGAGTGACGATATTAATGTGAGATGGAGGAATGGTATCAGTAAGAGTGGCCATCAATAGAACCCAGATCTCCATGGAGTTCACCTAGAGCTCTAGTTATTAAATTAGATGCCTTTTAACTGAGTATGTATATTCTGAAGCAATGGAGAGAAACATCTCTGAAAAAATATGGGAGAGCATAGGAGCTGAGTTTCCCAAGTTAGGCAACTTTAAAGAGGTACTAGGTGTTTGCTTAGGGTATCCTGCATGTGCAAAAAATTATGTTGCATGCAAAGTTTTTATCATGAAATTTTCATATGATCTATTTCTAGGAAATGTCCAGCCCGATCCTTAAAGAGACAGTTACAATCAAAACTAGAAAACTCCTCTAAGTCATGAAATTTTTGTGGGCAATAGGATTATTATTTAGGAATGAAATTTAGAAGAGTATTTCTTCCTTACTCTGGTAAAAAATGCTTTGTTCCTTAATAGTTGAAAACTCACTATTTTTAGTCCTTTCTGAAGTCCTAACTACATTCCTTTTTTTTTTTTTTTTTTTTTTGAGACGGAGTCTCGCTCTGTCGCCCAGGCTGGAGTGCAGTGGGGCGATCTCGGCTCACTGCAAACTTCGCCTCCCGGGTTCACGCCATTCTCCTGCCTCAGCCTCCCAGGTAGCTGGGACTACGGGCGCCTGCCACTACGCCCGGCTAATTTTTTGTATTTTTGGTAGAGACGGGGTTTCATCTTGTTAGCCAGGATGGTCTCGATCTCCTGACCTCGTGATCTGCCCGCCTTGGCTTCCCAAAGTGCTGGGATTACAGGCGTGAGCCACCGCACCTGGCCCCTGAAGTCCTAACTACATTCTTAAAGTCATACCTTGGGATCGCACACCAGAGCTCCATCACCATGACCTATAGAGCTCAATAAAATGTATCAAGCAGGGATAGCCAGCTGGCACCGTAGCACTCACAGTGAAGGAGACACAGTGGAATAAGTCCTTCTCCGCCACCAGGTCAGTGAAGAGGCTCCTGTTTTCCCTGCCAGACTCCAAGGAAGCACTTACAGTCACTGTCTCATTCAGGTGGCTCAGAAGGACACAGCCCTTCTTAGGGGCCTCAGTGTGGAGCAGGGAGGGGACCAGCACCATATACTGCCTGGGAAAGGAAGAAGTCTAAATTAGAGAAAAACTGATGATAGTAAGCGTTTTCATCCATAAATGTGTTTTCATAACAATATGTATTAATTGGTGCAATCAGTTTTATTCTAAAAGTCAATGGACTAAGTCAATGGAGGTTCTGTCACAGATCAGCACAAAAATTTTATCTTTTACTCATCAGCCATGCCTCAGCCACACAATCTGGAGCCATACAACACTGGAGATTGCTTTCCAAGATGTTACAATTTCACAGGCATTCCTTGCTGTAAAGAGCAGTCTGAGCTCTTTAAACTTTAACTTTGACCTTTAAAAAGAATCTGAATTCTTGAATATATATCCATAAAAGTGCACGCACACAAACACACACACATATATAAAAAATTGGGAGTGATTATTCATTGTAAAAAGGACTTACATTAAAATCTGTCTAGATAAACATCACTTTGGAATGAACACCGTGACTAGATTTACAGAAATTCAACTGAAAGAACTTCAGTAAGCATATATCATTACACAAAATAACACATGTCTATATTGCAAAATCATTTTCTTAATATCAGCAACACTGAAAAAAAGTATTTGCTGTTTCTCTTAGGCTCCTCAGATACAGCTCAGTCAAAGTCAATATTTTATCAACGAGTTTGAAAATTTTGTCAATTATTTACATGCACAACTCCCTGCTACACACACACTACACAAACACACACTGTATTTTATTATCATTTCCCTTTATGCTCAATTTCTTGAGGCAATTAACATTAATAATTTAATATTAGTATGTCCATGTTTATAAACATGTTTGTTTCGAATCACATGGGTGGATAGGTTATCTTTTCAATAAAAAAAAACAAACAGGTTCAGGCTGGGAGAAGTGGCTTATACCTAGTTCCCGGCACTTTGGGAGGCTGAGGCAGGAGAGTCACTTGAGGCCAGGAGTTTGAGAACAGCCTGCACAACATTGTGAGGTCCCCCATCTCTACAAAAATTAAAATAAAAAATTTAGCCAGGTGGCACATGGCTGTAGTAGCAGTTACTCAGGAGGCTGAGGCAAGAAGGATCACTTAAGCCCACGAGGTTGAGGCTACAGTGAGCTATGATTGCACCAGTGCTTTCAGAGTGACAGAGTGAGACCCTGTTTCAAAAAAAAACAAAACAAAGTTTATATGAGTACTAAAAGTCATATTATTTTGAAAAGTCTTTTCTTTTTTATTTAAATTGTTGAAAGTTTTCAGTTTTTCAGAGGCACAGGCAATTTTTTGTGTAAGCCTCACATTCTGGCCTTAGCTTTATTGATGAGTGTCCTTTGTCTCTAATGCCCCCCACTCCATATTTTCCTGTCACTTTCCAGAAGCCTCCAATTCAATATAATCTCTCCACACTCTGAAATCCCATGGGCTGAAAGAGAATGTGTTTTTGTTGTTGCTGTTTTTGAGCATCTGCCACATGACAAGAATTGTTAAGCTGTCTCTGTATTAAGCCATTTAATCTTCCCAGCAATGCTGTAAGGTACATGCATGATACTCTCCATGTTCATGGAAGCTAAAACATGAGATCCTCATCAGTCCCCAAAACTTGAATCCATAACAGATAGATAAAATCCCTGCCCCCATGCCAAATCAGTAAAATCAGTAAATTGTGACTAAAATGTAACTCTTCAAAGCTTTAATGATTCAGTGATTCATGATTCAATATCTGCAGGGTTAGGCCATTTATAGAGTAAATTTGCAAGTAAAAACTATTATTTTCTTATATTATTTTACTACCCTTACTTTCCATTGCCAACATAAACTCTTACTTTTTAAATTGTTTTCTGGACAGGCAATTTGACACAAGAAACCCAATATTGTTGCTTTACAAAATTAATAGGTGTGAGACTAGGAGGAGAGAATCCAAGGATAATTGAGTTGTGGAATGTGGAACTCAAATTTGGTCCCCTCATCCTCCATGTAGTCTGCTCCAGCACACCAGTCTTGCTACATGTGTTTTAAAGTGTTCCTGGGCAAAACTATATGCCATGAATCTCCAGGGCCACTCTGAAATCATCCAAGTTTCAGATGATTTTACTGTATGAGTAGTAAGGTTTTGTTCTCTAGCAGAGAAGCTGAGGGCAGTTCAGTAACTCACTGATAGTCATTCAGCTAGTCTCTTATGTCTTAATCTTTTTCTGGTATCTGGATGCTTCTGATCTCCTGATCACTGCTCTTTTAACAGCATAATAAATAATAAAAATGTATCATTTTTTACATCCCCATCAAAAAATTTTTCCTTTAGTTCTTTGATCTTAATAAGAAGGTATATATATATTTATAATTTATTTACTATTTTTATTCTTATAAATTATAAGCCTAAAAGATATCACGATTAAAAATTAATTCCACATATATTTGATATTCTAAAGAACTATTTTATATGAGTTCAGTTAATATTTTTTTAACAGATATTGAAATCAGAACAAATCCAGGTTGACAAACTTGCCCAAGATGTCATTGGTAGTGAGCTGCTAAAATGTTTTAATATATGTTTACTCAATCATGAATGTTTGCATTTTAAATATTTGCCTCTTTAGCAGGGACTAAATGTAGCAAATATTAAAGTGATAACTTTTAATTTTCTCTTTTTCATTTTATTCCCCTGAAACCTTCATCTTTCTGAAGCTTACTGCCCCAAGGCAGGGGAGAATGGCTATTGGTTCTCTTTTGTAGTCTCTCACATTTATCACATCAAGGGTTAATTCTGGAGGGATGAAGTTAAGTTTTCTCCTTATAAAGGGAGAAAACACCCCTTCTGCTTGTGACAACTAGGGCATGAGGCTTGTTGTTCTTTGTTCAGTGGCAGACACAACGTAAAAGGATGGTTTCAATGGCAGCATGGTCCAATGTAGTGTAGGAATGCATCCAGAACCACAAATTGCTTAATGTTTCTGACCCAATACACGCTACTCGCTTTATCCATTCAGTCTGCTCTCAGAAAGCAAAATAGCCTCCACATATTCCCATATGCTTTCTGGATGGAGAGCAGCTGGAAGTAGTAGAGCCCACTGCTGTAGATGAGGTAGAGGGATAGTGGGGGAGAAATGTACCCCTACCGGTTGCCAGGAAATTGTGCAAGGAAAAAGCCTGAGGAAAGCAGGAGACTTACTGGATTGAACTCCTTATTTCTGCTTTCTGCGCTTTGGCCTGAAGAAGGCTATTTGTGTTAGATGGATAAGGGTAACACACAGAGCAGAGGGACCCCTTATCCCTTTCCCGATTTGGGACTCTGAAGACTTCCCTGTATCAGTCTGGAATACAGGAGACACGATAGGCATCTAGAAGTGCAGTGTGGGTATGCAAGAGAGAGGTAGAAGTTTAACCTCTCCAGGACACCTCAGTGCCTATGTGCTATTATTGGACCCAAGAGTTCTCACCATTCTCTGGAAGAAATGTAAAGGCAGCTGGGTTAAGGCCAGGGACCTTAAATGGCCTGGACTGCAAAGGGGCAAGGTGACCCTGCATCACAGGCTGTGTTGAAACAATAGCCATAGTATTTGAGGCAGGATGCAAAGGTAGGAGTTCTATGGGATATGAAACAGCTGAAGTGAGACAGTCAGTTAGAGAGGACTGTTGGGTCCTGAACACACAAGAGAAACCAGATGGCTAAACTTCAACAGTGCATGCCAGCAAGTAAGGAGAAGTCAGACTGACAGTAGCCAAGAAGGACGGAGAACTTTGAGACCAAGGACTCTGACAGTTTTCTCTATTAGGAGTTAATGGAGACCACAGTTCTCTAGACACTATAGAGGAGAGGAACTGGGGAGAGGTGGAAAAGAAGTCTTACAATTATTGAGTTGTACCAACTTACAACTGGATAGGGTTAAAATTATTTTCCCTGCTTTGGTCCCCCACTGGGGGCTGTTGGTGAAGACTTGATACATGATTGAAAAATAAAGGAGCTATACTTTCTGTATATATATATATGGCCTACAATACATGTTAAGTTGCACTTCACTATATATTTCGAATATCTCTATATTCAGTGCCTTCCATCCAAAAGAACTGTTCTGTGAAGTTGGGATCTAGTGTTTTATTTAATCATGCTTCCTAGTGACTAATCGTATTTATGACTCTGATTGGCCCAGTGTAGAAAAAATGATTTCAAGAATAGAGGATAAATGAAAGACAAACAAGGGATTAACTGGAATAATTTCTTATATTTGGAAGGTATTGTAATGAGTGGAAAGGTGGCATTTACAAAGGAAGGCAAAGCGAAGACACAAGGGAGAGACTGAAACGCACTCTGGAGGAAGGGGTCTTGAGTGAGACTTACGGTTCTGTAGAGTTTGAGTCACTGGCAGAAAGCAGGATAAGAAGTAGCACAAGACATAAATGAAGAAGTCTGTCTTTCCGCATTGTGAGGGATAAATCTCAGGGTTGTGTCCAACTCTCTGCCCTCAGCCTCGCCCTGGAGACCAGCTGAGTTTACCAGGCTTTATGTGGCCACTATGTACAAACAAGCCCCACCCCAAGGCCTCTGAATAGAGTTCAGAATTGAGCACAGATTCCCTAAAAGGGTCATTACTCTCAGTGGTTGCCTCATTTTTCTCAAGGCTAAATTCTGATAGGTACTGAGGCATGTCTGGAAGATAAAATTTGTATTCCATTTAGAATGAGCTTTGACAGCAAACCTCCTGATAAGGAACCTTCAACCTACCTTTCTCCATCTCTTTCAAAATCCTTACAAGCAGGTGACAAAGGATGCTGACAAAGAATGTCAGGGACATGTTACCATGATAGTAGCTCATGCATTGCAGATTCATTTCTGGGACTGAGTGAGTTATAACTATAGACTTTAGGGTTTTTGGGTTTTCTTTTTTAGCAGTTGATTGAGTACATGGTCCTGGAAGAAAGTGATATAAAATAAGGATTTCAAGAGTAGAGGATCAATGAAAGATAAAAGAGATAAAAGATCAAAGAGATTTTAGAAAGGAGTTATCAAAGATCACACTTGTCTATTTCACAGCATTGACCTGATCAGATTCTTAGTTGATCCTATCTGTCCTTGTTACTGTCTGAGCACTCTAACGTTTGAGTCCCTTAAACCATGTCATTGACTTTATCTGAGATTTTTTTTTTGAGCCATACTGTGTGCTAAGTGCTATTCTGGTGATGAAAATACAATATTGAACAGGATATTCAGTATCCATGCTCTCATAGAACTTGTAGTACAATGATGATCACATATAAACCACCAGCAGATTTAATGCCATCCTTAGACTGCAGACATTGGTGTCTGTTTACATACTGTATTGCTTGAAACTTTTTAAATCAACTTTCTTTCTCTTTCTCCATATTTCAGCCTAATCATCCCTTCTTTGGAGAGCAAATTCCTGGCCACACTGCTGAAAGTGGATTCCTTCCTATTAGTTTTTATTTCACATCTTTGTTTCTTTTGTCACATTATCATAGAATGAAATAATTTCTTTTAAATTATGAAATGTTATATATATATATACTCACAAATATAGAGAGCAAGATAAAAGACACTCGTACCTTACATGCACCCAACTTTAATAAAATTAAACACTTGCCAAGTTTGTTTAAGGTCATTTCTTCTTAAGAAATGAAAGATGGCAATGGTAGTGCTCTTTTAAAATTTGTCTAGAAGCTTTTCCAGTTTTTACCAGATCCACCAACCCAAAAAAAGAAATAAATCAAGACAAATATGGTTGGAGTTTCCTTTGTAATTCTCTCCAATCTCATTTCCCTTCCAATGTTGTGGGATTAGGAAGTTGATATGTATTCTTCAAGATGTGTTTATGTTTTTAATCCATATTTATGTAAATAATATATAGCATAATTTTGTGTTTTGTATTTTATATGTATAAGTGGTATGCACATATTGTAAAATATGTCATCACTATTATGGTTTTAAGACTTATTAGCATTGATAATGAGGATAAAATTTATTAATTTTAATGACCATCTATACGACATTCTATTGTATGAATGTGGCCGAACCTGTTACTCTATTCCCCTAGTGCTGAATTTTGGATTCTTCATAGTTTTCAACATTACAAATAATACTGCTACAAATACGGTATGTCTACTTAAGCATATTTGCAAGACTTTCTCTAGGGTATATAGCAGAGATTGGGTTATAGGCTATATATGTATGTACATCTTGAAATCTATCAGATTGGTAAATTGCTCTTCAGAGTATTACATGGATTTGAATACCCATCTGCAACAGTGGATATTTTCAGTTTATTATATATTTACCATCGTTTTACTCTGCTAGGCATTTTACTTTTTATCAATCTGATGAGTGAAGCAGTATCTTGCCTTAATTTTCATTATTAATGACTTTACACATCTTTTCATATGTTTATGGACCATTTGAATTCTACCATCAGTTTGATATCTCAACACAATATGTAAAGGGTCTATCAGGAACATCTCCTTGCCCCAGTTTCATGAGCCTTGGACTCTAGACGCTGCAATTTTATTTACTAAAGGCTTTAAAATGTGCTTCTAAATCTCTCAGCCAAATATTCTGGAGCTGTTAAATACCCTAAGGGGAAAGTGCCCTTAAACACAGAATTGCCCCTTTGGGTTGCTATGTTGCTTCTGAACTTTGGATTCATAATTCTTCACAGTCTTTGCTTTTCAATACCTCCAGTGAATATATATATAACCAACCATTCCTAATTTAAGTGGGAAGTTTGGTCTCAATTACCTTGTATACCATTACTGGAAAGGAAAGTCTTAAGTGTGTATTTTTATTTTATATAAAGAGTATTGGAAAAAGACCTTGCCTGTTTCTTATTCTTTTTAGTTATTGCTAGTTTTAAAACATCCTCCCATGTTTATATGTTTATATGTATGTATTTTATTAATTGCATTTTATTACAGTATAGCCCTCTTTGGTGATCATCCAAGAGGTTTAATGTTTCCACTCTCCTAATGATAAAAACAGGATTGTCTCTATTGTCCTGCCATGAGGAAATAATGCTTTGATAAATATCTTTTTACATATACCCTTTGAGACAGGTAAATCCTCTTGCAAGACGCATACACAGGAGTGAGATTGTTGTATGAGAGGCATGTACTTAAGTGACTAAATAGTGACAAATAACTCTCCAGAATGGTTGCATCACACCACAATTCTACCAGTAGTGCATGAGGATTTTCGTATCCCCATATTGCCACCAATACTCTAGCTTTTACATTTTTCTTCCAGTATTCCTTTAAATAAGCTTTCTGCTCATTTCCCTCTTTTCTCCTTCTAGGACTCCCATAATATGTGTATTTGCATGCTTGATGGTATTCCATAGGTCCCTTATACTTTCTTCACTCTTCTTTAATTTTTTTTCTTTTTTCACCTTTAATTAACTATTTACATGACCTGTCTTCAAGTTACTAATTCTTTCTTTTGTGTGACTGTGTTTGCTGTTGAAGCTCTCCATTAAAATATTCAGTTCTGTTCTTATATAATTTTTGTGTGTTTTTTCTTAATGGTTTCTATTTCTTTATTAAACTTCTCATTTTGTTCATACATTGTTTTTCTAATTTTATTTAGTTGTCTATCTGTGTTTTCTTGCATCTTACTGAGCATCTTTAAGATGATTATTTTGAATTTTGGGGGGAAATTTGTAGATCTCCATTTGGGGTGGAGATTAGTTACTGGAACTTCATTGGTTTCCTTTGGTGGTATTATGTTTGCCTGGTTCATCATTATCTGTGTAACTTTGCATTGGTTTCTATGCATCTGAAGGAGCAAACACCTTTTCCCATCTTTATAGACTGGTTTTACAGGTAAAGATCCTCAGGATCCTCCTGTTGGGTTCCCAGGATTGACAAGATTGCTTCCAGAATTGTGGTCAACTGGAGGTAGAGCCAGGTCACATGGTTTTGCTGGGTCAACAGTGAGGTCTGTGGTTGGCAGGCCTGTTAACTGGGGCTCTAGTAGGCTTAGATTCTGTCTGTTCCCTGGGTAAATTGGACTGCCTCCTAGACCTTGGTCAGTAGGTCTGGCACTGGGATGAGGGTCTACTTTAGAGTCCACAGATTGTAGGCTAGTTACGAGATATGTGGATGAATGTGGCTTCCTCTGGGTCCTTAGGAGGGCTCCTACTGGGTCACTGGGTAGGTTCCTAGGCAGACAGTGCTGGTCCAGATTGCAGCTGAGAGAAAAGAGAACCAAGTAACAGGGCTGCCTCAGGGCCTACAGCTGAGACCCAGGTCTTCAGGCCTGCCTCTGGGTTCATGAATGGGCATGTGTCCCACTGGGTCCCTGAGTGGGCAGGCCTGCTCTCAAATCACAGATGAGAGGGCCTGGAGCCAGTATACAGTGCTGTTTTAAGATCCACAGTGGGACCAAGTTCAGCCTACCAGGGCACTTGTGAGCATTTCTCCCATTAGGTCCCTGTGAGGGCAAGACTGCTCTTAGACTGCATCATAGAGGAGCTGGTACCAGATTTCAAGGCCATTTTAGGATTCACTGTATAAGAAAGAAAGTAGCCAATCATCTTTTCTAGTTTTTTTATGTTAGTTATTTTCTTTCATTAAATGTTATAACTAATATGTATAGTTGAGGCCATGGTAGAAACAGTAGTGACAAAAAACATAACTGTCTATGCAAGATAATAGGACAAATGTTTTCCAAATGAGGAAAAGAGTAGTTTTGTCTTAAAATATCTGATTTTTCCAGAATGTGAAATGGGACAGTGAAAGAGAAAATCTGAATGAATGTGCAATAAAGTTTGCAGGAAAGGAAATTATTTCCTTCATTTATAACATTGAATCTGAAAAAAAAAACCAGTAAATTTTTTCCATAGTTGGCTATTTTTTACAATTTTTAAATGGACACAAATTCCCATTACATAACATTTATTACATTACAGTGTACAATTCAGTGGCTGTTAGTATGCTCATGGTGTTATGTAATTATTACCACTATGAAATTATGGAACATTTCCATCACCCCCAAAAGAAACTACATACATGTTAGTAGTCACTTCCTATTTTCAACAAGTAGAAATACTAATTCGTGCATTCTCTGCAAACACTAATCTACTTTATATTTTTATGAATTTACCTATTTGGACATTTCATATTAATAGAATCATAATATATGTGGCCTATGTTGTGTGGCTTCTTTCACATAGCGTGATGTTTTCAAAGTTCTTCCATGTTGTAGCATATATATAGTACTTCATTCCTTTACATGAGTGAACGATATTGAACAATATTCCAATGTATGGACATACCACATTTTGTTTATCCATTCCTCAGTTGATAGACATTTGAGTTATTCTCATTTATTAGCTATTGTGAATAATTCTGCTATAAATATTTGTATACAAGTGTTTGCATGAGCATATGATTTCATTTTTTGGGGGAATATATACAGGAGTGAATCTGTGGGTCATATGGTAGCTCAGTGTTTAACTTTTTGCAGAACTGCCAGACTATTTTTCACAGTGGCTGAAACATTTTAAATTCCCACCAGCAGTGTATGAACATCCCATTTTCTCCACATTTTTGGCAACATTTGTTATTCTGTCTATATTTAATTTTTAGAATGATAGCCATAGTGGATATAAAGAGGTATCTCTTTATGGTTTTAATTTGTATTTTCCTAGTGAATAATGATTTTGAGCATATTCTCATGTGCTTACTGACCATTTATGTATCATCTTTAGAGGAATGTCTGTTGAATTCCTTTGCCCATCTTTTAATTCAATTGTTTATCTTTTTATTGTTGAATTGTAAGAGTTCTTTACATATTTTGGATCTTTGATCTTTATCAGATATATAATTTGCAAATATTTACTCCTGTTCTGTGGGTTGTCTCTTCATGCATGATAGCGTCCTGAGACACATAGAAGTTTTTAGTTTTAATAAAATACAATTTAAAACATTTTTTGGTTCATTGTGCTTCTGATGTCATATTTAATAAATTATTGCCTAATCCAAGGTCCCAAGGATTTATACCTATGTCTCCTCCTAGGAGTTTTATTATTTTAGCTCTTACATTTGGGTTTGTAATCGATTTGAGTTAATTTTTTGTATATAATGTGTGTTAGGGGTCCAACTCCAATCTTTCTTTTGCATATGGGTATTTGTTTTTTTCATCATTTATGTTGAAAATATTATCCTTTCCCCATTAAATGTTCTTGGCACCCTTTTCAAAAATAAACTGACCAAAAATGTGTGGATTTATTTATGGACTCTCAATGTTCTTCCATTGATCTATATATCTATCCTTATGCTAGTACCATGCTGTCTTGAGATTGCTACAGCTTGTGTGGTAAGTTTCAAAATTAGAAAGTAGAAAAGCTCTTAGTTCTTTTTTTCCCTTCAACATTGTTGTGACTAATATGAATCTTTATAATATCCAAATGAATCTAAGAATCAGTCTGTCCTTTCTGTATAAAAGACGGTCGTAATTTTGATGGAATTGTGTTGAATCTGTACATCAATTTGGGGACTATCTTTGTTATCTTTATCCGATTAAGTCTTCCAACTCGTGAGCATGGAGGTATTTTAGAGTTCCTTACTCTGCCTTTTGTGCTAATGTCACCTTTGGCTTAATTTTAATTGGCTTATTAATTTAAAGGTTTATAAAAGATTACTGCCAAATATATTTATACAGAAATAATTTTACTTTCTTTTTTTTAAATGACATATTGTTTTTAGAGTGCTTAACAAAGGTTATGAGATTATTACTTACCTTTTGTTGCAATGCGTCCGTCCAGATAGCAGTTATTTGATGACTCACTAGAATATTTCTCTCTGCTTTGTGTTGACTTTACAGTTATGTTACCTTTTCTAATGCTAATTTTAAAATATTTGCTTGTCATTTTGATTACATAAGTGTAACTGAGTATTACTTCTTGGGCATATAATGCTATTTAATGGAGTAACCAGTGGCAACTCTTGCTTTTGCCTTCCAAAAATAGAATCTTAAAAAAAAATTTTTAAGTCAGTTTTAAAATCAGGTATTTGATTTTTTCCAACTGAGTTGTAGGGGTTCCTTATATATTTTGAAAGTTAACCCATTTAACCCATTATCAGATATATGATTTGAATTTTTTTCCCTCTCATTCCATAGATTTCCTATTCATTTTGTTAGTATTCCAATAGAAAATTTTGCCCTCCTCCATTCTTACATTATTGGTTATACTAATAAATTAATCTCATTATGAAGCAGATTGTTGCTTCTTTATGCTTGCTGAAGGCATCTGGAAAGAACCCTATTAGACACTGTGAACTTTGATATTTCAAACAATGGACCCTTGAATTGAATCCTCTGAGGTGTTATTCTTTTGTCAACTTTCAGACTGTACCAGTGGCTTGAGGCAGGATTTCCAAGACTCTTTTTAGTTCAGAAGCAAACATACTTCCTTAAAAAAGAATGCTTGACACAAGATCAAACAAAAGAAGAATTACTAGGACTGAAAAAAAACTGAGAAAAAAATTAAATTGTGATTACTTTTTTGGAATATGGTAGGCATTATTTTAATTACGTTTTTAATAAATACGAAAAAAGTCCTTTCTCTTTCTTTTTATACAATATGTAACTCTTAATTTAGAAGATTTTACATCTGTGGGTTGAATTAAACATTTTTAAATGATACCTGATTTTTGTGGACTCCATTAGAATTCAGAAAAAAAGAATACTTTTACTGAGTCTCCTTACTTTTCATGGCATGTAGTTATTTACATTATTTAATAAAAATCTGTTTTCCTTTTAACCTGTATATAATTGGATACATCGATACAGTTATATTAAAGTATACCTTGTGTGTTAGTATTTGAAAATACTCATTTAATCAGGCATGATAAGCCCATTATGAGAGGACTTCAGAAAGTCCTAGGTATCCTAAATATATATGTACCCAATACAGGAGCACCCAAATACATAAAGCAAGCTCTTACAGACCTATGAAGAGACATAGATTCCAACACAATAATAGCAGTAGACTTCAATAGAGCATTGACAGTATTAGATCACTGAGGCAGAAAACTAACAGAGATATTCAGGACCTGAACTTGACGCTTGACCAAATGGACCTAATAGACATCTACAGAACTCCCTACCCCAAAACAACAGAATATATATTCTTCTCATTGCCACATGGCAAATATTCTGAAACTGTCCACAAAATTGGATAAAAGAATCCTCAGCAAATCCAGAGAAGCCAAAATCATACTAAACACAGTCTCAGACCACAGTGCAATAAAAATAGAAATCAATACTAAGAAGATCCCTTAAATCCATACAATTACATGGAAAGTAAATAACATGCCCTGAATGGCTTTTGGGTAAACAATGAAATTAAAGCAGAAATCAAGAAATTCTTTGAAACGAATGAGAACAAAGATAGAAAATACCAGAATATCGGAGACACGTCTAAAGCAGTGTTAAGAGGGAAGTTTATAAGGCTAAACATTCACATCAAAAAGTTACAAGATCTCAAAGTAACAACCTAGCATCATATCTAGAGGAACTAGAGATATAAGAGTAAACCAACCCCAAAGCTAGCAGGAGAAATGAAATAACCAAAATCAGAATTTAAATGGAGGAAGTTAAGATGCAAAATAAATAAATAAATAAATACAAAAGATCAATGAATTGAGGAGTGGATTTTTGAAAGGATAGATAAGGTTGATAGAACACTAGATAGACTAATAAAGAAAAAAAGAGAGAAGATCCAAATAAGTACAATCAGAAATGAAAATGAGAATTTACCACCAACTCCACAGAAATGCAAAAGAACCTCAGATACTACTAAGGACACCTCTGTGCAAACAAACTAGAAAACCTATAAGAAATGGATAAATTCCTGAAAGCATTCAACCTCCCAAGACTGAACCAAGAAGAGACTGAATCCCTGAACAGAGCTATAATAATTTCTGATATTGAATCAGTAATAAAATGCCTACCAACCAGAAAAAGCCCAAGACCAGATTCACAGCCAAATTCTACCAGATACATAAAGAAGAGATGGTACCATTCCTATTGAAATTACTTCCAAAAGTTGAGGAGGAAGGACTCCTCCCTAAATCATTCTATGAGGCTAGCATTATCTTGATACCAAAACCTGACAGAGACAGAACAAAAAAAGAAAACTTTAGGCCAATACACTCAATGTACATAGATGCAAAAATCCTCAACAAAATATTAGCAAACCGAATCCAGCAGCACATCAAAAAGCTAATTCATTGTCAGATGTATAGATTGTGAAGATTTTCTCCCACTCCGTGGGTTGTCTGTTTACTCTGCTGACTGTTCTTTTTGCCATGTAAAAGTTCTTTAGTTTAATTAAGTCCCACCTATTTATCTTTGTTTTTATTGCATTTGCTTTTGAGTTTTTGGTCTTGAAATCCTTGCCTAAGCCAAAATCTAGAAGGGTTTTTCTGATGTTATCTTCTAGAATTTTTATGGTTTCAGGACTTAGATTTAAGTCCTTGATCCACCTTGAGTTGATTTTTGCATAAGGTGAGAGATGGGGATCCAGTTTCATTCTCGTACATATGGCTTGCCAATTATCCCAGCACTATTTGTTAAATAAAATGTCCTTTTCCCATTTTATATTTTTGTTTGCTTTGTCAAAGATCAGTTGGCTGTAAATAGTTGGGTTTATTTCTAGGTTCCCTATTCTGTTCCATTAGTCTATATGCCTATTTTTATATCAGTACCATGCTATTTTGGTGACTATGGCCTCATAGTTTAGTTTGAAATCAAGTAATGTGATGCCTCCATAGTTTTTTGTTTGTTTGTTTGTTTGTTTTTATTTGTTTGTTTTTTTAAGTCTTTCTTTGGCTATGCGGGATCCTTTTATGTTCCATATGAATTTTAGGATTTTTTTCTAGTTCTGTGAAGAATGATGATGATATTTTGATAACAACACAATTCGCAATTGCAAAATTTTGGAACCAGCCCAAATGCCCATCAATCAATGAGTGGATAAAGAAACTGTGGTATATATATGATAGAATGCTACTTAGCCATAAAAAGGAATGTATTAATGGCATTCACAGCAACCTGGATGGGACTGGAGACTATTATTCTAAGTGAAGTGACTCAGGAATGAAAAACCAAACATTATATGTTCTCGCTCATAAGTGAGAGCTAAGCTATGAGCATGCAAAGGCATAAAAATGATACAGTGGACTTTGGGGACTTGTGAGGAAAGGGTGGGAAATGGGTGAGGGATAAAAGACTACAAACTGGGTTCGGTGTATTCTGGTTGTGAGGCTGGAAAATAGGGTCTGGAGGCAGGGAACATAAGGCTGATTCACACTTCAGCTATAACAGGAAATATCCTCTCTATAAGGCGTAGGCCAAGTAAATGACTTTGTAACTTTACTTCATCTTCTTCATTTACATAGGGTGTACCCCAAGTAGAGGGTATTTAAACTCCCAAAAGTTCTGTAATGGAGCCTTTGTGTCCCTATGCTCAGTCCCGCTCTTACACCGTGGAATGTACTTTCATTTTCAATAAAACCCTTCATTCCTTCCTTGCTTTGTTAGTGAGTTTTGTCCAATTCTTTGTTCAAGACACCAAGAACCTTGGATACTCTCTACCGCTAACATTTGTGTGATGGGTGCACCAAAATCTACAAATCACCACTAAATAACTTACTCATGTAACTGAACACCACCTGTTCACCAAAATCCTATGGAAATAAAAATAAATAAATAAATGCATGCCAAAAAAAAGCTAATCCACCATTATCAAGTGGGCTTTATTCTTGGTTCAACATGCATAAATCAATAAATGTTATTTACCACACAAACAGAATGCCGAACTGAAAAACCACATGATCACCTCAATAGACGCAGAAAGGGCTTTCAATAAAAATCAAAATTCTTTCATGTTAAAAACCCACAAAATCTAGGCATTGAATGAACATACTTCAAAATAATAAAAACCATGTATTAAAAACACACAGCCAACATCATACTGAATGGGCAAAAGCTGGAAGCATTCCTCTTGAAAACTGGGATGAGACAAAGATGCCTTCTCTTACCACTCCTAATTCAACATAGTACTGGAATTCTTAGCCAGCACAATCAGGCAAGAGAAAGAAATAAAAGGCATCCAAATAGGAAGAGAGGAAGTTAAGCTCTCCCTGTTTGCGAATGATATGATTCTATATCTAGAAAACCTCATCATCTCTGCCGAAAAGCTCCTTGATCTGATAAACAACTGATACCCAAAGCAATCCTAAGCAAAAAGAACATAGCGGGAGACATCATAGTCCCCAATTTCAAACTATACTACAGGGCTACAGTAACCAAAACAGCGTGGTCCTGGTACAAAAACAGACTTCCAGACCAATGGAACAAAATGGAGAGCCCAGAAATAATGCCACACACCTACAACCATCTAATCTTTGACAACGTTGACAAAAGCAAGCAAGGGGGAAAGGACTCTATTCAATAAATGGTGCTGGAATAACTGGCTAGCCATACGCAGAAGATTGAACCTGGACCTCTTGCTTACACCATATGCAAAAATCAAATCAAGATGGATTAAAGACCTAAATGTAAAACCTAAAACTATAAAATCCTGGAAGATAACCTAGAAAATACCTTTCTGGCCATAGGCCCTTATAAAGATTTCATGATGGAGATGTTAAAAGCAATTGCAACAAAATCAAAAATTGACAAGTGGGACCTAATTAGACTAAGGAGCATCTGCACAGCAAAAGAAACTATCAACAGAGGAAACAGTCAACCTACAAAACAGAAAATATTTGCAAACTATGCATCTGACAAAGGTCTAATATCCAGCATCTATAAGGAACTTGCTTAAGAAATTAACAAGCAAGAAACAAAGAACACCATAAAAATGTGGGCAAAGGACAGGAACAGACACTTCTCAAAAGAAAACATTCATGTGGCCAATAAGCTTATGAAAAAATATTCGACATCACTAATCGTTAGAGAAATGCAAATCAAAACCACATTGAGATACTATCTCACACCAGTCAGAATGGCTATTAGATGGTGGCAATGTCATAGAGAAAAAGGAATGCTTATACACTGCTGGTGGGAATGTAATTTAGTTCACCTACTGTGGAGAGCAATTTGGTGATTTCTCAAAGATCTTAAAATGGAATTACCATCTGACCCAGAAATCCCATTATTGGGTATATACCCAAAGGAATATAAATCATTCTACCGTAAAGGCACATACATGCAGTTCATTGCAGCATTATTCACAATAGCTAAGCCATGGAATCAATCTAAATGCCCACCAATGGTAGACTGGATAAAGAAAACATGCCACATATACACTATGGAATACTACACAGCCGTAAGAAAGAATGAGATCACGTCCTTTGCAGCAAAATTGATGGAGCTGGAGACCATCATCCTAAGCAAACTAACACAGGGACAGAAAACCAAATACTGTATGTTCTCACTTATTAGTGGTAGCTACACATTGAGTACACGTGGACATAAGGAAGGAAACAACAGATGCCAGGGCCTACTTGCACGTGGAGAATGGAAGAGTGAGGATTGAAAAACTACCTATTGGGTACTATGCTTTTTACGTGGGTGATAAAATAATTATACACCAAGCCCCCATGACACACAATTTATCTATATAGCAAACCTGCACATGTACCCTTGAACCTAAAATACAAGTTAAAAAAGAACAATTTTTGGTGAGGGGAGACTCTGAAAAAAAGTATCAGAAACTCAAAAATAAGGTAAAATGATGGTAGTACATTCTTTCAATACTATTTTGGGGTAAGGGTCACTTAAGTATTATCTAGGGGAATATCCTTAGTTCATCTCATTATTTATCATAAAGATTCCAAACTTACTAAAGTTACTTTTTGACTTTTATCAAGTACCAGTATAAATCATTTCTGTCCAATGGAATAGAAACCTAAGATTTTTACCATATTGTAACATTAACCAGTTTTATACATAACATGTCATTCTTATCCTAACAGATTTTTTGTTTGTTTGTTTGTTTAATTGTATGCAAATATGTTAGTTTTTTAATATGCTCTTTGAATTGGTAATAACATCCTACTGGTTATTTCTTTGACATGTGTGTTGTTTTTACATTTGCCTAAGAATCATGGTTTTATCCTTTTCAAATTATGTTTTTACCAAAAATTTGTCAAAATAGACAGTTACCATAGTTGGCCAGGTGCGGTGGCTCACGCCTGTAATTCTAGCACTTTGGGAGGCCAAGGTGGGCAGATTGCCTGAGGTCAGGAGTTCAAGACCAGCCTGACCTCGTCTCTACTGAAAATATAAAACTAGCCGGGGGTGGTGATGTGTGCCTGTAATCCAGGTATTTGGGGTGCTGAGGCAGGAGAATCTCTTGAACCCGGGAGGCGGAGGTTGCAGTGAGCTGAGATCGCGCCGTTGCACTCCAGCCTGGGCAACAAGGGCAAAACTATGTCTCAAAAAAAAAAAAGAAAGAAAGAAAGAAAGAAAGAAAGAAAGTTACCACAGTTAATAATACTTACCTATGAGCCTCAGTATGAATTATAAAATATTTTATAGAAAAGTACTCTTTATACAATTTGACAAAGGCATTCTCTTTTATTTTCAATATTTTACTTTTTTATGCCTGCTACAAAGAAGCAATTTAAGTTTTCATTCAGCTGCTCTGTGATGTGGAAAGAGTATTTTTGGGCCAAGTGTTATTCAAGTGTACTGATGATGAAAGTCTTTTGTTAATATATGAACAGACTTTGAGTAATCAGAGATCGTTTACTGGAAATGACAAGTTTCATCTTGTCTGATTAAGTACACATTAAATCTTGGCACAGATTTTCTTAGGCAAAACTTTGCTCAACAATAATTTGAATCCACATAGAACCCTTGCCTTTAGTACCTTGAATATTCTTTGTTATTGCATTAATTCCCATTCCTAAATTTTACAAGATGTCTGAGACTATTAAGTAAAATGCATAAAGATATTTCTCATATTATTGCTGTTTAAGTGACTCCTTTACGTTTTAAAAATTCCTAAGAAAGGTCTTTTACAATACTTCTACTTTGCATTAAATAATAATCAAACCTCGCCTTGGGGGTGTGCCAGACAGATTAAAATGAATAAATCAACACTTCACCCAAACATTCATTCATAGACTTGCTTTTTTTTTTTTTTTTGAGACGGAGTCTCAATCTGTCACCCAGGCTGGAGTGCAGTGGCATGATCTCAGCTCACTGAAAGCTCTGCCTCCCGGGTTCACGCCATTCTCCTGCCTCAGCCTCCCGAGTAGCTGGGACTACAGGCGCCCGCCACCACGCCCGGCTAATTTTTTGTTGTATTTTTCGTAGAGATGGGGTTTCACCGTCTTAGCCAGGATGGTCTCCATATCCTGTCCTTGTGATCCGCCCGCCTCGGCCTCCCAAAGTGCTGGGATTACAGGCATGAGCCACCACGCCCGGCCAGATTTGCTTTTTTATTATAAATCATCTTTTAATTTTCCTTATTAACACAGAAATAAACAAGAAAATTCTTCCTGGAGAACTTTAAGAACACAAAGAGATGTGTCTTTTCTGAGATACGCTCTAAGCATGACAGAGGTCTAGAAATGGAAAGCTGAACCCCACGTCTCAGATTTTATTATTTATTATCTGGTTTTTTTTTTTGAAATAGAGATGAGGTCTCACTATGTTGCCCTGGTTGGACTCCAGCTCCTGGGCTTGAACAATCCTCCACCCTCAGCCTCTTGAGTAGCTGGAACTATAAGTGTAAGACCACTGCACTGGGCCAGATTTTAATATTTGTTTGCTTATTTTAAATTATATGAGATATTTTCTTGTCTTTTTTTTTTTTTTTTTGAGATGGAGTCTTACTTTGTTGCCAGGCTGGAGTGCAGTGATGTGATCTCGGCTCATTGCAACCTCCGCCTCCTGGGTTCAAGTGATTCTCCTGCCTCAGCCTCCTGAGTAGCTGGAAATACAGGTGTGCACCACCACACCCAGCTAATTTTCGTATTTTTAATAGAGACGAGGTTTCACCACATTGGTCAGGATGGTCTCGATCTCTTGACCTCATGGTCCACCTGCCTCGACATCCCAAAGTGCTGGGATTACAGGCATAAACCACCACGCCCAGCCAAGACATTTTCATTGTTAAGTTAAACTCTGTGGAAATATGTAAAACATGTATTCTTCCTCCACCCAACCATCTGGATCTGCTTAAAAGACAATTAAAAATTTGCTAAGTAAACTTGGCCAACGAATGAAAAGATACTATTTTAATTGGAGATTATAGTAGTTTTCTAGGACTGCCATAACAAAATACTGCAAAGTGGGCGGCTTAACACAACATACATTTATTCTCTGTTGGTTGTGGAGGCTCACAGTCCAAAATCAAGGTATTGGTAGGGTCATGATCCCACAGAACGCTCTAGGGAGAATCTGCCCCATGCCTTTCTCTTAGCTTCTGGTGTTGTGAGCAATCCTTAGTGTTCCTGTGTTTGCCCCCATCATCACACAGAGTTTTCCTTGTGGTCTGTCTGCATCACCTTTCCTCTGTACACGTATCATTTCTTCTTACAGGACACCAGTCCTACCGGATTAGGGACCCACACTACTCCAGTATGACTTTATCTTAACTTACATCTTAATTACAACTCCATGGACCCTATTTCCAAATAAAGCGACATTCGCAGGTACCAGGCGTTAGGACTTCAACATATCTTTTTTGGGGACACAAATCAAACTACAACAAAGATCATTTGTATTTACCTTTCTGATAATTGTTAACAGTTCCTTTTGCAAGATAGAGGCCATGATTTCCCATGTAGAGCTCACTGAATGTATAAAATGTACTTTCAAACAAGTTTTGCTCAAAGTCCCAATAAATAACCATTTTTTTCCTTCTCGTTTATTTGACTTTGGGAAAATATCAAAATCTTCTTCCTTAAAGTGTTTGTGAAACATTAAGCAACTCAAACCAGGTTCGAGTCAAAATGATTTTTCTAGCTCATGTTTCCTACTGGTGTGTGCTAACACCTTAGTGTTACTCCATTTCTCCTCTAATTCCCTACCTACAGGAATACGCTTACTCAGGCACTGACACACTTAATCACCCCTTTGTTTTAATGAGTGCCTACAACCTTCCCAGCACTGTGTTGGGTGAACAGGCTGCACAGACATGATTAAGATACAGGTTTGGCTTTCAAAGAGGTATGAGTATATGGATGAGAGGAAAATAAATCATTTTTTTCTTTTTTAAAATTATTATACTTTAAGTTCTAGGGTACATGTGCACAATGTGCAGGATTGTTACATATGTATACACGTGCCGTGTTGGTGTGCTGCACCCATTAACTCGTCATTTACATTAGGTATTTCTCTTAATGCTATCCCTCCCCCATCCCTCCACCCCGCGACAGGCCCCAGTGTGTGATGTTCCCCATCCAAGTGTTCTCATTGTTCAATTCCCACCTATGAGTGAGAACATGCGGTGTTTGCTTTTCTGTCCTTGTGATAGTTTTGCTCAGAATGATGGTTTCCCGCTTCATCCATGTTGCTACAAAGGACATGAACTCATCATTTTTTATGGCTGAATAGTATTCCATGGTGTATATGTGCCACATTTTCTTAATCCAGTCTATCATTGATGAACATTTGGGTTGGTTCCAAGTCTTTGCTATTGTGAATAGTGCCACAATAAGCATACATGTGCATGAGTCTTTCTAGCAGCATGATTTATAATCCTTTGGGTATATATCCAGTAATGGGATCGCTGAGTCAAATGGTATTTCTAGTTCTAGATCCTTGAGGAATCGCCACACTGTCTTCACAATGGTTGAACTAGTTTACAGTCCCACCAACAGTGTAAAAGCGTTCCTATTTCTCCACATCCTCTCCAGCACCTGTTGTTTCCTGACTTTTTAACGATCGCCATTCTAACTGGTGTGAGATGGTATCTGCTGTTTGGCACTATGCTTCTTGGACACACCAATGTATCTCAGGATTTACTTGTCTGTAAAGGATTTTATTTCTCCTTCACTTTTGAGGCTTAGTTTGGCTGGATATGAAATTCTGGGTTGAAAATTCTTTTCTTTAAGAATGTTGAATATTGGCCCCCACTGTCTTCTGGCTTTTAGGGTTTCTGCTGAGAGATCCACTGTTAGTCTGATGGGCTTCCCTTTGTGGGTAACTCAACCTTTTTCTCTGGCTGACCTTAGCATTTTTGCCTTCATTTCAACCTTGGCGAATCTGACAATTTTGTGTCTTGGTGTTGCTCTTCTTGAGGAGTATCTTTGTGGTGTTCTCTGTATTTCCTGTATTTGAATGTCGGCCTGCCTTGCTAGGTTGGGTAAGTTCTCCTGTATAATATCCTGAAGAGTATTTTCCAACTTGGTTCCATTCTCCCCATCACCTTCAGGTATACCAATCAAACGTAGATTTGGTCTTTTTACATAGTCCCATATTTCTTGGAGGCTTTGTTCATTTCTTTTTACTCTTTTTTCTCTAAACTTCTCTTCTTGCTTCATTTCATTCATTTGATCTTCAGTCACTGATACCCTTTCTTCCACTTGATCGAATCGGCTACTGAAGCTTGTGCATGCATCACGTAGTTCTCATGCCATGGTTTTCAGCTCCATCAGGTCATTTAAGATCTTCTCTACCCTGTTTAGTCTAGTTAGTCATTTATCTAATCTTTTTTCAAGGTTTTTAACTCCCTTGCGATGGGCTCAAACATCCTCCTTTAGCTTGGAGAAGTTTGTTACTACCAACTTGCTGAAGCCTACTTCTGTGAACTCATCAAAGTCACTCTCCATCCAGCTTTGTTCTGTTGCTGGTGAGGAGCTGTGATCTTTTGGAGGAGAAGGGGCGCTCTGGTTTTTAGAATTTTCAGCTTTTCTGCTCTGGTTTCTCCCCATCTTTGTGGGTTTATCTACCTTTGGTCTTTGATGATGGTGACCTACAGATGGAGTTTTTGTGTGGATGTCCTTTTTGTTGATGTTGATGCTATTCCATTCTGTTTGTTAGTTTTCCTTCTAACCATCAGTTTCCTGAGCTGCACGTCTATTGGAGTTTGCTGGAGGTCCACTCCAGACCCTGTTTGCCTGGGTATCATCAGCAGAGCCTGCAGAACAGCAAATATTGCTGTCCGATCCTTCCTCTGGAAGCTTCATCTCAGAGGGGCACCTGGCTGTTTGAGGTGTCAGTCAGCCCCTACTGGGAGGGTCTCCAAGTCAGGCTACACGGGGGTCAGGGACCCACATGAAGGGGTAGTGTGTCCATTCTCAGAGTTCAAACACCATGCTGGGAGAACCACTGCTCTCTTCAGAGCTGTCAGACAGGGATGTTTAAGTCTGCAGAAGTTTCTGCTGCCTTTTGTTCAGCTATGCCCTGCCCACAGAGGTGGAGTCTACAGAGGCAGGCACGCCTCCTTGAGCTGAGGTGGGCTCCACCCAGTTTGAGCTTCCTGGTCGCCACTGCTTTGTTTACCTACTCAAGCCTCAGCAATGGCGGATGCCCCTTCCCCAGCCAGGCTTGCTGCCTTGCCATTCAATCTCGGACTAGCAGTAAGCAAGGCTCTGTGGGTGTGGGACCCACTGAGCCAGGCATGGGATATAATCTCCTGGTATGCTGTTTGCTAAGACCTTTGGAAAAGTGCAGTGTTTCGGTGGCAGTGTCCTGATTTTCCCAGTACAGTCTGTCACAGCTTCCCTTGGCTAGGAAAGGGAAATCCTCGACCTGTTGTGCTTCCCGGGTGAGGCGATGCCCTGCCCTGCTTCGGCTCGCCCTCTGTGGGCTGCACCCACTGTCCAACTAGTCCCAGTGAGATGAACCAGGTACCTCAGTTGGAAATGCAGAAATCACCCGTCTTCTGATGACTATCCATAATGCAAATAGGAACTATTATCTTGCTTAAAACCTTTCAATGACATCCATCAACAAATGAGAAATATTGTTCTAGTTTTTCACTATCTTGTGAAAATCGTTTGCCTCCATGTATACGTTGTTTTATTTTTCAACTTATCCTACTATATATGTCTATGAAGCTAATCTTTAACTTGGTACTTCAGTCCAAAATTAGAAATTAAGTCAGAATTAGAATTTGCTTCATGTGAATTGAATAAATATAAAATGAGTCTGAATAGGGAAGATGAAATGCAAAAAATTGACACTTGTGCTTAAAACCTTTTATATATTCATAACCTTAAAACCTTTTATACATTTATATATTCAATGCAATTCCAAACAATACCTAGTTGACTATGGGGATAATGAACTTAAAAGATTCTAGAGTTTTAACTTGAACAAATAATGATCTTAGTAATTGTATTAGTCCATTCTTGCATTGCTATAAAGAAATACCTGAGATTGGGTGATTTATAAAGAAAGGAGGTTAGTTGGCTCACAGTTCCACAGGCTGTCCAAGAAGCATGATGCTGGCCTCTGCTAGGCTTCTGGGGAGGCCTCCAGAAACTTACAATCATGGCAGAAGGCTAAAAGGGAGCAAGGCTTCTAACGTGGTGGGAGCATGAGCAAGGTGTGGGGGAGGTGCTACACACTGTTAGATGACCAGAACTTGCTAGAACTCTATCATGAGAACACCACCAAGGGGATGGTGCTAACCCATTAATGAGGGATTCACCCCCATGACCTAATCACCCCCCACCAGACCCCACTTCCAATTCTGGGGATTACAATTCAACATGAGATTTGGTGAGGACACAAATCAGTGATGCAAAGAAAAAGTGAAAACAGAGAAATGAAAAGACATCAGCCACAGTAGTTTTTAAAACATTTTATTAAGCTACAGCAATTCAAATATTGTAATCCTTATGAAAGAATAGACCAGGTACTCAATGGACTAGAATAGACCATTCAGAAACAAGCCTTAGTATACGTGATAATTTGTGATAAAGGAGGCATGTTTTATTAGCAGGGAAAGATTGAGTTGGTCAATCAATATTAATAGGGCTATTAGAAAGCTACATGGAAAAAAAAGTTAATTTAGATACTTTCTTGCTCACCACCCAATAAACAAGAAAATAATTTGAGATGGAATTAAATGGAAAAATCTGCAGCAGGACTTTTGCTTCCACACATGCAGGATTTCATCACCACAAAAACTCTCTAATGCTACTCACTTACGGTCACACCCATCCCACTCCCGTACTCTCTGTAACCCCTAGTAACCACGAATTTGTTTTTCGTCTCTATAATTCTGTCATTTAAGGAATGTTGTATAAAAGAAATCATTCAGATTGTGACCTTTTGAGATTGGCTTTTTCCCCACACAGCCTAATGCTTCTGAGATCCACTTAAGTCGTTGTGTATGTCAGTCGTTTGTTCCTCTTCGTTGTCCAGCAGAACTATGTCGTATGGTTGCCAAACCATTCATCTACTGATGAACTTTTTGTTGTTTCCAATGTTTGGAAAAACTGTTTTCTTTTTCCTTTTTGTGGTTTAATTGACATTTTTAAAAATTCCGCTTTAATTCATCTATAGTGTTTTTGAGTGTACCTCTTTGTATAGCTTTTCTGTGATTTAATAAATGCTAGGGAGAATAGATTCATATTCAGAAAAGTGAATATGATATTGATAAAGAACAAAAGAAAAGATAGAGTTATAAATGCCATAAATTTATTCAACATACAAATTTTGTGTATTTCCAATGATCTTCCCTTCTTTCTCTCACTGTCCTCTCTATTGATGAGTCTGTTCTTCATTTCTGGAGAAGTTCACCCAATGAGGTCCGTAAGTTGCTGTTTTCAAGCATTTCTTTATTCAGATTCTAAGTAGTAAAAGAAAAGGGAGAAAGGGAAATTATGTGACCTACTTAAGAATAATTCTTTATATTTCAGTTATAAATACTTGAACTTAGTAACTTTTAATTATTTTTAATGATAGGGATGTTCTCCGTGTTTTCATATTTTAAAATGGAGAAGCAAAGGTTTCATGGCAAATTCTATGTCAAAGATGAACCCTGTCAATCAGCCTAAAGGAAGGTCTTATAGACCACACCTTTCATGCTGTGCTATATGGATAATTACAGTGACAAGTTTTTTGACTTTAGTATACACTTAGAAATATCCTAGAAAGGCTATAGGGGATGAATATATCACCACTGGGTATAGAATGGAAACTACATGTTAGATAATTTAGTTTTTACATATGGGAAATTCTTGGATTCATCTTCAAACAAGTCACCCCAGACACCAGTAATTGTATTTAACTTGCATTTTTTTCTGAGAAATTTTATAATACATTTGATATAGTTCAATTTATACATGGTACATCAGGGTTTTTTTAGGATATGGAAAGGGTACAGTCTTCTCAAGAAGCAGCCTTATGCAGAGAACTGAGATGCTTATTTATTTTGAAGTTGGGATTAGACTTTACTGTTTAACTGAGATGCTTATTTATTTTCTTTCAAGTGGCATTAGATTGAATCATTTATACTTTACCAGCACTGCAAGGGGCATTGTATTCTTCAAAGGTGAATTCATCTGAAACACAGAAATTATTGGAGAGAAAGAGTGAAGACATTCAGGCATAAGCACCCAAGATGTGAATTGTAAATAAACTATGTAAGCTAAGAAAGAAAGTAGACAGCATCGCTATAGAACCAATAAAAATGACTTCTCTATTAAGCTATTTGGGATTGGTGGGAGGAAACTAAGAGAAAATCTGGCTTGGGAACAGAATTGAAAGGCCGGGTACACGGGTGGCATGCCTAAGAATAGTTACAGTAGTTACAGGACTCCGTAGATAGTACCTTTTCACAGCTGTGTTTTTCTCATTGGAATTGCACCTTGCTCTCTGAACCTTTCCTTAATCAAAGAAGAACAGTTTTAGCACTACCATCATGCTACAATGGTGGTAATTTTCTAGCTCAAAGCCATGAGCAAATCAAAGTATTTCCTGATTATCACAAAGTTTCCCAAATTGTGTGAGACTATCCGAAGCACAAGTCAAAAACAGATCAAATTTTTCATGTCACACATCAGCACTGAGATGTGTTTTTTCAGTTATTGTACTCTTCTTATCTCTTTGGAGTAATTCAGCCCAGGACAAACAACTTTATAGGGAAATTTAGATAGAAGATAGAATGGACCCTCTTATTGCCTTATGGTCAATTTATAAGAATGACTCTAACACTTGTTTAGTGGGGGGACATGAGAGGTTAATATACAAGAACATGATTATCCAGTGCACACAAACTCACTTTTTCCCCCAGTGAAACACTGTGGAGTTTTGCTTTAGTTAAGGCAATCCTTTACTAGGTTAGTAGTCTTTTTTTTTTTTTTTTTTTTTCATTTCAAAGCTCAGCATGTCTGAATCTTACCTGTCTCATAATAATCATAGGCTTTTACTGTAGCTGGTTTTAAATTCTTTATTTGGATGTCTTGTTCCACAAAGAAGGAAAAATGCAGGGTTTGATGGGTTAGCTGGAGAGACAGGAAAACAATTGGAATCAAAGATTAGTTAATCTTTGATTAACTAGTTACTAGTTACTGGCCACTCTTCATAAGATATTATCAAACCCTGTAGTTATGCTATATATCTGTACCAGAACCTATGAAAAGAAAGGGGAATTCTGTGACCTGCATAACATACTCAATGACAGATAAAAGAAGGACAAAAGAGACATTTTGTAGACAGCCAAATGTAATGAATCAAGCCTGTTGACAGTCCAGGCTTCATTTCTTTTTTCCTTTTCTTTTCTCTTCTTTTTTTTTTTTTTTTTTGTGGGGGGGACCAAGTCTCGCTCTGTCGCCTAGGCTAGAGTGCAGTGGCACGATCTCGGCTCACTGCAACCTCTGCCTCCCAGGTTCAAGCGATTCTCCTGCCTCAGCCTCTCAAGTAGCTGGGATTACAGGCACCTGCCACCGCCCCCAGCTAATTTTTGTATTTTTAGTAAAGATGGGGTTCCACCATCTTGGCCAGGCTGGTCTCGAACTCCTGACCTCATGATCCACCTGCCTTGGCCTCCCAAAGTGCTGGGATTACAGGTGTGAGCCACTGTGCCCGGCCGGCTTCATTTCTTTTTATAGAACCTCTAGTTGTTATTCCAAATCTAGCAGAGTCACAGAAAGTCTTACCTTTTCAAAGTAGATTGGGACATGGTTGGTGCTCACTTCAGTCCTCTGAATCTGAGGCTGTTTCTGGAGCTGTTGACCAAGAGGATAAGCCAGAAATATGGAATGAGAAAACTTCATACTGGCAGTAGTTTTCAGGTATTTATGATATAAACAGCTTCTCAGGAGCATCCAAACTACTAATTTTGATTTCTTCAAGAATAATAATGAAAATAACAGTAGCAATATTTATTGAACTTTTATTCTCTATATATGCTATAAGTGTATGTGCAGATACATATATGTGATATATATATGCATGCACACACCCATATATCCTTTTCTCTTTTTATATATAGCTGGAAAATAATTCAATACCATTCCACATAACTAGGTGTCTTGGGGCCTGTTGGAACATTATTTATCATGTTTCTGACTTATACCCTATACTTGACACCATATAATCATGATACACACTATTAAAATGATAGAGACACCCTCTAGAGAAGCAATTTTGAGGGAGCACACCTCTTGAAAAGTGCATCAATAAAGTCAAATTGACACGATAAATGCCAGCATTTACCATGGCTTTGCTATTTTGTAAGGGATCTAGGGATTACCTTTTTAACTGATGCTCTCATAGGTATGAAGCCTGATACCATCTTCACATCAACAATGACCATGTTGGAACTGGGTCAGTCCCCAGTATAACTATAAAATCAAAGCATAAGAATAAGGAATTCAAACAAAATTTCTTGGAATTCATTCAAGACAAACTCTCTCTTTACCTTCTATTTCTAACACTAAGTTACTATGTCTACTGTATCTGTTTCTGTTATTATGGTTGTTTGGAAAACCCATCATTTTAAGCTCACACTCTTCAGATATTGTAATACCATATTATCAATGTTAAGTCTTTTTCAGAAAATTTTCTCATTAATAAACACTGCAAGAATTCCATATTCATTATGTGTGGCTTTGGACAGTGGAGTTTCTCCACATAAGAAAATCAATTTCTCCATATTCTATTCGGTTGGTGCAAAAGGTCTGGTCATGATCTAGGACTTACCTAATGTTGATGTGAATCTGGAACGTTCTGTGAGCATCCATTCCATCACAATTTGTGGGGAGAGTATTAACCTGCAGAGCAAAAGGTGTTTTCCCTTCTTTCTTGGGAAGGATGTTATATCTCAGGCATGTCTAAAACAAATGGAAAAAAAATCCTTAATTTTTACACTGAACTTGTCTCATAATCTGTTCCAGACGATTCATACCTTCCCTTAGCACACACTTCTTTTTCTTATTTTGAAATTCAAATATAACTCTTGAGACTTTCTCTCCCATTTGCAGCATCTCCTAAACCCCAGCAGTCTCACCTGGAGGTACACACATCCTGACCCTGACATGGTTGTGCTGTACTCCCCTGGAACCTCTGGCAACTGGACCTCCTGCAGCACTAGGCAGTTGCCATCATCAACTTGGAAGTCTTTAGAAAAGGTGTCTGAAGACTTGATGGTGACCAAAGCTGCTTTCTCACTTTTAGTGAAAGTTGCTGTTCCATATTTGGAGAGCGCTTGAAGAGCCACCACTGTGTCCTGAAAAAAAAAATGAGTAGAGAAATCACAGAAGAGGAAAGTAACAAACTCACACTGGATGTAAACCATAACAACACTATTCTTTTTTCAGAATTATTTAGTCATAAATGCAGTCCACTAACTCTATTTCAATTCAGTTCAATCTGGTTAGTAATGATAAACTATTCTAGATACTTTGAAGGTATATTTTTAAAAAGTTTCTTCATTCAGCTAGTTTAAATAGACATATGGAGATAAGACTTAGATATCTGACACAAGCCCAGGCTATTTCAATAATTTATAAATTTATGTAACAATATTTGTTATAAAAGGTCAGAGAAGAGAGAAGAAAATATGGGTTAGAATAGTAAGAGAAGACCGAAGAAGGTTATCTGAGAAATAAGATTATCTCTGAATAATGAGCAGGGTTTATGTAGACAGAAGAGAGGCATCGGGGGGGGGACCTGGGTGGGGAATGCTCTATATGAAGTCATGGAAACTGCGGTGAGCTAATTCCAGAAGAAGCAAAGGGATCTGCCTAATCAGATTGGTGCACTCATGTTTACTGGAGAGAGGAAATATTTTTGATAAAATATTAGATAATTTTAGGCTTTGAGTGAAAAAAAGATTTATTTTCTAAGGGAAGTAATCCCTTGAAAATATTGCTTTGTGAAGACAAACCTACCTGCATGGTTGGGGGGCCCCTAGGGAGTTAAGAGAGGAGAGAGTATAAAAAGGACAGAGCAGTAATCCATACATAAGATAGTAAGGCTGGAACTTGTCTGCTGATGGAGGGATGGAGAAAGTGTGAATTGGAAATACTAACCATTCCATTATTCAACTCCCAGATGGTTGTGTCTTCATATATGTGAATATATTTATGTTTCCTTCTAGAGTCTTCCCACAGACCTGAGTGGAGGAGAAGCCCCCTTGGGGATTTTGCTGCTTGGTAATCCACTTCACAATACGTGATGCCACAGACAGGTCCTCTGAAGATGGGGCAGGCTGGACAGTAAGATAGGCAAGGAGCACATAAGATGTCATCTCTACTTCCACAGAGGGAGCCCAGGGTTGAGAATAGAGGGTCTTAGCTTCGTGAAGTTTCCCAGGACGTTGCCAGTGGATCGAATCCTCTTTGACATAGAAAAGGGTAGAATTTTTAGCTTAAAGGATGATTTCAAAATCTAATCCATAAGTGATAATTATAATTACAGTTTACCTAATAAATTGACATTTCATTTTAATGAAGTGAAAGCATTAAACAAAGTGAAAGCATTAAATAGTCACTATCAAACAAATCTTTATCAAGAAAGTAAAGTTCCAGGGAATAACATTGAGCCTTTGTGTCTACTACATGTGTGTGTGTGATATTAGAAGGTGGGACTGTATAGAGTCTATACTGTGTGGATTAATAAAATGATCCATGTTATCCAGAGAATTCGGGTCTTAGATCAATGATAATTATTCTGTCATTAAATTAAGATAGCATGGTAAGCATGAGCTCGGTAGAGGTATTGTCCCTTCTTTTGGTCACTGGTGGTTGTCAGAAGTAAACTTTGCAGTAGCAGCTCTTACCTTCTTTCATAGCCTCTCTGTTTAATGATTCAAGCAACTCTCTTCGCTTGACTTTGTTTCCTGCTAGGGCAAAGGCATAGGCCAATAATGCTTTGGTATAGACAACACTTCCTTGGGCCTCTGAGGTGGAGCTCCAGGCCGTTTCAAGGCAGGATAGGGCACTGCAGACCACTGCGTGCTATGAAGAAGACGAAAGGCTATTGTAAAACAGCAGAACCAGGCAAATGAGCTATTCCCGGGCTAACTGCAGATTAAAAACCTTAATGTGCCTGTATAACCTCACAGTTCTGACCAGAGAGGAGTTTCCTCTGCTGCTTCCAAAAGGATCTGGTCCTTTACATTCCAGTGAAATGTACCAAAATTAAATACCATAAAAATCACAATTAATTTCCCTCAGGGATTCACCATATTATAATTTTATTCTTTACGTGTGTGAAGGAGGTACAGAGGATGTGCTTGAACATACAGTGGCAGGCAGAGGCATCTCCAGCAAAGCAATGGTGATGTAGGCAGAGAATGTCACCTCATCGTTCACCCCACCGTGTAAGGATCAGAGGCAGAGAGACTCAAACACTTCAACAGTCATGAGACAGCATCTGCTAACACTTCTTTTCTTTTTGACATCTTCACTAGAGTGTTTCTTGTCTTGTGCTAGATTGTTTCTTGTCTTGTGCTAGATTGTTGATTTTCTCCCCTTCCTCCTCTACCCTAAAATTCTTGAGTCTGTCCCAGATCACCTTCCCTCACTTTTTATAGTATGTTCGGCTTTGAGGTTTTTTTGAACACTATTTTCATTCAATAAAAAACTACTAAGGTATTGCTAGATTTCAGGAGATTTAGAGTCCACCATTCTTCCTGAAATCTATGTCGCTAAGACTGAAGGACTCAATTCAAACATCATTTCCTCCCACATATCACTATCTTCAGGGACCAGAAGAAAAACAGAGAAGGCATCACCTTAATGGCATTGTTCAGCAGTGATCCAGAGCCTTCGAAAAAACCATCTGCCTTTTGTCCCTGTGAAAGCCAGGTGAGGGCATCCCTGATGTGTGAGCTCTCCACAAAGATGTACGATTGGGCTTGAGCAAAGGACTTGAGCACAAATGCAGTGAGCCCGTCGAGCAAAACAGAAACACACACATGAGGACCACCTCACTTTCATAGCTCACTTTGTGCACTGCCTCCAGACATTGCTCTTCACAATTCAGTGGAGGAGATTACTGGGAGGTATTGATGGGGAAATAGTATTTAAGAGCTGAATATACTCTAGTCCAACAAACACCTCAATATCTTTTATTATATCTCAACTTTATTGGTTTCTCTGAGTTGATGCTTTTTAATTTTTTTGTTGTGAAACATTTGTTGGAGCCTCCAAGCCTCCCCACCATGAAAACTGCATTTCCAGAATGACTTGTCCTGACTTTACTGCATCACGGTCTCCTTCTGTCCTCGCCCTCCCCTCCTTCTTTAATGCACAGTGTGGGAGCTTCTTCCCCTGTCATTTTATAGAATGACATTTTCTGCTTTATATTTCCATTTAGAAGATCCTTATTTCACCATTTTCAGCTGTGTTATCACAGCAGGTAAGCTTTCAGAGATGAAACGGTGAGATTACCCAACAGGAATGATACATACAGCATATGCGTTATTTAAAGACTAACAATTTTCCACAAAAAACTCCAGATATTAGAGAGTAGCTGTTTCTAGAATCCTGAAATGTCATGGATCTACAGAGAGCATAGGGAAAAAATAATCTTGTTTCCCTGACTGCTACCATCATTGTCCCCAAAGGTGCTGTAGGAACCATCTCTGTGCTTATAATTCAATTGCCTTTGGTACCCTGAAGAGGAAGTGTTCATAGATTTATTGAAATGGCAAAGACATTGGAGGATTATTGAGCTTTTTTCTCAGTGCTATTAGGAATCATAGGGTAACTAATATTTAGTTAAAATTTCCCGCAACCCCCAATCACAGGCTTGATGATACTATTGAATTTTCTACTTGTATATTGGGACATTTTATTGAAAATCACGACAATGACTATCGAATCTTAATGAAACAGATGTTGATTTTCGTTCACCAAAAAATATTTAAGAGATTATGGCTCTTCTTTTTGAGGTAATCTCTCACCACTGATGAGGTAGCTAGTGGCTTTGGCCTTGATCTTCTCTGTCAGCTGTCGTGTCTCATTTAGATAGTTTAGAACATAAATGTTAGGGACAAAAAGGACCATATTCTGCTCTCCACAACCATAGGGCATCTGAAGAAGGTTCTGAAGGTTTTGCACTACAGAGCCTAGTATATCACCTGTGGAATAAAAGTTGTAAAGAAATCAGATATGGTTTGTATTAGGCTAGGAAAATAGATTATTAGCTAACTGAGAGGCCAAATAACCTATAGAGAAAAGGACAAGAAGACTAAAAAAGGTGAAAAAACAAGAAATAGGGAGGAAAACAAAAGGTGAGAAAATAGACGGTTTAAGGATGGAGAAAGGGGGGAAGAAACTGAATGGTAGGTGATCTATCTTTTCTCATGGGCCACATGTCTGGTAAAACTCAACCACAACCATTTTCAAACTGACTAGGAAGCATTACCACCTAGTAAATTGCTTGAAGATGAGGGCACTGAGAGGTGACCCTTTCTTTTTAGAATATATCAAGGCATAATATGTAGCACAACATCTATTCAAGCCCCTTTCCAACTGTAACATAGTGTAACCCTTAGTGCTTTCTCTCAATCCATTGCCTGTTGTCAGAAACTTCATTAATCGTGGATGGTGAGGCCCATGCACTAGAATTATACAGCCAGACAGCTGCTTCCCTTGGGCTGAAAGAATCACCTAAAACTGAATATGTTGCCCTTGGAGATCCTTCAACCACATTTGAAGGAACATTCAGTGACACCTTTTCAGGTACTCCAGTATCTAATGAAAGAAGAAAAACACACATATAAAGGAGGGGAAAGTGAGAGAAATGTTCTATTTTTGTTATGAATCATGTTTCTCTACATCATCTAGATCCAACCTTTTATTTTCCTTCGTCATTATATAACTTTTTTTTTTTTTTTTTTTTTGTGATAGAGTCTCCCTCTGTCACCCAGGCTGAAGAACAGTGGCGTGATCTCACTGCAACCTCTGCTTCCCAGGTTCAAATGATTCTTGTGCCTCAGCCACCTAAGTATCTGGGATTACAGGCATGCACCACCACACCTGGCTAATTTCTGTATTTTTTATAGAGACAGAGTTGGCCAGGCTGGTCTTGAACTTCTGATCTCAAGCGATTTGCCTGCCTCCATCTCCCCAACTGCTGAGATTACAGGTGTGAGTCACCATGCCTGGCTCAGTTATTACATAATTTCTTTGATACAATCCAAGTTTCCCTTAAAGCCATGATTCATCTCTCAGTGAAATTCATATTCATCATATACATTTGTGCTAAATTTCTATGGCTTTTCCTATGGGCATATACTTATGGTATGCTTATTTCCTTCTCTTCATGGTTTATATTAATTCCTGCTACTGTTAGTGCTTTTCAAGAATTACATTCATTCCATTCATTTGTATTCAGTGTATACTATGTACCAGGTTCTAAGTGCAATGATACCGAAAGTTTCAAAACAAATTTCCTGGCCTCCTGGAGATTTCATTTTTAGGGGAAGACTACGATAAAAAAGCAAGAGTATATTTAGTATACTAGATGTTGATAAGTGCTATAGAGAAAATTAAAGCAGGGCAAGTGTTTCTATGGTGAGCTAGTAAAACAAGGCAGGTCAGGAAGTGGGGAGGGGGCTCCCTATGGAAAAGCTCATTGATAAAAAGTCCTGTGTGAGCAGAGACTTTAAGTAAGTCAAGGAGCCAGATTTATCCAAACCTGGGGGAAGATACTTCCAGGAAAAAGGAACAAAAAGTAAAAGGACTCCAGAGACTGAAGCATGCTGGGTGTATTCCAATAGGAAGAAAGAGGTCAGTGTGGCCGGAACGGGTTAAGCGAAGGAGAGATTAGGAAGACGTGAAGTCATGGGGTAGCAAGGGTTTCTAAGTGGCATTAAAAACTTACGCTTTAACTTAGGGGGGATATGGGAGATTCCTGAAAGGGTTAGAGAAGAGGAGGGACACGATCTGACACATGTTTTAAAGGATCCCTCTCGCTGAAGGGGAACAAGAAGAGATGATCAGGAGACCAGTTAGAAAGCTATTGAGAGCCTGCAAGAGAAAGGACTAGAATAGTAGAGATGGAGAGAAGTGGGTAGATTCTGGATGCAATTTGAAGGTGGAATCGACTAGATTTGTGCATGGATTGGGTAGGGAAGATAGGGGAAAGAATGTAGTAAAGAACTCCAAAGTGTTTCTCCCTAGCAAATAGAAGAATGGATTTTTCATCATCTGAGATGAAGGAAATTGAGGGAGGAGCAGGTTTGTGAGGACGAGCAGATACTCAGTCTTAAACTTGCTGATTTTGATATGCCTATGAGACCTACAAGCCTGTAAGTGGAGAGTGGGCAGTTGAATACATGAGTTTGAGTTCAGGAAAAAGGTGTGGATCAAAGTTGTACAGTTTTGGACACAAGTACATAGTTGTTATTAAAGCCATTGACTAGATGATTTTATCAAGGGATCCTCGTATAGAGAAGAGAGATCTGCAGACTGAGCATTATCGTCAAGATGATTATAGGTGGCACAGAGTTGGGTTTTTAATGATAATTTAAATAAACTTAAAAAAGTGTTAGCTTTTCCCCTTCTCTTTCAATATAGTGGTAATTTTTGTATTGCTATATTAATGATATTGGTAAAATACTGGTTTTCTATACAAGTTAGTAACCTGGAGTTCCTCTTAAAATAACTTGTTTAAGTAAAAACATGAGTGCATTTAAACTGTCAATTGAACAGTAAATCATACTAGTGTCACACAGATATTTCAATATTTTGAACATGGTTTAGGAAGACATTTGAGAAACACAGAGGTATCAGAAAGAATCCTGTCCTGAGGTCAACAGCCTTAGACCTTATTATTAGGCAAGAGCTTTTAAGCTTTTAAGCAAGTCTTTTATTTCTCTATGCCCATTTCTTTATTCTTAAAATACAATAATAATAATTTATCCTAAAAAGTACTTTCTATTTATTTCCCTAAGAGGCTCATTCCAAGTGATTTTCATCAGAACAATGTTTTTCTTTTTTTTTTCTTTTTTTTTTTGCTAGAACAACTCAGCAAAATAAAATTCCTGTTTATTGTTGGACAACATTGTTTCACACATACATCAAACAGGCCAAAAAATAAAAATAAACAGCAACTTCATAGACAAAAAAGGAAAAAAAAGAAACCTTTTATCTTTGGCCTTTTTAACCATCTCATACAAACCAACTACTTATAGTACAGCTAAGTACATACACAAAAAAGTTACTGGAATGCTCGGAATAAGATGGTTTTTCTGTTGTCATTTTTGCATTTTTTACAAGTTTTTTTTTTCTCCTTTGAGATTATAATGAACATGGCCACACCACAAGTAAAGTGAGAAGTAGGACAGAGAACGCTCCGAAGGCTGGTTTGGTCATCCGAGATCATTAAAAATGGCCGACCCTAACAATATGTACAAAAATATAAAATGTAAATAAAAAATACAAGTTTCCTTTTTAAACTACTTTTAAGAAAAAAAAAAAGCAGGGCCTTGGAAGTTTTGGTTCTTTTTCCCTCCCCTGTTGCAAATTCTCATGGTTTGGGTTGGGTGGTGGAGAGCGCGTGTCATCTGCGGGTGGCACTGCCCACGGTGGGCGGGCGGGCCCCTCTACTCGAAGGTGACCACGTTTAGATTCTGAGACGGGAAGTGGAGGGTGAATAGGTCACGGCGGCCTTTTTTTTTTAGTTTAACTTTTCCTTTTTTGCCGTCTGGTCATCCTCGTCGGTCTTCTGCTTCTGGGTATCGACATCGTTATCCTCATCATCTTCAGCTGCCCGCTTGCCCGTAGCTGACTCAGCTCCCTCATCTTCATCTCCATCCTCTTCCTCACCATCACCTTCTTCCTCCCCACCTTCTTCCTCTTCTTCATCTACCTCGTTGTCAGCCTCCGGCTCCCCATTTTCCTCATTAGCATTCCCGTGAGCAGGGGCGTCTCTTCCATTTTCCGCCTCTTCCACAACTTCCTTCTTCTCCTTTAAGTCCTCGGTGGTGATTTCGGAGCTGGTGTCTACGGCTGCGTCTGACATGGTGGGGCACGCCGGTGACGCGATGCAGGGGATAAAAAAGAAAGCGACAGTTCAGGGACTCTGGCGATAAAGCTGCCGGAGTCCGCGGCGGCGGAGGCGGCTGCGGCGAGCAAGGAGGCTGACGACGCACAATGCAAAGACGGCTTTTCAGAGCAGCCAGTGGGGCAGGACAATGTTTTTCATCAAATGTCCTTAGATTTGGAGGAGGGTAAGAGTTGTTTTTTTTTTCTCTCTCTCTCTCAGAGAAAAGCATGCCCCCAAAAGACATTCCACAACTGCATACTCTGGCAAGTCACTTAACATGAAATTTTTCTCTATATATTACACTTACCTGATGCACAGGGCAGCGTGTTGAAAGTTTCCTCCTTTGCTATTCCTTCAGGCTTTATATTGACAAAAAAAAAAAAAAAAAGTAAAGCGATACTGAATGTATAAAAGAAAAATTAAACACTTGAAAGCAAAGGAGAAAATGGTGGTGAAAAATTGGATTGTAGATCTATCCACATTCTTGGGAATTAAATGTCACTGTGAGATGCATGTTAGATAATACTGTATGAAATAATAAGGGCTCTGAGACTCACAGAGAGTAGACTTACGTACCTCAACTAGTAAGGCCTTGACTACAGTGTCCTTCTGCGCAAGTGGTGGGACGTCAGTCAACTCATTGTCACACACTTCCTGAGAATGCATGGCTTCCGCAGTGGCTGTGAAATTCACCTTTCCTGGGGAATAAAGTTCTTAAGAGTTAAACGGTGATTCTATATTGAACAGTTTCTTCTTTTCCAGTTTCCCCAGTGTATCCAGTGGTTGTCTTCCTCTTGATTAATATTAAAGGAGGAGAAAAAGTGTGTATTGGGGTCAGTGCAGAAAACAAATCATCCAAGCACACGAAGTGGAATTTGCTAATAGCATTACTACTCACCCAGTGACTTCGGAGTCACAACCCAGGACACGGTTTTCCGCCCATTTCTACAGACACAGTGAGATTCTTCATTCTTCTCTGTTGGAACAGCCAGGAAAGCGGAAGAGACCTCCAGCTGCACAACGACCTGTCCCCCACACCCAACCACAAGTTTATGAAGGGATGCAGAACAGCATGAATACTGCAAAAGATGCTCTGTGCATCAGGTAAATGGACTGAGGGACAATGTCCATGAGTCCAGAGGCGCTGAGAAGCTGTGCAAATATGGTCAGCTCTATCAGACACTTTGTAGTTTAGGTGTTTGAAACAAGAAAATTGAAAAACTGACAGGAATTAGGATAAGTGTTTAGGATTTAGCCTTGTGCCAACAGAAGAAAGAGGTGTTTAGTGAAAAACATGAAACAATCAGGTGGACATAATGTCTGAATTTAGGAATACACAGATATAGGAGCCTGAATGAATATAACCTTACCACCTTGGGCCTGTCAGGTACCTTTTCTCTTAGTACCAGGTCTGCTCCAAAATTAGGATATATCATATGCAGTTCTGATTTCCTGGGTTACCTAGGAGACCTGGTAATGAATGGTGACTATCTTCTATTCTCATTCACTTCCAGAGAAGTGTCCTTACCCGAATGCAGGTGGACAAGCAGTTAAACACAGTGGCTTTGAGTGTGAAGGCTTCTCCTCGCACCACAGAATAAGGAAGGGTGAGTTCTAGGAAGAAAGGCTGGAAGGCTTGAAGAGACACGATAGGAGAGAGGCCAAACCCTGTGGTTCCAGACAAGCAGAATGCGCTGGCCTTCCACTCTGTGATGGTTTCAGGGACCTGGTCACCAGCTCACTTATACCTAATGAGCTAGTGAAGGAGCAGAGAAGAGGAGTATAAGCAAATCTTTTTTTTTTTTTTTTAACACAAAGCATGGCTGATCCTAGAACATGATAACTCAGTAACCTAGTGTGGTAAATGCTAAACTTGATCTAAGGGTTGGTGCTCCTGGTGAGGTTTAAAGTTTTTTTTCTCCCTACCTCCCTTACTCCCTCCTTCCCTCCCTCCCTTTATTTCTTCCTCTTTTCTTTCATTCTTTCCTTCCTTTTGTTCTTTCTTTCAATCTCCCTCCCCTCCCCTTCCCTTTCCTTTATTTAAGAGGGCTGGTAGCATCCTACTTTCTATTATCTTAGTTATCAATAGACTAAATTAGAAAAAAAATTAGCATTGTTTAATTATGAGATAAATGAACTATAAACCTAAATATTTACCAGAAAAGAGCAGAGCAGAACTAAAAGGATCAGGAATCCAGGATAACATCAGTCATACAGCAGGATTCAAACCCTCTCCTAAACTAAATTCCAGGCAACACACAACTTACTCAACTACCACCAAATCCCAGATCCAGGTCTCAGGGAAGTACTTCCGGACTATCTCTTTCACTTGCAATATCTGAGGTTCTTCTTCGATCATTGGGTACATTATTTCTACGGCTCCTGGGGGTACACCTCGCAGACCTGGTCCTGGAAGACAACACACAGGCCTCAGTGTGAACCTCATTTTTATCATCAATTTCTTATTGCTGCCTTATTTCTCAAATGGAATAAGGTCATACGCTCAGGGAATGTTTATTATTGGAACAATTTAACCTACCAGCTTGTTATTTTGTTCACTTTCCTATAAAAAGGCTAATCCTATTTTTTCTTCAAATAGAATCTAGAGCTAAATATATTTTTCTTTATAAATAAAAACAAATGACCTGTACATGTACCTCCTGAATCTAAAATAAAAGTTGATTAAAAAAAAACAAATGTAGCTCTCTCTAAGATGATTACTCAACTGGTGAAGGGAAGGATAAAGAGTAATTTAATACACCAAATATTGCTTTTACACTGAAATTGTGTTCACATGTCTTCTGTTTGCAGTGAGAATCAAACGAGGAATGGATATTAGCTAAGCAAGATGATTTCGGGAATGATTTTTTGTTTGTTTGTTTGTTTCGACATTGAATTAATATGGAGACATAAACAATAAGCAACAGGATTCAGTAAAGTATGTAGTATAGACAATAGGGAGTCAGGAATGAAAAGACAATCAACTTTAGTTAGGCCGGAAAAGACTTTACCAAAGCGGAACCTAAGATGATCATTCATGGATGGGAGGTGGAGGAGAATGGGGAGTTATTCCCAGGAAAGGACTGTGCAAATATATATACAAAGGTGGAAGGGTGCTTCACAGGGATAGTAAAAATTTACCCTCTAGAGTAGAATGGCTATTTTCAGGGTGTGTTTCCCATAATTAGGTAAACAGAAGGTATAATATATAATAAAACATAAGGCTAGGACAAATGAATAAGGTCTGTTAAGTGGGAGTTAGTTAGCTTGATAAAAAAGAAATTGATATTCCAGAAATCAGAAGATATACATATATATAAGATATATATAATCTTTACATATTGTTAACATTATCTTAAATATCTTTATTATAATATTATTCTATAATATATCTTCTGATCTCTGGGGCATCACTTTTTAAAGATAATTATATACGTGTGTAATTATAAATACATATATGATATATATATAAGATAATAGAGTTAGATGTGCTCTTTCAAAACCTTAAATGCAATAATCTTATGAATTCTGGAAGTATTGACTATGTTTGAGAAACAAGTGACATGAGAAAAGCAGTGTTTAAGAGTATGCAGGACAGATAGAGGTAAAGAAAAGCTGGAGGCAAGGAAGTTAAATTAGAATGGTTTTTCAGTAATCTAGTTATGAAATAATGACAGACAGATTAAAGTGCTGTAACTGAAAATGAGAAGGAAGAAAAGGATAAGCAACAAATACCAAAAGAAAAATTTGCATAGAATATTACAGAACATTTGGGGTCAAAGTGTAACGATGTACTCTGAGTTTTCAGGTTTTCTGAATCATACCTTTGTTTCCATTGATCTGTTTTCTCTTAGGTTGGAAAGAAAATACACACTTGGTGAAATGAAAGTCAATTAATCATGCTTTTCAGTTTCTTTTTTTTAAACAAACATGCCATTAAAGGAATCATGATTTTTTTTTTTTCATTTTATGGTCACAATACCTCAGTGAGTTTGGTGTTGTCATTCTGACTTCAGATTTAAAGAAACTGAGCCTCTAAAAGGTTAAGTGAGTCTGCAAATTTCCAAAGTCACATAGTCATAGCAGATAGGAGTGTGATGAAAAATTGTCCCTTTGTTCTTAAAACAGTGTTCTTTTTTCACTATACAGGATTTTTTTTTTTTTTCTGGTGAGGAAATATCCTTAATGACTCCTTTGTTTTCAATTAGAACATTACTCCTTGCCTTCCCAGGCAGTGAATCTGCTGTATTAAAATGTGTTTATTCTTTTTTTTTTTTTAACACTTTTTACTGCCATCCTCATTTTTTATTAAAAAGTAAATTTGGTAGACATTCAAGCATGCAGAGAAAAATTTCTCTAGGCCTGATGGCAGTAGAAAAGAATTTTGAGTTAGGCCTTTTGCAACATTTCCTGATTTCCAGGTATACTTGAAACACACAAAGAGACTATGCAGAGGTAGCGTATCTGCCAAAAGTTGCATTACTCTCTTTTGCTCAATATTACATAAATCCCTTCTCTTTCCATAAGAAGATATGACAGAGACAGTTAATATCCACATGAGCCTTCCCATTTCTCAGCCTCCTTTGCATTCAGGGCAGGAACATGGGCGGAAGTGATGTATACCATTCCCACTCCTGGCTTTAAGAGTCAAGTGCAACCTCCTTCCCCATGGGTATGACCTTGAAAGCCACGTTGGCGATGGCAGAGTCACCAGAGGAAAGCAGACTGGTTCTCTCTGACTCACTGTTTGGCACGGGGCTGTTCTGGAGAGTGTCTGAACTCACAAGTAGATTTTGTGTGAGCAAAAACCAAACCGTTAGGTGCTTACCCGCTGAGATGTGGGAGTTTGTTTGTTACTGCCATTGAATCTAATTCTGACTAATTCAGGTATTGACTCCATCATGGACAAGGAAGATCTAAAATGGCAAGACTATTAAAAGCAAAAACAAAAAGTTAGTTGATTTTGATGTCAAAGAGAAAATAATAATTGCTTAAAAATCCTCTATTTGAGGAAAAAGTATTATTTGGGGCTAACTTACCAAGAAGTTGCTGCAGTCTCAAGATCCAATACTTAGAAAAACAGGTTTTCATCTTAAACCAACCCAATAAAGCACCATTTTTCTTCTATTCTGTCAGACAAATAAATCACACCTTTACCTCCTATTATGCTGATACGCAATCCTCGTGGTAGACACAAAGTTGGCTTATGGATTTTTGAGTTGGTAAAAATATCTAATCCTATGGACTGAAAAAAATTGTTAAAGCATAGCGGCAATCCAATCTTGAGACTGTAAGTAGTTTCTTGAATTTGTATTGTACTTTCACTATTATGTTACATATAGTTCATACGCTCATCATGAAAATTACACAAAATGAGGAGAGCTATTTATAAATATGAAAACAGAGTCATAGACGGTCAAGTTCATTAAGCTATTGAGTGAATAGGAGTGGGAATTCAAACCCGTTTCTGATTCTTATTTCTAAATATTGTCTGGTATAATCTAATGCTCTTTAACTCTTTTTTGCATCCATAAAACTGAATATTTTAGACTTAGATGTTTTCTTCTCTTCTTTTTCCCCATGAAACAAATATCTATGTCTGTGTATGCATATAAACAGCTCTCCTTATGGCTTTATTACAAAGAGCATTTTTTTGCTTGTTTCTTGTCATTTTAAATTGAAGGTTTGCATATCGGAGGTTGTTCTTTACAATCTTAGTAAACTCTGTTTTGTTTATGTTTTACCAGAAGATATGGCTTTTCCTGAATATCTATGCTTAACTCGTTCCTGTGGTCCTTTCCTCTTTTTTCTCAGTTTCTTCTAGTCGTCTCAAATGTCTGCATCTAAAACCCACATTCAGATGCCCACGGTTGTCTACAGTCCACCTGTTTCCAGCTTCCCCCTTCTTCAATGTTAGTCACAGATAAATATTATTTGCTATTTTATCTCAGAGTATTTGGGAAACTGTGGGACTCTTGAACACAGTTGTCAGTGAGGGTTGTGTACGCAACAGAAAGAAATAAACCAGAAATAAATATTTAGAGATTAAACAGCTGGTTAATAAACCAAGAAGTATTCTTTTCATCCTTCTACCATCTGATTTGTGATTCCAGAACGTCCAGAAGAGAGAGATTTAAATTGCTTTCAGCTAAGCTGTAGACCTCTAGCAGATGAACGACATATTTTCCTGAAGGTATGATGAAAGTTTTTAGTGCTTTTTGATAGTGATAAGATTTAATTTCACGACCTGGATAATTCTGCTCAGTTATAGTTAATACTAAAGAATTACATTTTTAAGACATCTTAACATTTCTAATACAAGTTTTGTTAATCTTTTCTTAATGAAAGACAACTTCAAATTTTCCTGGAATTTTACTGCCCTGTGAGGACTGAAGTTTTGCATTTTATGTATTCAATCCTGTATTCATTCAACAAGTGTTTTCTTTGTTTGTTTGTTTGTTTTGTTTTGTTTTGTTGTTTTTCTTTGAGACAGAGTCTCGCTCTGTCACCCAGGCTGGAGAGCAGTGGCGCAATCTCGGCTCACTGCAAGCTCCGCCTCCGGGGTTCACGCCATTCTCCTGCCTCAGCCTCCCGAGTAGCTGGGACTACAGGCGCCCGCCACCACACCCGGCTAATTTTTTTTATATTTTTAGTAGAGACGGGGTTTCACCTTGTTAGCCAGAATGGTCTCGATCTCCTGATCTCGTGATCCACCCACCTCAGCCTCCCAAAGTGCTGGGATTACAGGCGTGAGCCACCGCGCCCCGCCTCATTCAACAAGTGTTTATGGTGCAAATGACTGAGATGATGGCCTCCAACAAGGTGCTCACCTTTCCAAGAGTGTCAGACACATTATGGAAAATATTTTGTTTTGGTTTTCTTACATATTGGAATCCCCAAGAGTCACTGAGAGGGGAATACGATGGTGGTAAGCAGCTTTGGGATCCATTTGGTTAAGGTTTGCAGCCTAAAAGTAAACCACTTTCTATTTAAGGTGGTAGAGAAGTTCATGTGTGAACATCTGTGTGTCCACAGAGTTATCTGTCTCTGAGATTTCAATATTTTTCTGTTAGTTATCATTTTGTTAGAGGGAGGGGAGAAAAGATCCTAGAGCTTAGAAGTCCATTGTTTCTCCATCTAAACAGACACGTAGAAATCAGTTTTTGTTATGTTTTTGGGGAAAAAAAATTACCGTGAAGATACTGTAAATGTCATCCCCCTCCAGGACTTGCTTCGGTGTGGAAGTGATTCCGCTGTGAGTTGTGTCTTTTGCGTTGTTGCACTCTTCATCATATTCATCCGCAGGACCTCCAGCTCTAAAGGTAAATGGACTCTTTACTGGTAGCAAGTTATAGACCTGCAACATGGAGAGAACAAAGGAAATCTCTTTCTTTTTAACAGATTTTAAAATGTGATAATGTCCCTTAGGAAATTTAAAAGATTATGGTGTTTATTTAACATGTGCATGCTTACATTATGAAAAGCAACACAGAGAATCATGGAGTAATATCAGAGGTCATGGATCCTAATTCTTTTGTTGTGCAAAAGAAAGTAATATATAGAGAGATGAAATGAATTGATCAAAATCTCAAAATTCATTTTGGTTGAGTAAAAATAAAACCGTCTCTATTTCCCACAAAAAAAAATGCCTACTTTTAAAAGAAAGTAGGAAATGTGGACAGCAGAGGCACATAATGAAAGAATAAAAGCCTCTCACAGCCCCCTCACCTAAAATAATCCCCATAAATACTTGATTCATTTCCTTTTTCCATTTCATATGACTAAGGCTGTACCAAGTTTTCTTTTTAGTCTACTGTATTAGGACCAAGTTTAGCTTAAGAAAAATCTAGGTGCAGGGACAACTGAGAAATAATTCAATTCCAGTTTGGTTTTGCCCAGAGCCAAGTTTAAGGCCATGTGCTCAGGGTTCAGGTGGCCTTACTATACAGTGTTCAGGCCATTAAACACACCTGCAGACCTTCTAATGTGGCTTCTGTCACTTGTCATCTGTGCTACTGTAATAACTTCGTAACTGTTCTTGTGCTTTCATTCTTGCTCCCATACTCTTAGCAGCAAATATGATCTTTTTAATAGATTCATCTCAATTGTCCACTCTTCTGTGTAAATTTCCTCATTGATTTACCATTGCATTTACTATCAACTCCAAACTCCACACCAAGTAAACAGAGCTCGCCATGATCTTCCGTTTTCCATCCTACCTGCAGCCTCTATCATCCTCCCCTCTCACTGCTACATATTAGGTGATGACCTTTTCCTTTTCAGTACACTCCAAATTCATTCTGACTCAAAACCTTTGGCATGCTGCTTCCATTTTTTGTAAGCTTGCTCTGGCCTCTCCACTATTCTCCAATGTAAACATTTCAAAATTGCTCAATTATTTCAAAAATTTATCAGCACCTTTATGCTTGATATCAATACTCCGTTTATTCTTTTCATAGTATTTATAAAAATCTGGAATTATTATATGTTTATATGTTTTTGTTGCTTGCTTGTTTGTTTGTATATCTCACAAGATTATAAATCAAAACTAGTAAAAGACCAAATCTGGATTGTCCATAATTAATAATCCTGGTCTCAAAACAATGTCCATCTTATAGTCAAGATGCAATAAATATTTCTTAAATAAATAAGTGAACCATGAAGCCAATAAAATATAGGGCTGTTCTGAAATTGCTTCATTGCAAGAGACATTTTTAAAGACAACATTGAATGGAAATTCTCTTTTGTCCACACTTAAAACCAGTGAGTGAGTGTCTGGATTTTAAGAAAGGCATAAAATTTTTGCATAATTTCTTGAAATTATATTAGTGGTGGGTTAGGAAGTGGATTTAAAAGAAAAGAAATGAGAATGGAATTCCTCCTTTAAAATGTATTGTTTTTATCGTCAATTTCTTATAGTTGCCTTATTTCTCAAGTGGAATAGGTTATATGCTCAGGGAATGTTTATTATTGGAACAATTTAACCTACCAGCTTGTTATTTTGTTCACTTTCCTGTAGAAAGGCTAACCCTATTTTTAATGTCTCCTGGTTGTGTTTTCTTCATTCATAATATTAAAGTAATAATACCCATCTCAAATAATTATTATTCATTTACTCACTCATTAAAAATGTGTTGATCATCTATTGTACATAAGATTCTGTGCTAGGCAAGATGATGGAGTCACGACCTATCAGTATGCTGTCTTCAAGAGATCCACCTCATGTGTAAAGACACACATAGGCTAAAAATAAAGGAATGGTGGAAAATTTACCAAGCAAATAGGAAACAAAAAAAAGAATAGGTCATAATCCTAGTTTCTAATAAAGCAAACTTTAAACCAACAAAGATGAAAAAAGACAAAGAAGGGCATTACATAATGGTAAAGGGTTCAACTCAACAAGAAGAGCTAACTACCTAAATATATATACAACCAATACAGGAGCACCCAGCTTCATAAAGCAAGTTCTTAGATAATTACAAAGAGACTTAGGCGCCCACACAATAATAGTGGGAGACTTTAACACTCCACTGACAATATTAAACAGATCATCAAGACAGAAAATTAACAAAGATATTCAGGACCTGAACTCAGCTCTGGATCAAGTGGGCCTGATAGATATCTACAGAACTCTCTGTCAAAAAAAAAAAAAAACCCAAAATATATATTCTTCTCATCACCACATTGCACTTACTCTAAAATTGATCACATAATTGGAAGTAAAACACTCCTCAACAAATGCAAAAGAACTGAAATAATAACAAAGAGTCTCTCAGACCACAGTGCAATCAAATTAGAACTCAAGATTAAAAACTCACTCAAAACCACACAATGACATGCAAATGGAATAACCTGCTCCTGAATGACTCCTGGGTAAATAATGAAATTAAGGTAGAAATCAAGAAGCTCTTTGAAACTAATAAGAACAAACAGACAACATAACAGAATCTCTGGGATGCAGCTGAAGCAGTGTGAAGAGGGAAATTTGTAACACTAAACACCCGCATCAAAAAGCTAGAAAGATCTCAAATCAGCAAACTAATATCACAAGTAAAGGAACAAGAGAACCAAGAGCAAACAAACCCCAAAGCTAGCAGAAGCCAAGAAATAACCAAAATCAGAGAAGAACTGAAGGAGGTGGAGACACAAAAACCCTTCAAAAAATAAATGAATCCACCATTGACCCCACAGAAATGCAAACAACCATTAGAGAATACTATAAACTCCTCTATGCACATAAACTAGAAAATCAAGAAGAAATGGATAAGTTCCTGGACTCATACACCCTCCCAAGACTGAACCAGGAAGAAGTTGAGTCTCTGAATAGACCAATAATGATTTCAGAAACTGAGGCATTAATAAATAGCCTACCAACCAAAATTCCAGGACTAGACAAATTTACAGATGAATGTTACCAGAGGTACAAAGAAGAGCTGATACCACTTCTAATGAAACTATTCTAAAAGATTGAAAAGGAGGGGCTCCTCCCTAACTCGTTTTATAAGGCCAGCATCATCCTGATACCAAAACCTGGCAAAGATACAACAAAAAAAGAAAACTTCAGGCCAACATCCGTGATGAACATCGAAGCAAAAATCCTCCATAAAATGCTGGCAAACCAAATCCAGCAGCACATCAAAAAACTTATCCACCACAATTATGTTGGCTTCATCCCTGAGATGCAAGGTTGGTTCAATGTATGCAAATCAAGAAATGCAATTCATCACATAAACAGAGCTAAAGACAAACCCACATGATTATCTCAATAGACTCAGAAAAAGCCTAGAATAAAATTCAACATCCCGTTGTGTTAAAACTCTCAATGAACTAGGTATTGAAGGAACACACCTCAAAATAATAAGAGCCCTTTATGACAAACCCACAGCCAATATCATACTGAATGGGCAAAAGCTGGAAGCATTCCCCTGGAAAACCTGCACAAGACCAGGATGCCCTCTCTCACCACTCTTATTCAACACAGAATTGGAAGTTCTGAGTAGGGCAATCAGGCAAACAAAATAAATAAAGGGTATTCAAATAGGAAGAGAGGAAGTCATATTATCTTTGTTGACAGATGACATGATCCTATATCTGGAAAACCCCATCATCTCAGCCCAAAAGCTTCTTAAGTTGATAAGCAACTTTAGCAAAGTCTCAGGATACAAATTCAAGGTGCAAAAATCACTAGCATTCCTATACACCAACAACAGACAAGCAGAGCCAAATCATGAAAGAACTCCCATTCACAATTGCTACAAAGAGAATAAAATACCTGAGAATACAGCTAACAAGGGAAGTGAAGAACTTCTTCAAGGAAAACTGCAAACCACTGTTCAAGAATTCATGAAGGACACAAACAAATGGAAAAACATCTCATGCTCACGAATAGGAAGAATCAATATTGTGAAACTGGCCATATTGCCCAAAGAAATTTATAGATTCAATGCTATTCCCATTAAACTACCATTGACAGCTTTCACAGAATTAGAAAAAACTATTTTAAAAATCATGTGGAACCAAAAGAGAGCCCAAATAGCTAAGACAATCCTAAGCAAAAAGAACATAGCTGGAGACATCATGCTACCTGACTTCAAACTTTACTACAAGGCTACAGTAACCAGAACAGCATGGTACTGGCGCAAGAACAGACACGTAGACCAATGCAACAGAATAGAGAACTCAGAAATAACACTACACATCTACAACCATCTCATCTTCAACAAACCTGACAAAAACAAGCAACGGGGAAAGGATTCCCTATTTAATAAATGATTCTGGGAGTGCTGGCTAGCCATATGCAGAAAATTGAAACTTGGACCCCTTTCTTACACCTTATACAAAAATTAACTCAAGATGGATTAAAGATGTAAATGTAAAACTTGAAACTATAAAAACCCTAGAAGAAAATCTAGGCAATACCATTTAGGGCATAGGCATGGGCAAAGATTTTGTGACAAAATCTCCAAAAGCAATTGCAACAACAACAAAAAATTGACACTTGGGACTTCATTAAACTAAAGGGCTTCTGCACAGAGTATCAGAGTGAATAGTCAACCTACAGAATGAGAGAAAATATTTGCAATCTATTCATTTGACAAAGATCAAACATCCAGTGTCTACAAGGAACTTAAACAAATTTACAAGAACAAAACAAACAACCCCCTTAAAAAGTGGGCAAAGGACATGAGCAGACACTTCTCAAAAGAAGATATTCATTCAGCCAACAAACTGATGAAAAAAAGCTCAATTTTACTGATCATTAGAGAAATGCAAATCAAAACCACAATGAGATACCATCTCACACCAGTCAGAATGGTGGTTATTAAAAAGGCAAGAAACAACAGATGCTGGCGAGGTTGGGGAGAAAAAGCACACTTTTACAAAGTTGGTGGGAGTGCAAATTAGTTCAACCATTGTGGAAAACAGTGTGGCGATTCCTCAAAGATCTAGAAGCAGAAATACCATTTGATCCAGCAATCTCATTACTGGGTATATACCCAAAGGAATAGAAATCATTCTATTATAAATGTTCATTGCAGCACTATTCACAATAGCAAGGACATGGAATCAACCTAAATGCCCATCAGTGATAGACTGGATAAAGAAAATGAGGTACATATACACCATGGAATACTATGCAGCCATAAAAAATGAGATCATGTTCTTTGCAGGGACATGGATGGAGCTGGCAGCCATTATCCTCAGCAAACTAACGCTGGAACGGAAAATCAAACACTGAATGTTCTCACTTATAAGTGGGAGCTGAATGCTAAAAACACATGAACACATGGTGGGGAACAACACACACTGGGGCCTGTTGGGGTGGGGGCAGGGGGAGAGAGAGCATCAGGAAGAATAGCTAAAGGATGCTGGGCTTAATACCTAGGTGATGGGTTGATCTGTGCAGCAAACCACCATGGCAAATGTTTACCTATGTAACAAACCTGTACATCTGGCACATGTACCCCAGAACTTAAAATAAAAGTTAAAAAAAAAAAAAGATTCTGTGCCAGGCATGGCACAGATTGTCTTGGTAAGCAAGATTGCTCCCTTAAGGAGAATATAACAGAGAATACAATGAGTTAAAATATGTAAAGTACTTTATGCAGTTTCTGCTTGTTGTGGAATTACACTATGCCTGTTACTCTGAAGAACTTGTTTTTTGCAAACATTTTTGGAACTTTTAACTTCCAAAAATGATCTTATCACGTGAGCATTTCATGATCTCCAAGGTTGGAACGTGACTCACAGATTTAGGTGAGAGCTCAGCTTCAGGCTTCATTAGCAGCACACTCTGGTCTACAGCACGGAGGGCACAAAGGGAGAGGGGGGTGGCTCTCACCTTCAGGCGGGTGTTTGAGGCTGGCAGGCTCTGAGCTGAGGAGAATCTCAAATTTACCTGTAAAGAGGATATGATTAAAGCAGCCATTTTATAATTATTACAGTAACCGGCCCTTCTTCTACTCCAGGCTAAGAGTAGCCTTTTCTATACTTCCTTTCTCTTTATTCATCTTACAGCAGGATTAAGAGATGAACAGCCTAGGAACTACCAATTCAGTGTCTCTGGAACAACCTGGAAATTTGATTCCAGTTAACTCAGGTTTTCCATTCCTTATATAAATGATGAAATATAAATTGACTTAATCATATAGAAATAAAATGCTGCATAGAATTGAAAACACACGTACAAGAAAGATGCATACCTTGCTATCACTGACCTATCTCTGTGCAGTGTTTATGTGAAGACTGTGTGCAGTTTGCACGGTGATGTGAAAATCACATTCCACCCCTGAGACCAGCCAACAGAAGTCTCCTCCAGTTGGCAGTCTCAGTCACCTGAAATTCTAAAGCAGTGTGGAACTGTTCATCATGATTGGAGATTTACTGGTCCATTTAAAAAAAATAAATATCTAATATACAGCCTAAGAGTTCATTGGTTCAGACAATTTAAAAAATGGTGAATAAAGAACAACAGGAAATTGTGCAGAATCTTCCCAAAGATTTGCTTCTACTTTGGCCAAAAAAATTAATTGGCAAGATAATCTATTAGTTCCTTCTGTTGATACCGACATTTCTTGAGTAGTATCTGAGTTATATAGTAGTAGCATCAGGTAACTTCCTTGATTCTTGGACTGAAAACTGATTTTTATTGGAATGAAATATCAGTATGTTTAGCTAAATAACATCTGACTTAGGTTGCTAAATTTCACTATGACAATCCAGCTTTATGGTCTACTGAATTTAATATAGCAGTTTGGAATCACTTATCATAAGACATATATGAAAAAAATCAATAATTATTTATCTTCAAGATGCAATAGTATTCATCTTTCTAACTCAATATACTATGAAAACATTGCTTATGGAGAATCTCTTTAAAATATATTTGCTTTTATTTTTAGAAAATTTAAGTTCATTAAAATATGTTAGTTACTGTCCATGTCAAAAGAACAGGTAATTTGGGATTATAATAAACTAAAAACACTATTAGCAAGAAGTGGACATGTTAGAAAATAGAAAATGTTTTACTGATATGAAAACCAAAACATAACTTTAAGGCATATTTCAAAGGAGTCTGTACCTCATATATTATATTAATTACTACCAATGTTATTCTTAATGAATAATTATATCTGGTTGAGTATAACAAATGATTCCAACTATTACATAATTTTTAATGTGTATGCCAAATCTGTTGTAAGTGAAGAAATAAGTATATGAAGTTTGAATAGAAAACTATTTTTCTCTGTCTCAGCAAAGATTGAAAAAAATTTAAATGTATCGTTTTGCAGGGATGCATGTCTGACTTGGGGTCTTTCCTCACATCCTCAGTGCACTATTTATTTGCTCATCATCCCACCAAGATGTCTAACTTTTAGGGTGCTTAATTTGTAATTTTAATAGATCTACTGTTTTTCTAATTTTTGTGGTAGTCAACTTTCTTCTGAATCTTCTTATGAATCTTTGTTCATATTATTTTTTACAGCTGATCTTCAATTCTGATCAATGATGATTTTAAAGGTATTTAACGTGAAGTGATTGAATATAATGTCCGTGGGCTTTTACTTCTATGGTGAAGTTTTATACTGTTGCACAGGGACTGTCATATGTTTTGCAAAATCAGAATTGTTTTTCAGACTGGATTCCAGGGAGAAAATTACTTTTCTGCCAATTCTGTTTTATAATGCTTCTCTCATTTCTAGGGTGTGAAGAGGATACTGACCCACCAGAAAGAGACCCCACTGCTAGAACGAATAAGATGTGCTGAAAGCCGGAGCATAACTTGGCCATTCCCAAGATTTAACAACAAACTAACTACCCATCATTAACAGTAAAGGTATTGAAGCATGAAGGAGTCTCTTCTCAGTGGGTATGAAACACACAGAAGTCCAAACAGAACAGACACTAAGCTTCTTGGACACACCATCCAGGTTTAATAGCACTCTTTAGTAAGGTGGAATTAAAGGTTTACATCAGAATACACTGTGTATTTTTCTTATTTCACTGTATATTTAAAACAAGACAACCTAAATATAGATCTCAGGGCAGAAATGTTCACTTGCTATAAACACATTTTGTTTTAATCTCCACAAAGCCCATGTTAAAAAAAAAATCCTTCCAGGTGTATTTGAAAACAGGCATCTGAAGTAGGCGGCTCTTATCTGATCGCTAATGTTATGATTATGCTGCTAGAGTAGTGAAAATCAGATAAACAGCACCAAGTTCTGTTGGAATAAAGCATACTTATATCTCAGTGAGCTTCACATGGCAGCTTTGTATTCCTTAAATAAAAAATATGCCATCTGAACCTATGTTAAATTTTTGTGCTATCATTATTTTTAAAGTGTCCAGGCTGTTTCTCATCTGTTCTGTATTATTAAGCTGAGTTTAAACTCATGACAACCTACTGCTGTCTGTAGTGGTACATGGAAGTGTGCCAGTGTATGATGGGGTAAAATTGGCACAGCCTTGTGAGGCATCATTTTTAATCAAAATATTAGTAACAAAACATTTTAAAATTAAAACTATTAAAGGCTTATAGGTGACTTGATTTTGAAATTCATATGAATTTTATAACAAAACAAGAGACTTTTAAAAAACTGTGTTTGTGGTTGCCTGTTTTGGATGTCAGCACTAGACCTCTCAGTATGACATCACCCCCTGCCTTTAGAAGTAGCTGGGAGGAATGTTTTAGGAGCACTGTATGCCTAATTTCCTAATTTCCTTCTTTTCCACACATCACAATGGGAGAAGAATAAAAGGACTAGTCTTAAACAAAACAACCCACCTTGTTGGCAAAACAGTTTTCAATCTCAAGCTTGTCAGTGTCTGCAACAATTTCTCCATTAGGTAAAACAGTGTAAACAAGCAGATGAGCACTAGGAGCAGAGTCTGATTCCACTCGAAAGGAGAAGGAAAACACCCCTTTCACTGGAGAATTTAAAAAGAAGAACAAGTTCAGAATAACACATTAGCAACAGAATTATCAATTTGATTTTTTAAAAAGGCATTTCCAACTATAGACTTTATTTACATTTGGATCACACTGAAGTAAGAAAAGACTTTATACCACTGTGCAGGTAGTAGTGTTCAATAAATATATGCTGAGCTAATGACATTTTCCCTTAAAGATATAGGTTTAATTGTTCATTTCCTCTGTTTAAGTAGGAAAAAGACATTTAATGCTTGTCTCTATTTCTAAATTGAAAAATATTATTGAGAAAGGAGTCAAGAGAGAAGAAAGAGAACTTCTAGACATGTTTGGTTATAATTCTTGTGTGTGTAAGGGCAATATAAACAATGCAACAGTCTTTTCCTTCAGGCCATTTATAATACAGCAGGGATACAGATACAAATCACATAAAAAGCCTTGTGAGCCTTTGATTTTTATAATAGAATTCTGTGTGTTCATCTCAGTGGTTGTCCTCTGTGTGAACTACATAGAGCTTATGTAACATTCCACTTGATTATTTTCATAAATGTTCTAAGTTTGATCTTTGTAGCATAAAATTATTCTTTAAAAATTGTACCCTTCCTGTATCTATAAAAGATTTGAGGGCAGCTTTCATGAAAATACAGAGAAACAGCAGAGTCAAAATAATTTGAAACAGTAAGACGAAAGCCAAATGAATGTGGAATTCTGAAGCAGGGTTAAACATAGGAGTTAATTTTATTAGGAAGCTGCAATGAAATGGTTATTACACTAGAGTACTTAAGTTTTTCACTGAGTTTCCGAAATGTCAAAGACAAAGTCAAAACAATCATTTACATAGCTGTCATTAAATAAAATGAAGTATATTTTTTCTTAAAGAGAGGGACACTTCTTCTTCCCATCCCACCACCTTAGGACCCAATCCATACAGGATTTAAACTCTACTGCAGAAACAAACTTTGAAGATACTGCTTTGTGAGGCAGTGACTTTTTCATATGTTATTAGAGACAACCTTACCTGCTCTAAAAAAATCAATACAATGTCCAATAACATAAAATCAGGGATTAAATGGAAATTTAGAGTCGATGTTTCATATTTGAATGAACGTATTCAAATTTTGTGCTTTATTTCAAGCAGAAAGAAAACAATCAGTAAGAGATTATATAGACCTAAGAGATGTTACAGACCGAAGAAGAACCTATGGTGAGTGGCGTTTTAGAGTGTGGGTACTGCATCCTTATCATGACCTTAGAAGCCTCTTTCTGGCTCAAAAAGACTGGGAGAAAGTCTATGAAAAAAAGGTTTTCATCTAGAAGTAGAGTTACAGGAAATTTATTAAGAGGCTAATCTGGAACTCAAAAAATTACAAACAAACATTAATATTTTGAAATCAAACTTAAATTCGTGATTAATTAAAAAGGTATCTTAGGCCGGGCACGGTGGCTCACGCCTGTAATCCCAGCACTTTGGGAGGCCGAGGCGGGCGGATCACGAAGTCAGGAGATGGAGACCATCCTGGCTGACACGGTGAAACCCCATCTCTACTAACAATACAAAAAATTAGCTGGGCGTGGTGGCGGGTGCCTGTGGTCCCAGGGACTTGGGAGGCAGAGGGAGGAGAATGGCGTGGACCCGGGAGGCGGAGCTTGCAGTGAGCCGAGATCGCGCCACTGCACTCCAGCCTGGGTGACAGAGCAAGACTCCGTCTCAAAATACATAAATAAATAAATAAATAAATAAATAAATAAATAAATAAAGATATTTATGATTCAAAGAAATAAAGAAGAAAAGTGTGATCTAAGATAGAGAAACTCTATTAACCCAGTTGACCTCAATGACGTTCAGAGAACACTCCACTTAATAGCAGCAGAATACACATTCTAACATTTATCAAGATAGACCATATTTTCTGAGCTATAAAATGTCTCCATAAATTTAAAAGAATTAAAGTCATACAATCATAATGTCATTAAATTAGAAATCAGTAACAGAAAGATCTCTAAAATATCTCCCATTTAGAAACTAAATAACACACTTCTGAATAACTCATGGTTCAAAGAAGAAATCAAAAAAGAAAGTAGAAAATATCTTGAACTGATTCAAAATGAAAGTTTCACATGTAAATATTAAACGATGCAACTAAAGCATTATTAACAGGAAAATGTGTAACAATAAACACTTGTATTAGTAAAGAAGAAAGGTCTCAATCAATGACCCCAACATCCTCATGAAGAAAGTATAAAAAGAAGACTAAATTAAAATCAATCTTTAATTGATAAAGATCAGTGGATACCAATGACATAAAAATAAAAAAAAAAACAAGAAAAATCAATTAAACCAAAAACCAGTTGTTTGAAATGATCAGTACAATTGAGAAACTTCTAGCCAAACTGATCAAAAGAAGACATAAATTATAAGTATCTTGAATGAAAGAGCTTCTATCACTATAGAAATTACAGATATTTTAAAACAATATTATGGACTATTTTATGTCAATAAATTAGACAGTTTAGAAAAATAGACAAGATTTTAAATGACATACACAACCAAAAAATTAACTAAAGTAGTAGCAAACTTACCTTGCACTTCATTAAAGAAAATAAATTTGTATTTAAAATCTTCTCACAAAGAAAATTCTATGTCCAGATCACTGGTAAATTCAACAAAATATTTAAGAAAAAGAAATACCAAATATTAATGAATTCAGATATTTAGGGAGGAGCTTTTACAGAAAAGTGTTAAAGCTTTTATAGAAAAGTGCTTCCTTCTTCCTGCTTATAACAAAACTGGAGAGGAGAAAAATAAATTGAATGAGGAAGTAGTCATCAAAAATGAACTAGGACTTGATAATTCGGAAATTTCTCAGCTTATCTAAATTGCAAAAATCGGTAAAATTAAGACATTCGCTGTCAGGAAATTGTGCTCTAGAAAAAAAGCTATGATGTGACTGGACAACTTTTTGCTAAAGACTTGATTTGCAGAAAAATTAAAATGTCAGAGTAATTTAGCCACAAAAAAAGGGCTCTTCGAAAAGATTAAGTGCATGACTCTTAGATACCCTTACCCATCACAACAAAAGCCAAAATTGGAGATAGAATTATCCATCAAATGTCAATGAAAAGGCTTTTTGTTTAACGGAATGAATCTCTGTGACACACAGGAGACCTACATGGTTCTTGAAAAGTTTATACTAATAGAAACATTGTCAGCTTCAACTAAAAGGGACAGAGAGAGTATAGAATAAAAGAAGAATATCAGACCTCTCAAATCATGCAAGCAGGAAACGAGATCTGATAAAACAATTCAGCTGCAAACACATCCTTCATGAAAAAGGGCAAATGATTTCATGAGTGGATCCTTGAGCCCAGACAATAGAGAAATGAATTAAAGAGGATTATTCCCAGGTGTTAAAACTATGCTGTTTTCCTAGCCAGATATCAGCACTTCTTGGGACTAAAGACTCTTTTTGCCCTAGGATGGATTATGTCCAGGACCTCAATAACACCTAATTTAGATGACTGAGATGATGAGATTTGGAACTTTTGAGCTAATGAGACTGTGAGCTTTTAATCTTATGTTAATGTTATGATGGATAGAGTGAATGCACTTTGCATGAGGGATGAATATGAATCTCTGGGGCCAATGGGAAGATTGTGGTAAATAGAATAATGGCCCCTGAAGATACTCAATTTCCAAAACTTCTGCATATGTTACTTTATATGGCAAAAGGGCCTTTGCAGAAATGATTAAATTAAGGATCTTGAGGTGTGAAGTTTATTCTGGATTATCCAAGTGGGCCCAATGTAATCACAAGGGTCTTTCTAGGAGGAAGACAGGAAGATGAGAGAGATTTGAAGATGGTATGTGGCTGAATTTGAAGATAGAGAAAGGAACCGCAAGCAAAGAATGCAAGAGGTCTCTAGAAGCTGGAAAAGGCAAGGAAAGAGTCTCCCCTCAAGCTCCAGCAGGAATGCAGTCCTGACACCTTGAGTTTAGCCTAGTGAGACTTCTGACCTCCAGAACTAGAAGATACAAGTGGTGTTTTAAGGCACTAAAACGAAGAACTAGAAGTATTGTTTTAAGCCCATAAATTTGTGATAATCTGTTACAGTAGTAATAGGCAATGCATACACAAGCACACAAAGTAAAATTTTTCTGTGGTTATTTTCCATATTTTTTCAGTTATTTTCTGCCTTTTGAAGACATTAAAGACATAAAATGAATATGTATTAGTTTAGGAATAAAATTTAAAATGTAGGAATGCTATAAAAGAAGAAAAAATTTTAACTGGGCTAAAGCAAACCCAGTATGTCATCCTATTACATCAGCTTCTTCATCTTTGGATGAAGAGGTTGGTGACTGTTTCTTCTAATGTGAGAATAGCTCCAAATTGCTAAATTGTTCAGAATTTGACAAGATGAAAGAGGAAAGAAAAAGGAAATCTTGAAAACATTTACTGTTTCCTTGTTCAATGGATAACACATGGATTCCTGATTGGGAGATTTTTCCTCTTGCTTTGATCTGAAGGCAGAAGGAAATATATTCATTATTGTTTAAAAGAATACATTTTAACCTAACTTTAAAACATTCATGATATATTTGTGAACCATAATCTTATTACCCCAACCTAGAAGTTATTTTGATCACTAAACTTCCTTTTCAATATCTTCATATATGTGTCTTTACATACTTTAAATAAAAAATATATAATTGTATAACGTTTTATTATTTTATTTAATATTTATCACTTCTAATAAATATATGTAAATATGTAAACAGAATTTATGTATTTTTTCAACAAACATTTCAAACATCTACCTTATGCAAAGCAATATATAGTGAAGGCAGATATAAAGTATAAATAAGTATTCTCTAATATTGCCTCTATTTTAAAAAAACTAAATGTATTGAGCATTCTCTATATGCCAGGAACTGAACTAAGTAATTTACTGTTAATTTACACTATAATTCCATGAAGTAGGTATTAATATTATCTCCAGGACTAAAGTGAGATGATTGACATTTCTCTTTCCAGATGAAATTAGGTAAGTTATCCAAGGTCATGTATCTAGGAAGCAATAAATCTAGGAAATTCAAATTTATTGTTAATTTTTCTATTTTTTTATGGAATTAAGAAAATGTTATTTATAGTTAATGCTCTTATACAGAATTCCCTATATTTAACTTTTTCTTCTTAAAATGACTTATTTGAGTAACTATGAGCCTTGGACATTTTCAATTTGGGGGCATTCGTGGGAATATTGGCCTCAAAAGTATCACTCCAATTTATAGTCTGCCTGTTAATATACCTTTTCCTTGCAATCACACCAGTCATGAGCTTTGTAAAATAATTAGAATTGAATATTTTTCCAGAAGATTGTTTATAAGTTTTATTTCCTTTTGAATGAGTTCATGGTTCTTAGCTTTTGCTTCTTTATCTACTGAGTTCTAAGAAAACATTTTCTCTTTGACTAAAAACATTTTATCCTAGGCTCTTTCCTCTCCTGCTCAATAAGTTGCCATTGGAACTCTGCAAGGAAAAATTCTAAAAGTTTCAGTGGTGAATAGAGCATAAATGAGAAATTAAAGCATTAATATTTGTTAGGAAGTAACTTCTCTTCTAGCACAAAAACAATACAAAATATATTATTGTTATCTTATAAATGGCATTACTTAGACAGGAACCCAGCAATTTTGGAGTCTACACAATCAGAAGGAGCTACAGTGGGTCTTATTCTTACCAAATAGTAGAAGGTTAATTCTTTTTCATCCCTGAGAATCTGTTTATTCAGAATGTAGTGTGCTTGAATCTCCTGGGTTTGTCCACAGGTCAAAGTACCAATAATAGGTTTGAGGTGAATATAACTCTTGCTTGGGGAAAAAAAATGCTTTGCAGTATGAGATGTTTGCGTATGAAATTCATCAAGCCACCAGTTATCAGAACAATTGTTACTCTCTTTGTATTTGACCTAATGGAAGAATAAATAAGCTGTTTTATATATAATATATATATGATTGCAAAAATATATAAAAATATGCATATTATATATGTTTGTATATATATACATAAAGCAATATAATAAAGCCATATAAGAAGGCTGCTTTCTTAAATATAGCAGAATCTGTAAACTGATTCCCCTCGAGATCATTTAAGCTTATGCTGTACTGATTTAGTAGATGTTATTCATTCACAAACAAGGTCAATTACTTTCTCTTAACACGCTATGGCTGCAAATTGCATAAGAACATTTGAATATTCAACACAAAACAAAATAGTAGTATGCCAAAGAAACCAAGCAAGATCTTACTTGTATTAGAATCATAAAAATATTCAATTTTTCAAAGGAATATCAAGATGATCTATTCAATGTCTCTTGAACCTAAATCATATTGTCAACAGAGTTTACCTACAAGTAAAAGATTTCTGGCAGACTTTTCTCTTTTTATAATTTAGGTCTCCATATTGCTTAATTTACATTTTACTCTTTTATTTTATTTTATTTTATTTTTTGAGATGGAGTCTTGCTCTGCCTCCCAGGCTGGAGTGCAGTGGCGCGATCTCGGCTCACTGCAAGCTCCACCTCCCGGGTTCATGCCATTCTCCTACCTCAGCCTCTGGAGTAGCTGGGACTACAGGCGCCCGCCACCACGCCCGGCTAATTTTTTTGTATTTTTAGTAGAGACGGGTTTCACCGCATTAGCCAGGATGGTCTCCATCTCCTGACCTCGTGATCCACCCACCTCGGCCTCCCAAAGTGCTTGGATTACAGGCATGAGCCACTGTGCCCGGCCTACATTTTACTCTTTATCACTTTTTTTTTAATTCCTAGAGTTCACATGCCTCTCAAATATCTTTAAATTATCTCTGGCCACAGTAATTTCTCTATTTTTGGTCCCAGATGCCCCTTTCCACTTACTGAAACTGTGAGAAAAGGTGATATGTAGTTGGTGGTGTCCATGGAAATGTTCACCAAACCATGCTCATCAGTAGTTGCACTGAAATAGTATCTAGTATTCACATGAACATCTACAGTTTTGTTGGTGATTGGCTGATGGTTTTCATTGACTAGAAGAACCTAGAGATATAAAAGTCATAGCTGGTTAAATTGTCATATGGCAATAACATCTTCCACTCCGTCACATTTACCGCCAGGTCACTCCCTGTCATTTACTGAAGATCTTAGAATCTGAAAACGAGACTTGTTTTCTGAGCTCTAAACTATGATTTTTCTTTTTAATACTTCTTTTTAAAAATTATTTTGAAAGCTAAATGGCAGTTTATTTTCCATTATTATTCTAAATTCACAAATCATAATTATATACATTTCCTGGGTACAATGTGATGTTTTGATATATGTATACAACGTGGAATGATTAAATATACTAACATATATATCACGTCACTTACCACTTTTTCAGATGAGACATTTATAATTTATTATTTTGAAATGTACAATATATTATTACTGACTATAATTATCCTGTTATGCAATACATCTCAAAATCTTGAATAGTTCTATTTGGATATCTCATGGGGACTCAAATTGAGAACATCCAAAAGTGGGATCATCACACTACCTTCCCAAACTTTCTCCACTTCCACTGTTCTCTCTTTCAGTATATGGGTCTTCCATCTATCAGGTAACTGACGCAGGAATACTGAGGAATTGGGTTTTTTTTAATGAGTCATTTTCTTTCACTGCTTATCTCAAACTCATTGTCAAGTGCTATCTCCTCTCCCCATCTCCCATCAAATATATATTGATTCTATCTGCTTCTCTCCAAATCTGCTGCTACCATTCTAGTTAAAATCACATTTTTTCCCATCTGGTTTCCAGTAGCTATTTAATCTTCTGCATTTCCTTGCTGCTTCATTCTTGTCTAAACCATTCTATACATCCTGAGCTAACCTGATCATGTTACTCTCTTTCTTAAAACCATTAGTCACTTCTCAATCCAAAATTCTTACCATATCTTAAAAGACCTTAATAACTGTTCTTGCTTGCCTGCAATTATTCAGTGAATTCGGTCATGTCTTTAACCTTAGCTGTCATCACACTGGCTGCTTTTTAGTTCTTTGCTCTTGAAAAACTGTTTCATACCCAGAGCCTTAGACATTCTCCCTTTTATCTTACATTTCTGACCATGTCATACTCACCTTTCAAGTCATCAGTTTTTCTCATGATCTTCTCTCTACCTGAAATGGCCATATGAAACTATATCTATATAGTTATTAATTTCTTGATAATTTAATATGAAATACTAGGATAAATGAAGAAAATGTAAAATTCAAGTATAAAATATCAAATATAAAATTCAAAATACAGCTTGAAGCATTTGCCCATGAACTGTTAATTCAAAGATTATTTACTACAAAATATAATTTAAAATACCTAGAAATCTTGCATCTCTTATATGAAAGAAAATGGATAGTTTACTAAATTATTGGCTCTAAAATGTATCAATATTGGTATCTATATGAAACTTTGAAATGGAAAACAACTTTAAAAACTACCAGTAATAAAAAATTCAATCATCTAGATGAAAGAATGTGTTTGAATTCTTCCTATAAAAATTATGTTACAAAATCATTGTTTATAAAGAGACAATCAAAGAGTATGCAGCTGAACTACACAAATGTATTACAGAGGTGTGTTAGGAAGTTAATAAAACATGCTTTGTTTTTCTGGATTTTGTGATTATATTTGCTTTTTAAATTATAATCTGCTGTACTTTTTTCCTATTTGAAATATTATTTTTTTAAATAAATTTTGATTTTGTGATTTAAAACTTCATTTTCTTAAAAACCTCATGCCCCAAATTGTGATTATGTTAAAAACATTTTTTTTTACCTGTCCATACCAGGGGAGTCCACTTCTGTAATGTGAATCTACTTTAGTAAATCTCAGTATCCTTAAGGTATCTGTGATTTCATATGATCCATGCCCAGTTAATTCCAATCCTGAAAAATAAATGAAGTTGAACCATTCTATGTATTAAAAACTCACCTCCTACTTCCTCCTCAGCCTCACTTCATCATAACAAAATACCATCCACATTCTCTTTTCTTTATTCTTGCCAGTTTCCCACATTTACAAGCTATTTGACCAGCAACTGGACATTAGCTTCACCTTCACATGAAACATTATTGGTATCCATCATCCCTCATTCCTCTGGTTTTCCACCTATGTTCTTTATTTTCTCAACTCCTCTGTGATCTTGCTCCATCTTTGTTTTTCCCTCTCTCACATCCCTGCTCTCCCTCCACAACTTTCTGTACATGGTTGGATTCTTCACAATCACACTGGCCCAAAATATGCTTGAATTTCTAATACAAACTTTATTTCCAGAAAGACCTGTCGTTTCCCTGCGTGAGCTATCCAAAGGATAGTGAACACCTGGTGCTTTTCCATTCAATGATGTGTACTCTGTATCTTGTTCTTATCAAAAACACAGTGCTATCAAATTCTTAAAAGATTCCCTACTTGCCCTCCATATCGAATTCTCATCTCAGACTTCATTGTACATGAACTCTCGGTAGTACTCCACACTAAGTACCACTGAAACTCTTCCTTCCAGGGGCTTCTAAAAAATTATCCTCGTTGTTTTTGCCCCAGCTCTCTGGCTTCTTATTTAATTATGCTGATTTATTTGTTACTGTCTATCTCCTAAATGCAGTTGTTTCTGTCCTTGGACGCCTCTTTGTCCTGTCTCTATCCTAAATTTAGCAGTGCTAAATGAGCTCACTTTCAGAGCATTTGCACTCACTATTTTTTTTTTTTTTTTTTTTTGGGACGGAGTCTCACTCTGTCGCCCAGGCTGGAGTGCAGTGGCGCGATCTCCGCTCACTGCAAGCTCCGCCTCCCGGGTTCACGCCATTCTCCTGCCTCAGCCTCCCGAGTAGCTGGGACTACAGGCGCCCGCCACCACGCCCGGCTAATTTTGTTGTATTTTTAGTAGAGACGGGGTTTCACCGTGTTTTGCCAGGATGGTCTCGATCTCCTGACCTCGTGATCCGTCCGCCTTGGCCTCCCAAAGTGCTGGGATTACAGGCGTGAGCCACCGCGCCCGGCCGCACTCACTCTTAAGAGGACATAGACACAACGAGAATGGATTTAGATTTACATTTCTGGTCCTAATTTAACTCTGGCTCTGTTTTAAAATTATCAGCTAAATACATCCACTTCCGTTTTGATATTCCAAGCTGTAGTTATCTTTAACATTGGCCTGGCGCGGTGGCTCACACCTGTAATCCCAGCACTTTGGAAGGCCAAGGCGGGCGGATCACTTGAGGTCGGGAGTTTGAGACCAGCCTGACCAACATGGAGAAACCCTGTCTCTACTAAAAGTACAAAATTAGCCGGGCGTGGTGGCGCATGCCTGTAATCCCAGCTACTCAGGAGGCTGAGGCAGGAGAATCACTTGAACCTGGGAGGTGGAGGTTGCAGTGAGCCGACATCGAGTTATTACACTCTAGCCTGGGCAAGGAGCGAAACTCCATCTCAAAAAAAAAAAATTATTTTTAACACATCTCATCATAACAGTTCTTTTTCATTGACTCATTATCTTGGTTAATGGTATTTCCATTTCCCAGGCCCCAAATTTGGAATCTTTGGGGTCACCTTTGACTAATCGTCTGACGTACCACATGGTAGCACATTTTTTCATCTAGCCTATCCTCTTCAGGTCTGCTAGACTTACCTTTTAAGAATATCAATTTATTTAGACGATTCTTCTCAAATATATTGAAAGATATCCAAGCTTTTCAGAATAAATTTAAACTCTTTAGTGTATGATTTACTTTTCTCCACAGCTTAGCACCAGCCTCCATTTTCAGATTCTTCTGAGATCATAGTTTTTGATGCTTATCACGTTTTCCCTTTCCATCATTAATCTTTCAAAGTATTACCTACCCTATATAAATCAGTTGAAATGCTATTTTAGCAATAAGGTTTTCTTTGGGCTCTAGAAGGTATACTAGAATTAATTACCTCTCTTCATACTCACTTGGCCCTTTTTTGTATTTCTTGCAGAAATTTTATTATGGCTATGTGCACACACACACTTAATTTCTATTTTTAGGTGCCTAATTCCTTGAGGGCAGGGACCGTGTTATTTTCATAATCTCCAGAAACTATAAAGTGTTTTACATGGAATGGAAGTTTGATAAATATGTATCACATTAATAAATATTTAAAAATAATACAAACCGGTTCCCTCCTCTTTGACCTTCGCTTTGACATGTATCGTCATGTCATACTCTTTTTGTCTCAGCTGAAATATTTTAGTGTTTACAAGTTGTGTGAAACATCCTTCAGTGTCTGCCTGAAGAGAAAGAAAGAGAATTCTCAGGTCTTCCAATTTGCTACTTAAAAAGTCAGCTGTCAATTTATGAGAATTTTTTTACTGGCCATAAAAATAAATGTAACAAATGTTCTGACCATTCTTTTGGTGCTTATCTTTTCCCAAGCCCAAGAATGACATAAAGTTTCTTCGTTCATCATTGATTTATTCATTATCAACCTTTGGCTTCTCCCCTCTCTTCTGAAAACTGATTCCATTTCTGCCATATTCAACTTTCTAGAGTTTCCAAACGTGCCATGGTATTTCATAATTCTATCTCTATGCATGTGTTGTTCCTCAAATGATAATTCTCTTTTTCCCATTCTTACCGTAGCCAACAGTTAGGCTCCTCAAAACTTAACTCAGACATAACATATTCTGAGAAGGCTTTCATTCCTATAAATATTGACTAAGGATTGCTATGTTTTGTTTTGTTTTTTTTTCTTTTTTTGAGTCAGAGTCTCACTCTGTCACCCAGGCTAGAGTGCAGTGGCCATGATCATGGCTCACTGCAGCCTCAACCTCCTGGGCTCAAGTGATCCTCCTACCTCAGCCTCCCGAGTGGTTGGGACGACAGGTATGTGCCACCACACCTGGCTGATATTTTATTTTTTATAGGGGCAGGGGTCTCACTATATTGCACAGGTTGGTCTCAAACTCCTGGGCTCAAGCGATTTTCTCACCTCAGCCTCTCAAAGTGCTGGGATTACAGGTGTAAGCCACTGCACCCAGCCAGGATTGTTATGTTCTTAACTGTATATTCTCAATATCTAGGATATTAATAGGAATATATACATTTATTAAATAGATGAATCCTCACCATAACCAAGTTTTCAAACTAAATGTTGGGGTACATGTTTTAATAAAGATTTGTTTTCATTTTAAATTTATTTATAAGAAAATCTTTATTGCATAATAAATTTAATCATATTAATTTATTTTTATATAGATGTATGTCATGACTCACTTGAAAACAGAAGTTAATACTAGTCTCCCTGATACATTACAGATTTGGGCAGCTAGATTCCTCTTATAGTATCTTGCTTGTCAGTGTCTGCCTTGGTGTTCATTATTATATTCGTTACTCTGGCCTCTCATTCATTTGCTCTCTGCAGCTTTGATAACTTTCTTTTCCATACCCTTGAGGTAAGAGGTGGGACTCAACTTTGGAAGCAGGTCTCAGACACCGGACCAAATTGAGAACTTACTAAAACAGGGATGCAGGGTGGCTGCTTTCCATTAGACGTGCCTACCAGTGTGCCATGTCAGTTTACCATTGCCGTGGCGACACCCGAAGTTAATGCCTCTTTCCATGGCAATGGCCTGACAACCCAGAAGTTACCACTTTTTCCTGGAAATTTCTGCATAATCTGCCTCTTAATTTCCATGTAACTAAAATGGGTGTAAATATGACTGCAGTACTCCCTTTGAGCTGCTACTATGGGCACACTGCTTATGGGGTAGCCCTGCTCTGCAAGGAACAGTACCTCTGCTGCTGCTGTACGCTGCTGCTTCAATAAACGTTGCTGTCTCTAACACCTCTGGCTTGCCCTTGAATTCTTTCCTGGGTGAAGAAAAGAACCCTCTTGGGCTAAAACCCCATTTGGGAGCTTACCTGCCCTGCGTCACCCTTACAGGGTCTGCTCATACTGCCACACCCTGGACTTTTTACATACTCTGCCTCTGGAATCAGTAATTTTTGCCTTTTATTTTTTAATACATCACATTCTACTTTCAGCTGTTCCCCTTAATTATTCTTATTCCACTTCTTCCTTGACGTGTTTTGGGCATCTAATCCATTGTCCTTGGAAGCCTTCCTTCCTTCAGCCTTATACTGGTTTAACATTCCTCCAGCGCAGTTTACTTTCCACGACATTCCATTTGATTCTCCCACTAGCCAAATTCTTAACACCTGCCACACACATTTTTCTGTTTTCTGTTTGATAAAAGACAACTCTGGATCCTTCCACATCCTTTTATGCCCTTATATCTGGCATTTGGATTGCCGTTGGAAGGACATTACCAAACTAACCAGATAAATACCACTAGATACCCACGAGCCCAACCCTCAAGTGAGCCCCCAACACTGCCAGACCATCTTACAATTTTCCCCCACTCCACCATTTTGCTTGATGGGTATTTCAAACACTATTCTCTGTTGTATTGTATTCACTATTGTAATCCATGAGAAGAGAAAACCTTGGTATTAGTGTCCTGAGGAGAGTGGTTTCCACATACCTGTTGATTGAATTCTTCACAGATACTTTGTGAATGTGTGTTGTGGCAGTCGGAACGGCATAGTGAATATCTTCTGCATACACTAAGTGTCACCAGACCAGGGACAGGCTCTCCATATGTGTACCTATAACAATAAGGTGGCCATGCGAAAAGCTACTTAATGGAAATAATACTGATGTTTCTTCAACTGACTTGATCCTTTCATACATCCACCTTAAGCTGTTGTATTACCTTCCATATTATTTCCATTTTATAAACCCTTCTTCTGAAAGGCCGTGTCTTAATTGTCCATAACTCTCAGAAAAAGTACTGGAAGAATCTTTTTGAAACAGCTCCAAATGGAAAATTACCAATTTAGTTTTTCTCAGATCTTTCTTCCCTCTTAGTTGCGGTTTTACTATAAGATGGTCCTATTTCCCTCTTTCTCTGCTGTCAGATTATCTAGGTCATGATTCCAGCTTTGACAACACCTCCTACATTGTCTTAGGGCAACATATTAAGACTATGTAGAGAGTGTATTTCTGAGTTCTCCTTGATTTATAGGTACTTTAAGAAAATAAATGTGAAGTTAGATGGAAAAGTAGTAGCTATAAAACAAAAATGTTGTATCATGACTCAGTTTGATTCTGCCTAATATGATAGAAGGAAATGACACAAAGCCATAACTAATTTGTTGTCTCTCAAAACGTGTTTTGTGGACCACCAGCATTGAAACGATCTGGGATACATGTTGACATGCAGATTTCTGAGACTTTCCTCAGATGTATGATTGGAATCTTTGGACATGGGGCCAGAGAATCTGCATTTGAAGTAAGCACACTCCCCACCCCATAGATTCTGTTGAACACTGACGTTTGAAACCTATTGCTTTAGCCCAAATGATGGGGCAGATAAGGTGTAGGGTCAGTTCCCCAAGCTTCTCCTTTTTATAGGATTACTTACAGAATAAAAATATTAGTACACACAAGCCAATTAGAACATTGTCTGGCCCATTTTAAATGTCCAGTAAATGATTTTATGATTAGCAGATGTGTGTCATCTGCTACTGTACCTGCTCCCTACTGTGAGCTTAGGCAAGCTACAAAGAGAGGTATTCCTCTCCTAATTAAAACACTTCCAACTTCAGTAACTGTTATTTACAATACCTCCCCTCAGATAGAGTACAGAAATAGAAATGAGATGAAAAAAATGCAACTCACAAGGCACAGGTTGTTATCACAAATTCTTCATCTAGAAAACCAATAACCTTGGGCATTTTTACTTGGACCTCAAATTTAGGCAAAACTGTTTTGATAAAAAAGAAAAAAAAAGGTGAGAGTGGGCCAGAGATCTTACAAGTATTGGTAGTAGATGCTATGACAGAACCTTTAACATGTGGTCACATGAAATGACTTCAGCTACAACAGGGAGCCCAGGGACAATACTGAGAAGGAGAAGCCATTCATTACCATGAGCAGTTTGTACTATGTTCACTTGGTTAACTTGATAATACATTCCCTAGACTCTCTTTCTCTGAATTTGTGCCAGATTTCCCAGATAGAGGGAAGGCAGCATGATTAGTCCCTGAAGATCATCACAGTTAGATGTGGTAAAGAGGGACCAATAGGTTTCAATGTATTCTTATTCTTTCCCTCCCTAGGCCCAGCTCTTCTTCCCAAATGCCAGCCCTGCTGACTAACAGAGGTCTGAGGCCCATCATCTGACACCTGGCTATAAGCCTACTAAAGTGGTAGCTATGCAGAGTGCAGAGGTAATAATCTTCCACAGATTCTTCTGTCAGCTCCTCTGCATGGTTGGTGCACTTGGGCAGCTGAGGGTCCCTCGCTTCCCAGACCTTTGCAAGCTCACATTTATACACCCCTAATCATGCTTCAGAACTGGCTAGTAATTTTCTCTCACCTGTCAACTCCTCCTGATGGCCTCTTACTTTTCTAGCTTCTCTCACAGTTTTGTAAGGTGTTATTCCTACAATATAATACTATTCTGTGATTTTGATGGCAGTTCTGACGAGTTTTGGGAACCATGTTTTGTGATAGGACTTCTCAGCCATGGCATAAAATATTTAATTTACATTACAAAATCCACATAACTGATAACTAATAAGATGGCTTCAATGTCTGACTTAGTAATCAACTATGGTTGAGTACTGACTAGATCAATTGTGTTAAAGTTTAGTTGACTACCATACTTAGTTGAACTATAGTTTAGTTGATTACTAAATTATATGGTTTAGGAATCATAGTTGATTAGAGTAGTATAGGTGTAGGTTATAGACAACCATAAAATAATCCCTGGAAATACTTTCAGTTATAAAATATAAAAAACATACATAGTGTATGTAGCTGACACAATGTATTGGTTAACAATTTATGTTTGAGTATCAATTCAAATCTTTCCTACCCCTTAATGACTCTGTGATTTTTTTAAGTTACTAACTTTTCCAGTACTGATATGCTCATTTGCAAAATGGGAATAATAATAGTATCTGTCCCAGAGGGGCATTGTGAGAATTAAATGAGGTAGTACATAAAAAGCACTTAGCAAATATATGGGTAAATTTAAAAGCTTGCTAATTTTCAACTATTGTATGCTAGACCTTTGATTCTTACCTATATGTAAAAATTATCTAATCTTAAATACTCTGACGTTATAAATGCCTTACACATAGAGCATTCTTACCATATTCATTCATCTCAAATGAGTGCTGTATTTTCTTCCCTGACTCTCTCTGCAGCATGATCTTGTGGGAACCCAGAATGGGCTCCACTGATAGCGGGAAAGAGAGTTGGTTGAGTCCCCCTTGCAATTTGAGACTTTGCCTTTGGAAAATTTGGTTCTTCCTGGGGTCCTATAGGTAAAAATATTATGAGTTCATAGAAACAATTGAAATATATACCTTTGAGTAGAAGGGCAGCTTTGCGGGTAAGAACGACATAGGCAGCTGTATCACAGATGGTTGGTAAATTGGCCCAAAGGTATTAGCAAAGTTTTATAGGAATTCCAACCTGAGATAAGGGCAATAAGTTTACTAGCTATGAGATATTACAGATAACATTTCGTACTGATGCCTCTTTTTGGTATTATGTATATTTATTTTGGTCAGAAATATTGGATGAGTCACTAAATTGCATCATCTCAAGAAATGTTCCTGCATTTACATGTTATCCACTTAGAATTTAAAGTGGACAGAAAAACAGTATTTGTTTAGCTTTGGTGAAATGGTGAGGGAAGGGAGAGAGGCAATTTAATGTAACTTGTAGAGAGTCCTCATTCCAGTTGTAATGTACAACATACCACTTACCTCAATATAAACCACCGGAAACTGAAAAGAAAAAAAGATAGTATGAGCACATGGTAGAATATAGAAGGAGAAAACCATGACACCAGCACTGACAGAGTATATGGGCCAGAGAAAGTAAGTCTCTATATTCCAAATGAGGAAATACCCCATTTGGTTCACAGCACTTTGTATGTTTAGTTTGGGACATACATCTTTCACGAAGTCATGACTTTCCTATTGTTAAATAACATACAATTGAGGAAACCTATTTAGATAAAAAGGTCCGAATAATAAGTTTATTATTATTTCACAGATTATATTTGTTTAAGAGGGAAATCAAATTCACACATTTATTCAATGAAAGTAACTGGAATCTTTAAGAGGACAGCTTCAACTGCATACTGAATTCATTTTAAGAATGCAGTTTATGGAGTGCCTTGATTCTGACATCCCTTATTCTTCTAGCAGAGATACCCTTATGAGATCTTCATGTGGTGGGCTTAAAATACCTCTTTAACTGGTCTCAAGTTTCCCAAAAGAATAGGCCTTCCTTTTTCCCTCAGCCATCACCCATCATTACGAGACTCACCATTTCATCCAAAGGGTGGAAATTGACATCCATAGAGACAACACGGAATTTCACTGAAACAGAGGTATTTTCCTGTGAAATCACCCCGTGGAGCCTGGGGTAGTAATAGCATGCCTGAATTCCCAGGATTGCAGAATAAAGTAATAAAGAAGCTCCTCCCCTCTCCCAAAGTTCCCCTTGCTCATTTGATTCCTCATACCTGTTTGTCCTGGTTTGTATATGGGTTTGTCTGTCTGGACAAAGACTAGGTTCTCTGCTGTAGTTATATATATTGATTTGCTCTTTGTGAAATGCAGAGTTGCCCCCTCTACCTCCACAGCAATGACCACCCAGGAAGATGGTAATTCTGGAATCTGTAAAACAGAAATGAGCTGAAGAATCTGCCCAGACTTACTTCTGAATTTCTCAGCCATTAGGAGTTTCTGTCTTCCTGGTTAGTCCCTGAGAATTAGTAAGGGACAAAGTCAAGGATAATGCTCCTTGTCTTAAAAGTAGATTATTATGATGTTGTAACATGACAGTAACATGATTGAAGGAGAAAATATTGCAATAAAATGAGCTAATTCTTCAAGCCAGTTATGACTGAAATGGGATGCTTGCATTTTCACAGCAAAATGGTGATATTAAAATAATTATTAAATTTTATTTTTCAAAGGTCAACAACATTATATATTATCTGGCCAGGCACGGTGGCTCATGCCTATAGTCCCAGCACTTCGGGAGGCCAAGGTGGGCAGATTGCTTGAGCCCAGGAGTTCAAGACCAGCCTGGGAACCATAGTGAGACCCCCACCTCTACAGAAAATCAAAAAATCATCCAGGCATGGTGGTGCCTATCTATAGTCCCAGTTACTCAGGAGGCTGAGGTGGGAGGATCACCTGAGCCTGGGAGGTCAAGGCTGCAGTGAGCCGTGATGGCACCACTGCACTCCAGCCTGGGTGCCAGAAAGAGACCCTGTCTCAAAAAAAATTTTATGTTATTATTTGTGGTAACTACATATGATTAAACAATTAATACCTTAAGTAGTAAAAGATTAAAAGGACAATACATCCACTATCAACCATTGGTGAGATCTTAGATAAGTTATTTGACTTTATAAATCTCAGTGTTTCTATCTGTAATGGTATGAATATTATTTACCTCAGAAGTTTAAGATCAGATTAAATCCTTTCTATAACTACTGTTAAATTTTATGCATGGCACTCTGTTTGTAAATATCATGTAAGCTGTGAGCATATTCAGTAGAACTTCCATTCTTAAAATCTAAATTGAGATTCACTCTGTACTTCTTATTTTTCTTTCATTATGCATTTTTTATTTTCAAAGGATTAGAACCAAAGGTATCAGCTAATGTGCTCTTTCTCTATCCAGCTCCCTTATTTCAAGGATCAGTACTGACCATGAAGGAACTGCAGTAGAAATAGTTCCTCTTCGTCACCAGGTCTGTGAGGAGGGATCTCTTCTGCATTTTGTACATCAGAGTTACTTTCAGTGCCACCATCTCATTCAGGTGATTAAGGATGACACAGGTCTTTTCAGGAACTCCAGTGTAGAGGTGTGATGGGACCAGCACTAGGTACTACCTGTGGAGGGGAGAAGTCCAGATTAACTATGGAGGGGTCAAAAAGACATCATTATTATGGCCATTTTCTAAATAATCTTTGCTTTTGTCACCAATCATAGAACAGAGACAGATTTTAGCAGGAGTGTATTCTCCAAAGGCCAACCCAAAAGATCTGAGGAACTGAGAAAACCAGAAGTTAAACCCCAGATATGCTTCTCTTCTGTTGTGAAGTACTCACCCACATAATATTAGCAAAGCTGTCAATAGCCATGGGTAAGCAATCCATGAGTTATTATATATTTTGGATAAAAATTTCATAATTTCAATATGCAAATCAATCAACAAATCATCATTGAAAGCATTAAGAACCTCTCTGCATGCGGTCTTGGGTTTTGCATGGATGATACTACAGATCTCTTTGTTCCAGGAAACTAGGAAAAATATAACATTTAATACATGGGGAGAAGCTGAATTGCTTTTCAGTATGACCTTGGGAGCAGGGCCTTTTCTTTCTTTAGCTCTTTTCTTTTCTTTTCTTTTCTTTTCTTTTCTTTTCTTTCTTTAGCTCTTTGGTGATGGAGACGAGGCAAGCTGAGCCAGGCTAATCACCAGACATATTGCCATATACACCCAGAGGAAAATACCACTCTCCTCTCACCAATTGCCTCTCACAAGCACCCAGACACACTACATCTGGGGATGCTGTACGTGTACACACTCTTCTCTCTCTTCCTGAGTGTCCCTGTCTACCCAGAAAACTTCTGTTTGCTTCATAACACATATCTCAAAAGTGACTTTCTCTGTGCAGAATTTGGTGAAGCCCTCTCTCTTACATCAGGCCTCATGAAGAGTGGTCATTCTTTGGAAGTATTCTGACAGAATCCTGCAATGCCTGCTTCTGTTTTTCTTCTATAGTTCATTCTCTGTGCACCATCTCTCTACTTTTCCATACTGTGAGGTGTTGAGGGCGGCGTCTGAATTTTGCTAATCTGTAGATTCCCAAGACCCAATGCCAGCTCCTAAAGGTGTGCCAAAGGATTGAGTGAACTGACACACAAATCCTGGCTTGTCTGTAGAGCATACATTCATCTTGGCAATCCCTTATTTGAGGAAAACACAGATACTGAGTCATTTCACAATTGTCACGACGTGCAATCCATTTTATGAATCAATAAAAAAATGTATCCCTTTTTGGGTAGGAATTCTATATTCTTTTTTGGTAAATGTTTCATAGATGTTGCTGCCTTATGTCTGTGACTTTCCTGAAATTGGAGGATGTCTCTTTCCACATGAGTAGTAATGACTTGCTGATACTTCCTGGCCCTTTTGACAGCAGAAAATTGTGTAGGGAATTAGGAAATACAGATCAAAGAGATAATAGAACGGGAAAAAAGGAGGACAATTTAATTTTCTGGAAATAATGCTTATGGTTCTGCAGCAGCTGCAGCATCACTGGGAAGGAGCAGGAAAAGCAGGATCAAGACTGGCGGGGGCAGTTGATTTCCCATCACGGTACAGAAAGGAAGAGGGCAGAATGGGAGCCTGAGCCCTCGATTCTTTTAACCCTGTTCTTGCTCCAACTCACTGGTTTTTATTTCATCTGATGGGCAGTGAAAGTAAACTGCCAATCATTTATTTTTGTAACATATTAACTACTTCCAGCATAAAAAAATCAATTCCAGATCATTTTCATGACCATATGTATTAATTTATCCACTTTCCCAAATTTTCTAAATTCCTGAAAAATAGTAGTTTGAGGCTACCACTAGCTCAGGTCATTAATCAGTTTTAAAACTATTTTCATGAAAACACAAAACAAATTACATGGTTTGATGAAATAAACCAATATTCTTGCAGTTTTAAAAAGAGGTATTAATGTAAATCCATATCCCAAATATGTTTTGGTAGTCTAGGGAGCACAACATACATTCTTCACCCAAGATTCATCCTAACTGGCTCTTCAGTGAAACAAGGAAGTGAAATCTGTCATAGAATTTTAAATAAGACAAGTTTGGGAGCAACCTCTCCATTGCTTGAAAGATTCACTTTTGATCTGTATAAGTATTCTTATATTTACTATTTTAAAAAGGGCAGTTCATTGGGTATAACAACATATGTAATATATAATTACTGTTTCTTAATTCATTCAACATCTAGAATATAAATTCAGTTAATTTATTTTATTCTCTAAGAAAATGATCTCTCTCTGATGAACATTCTTATTTAATTTTATCCTGAGTGATAGAAAATATTTTATCAACAGTGATGCATCATCCTATTTGCTTTCCAAAGGGGATTCAGATGTTAGAATTTATTTTTATGGAACACTGAAAATAAGAAAGGTCCCATTGTTAAATTAATAAAACTAGGGCCTTATAAAATTGAAGTCTGGATATTTTGAATAAAGAACTGATTTCAACTATAAAATAAGATGTGAAGAGAAATAGGCACTTCTGAGAACGGGGAATATTTTACTGTGTTCCTTTCTAAATTGGGGCTAGGCAGATCTTGACATACACTTTTCTATATGACCTGAAAGAGTGATGGAGAAGTAAAGATGATGTATGTGACAACCCTTGGTGGACTGCAAAACTGTAGATATGTAAGCTATTAAAATTCCAATGATGATAAACTATGGCTAAAAAAAATGCCAAGTCAAATGGAATAAACTGTAGTAATACATTGTGTTGGCCCTTGTAGTCGACAAATGCTTGCTTGGGTAATTGTAAAACTCTTCTGCTTTATTTTGGCTCCATTTGTATGCTCTCTTACTTCCACTCATCTTCCCAGCTCTTCCCACATCCCACCCTCACCCCTAGATTACCATAAACGTGCTTATTCTCTATCAGTTTAATATGGGATAAATTAACCTATAATAAGCAGTAAATGACTTTTAAGAGGTCTCTATATCACTTTTTCCAGGCATGATCATACTTTTTAGATACGTACCAAACCTGTATTTGACCAAATGCTGAATGACTAAACATAAAATCCTTTTTTGTACGTATGAAGCAAAAATTGTCATCACAGTTTGAACTTCTGGAATAGAAGAATAAATCTCAAGAATTATCAGAATTTTATCATTTTAATTTTTAATTAAAATATTTTAGTTGATACATTTGAAACATTTGACATTATAGGGTAAACACAATACTTTCTCAGCACTGTCAGCTAAGGCTTCTATACTCTTGGGATCTTCAAACATTTTCCTTGTATTCCTTAAAAGAATTTTATTAAACATGTAATATCTTACATACACTTGACATCTAAAGTGTCTACACTAAAATAAGTGTAGTATAATACTGATGTTTAAAAAATAAAATGTAATACCACTTTTTAAATGTATCCGATGAAATGTAGACACTGCAGTGATTTTTTTTGGCCACCACCGTTCCTGTAAAACACACATGAACACTTTTTTCACCAGCAGGAAATTTTATATCACTCTTGTTTCTTTTTGGTCTTATATTTTCATTCTACTTCCTCAGGTAATTTTATCCTGGAGTTGCATACTTCAATATATTTTATTGATCGCCCTATTATATGTTTCTGCAACTAAAGATCATCAAAGATTATTATAAAAATATTCTTGAGCCTGTAAAGTTCTAATTAGTAATAAATGTTTTCTAGGTTGCATTATCATTAAAATTATTATCAATATACTATTTATAAAATTATATATCTGCTATAATCTTAATAGATATTAAAAATGAGAACATTTTGTTCAAAAATAATTTTTTAGTGAAATAAATCATGTATTCCAGCTGGCTCCCTAAGATTGTGTATTCTTGGATGAATATTGCTTATTGCTGGATTAAAACAAGTTTCATCTATTCTCTATTTGTTCTACCCTGCTCTATTTCAATTCTAGAATATTGCTATTCTGTTTTCTATTGTATAGATGTAAGCACTAAGGAAACCTGTTCACATAAAGAGAGAAATAGAAATAGGGGACGTTCTATTATAACAATGTTATCTAATTATTTAGGCTTCCATGTTAAAAGCCAAAGGTCACATTATAACCATTAAAAATTACTTTTAATTATCTATCAGCTGATAAGTCCTCTGTAATTTTATTGAAAGCAAAGTGCTAAACCAGGTCAATTGCAACAGGATTTGGAAATCAGCCATTATGATCATTCTTATTCTCGGTTCCTAGAAAGTATTCAATAAAGGCTTAAAAGGACTTATAAACGGCCACCAATCATTACTTTCTTACTTAAAAACACAACTTTTACCAAATATACTCAGAAAGTTTGGAAATTTTGAAATATCATTTATTTTAATATACTTTGTCAATATAAAGCCTCATAAAAGGCTTTTATCTGATCAGAACCATAACCTGCACATTTAGCTCATTTCATTTAAAGGAAGTCTCCACCAGTAACCTGATTTGCAAAGCCAGTCCTTATTGTCAAAATAACCAGTCAAACTGGACTTATTTCTAACAGAAAAAAATGTTGCATTATTTTTAATTTCAATAAACTCACTAATATATATTCCCGGGATGACTCTCCCACTTTGCAATTCTAAGATGAAGAGTTGTGCTGAATATTTGTTACCTAGATGAAGTAAGACAACCCTACTTTGGTATTTCTTTCCATGCTTTCTGCTTTATTCTTATGGAACTCTCAGGGGGAATACAACATTGACAAGAGTTGGAAAAGGGAAGAGGGGAATTTTAAATGTGAATTGTAATCATTTCTGTCACCTCTACAATATGTATGAGTACTGAAAATTTCAGAACAGGCCAAAAGAATCAATTTCTAACATCATGTTTTTCTTATACCAGAAATTGTTTTAAGACAGATGGGTATATGATACCTACAATGGGCTTATGATGCCTTGATTAAGAGAGTTTGTGCAAAAGAGAATTTGTGCAAATATTAATATTTTGATTTATCTTTTTGTAAGAGACAAGCAAGGCGTTTTTCACTCCAAGATACATCTAAAATACATATTATAACTGAAAGAGAAAATGTATATTAAAATCAACTCATAAGTTATGCCTTGATTATATTACAGCATGATGACAGTGGTTTTATAACATTGCTTACAACAATCGTAAGATTATTGATCATTCATAATTTCAAGGATCCCAGAAATGACACTGACATAAACTGAGGGCAAAGCTGACTGTAACTAAAAGATTTTAGCCAAATGTCAAAGTCAAAGATAAATGTCATAGCGCCCTAACAAATAGTATATGTTTATCAAAAGCGATAAACCTGGAGATGTCATCACAACAACAAAAACTTTCATGAAAAAGACAAGACAAAGGTAAGTTACGACTGTAATTGTAGCATTAAATATAGGGACTAGAAGAGAAGAGATATATGTGAAAAAAGTTGACTTTGTAATTGAGAATAGTTTTGATACATTAATTGTATAACAGATTTTTCAAATGATCCAAAATAAAGCTACTTTTCAAAGGAACTCTACAAAAGACATTATTACCTTTGGACATATTTCTAAACCAACTTTATTTTCAAAGAGAAATGTGTTTACGAAGCATTGAGCAACTTTGGGTGGGTTGAGACCGAAAGTATCCTTGCCACTTGAGTATACATTGGGGGAGGCAGAGCTGGAATCATTGGCATATGTGGAATGAAATTAATGCATGTATTAGCACATAAGGGATGTGAATAGCAATACTTTTCATAAACAAAAAAAGCAGGATTATTGGTTGTAAAATTTATCTACCATGTTAATATGCTGAATAATCCTGTACGTTTTCTATCCTTGTGAATACTTGGGCTGGCAGAGAACAGGCTGGAAAAATCAGGAGATTACAGACTACGTTTCCATCCTTCAAGTATTTCCCTGCATGGATACTGAGACGTAGAACAAATGATAAAAAGAACATGATGAATGTGCTTTTTGTCTTATTAGAAAGACTCACACTTAATATGACACTATATTAATATTCAGAGATCAGGCCAGTGGGCTTGTCAACTGAGCTGTAATTCCACCAGCCTGCTTTAGTCAATACTGCAATGGCGCTTCCTTCTATACATATTATTAGAAACTGCCCTAGTGGAAAATAATCTTCTACCAGCCCAGTCTTGCTTTTTATATTAGAATTAAAATTTTTATTCATTAAAAACATTATTAGGAGAGTGAAAGGAAAAGTCACAGAGAAGAAAAAGATATTTTCTGTATATATAATTGACAAGTGCTTATACCCAGAATATATTGAAGACTTCCAGAAATAAATTAGAAAAAGACCTAGCACCTTACACAAAACATCCAAATAGCTAATAAATATATGAAAAGGTACTTGGTCTCCAGAGAAATGCAAATTAATACCACAATGAAATCTCTACATATCCTCCAAAATGGTTAAAGTTAAGATTCATAATGCCAAGTTTTAGTGAGGATGTGGAGCAACCGAATCTCTCATCCAATTGTGAAAATGAATCATCATTATCTACTAGAATTCATCATCCACAGAGCCTCTGTCCCAGCAATTTTTACCGCTACATAAATACCCAGGAGAGTGACAGCAAATGTGCAAAAAGTCACGTATAAGAACATTTGCGGTTGCATTATTTGTAATAGCTCTAAATTGAAAACAACTCAAATGTCCCACAACAGGATATGTAAATTGTGGCATATTCATACAATTAAAACTTTATAGTGTTTTTCAATGAAATAGAATAATGTTAACTGCATCAGTGTCAATGAATCCCATGAATATAGAACTGAGCAAAAGATTCCACATACACACACACAAACACGTATACACAAACACATTACAAATCATATAATTCTATTTACAGAAACACTGGTGTGTTCATTCTAAGTCATCCAGACTAGTCTTCTTTCTTGCTCTTAGTGAATCACCAATGGAAGTTTTGCTCAGGAGAATGAAATGTCCCATACTTGTACATGCAAACACTGGGATCCCCAGTTACCACAACCCCAACCTGATGGGTCTCCTACCTTCACCTCCTCAGCCATACTAAACTCCTTGCTTTTCTTTGGCAGTTGAGAATCTTTCTACTTGACTTGAAGCCTTCACACCTTTTATTATCTTCTGTTGTATTGTTCTTCTGTATATGTTCTGATAGCTAACTTCCTTACTGCCTTAAACCTTTGCTCATCTATCAGCTTCTCAATGAGGTCTACCCTGATCACAGCATTTAAAACTGCAAAGTCTAACCCCAATCTTATGATACTCTTGATCTCCCTTGCTGTGCCTTTTTAAAAATAACATTTGTCATTTTATGACATGTTATAAAATGAACTTACTTATATTTCTTGTTTATTGCCTGTCTCTCCTCTCTGGAATATAAGGCAGAGATGTCTTGTTTTTCACTGTTTCTTATTATTCAGAAGTATATCCACTAATAACAAGCATTCAATAATTATTTGTTGAATAAATAAATGAAAAGAATTATGTGCCCATGAGAAACAACACTTGCTTTTTCTTTCTTAAAAGTATATAAAAAGATGAATGGATAAATTGAATTGTATGCATATATTTAATATAGAATGAAGCAATAATATTTCAAGGAGAATGACTTAAGAATAACTTCAGATGATGTGAAGTCAGTCTTTGTACAAGCAATCACATAACAGAGTCAATTATATAGTTTTATCAGCAGATCACAGGGCCTTCTTTCTCTTTTGTTAGTGACATAGATGAATACACACACACACACACACACACACACACACACATATATTCTGTATAATCATTAAAAATGTCACTTAATGTAAGAAAGAATGCGGTTCTCATTTACATTCTTCTAGTTTATTATTATTTCTTGAGAAAATATTGCTGGGTTAATTATAAAATAGATTCTGGCTGTTGCGTGTTAGCGCGCGTCCCGGAGTGCGCATGCGCAGCGGCGGGGGTTGTTCCGGCAGCCTTTCACTGAGGCCACCCGCCAGTTTCAAATTCAGTGGCGTTTGCCCTGATTCCCGGGGCCTGGCTTTCAGCGTAGCAATTCTGCCGGCGAAGAAGGTGAGCGCAGTGCTGTGTGGCAGCAGAGGTCCTTAGGACGAGGAACAGCGGGACGAGGAAGGGCAGACTGGTGAAATCGCAAACTGGGCGTCTGTTCCGGCACCGGACCCCTGTTTGCAAAGGTGGGTGGCCCGTCCGGAGCGGAAAAACATTCCGGAAGTGGAGGGCCGGGCCAGCGTGATTGACAAGCGGGAACCCCTGTGTGGGGACGGGGCCGGCCTAGGAAGGTTGTGCCTGCGGTGGAACGGCGCGGTGCGCAGGAGTCGGCATTAACAGCAGCCGCGTGTCTGGGTCTTAGATTTGGCCTAGCTGTGTTGAGCTTTTCATGGATTATGTTACGTAGATAAGACACTGCAACAGTGAGTGAGCGCTTGTAACCCACCTGTCTCTTACAGAAACTGAGCCCCAGCGATACTAACTTTAGCAAGGATACAGCTGGGATCCTAAACTTGGCGATCAGAGCCCAGAGCCGATAAAGTTAGCTGCGTGAGTCTAGCTTCCCCCGGGGCGGGAATCGAGGCGGAGCAGGGTACAGTACGGAGGCCAGGGATGAGTGCAGTTGACCAGATTGTTGACGGAAGTGTCATAAAAGTGGACTTAAATGTTGATAAGCAGCTGGTTGGGTTCCACACAGGTTGCGAGCTCAGGATGCACGTTGGAGGGGACACAGGGCCAGAGCAAGGTGGGAATGCGGGTATTATGGGCCAGGCCATCCTCCAGCTGGTGGAGCACCGCAGCACTGCAGTGTGTGGCCCTGGCTTAACAGCAGTGCGGAAAAGCTTTTCTCTTGGGGCTGTGGTGCTTTCCAGGTGTGTGAAGTTAAAACATTTTAGGGCCATACGGTAGGTAGTACCTGCCACATAGTTGTCTTGGTCAGCCCCGGCTGCCGTGACAAAATACCATAAACTGGGTGGCTTAGACACAGAAATGTGTTTTCTCACAGTCCCAGAGGCTTGGGATGTCCAAGATCAATGTGGGGAGGACACAACTGAGCCCACAACAATAGTCTGTACTCGGTAATGAGTGATAATTGGGGACTGAAGAAAATGAACACGTTAAGAACTAATATGTTCCTGAAGTGCTTTCACAACTCTAACCTCGTTTTATGAGCGTGAGCTTTGCTGTCCTGGTGTGTGCCTTGGCACTGGGAGGTGATGGTTGTCCTCCACACAGCCAACCTGAAGAGGGCTGAACAAGTCGCTGCAAATGTTTTTAATAGGGCTTAGTGAATCCGTTATACTCAGATTTATCTAAACCTCTATGATTTAGCCTGTGCTGCTTCTGGAATAATGAGATCCATAATTACCACTGATGGGGAAGTGAAATAATACTTAACGTTTCTTCTGTATTGTTTAGTGTTGTCATTCTAGAGTTTGGTCACCAAATCTGTCTTTTTTATCCCACTTACCCTGGTGGGAGGAAAAGTGAGGAGATAGAAAGTTTCAGGTGGCTTGGGGGTCTGGCAGATGTGGTTCAAATCCTGAGTTCAAGCACTTGCTGAGTGACCTTGGGCAAGTCATATAAGTTTACTGAGTCTCAGTTTCTTTCTCTATAAAATAGAGCTTATAAAAATACCACACAGGGTTTTTGTGGGGTTATCTGAAAACGGTTTGAAACCATTAAAGAACTGGCCATTTAACTAATAGGTATTCAAGTCATGGGACCTCCGTTACCCAGCCTCGGAAGAGAAACCTTTACTTACAGCCCCGATGTCTGGCTGGCTCCTCATTCATTCATCAGATTTTTGTTGAATGCCTATGAGGTGTTGAAGCACCTAGTTCTGAGTCCTGGAGCCAGAGAAGAGCAAGACAGACAAGGTTCCTCTATTTATGGAATGTATATTCCAGTGAGGAAGAATAAATAGGTTCAGATGGTGCTAAGAGCTATGAATAAATTAAATACAGAGTAATGTGATTTTTAAAAAGTGACTTAGAGCAAGCTAGGGGGTGAGGAGTGGGGGTGGTGTTTGACCACTGTCCAGCGGCCAGACAGCCGGAGAGGCTTCTCTGAGGAGGTGAGCCAAAGCCTGGATATTGAGGAGGACTCCTTCTCCAGGCCAAGGGGAGCAGCAAGTGCAAGGCCCGAGCTGAGTAGATGAGGCTGGGAGCCAGACCAGTCTTAGGCTGACCAGTGCTCTGTCTTGAGAGGAGCTGCTGGTCAGCTTTTTGTCTTGGGATTCAGAACGAGGAGACATAAAGACTTTTTACTTGGCAGTGGGAGCTGAAGCTGAAAGGTCCAGGGGCTGATGAGGCCACGTGTAAGCGAAAGTTTGGGATAAGCAGAAACCGAGTGCGCTGAGGGAGTGAGATTGTGGCTGTATCCGGCGCCTGGCTGAGCAGGAGAGTGAACCCCGTGGGTGTGTGTTTGCTGGTGACGTTCCTGGAGCTGTCTTGAAGTCCGAGCTGCCTTGCAGCTCTAGTCTGCTTCTGTTTTTGGCTTTCCCAGATAGTTTCAATTCTTACTCTCAGTTTGTGAACCTCCCTTCAGTGAACCTCCCTTTACTTATGCTGGATATCTCTTGCGACTGGATGAGCTTCACTAAAGCACAGTCATTTGGATCTGGATTCGAATCCCTGGTTTTCCACTTTTTAGCTGTGAGTTTGAGCAATTATTTAATTTCTGTAAGCATCAGTATCCAGTAGCTGTATCCTTATAGTGTTGTACAGATTAAATGAGATAATAAAAGCAAAAGACCACTGTAGAGTGTTTAACACATAGGAGGTACTCAAAAATTTGTTAGGTACCTTTCCTCCCCTTTCCTTCATGTGTTAAAGCTTTTTCAGTACATACCCCTCTCTCAGGATTGAATTGTAAGTCATATTTTTTAATTACCCTTCTTGTAATAATTCCTCTACCTCTGTAGTCATGTTTTTCTTTTTTCATTTTTTCTTGTCCCCAGAATGTCTAACAAAACAGCCAAATATACCTCTGTAAAGACAGAGGGTAAAATAATGCTAGTTCTGTGAGTTCTCTCTTCTTGTGCAAATCCATAAACTGCCACCAATCTGTAGTCATTTTAATTGCCCCTAAACCGAAGAGCATCATGGCAACTACCTTTCCCCTCGTAGAGTGACACTATCACTAGTCTTACTGAGGCCAAAGTTATAAAGATGGGCTCTCGATCTACTAATATTAGTAAAATGGGTTTGGGACTTACTAACATTTGTGCTTAGAAGAGACAGACCTGGCAAAGAGCTTGGAGAAGTGAGTTCCAAAGAGAGAGGTGTGGGAACCAGGATGGAAGAGTCAGGCCTCCAGATAGCGTTTACTTCTCCTTTCTTCCTTGAATCACTGTCTCAGAGATAATTAGGTTCAGAAGAGGAGGAAAAAAAAGATGACGTCAACATGGAGCAGAGTTTTTCTTAGACCTTAGCCTAGCAAGGAAAGAGAAATGCCTGGTCTCAGTGCTGGGAAGCTGTTTCAGCCAGAGCCCCGTGGCTGTGAAGAGAGCTCTCCTGTCTGGAGCCAAACAGAAAGCTCATAGGTCTTGAGGCCAGAAAAGTTAGTAGGTGGCGGCTCTGGTCGGTGCTGGAAATGGAGGCCAGGATGAACTAAGAAGCAAACTAAAGATACTTGTAATATAAGGACGTGTAGGCTGGGTGCGGTGGCTCACGCCTGTAATCCCAGCACTTCGGGAGGCCAAGGCGGGCGGATCACGAGGTCAGGAGATCGAGACCATCCTGGCTAACACGGTGAAACCCCGTCTCTACCAAAAAAAAAAAAAAAAAAAAATTAGCCGGCCGTGGTGGCGGGCGCCTGTAGTCCCAGCTACTCGGGAGGCTGAGGCAGGAGAATGGTGTGAACCCGGGAGGCGAGCTTGCAGTGAGCCGAGATCGCGCCACTGCACTCCAGCCTGGGTGACAGAGTGAGACTCTGTCTGGGAAAAAAAAAAAAAAAAAAAAAAGATAAGGACGTGTATGTTAACTTGCGCTATCCAAACAAGCTGTGCTTATGGTCCTCTGCCTGTGCGTCATGATTTTCCAGGACTTCACAACGGGATAAAGTGAAGTAGCTTCGGCTTGTGAATGTGCATTGCAGAGACGTGGGAGAAGAAAGCTGCAAAAGTCATTATGAGCAACACCCTTGATCTTAGGGGTGCTGGTCTTTGAGAAGAGAGCTCTAAGCCTTTTGTAGAGGCATTAGAAAGGTATCGGCGCCACGGTGAAATGCAGGGGAGATTGGGTTTAGGGGCTTTCCTGGTCTGCATTCTGCTACAGCCGTTAAATGCCGCTAGATGGAGTGCGTGATTCTGGTATGGCCTCATGTGGACCTGCGAAGGATGGAGAGAACATGGTCTCTGCTTCCCAGAAAAAAAGGAGAAATTTGGTAACAAGTGTGGAGACTGCTCTTAAATAATGCTCCAGATTTCAAGCCACTTCTTCCTGGACCATGAGAGAGCTCCCTAATGTTGTATTTATTTTTCCTAGGTCCATGGCTAATGAAACACAGAAGGTTGGTGCCATCCATTTTCCTTTTCCCTTCACACCCTATTCCATCCAGGAAGACTTCATGGCAGAGCTGTACCGGGTTTTGGAGGCTGGCAAGATTGGGATATTTGAGAGTCCAACTGGCACTGTGAGTATGAACAGTGAGAGATACTGAAAAGGACAACTTAACGGCAGCTGTGCTAGCTTTTCCTGTTTGCCCATCCAGAGATTTTCATAGTTTGAAGTTGGGCAGAGTAGTCTCTCTCAGTTTATCTTTCTGAGTAATAGTCGCTTCCTCTATTAAAATCTTTTTTTTTTTTTTTTTTTTTTTTTTGAGACGGAGTCTCGCTGTGTCGCCCAGGCCGGAGTGCAGTGGGACGATCTCGGCTCACTGCAAGCTCCGCCTCCCGGGTTCACGTCATTCTCCTGCCTCAGCCTCCTGAGTTGCTGGGACTACGGGTGCCCGCCGCCACGCCCGGCTAATTTTTTGTAGTTTTAATAGAGACAGGGTTTCACCATGTTAGCCAGGATGATCTCAGTCTCCTGACCTCGTGATCCGCCCACTTCGGCCTCCCAAAGTGCTAGGATTACAGGCATGAGCCACCGTGCCTAAAGTCTTAAACATAGCTCTGTGGTCTGAGAAAAATTAGGCTGAAGTCATTGGTGCCTACCTATTACGGTAGATGAGATGGCTTTCTTACCAACTCTTTTCCCTCCGGTTCCCCATCCTTCAAATATAATTCTAAGTTTTAGTCTCTGCTGAGTGAACCAGTGCGTTATGATTATGTTTTGAACATAATTTTGTCTTGAACAATATGTCTTAATATTCTGTTTTCTCTAGTTAATAATTGCCCTTTTAAAGTTAGTTTAGTTTTTAATATACCTATGCCAGTTCCTCCCACATCATCCAGTGGCCTCTCAATATGATTTTCCATACAGATAACTCCTGTCTTAGTCGGCCAGGACTGCCATAGTAAAATACCATAGACTGGGTGACTTAACAGGAATTTATTTTCTCACCATTCTGGAGGCTGGAAAGTTGAAGATCCAGATTCTGGCAGGGTTCTGGTTCTGGGGAGGGGGTCTCTTCCTGGCTTGCAGATGGCTGCGTTCTTACTGTGGAGCAAGAAAAGAGGAGGAGGAGAAAAACAAATCTTTGGTGTCTCTTTCTCTTTTATGAGGACAAGGGCTGCTCCCTTATGGCTGCTCCTTTATGACCTCCTTTACCCTTGAAGGCCAGATCTGTAGTACAGTCACATGGCGGGGTTAGGATTTCAACATATGTTTGTTTGTTAAGATGGGCAGTCTCACTATGTGGCCCAGGCTGGTCTCGAACTCAAGCGATCTTCCCCTCTCAGCCTCCCAAGTACCTGGTGGCTGGCAAGATCCAAGATTACTGGTGCACACCACCATACACAGCTTCTTTTGTTTGGTTTTTGTTCTTTAAAAACTTTTTTTTAACATGCATTTTGGTGGGGATACAATTCAGTCCACAGCAGTGACCAATTCCATTTTTACCTTGGAGCCCTCCTGGAATCCTCCATCCTTTCCCTGTCATTTGAATTAGTTGCTCCTCAGACTGACTTGACAGATTTCAGCATGAGTGTTAGTGGGGACAGACGGCCGCACCCACACCACATCAGGGTATATGTCCGTTTGGAGGCTTTCCTCAAACGTCTGGCAGCCCTGGACTGCCTGTGTATGCTGAAGAAGAGGGCACAGAAAGGCTGAGTCTGCAGGGCAGGCTGGCTGTGGCTGCCAGGCTGGGCTCCTTTGTTGGGGGCCTCCAGTTGCCAGCACATCTGTGGGATTTTCCCTAGAGTCTTCGGTCTCTCCAGAGCAGGTGCCTCTGAGCTCTGGCCCAGCAGGTACAGACGCTGAAGCCCAATAGCCGGTCTTCCGGGAGGTGGTCTGGGGAAGGGGATCCAGGTGGAGAGTCCCCCTCAGTGCCTGCTTTCAGCCTGACCCTCCTCTCCCTCCCTCTTGCCTCCTCAATCTGCCAGTTGCCTCCAGGGCTCTCCTAGCTCAGCTTCCACTTAGAGCCCACTTCCTGTGTTCTGCAAGGAGCAGGAGCAGGGATTGCAACCTGGGAATCTAATTGTTCTTAAACAGAATTTCAACCCGTCCCTTTGTTTTCAGTGGCCTGCTGTGTTCCTACCACTTCCTGAGTCTTTCTGAGAATGAGTGGGGGAGATCTCTGGGGACACTTGGGCTTGAGTGTCTCTGCCGAATCACTTCCATGTCTCTGCCTTCTTTCCCTCTCTCCTAAAACATATTACTCCTTCCACTTTCTTTGTTTTTGTGGGTGTAAGCCTCCATATTACTTTGGTTAATTTTAGTGTGCTTTGGAACACAGATGAGTGCATGTTCATTCTGCCTTGTTTAATTTTAGAGACAGGGTGTCGCTCTGTTGCCCAGGGCCGAGTGCAGTGTTAAGATCATGGTTCACTGCAGCCTCGACCTTCTGGCATCAAGTGATCTTCCCACGTCAGCCTCCTGAGCAGCTGGGACTACAGGTGTGCGCCATCACACCTAACTAATTTTTTAATTTGTAGAAATGAGATCTCACTATGCTGCTCAGGCCGGTGGTCTTAAACCCCTAGGCTCAAGCAATCCTCCCTCCTTGGCCTCCCATAGTGCTGAGATGACAGGCGTGAGCCACTGTACCTGACCCCTTTTACCTTGTTTAGCCTGACAACCCATCTTCTCCCTCTCAGGTCTTTCCATCTCAGTCTTCTGCACTCCAGGCTTCTGCATCTTCCTCCTATGCTCAGCCTTTAATTGTCGATGTTTCTGGTTCTATAGCTTCATCTTCTTGTGTGCACTCTCTGTGAATGTACCCTGTGGCTTTATTACCTTTGACATTCTTCTGTCTTCTAAATCATCTCCTGAATAGAGTGTTTTCTCCTGTCCTGGGTGTCCCCCAGCCCATAGGAGCAGCCATGCTGTGGGACACCCTGAGTGGGGTCTGTGTTACCTGTTGTGCCTACCATGCCCTTCCCCGCCTTGGATGCACAGGTGCCCCACCTTAGCTGCCCGAGATGCTGTTTATCCTTGATAGTCACCTTTTAAGCCTTCTACAGGTCTATCAAGTTGAGTCACCATTACCACTTGGTGTGTGCTGTGCCTTGTGTAACACTGCAGTTCCGGGAGTCCTCCAACCTGGAATGCATGCTTTGCGGGGATCTATGATGCCCTCGAATTGTATGTTACATGTGAACCTGTGAGCATTTTCTAGGGGCTCTGCACCTTTGTGTTCTCAGCTCTGAGCCCCATGCTTGCTGCAACCAGCAGGTGTTCAGAGTGAATGAATTTGCTTATCTTGGCATAAATCATGTAACTGTTGATGATACCCCAGGAAGGTGAGCCTTTGGTTATAAATCCTTTTAACATTTTCCAGTCTAAAAGTTTTGTGGTCTTATTACAGGATGTAGAAAACAGTGGGCCTCAGTTATTCTTTTGCTGTTGTGCCGGAGTATACCACGGTTGTTTTTGAAAGATAACTTTGACCATACCCTTAGGAACTTCCTCAGCTCACTTTCAAATGGAGGGCACTGGCTTTCTAACCATTGTGTCTCCCAGCCCAGTGACAGCTGAAGCTGTCTGCTTCCGATATCACAGGCAGCACAGAAGAGCCGCCCTCCAGGTGCTGCTGGGAAATGCTGCCTGGAACCCTTTGCCATTTACTTTCTATCAAAAGCTGAGGGAAATGGTACATATGGGGCTTTCCTAAAAATATGGGATCCATCCATTTGTCAGCAATGTCATTCTATCCTATCCCAGGGCCTTTCAAGATTTTGGTGAAAACTAATAGATCCCATATTCCAGAATAATGCTATTAATAATTTTATTATTATTACTTAATGATAGCAAAAAGTTAGCTAACTCCAACCGCTCACTTGTTATTTGCCAGGTAATCCTCTGATCCAGAGGATTTGGCCTTTTGTGTGTGTTAATGTCCTGCTTGCACCAGCTGTATGAGGAAGGTGCCACTGTTGTCATTTCCATTTCTGCACTCGTGGAAACAAGCGTAGTGAGGCCAGCCTGAGCCACAGAGCTGCAGGTAGGGGAGGCAGCTGGAACCCTGGCGCCTGGCTGTGGAGTTTGAGGCTCTGACTCCTGCGCCGCGCTGCTGCCCCAACCCTAGTCATACGAGGTGTTTCACCCCGCCCTGGATACTCTGAGATCCCCTCTGGGTTCAGCAGGCTCAGAGAGCTGACTGCCTGGAGCAGAAGGCATGGGGTCCTCCAGAGACTCCCCTGAGCTGAGTTCCCCTGTGGACACCAGGGCCGCCTCCTTGTGGCGCTCCCTGAAGGGTCCTCTCTGGAAGAACTGTATTGGTTCCCTGGGGCTGCTAGAGGAAAGCTTCACAAACTGGGGCTTAAACAACAGAAACTGACATCCCACAGCGCTGGAGGCTGGAGTCCGAGATCAAGGTGTCAGCATGCTTGGTCCCTTCTGAGGGTCGCGAGGGAAAGATCTCTTCAGGCCCCTTTCCTTGGCTTATAGGGGCGTGTTCTCCTTGGGTATCATGACATCGCCTGCCTTCTGTGCATGTCTGCATCCACGTGTCCCCTTTCCAATAAGGATATTAGCCCTTTAGGCTGGGTCCCGTCCTAGTAGTCTCATCTTAACTAATTACATTTGTGACAGTCCTATTTCCAGATAAGGCCACATTCTGAGATGCTGGGGGTTAGGATTTCAACACAGGAATTTGGAGGAATACAATTCAATCAGGCTTATGGACAATTCTGGTCTTAAGTCAAGAGTAGTGTTCTCCAGTCTGTATGTGGAGGCGCACACCTATGGTCCCAGCCACTTGGGAGGCTGAGGCCAGAGAATTGTGTGAGCCCAGGAGGAGTTCCATACCAGCCTGGGCAACATAGCAAGACCTCCTCTCAAAAACAGACAAAAAAAGTGGTGTTCCAGAGTGATTAGTTTGCTTTAAAAAAAAAAAAAAACAAAAAAACAAAAAAAAAAAAACACAAACCGTAAACACTGGCACTCGTGACTGATCATCCTGTATCCACGCACGAGCTGCACGAAGGCCGCGCGGTCACTGTGGCTCCCCGTTGGCGAGTACCTGGGATTTCTTGCTCAGCAGTTTGGGGCCTTAATTCTTTTAGGGGACTTTTTGTCTAATGTCTCCCCTTCTTCTAATTATGTGCGATATTTACATAGAATCTGATAAACTGCTTCAAATTTGTTTTCAGAACAGTGAGCTGGATAATTAAAGAAGCTTTTTCCTGCTTCTTGGGCCCAGTTTCCATTTCTTCCTTTTTTCTGTTTTTCCTGGCTATTCTAGTGCTAGTTTCCTTCCTTTCCTTTCCTAGGCTGGCCTTAGAGCATCCTCTCCTATGTACAGCCAGACCTTCTTTCAAGCTTTTATTAAAATGGGGAAAGGTCATTTGGGAGGCTTTGTTGTTTTCCTGTTTCTAAAGATCATTTTTCTTCCTGCAGGGGAAGTCCTTAAGTCTTATTTGTGGGGCCCTCTCCTGGCTCCGTGACTTTGAACAGAAGAAGCGTGAAGAAGAGGCACGACTCCTTGAAACTGGAACTGGCCCCTTACATGATGAGAAAGATGAATCCCTGTGTCTGTCTTCCTCCTGCGAAGGGGCTGCAGGCACCCCGAGGCCTGCTGGAGAACCGGCCTGGGTTACTCAGTTTGTGCAGAAGAAAGAAGAGAGGGACCTGGTGGACCGACTGAAGGTGAGACCTGGGGTATCCGGAAGTGGGAGTGCTGGAGGAAACAGGGCTTCAGCGATTGTTGTGGGGCGATTCCGAGACTCAGGCAGTGCATGCTCCCCTGCCGTTGCTGTGCCTCTCAGCTCTTCCCTCAGCTCCTTGGGTCGATGGTGCTGCCGCTGTGCTGTCTCTTTTGAGCTGGAGGTCAGCAGGGCCTTCTCCACACAAGGAACTGTTGGTGCCCATTTATTACTCACCTGGGAAAGGACCTGATCGTTGCCATTGGCAGCATGGTTCAATGGCTGCAAATGGATCTGATGGAGAGCGTGTGGCTTTGGGAGGAGCGTGCCGCCTTCCACAGTGAGCAGCGAGGCTGGGACCTGCAGGGATGAGGTCCCGGGAGGGGATGCGGCAGCCCTTGAGTGCTGGTCGGGGAAGGAGAGCTGCCCGCAGTGAGGAGGCGCCGGGCTGAGTGGCCCAGACTCCTTAGGAGAGGCCTGGTTTTGGGCTTCCTGGTGATTTTCCTTCATGTCTGCCTCCTGTAGGTGGAGCAGGCCAGGAGGAAGCAGCGAGAAGAACGCCTGCAGCAGCTGCAGCACAGGGTGCAGCTCAAGTATGCAGCCAAGCGCCTGGTGAGCCTCATTTCTTGGGGGGCAGGATTATGTCCAGGCAGGGTCGCCCTGCTTGGAGGCTCATGGGTGCGTGGCCAGGGTCTTGGTCTCCCCTCCATGACCCTCACTGGCTATGTGCTCCCGTACAGAAGCTGGGCTGTGAGTGGTTGAGGCGTGGATCCTAGGAGTCGACCTCTCTCCAGCCAGGCAGCCAGGCCTATGTGAATGGGCGTGGTGTGCTTTGTCTCTGGCACGTGGGGAGGTGGGTACTGGTGCTGAGACTTCTTCCTCCCTCCCCACCTCCACTGCCCCTGTCCAGAGGCAGGAAGAAGAAGAAACAGAGAATCTCCTCCGCCTCAGCAGGGAGATGCTAGAGACAGGCCCGGAGGCCGAGCGGCTGGAGCAGCTGGAGTCTGGGGAGGAGGAGCTGGTCCTCGCCGAATACGAGAGTGATGAGGAGAAAAAGGTGGCGAGCGGGTGAGACAGAGGCGGTAGCACTACCCTGCCCCAGGCCAGGGGACACCCTTGAAGACAGCTCTTTCCCTCATGCCACAGATGCCATGAAGCACCTGGCAAGAGGCATGGTGGCCTCTGCCCTCTGCTCTAAGCCGGGTCCCTCCTAGGGTCCATGAGTGCCAGTGGCAGTGAGGACAGTCACCGGCCTGGCCTGTGTCCTCTCAGCTGTCCTCACAGCAGCTCAGGCAGGGCAGGAACATTTGTGTCTGCACCTTATACACAAGGAGGCTGCAGCCCCACAAGGAGAGACTCCTTGGCTGAGGCCACAAGCCTCGGCAGTGGAGAGCTGGGCTAGAACTCAGCCGGCCTGGCTCTACATCTCAGGCTCTGAGGCAGCTGACTGCACTGGGTAACCTTTGAGGTGCCAACCGTCAAGGCGTCCTTAGCCTGAGCTTTCCTTCTCCCATAAAGCCTCTGTTGGTCCAGACTCAAGGTTTCCACTTGATGAGCCATGAGCTGCTGGGTGACTTAGCCCTGAGCAGGCCACCCAGGCCATTTCGGGCCCACAGGATCCCTGGTGACAGCCCCGTTTCCATTCACACTGGAACCTCACCACCATCCCTGAGTGTCTGCTCTGAGTATGGCACTGTCCAGATGCTGTGGACGTAGAAGGGAAGAAGACATGGAGGGGACAGTTAATAGACATGAAAACAAATAGCACCTATGTGAAGTCAGCATGTTTGCCTACAAGGAAAACAAAATGGTGATGTGGATGGGGTGGGGGGCTGCACCTGATGATGAGTCCCGTGTGTCCTGTGACATCCTGGCCACCACATCTGTGGGAGGGTAACTGCAAGACCAGAGACCCTCCGTGGATATTCCTGAAGGTTCATCCCCGGCCTTCACGGTCTGTCTGCAGGGCGCCTTCTGACGCCACCTCCAGCCGCCATCCACCAGACGCCAGCTTCCCCGCTGCCCTGAACTTCCTCCAGCGCACCAGGCCTTCCTCTGTCCTGTCTGAGGATTTGCTCATGCAACGTGCTGTGGCCAAACACCCTGCCCTCCTCCCTTGGCAGATGTCTTCCTCTCCTTTAAGGCCTGGCTCAGGTGTCGTCTTGGTGGCTTCGGGTGTCAGCTGCTCTGTTTTGCTCACGCACCTGCTTGTGCTTCTGTTGTTGCCTCCTCTCCCTGGCTGGGCTCGAGCTGCTTCAGGGCAGGAACCACGTCTTTACAGTTTGATGTTCCCAGAGCTGACCCAGTGTTTGGCATAGGGGTGTGCTCAATAAAATCGAGTTGACATGAATGAGCAGATGCTGCCTCGTTGCAGTCTGGTAGTGTAATTCCAGGCTGCCCATGTGGACTTCGACTTCTGCCCCTGCCCAGGGCAGAGACCACCGTGTTGCTTTATGCCTCGCTGGTGAGAGGGGGTCATAAACAGTTTGTGCTCCATGAACCGTTCCTGCCCACCTCCAAGGTCGTGTTTCTGCTCCCTCTCTTCTCCCTTAGAGCCCATGGGGACAAGGCAGAGAACTTGAGTGGAGATGAAGGTGGTGAATATTAGAGGAACAAAGTGCTCCTTCAGGTCTGGGCAAGAGCCGTGGATCCTGTAGGTCAGCTTCCGGGGCTTCCCATGCCCTCACGTTTCAGGAGATAACGTGAGCCTCAGAGGACCTGAGTTCTGAATAGAAAATTTTTGCTCTTCATTTCTTCACACACCCAGCCTCTCAGTGAGCTCCTGCTGGCTTTGTCCAGCATGCGACATAAGATTGAATCCAAGCCTTTTAAGATAGAGCCGCCTGCTCTTTAGTGACCATGAAGCCAAGCCTGTAATAATTACTCTTCTGATAGCCCAAGACAATTGTATTCTGCTTTGTTAGAAAGGAATTTCGAGGTGAACAAAAATGTTTTCTTTTTATGTGATGTTGCCATAGGTGGCGTGTGCCTGTCAGATGGTTTTGTGTTTTCTGAGGAGCATAGACTAGTAGAGCTAGCTCAGCTTCAGGCCATGGGATGCAGGGCTGGCTTCCCTGCCAACGCCTGGCGCTGATGGATTCTTCCCGCATTGCTGGAAAGGGCAGACTGAGGCGCTGACAAAAGAAGAGTTGCAGCTGGTCATAAGTGACAGCATCCTCTGTTCACTCGATTGGTCAGTTGTAGCTTCATCCAGGAGATGGTCATGGGGTTCCTGCTGCATACCAAGCTCTAGGTGAGGCCACGGGGACTCAGCAGAAACAAGGCCGACCTGGGTCCTCCCTTGTGGACATGACAGTCTGGGGAGATAGACCGAGAGGAAGCAATTTTGAATGAGATGGGTGTGAAGGGGCCATGAATCTGTGTCAGAGCAGCCAGACCTACCAGGGAAGGTCAAAGAAGGCTTCCTGGAGGAGGTGATGTTTCTGCTGCTATCTCAGAGTTGACTGGGAGCTGGTGAGGGGAGACAACATTCCAGGCACAGAACATCCGAAGGCCCGAGATGATGAAGAGCAAATATCCCCCCTGGGGCCTCAGAGGGGTCCAGCTTGCTGGAGGGAGGGCAGAGAGGAGAGCAGCCTGCCATGAGTCCCGAGGCTTCCAACTCAAGACTTGGGTTTGGGGTGCTGAGCTCATGTCTCCTTTTTACATTTCCCTACCCACAGACCTGAGCGGCCACGGGAGGTTGGGGTTGGCATTTGCCTGGGGGAGTTTCTGAGCAAGCAGCACCTGCTACCTTGGTGGAACCCATTGCTGGGAATGGCCAGGGCTCAGCACCAGCGCTCAGCAGATGCTCAGTGCGTTTTGCTGAGTTTGCTGAGGGAAGACTGTTTTCTATTCTCTCTCACACACACAGAGTGGATGAGGATGAGGATGACCTGGAGGAAGAACACATAACTAAGGTAACACGAGTGTCCTCAGCTGGTGCTGTGCTGGGGGCTGTGGGCTGGGCTGTGTACCCTTGGGGAAGAGGCTGGAGTCACTCGGCTACTTCTCACCCTCCTCTCCACAAAGGAGGAGCTTCCAGCACTTGGACTCTGTTGCTTCTTGCACGCAACCCTGGTCCTGAGTTGCTCCCTTGGTCAGCTGCAGTGGACCCTGGAGTCCTCTCCTGGGGTCAGGGCCTGGGGAGTCCTCTCCTGGGGAGACCTTTCCTGGGAGCAGGGCCATGCTTGCCACCCCAGGGCATAGAGGAACAGCTGTTCTGGGCTGAAGTCTGGGTGTTTTCTGTCCCTGCTGGGTGGTGCTGGATATGACTCGTGGAAGGAGCTGCCTGTGGGGCATTCCCTTGAACTTCTGGAGCTGTGGGTGACTTGGGAATCCCTGGGTCCCTCGATAGATGCCTGACATGGGACATTGCTGTCCTGCCTCGGCTTTGTGCATTGGGAGCCACTCCCTTTCCCTCAGCCTCTCAGGCCCTGGCGTGCCTTGATGTTAGAGAATGCTGTGGGATGTTTTGGTTCCCTCTTTGAAGTGCCTTTCTTTCTCTCTGCTAGATTTATCACTGTAGTCGGACACACTCCCAGCTGGCCCAGTTTGTGCATGAGGTGAAGAAGAGCCCCTTTGGCAAGGATGTTCGGCTGGTCTCCCTCGGCTCCCGGCAGGTAAACAGTAGCCAGTATTTCCACCAGGGGCCATCCTGCTCCTTTCCCCACAACTTTGTCCTGCTCGTCCAGGCCTGGGAGACGCTGGGTCTGTGACAGGCTGAACCGTGTGAGGAGCAGCCCCCTCCCTGGCCTGGCCGGCCCATCACTGGAAGGCAAAGGAGAGGTGGCGGGGGCAGGTCCACGTGTGTTGGTAGGATGTCATTTAGCTGGCACCATCTCTTTGCCTCTTTCTTTCTCCTTTGTTGCAGAACCTTTGTGTAAATGAAGACGTGAGAAGCCTAGGTTCTGTGCAGCTTATCAACGACCGCTGCGTGGACATGCAGAGAAGCAGGCACGGTAGCCACCGGGACCATGGTGTAGCCGCAGGTGGTCTGGAGAGAGTGAGGCAGGGGTGGCAGTGACTGAAGACCATTCAGTGTCTTTCATAGAAAGAATGGCAGAGGAGACCCCAGTTCCTTCCTGAGTCCCCTCTCCTTGGGAAAAAGTGTTCCTACTCTCTGGGTGAGCGTCTGGTCCGAATCGTTGGCTTGGAGATGATTTTACGGGCTCTTTCTGGAGAACAAAAGTAAAACCTTAGTGTTCCGATGAGACACAGTAGGCAGTACTTGGGAGGGTCTTATAGACCCCACCCTGTGGAAGTGGGTCTCAACATTACACAACCCCCTCTCGGGCCCGTGGACAGTTGCTGTCTTCTCTGTTTTCTCTCTTTGTGCCTGTGCCACCCTCAGAGAAGAAGAAAGGAGCTGAGGAGGAGAAGCCAAAGAGGAGGAGGCAGGAGAAGCAGGCAGCCTGCCCCTTCTACAACCACGAGCAGATGGGCCTTCTCCGGGATGAGGCCCTGGCAGAGGTGAAGGACATGGAGCAGCTGCTGGCCCTTGGGAAGGAGGCCCGGGCCTGTCCCTATTACAGGAGCCGCCTTGCCATCCCTGCAGCCAAGGTGAGGGCCCTGCAGGGCCAGAAAGCCGCTCTTGGCTCTCACTGTGGTCTAGGCCATGAGGGGCGTCCTCATCACACTGTAGTTTGGGGGATGCCCCCCACCGTGGTCAGGTTGATGGCACCTTAACCCATTCTCTCCTGATGCGTGAGTTGGAGGAGGCGCGTGGGATCCCTTGGGGTCTCCAGGCAGCAGGGCCAGTTGGCATTACTGGGGATGGTATTTAGGAGCCAGGAAAGCCGGTGCATTCCTAGTGAAACCACAGGGAGAGGGGGGATGCCAGGAGCTGAGAAGAGTGTGCTGCATACATCTATTTACAAATGGCTTTCCAAGTGATGCTCCCAACTTCCATGCCTATGATGTGATGGAGGATGTCAGTGATAGAACCATTCAGTTTTCCAGTTTTTCCTTTTTGTAATATCAGTACTCTTAACTGGAAAGCTTTCCCTAACTTACACCTACCTGCAGCACGTGAGAATACTGTCTTCTCTGCCACAACTTCTCTTGATTTTTAAACAGAAGGAAGAACTGCTAATGTAGCAGATGAAAAGTAGTATCTCACTGTTACTTGGTGGGTGCAGTTTCACTATTTCCTTGCTACTTCTTTAACTTGAGTGACTTTGGAAACGGGATATCACTAGTGGAAAATTCTGTATAATCCAGAAAAAAATGTAAGGTTTTAAAAGATTCAGGGAACTAAGTAACCGTTTGCACAGCAGCTAAATGCTCACCAGCATACCTGCTGAGCTGTGTGGGCGCTGGCAGAGAAACTGAGGAAAGCTGCCAGGCCCCATGGTTTCCCAGGCCTTCCCTCCGGTCTGTTTGCCTTTAGAGCAAGATTAGTGCTATAGGCATTTATACACAAATACCATAATATGGCCCAAAATCTTTACGATTTTTGAATTTGTAAAGTACTTTGACCATATTTTGCTTTTATGTTAATAGTATTCCAGTGAAATTCCGTGCATGGGGACACTGGAGCCCAGAAAAGTTAAGTGACTCATATTTTCTCACCAAGCGTGGGTGATGGAGCCATTCAGTTTTCCGATATTTTATTTTTTATATGAGTATTCCTTTAACTGGAAACTTTCCTAACAACAAACACCTAAAGACCTGCAGAGTTGCTTTTATTTTTGTTACCCCAGCTCCACGCCTTAACCCTCACTTTGAAATAGGATGTATCAACCCTATTTTGCAGATGAGGAAAGCAAGGGTCAGAGAGGTTAGACAACTCTTCCAGAGTCACACAGCTGGGAAGTAGCAGCTCCAGGAGCAGAAGCTGGGGCCGCTTCCTGGTGCACCGATGGTCTTCAGGTGTTTTGTGGAAACTCGGGGGCCTCCGGGGCGACCTTGAGGACATGGACAAGGCTAAGCAGGGGTTCCCTTCACCCAGCCCTGCCCTTGGTTTACTCAGGAGTCAGACCAGCCCTAGTTTCCTGTGTTTCATGTATTGGCTTTTCATGTGAAACTCGAGGAGAGCTTGTCCGTTGTCAGAAGCTGTTTTTTGAACGTCTCTACACAGTCCAGGCAGGAAATAGAAGCACTCACATCAGGAGCTCAGTGTCAGGCAGGCAAGCCTCCTGCAGGGGAGCCCCGCCCTGCTCAGGTGGCCTCATCTCCCCTCCCAGCTGGTGGTGCTGCCCTATCAGATGCTGCTGCATGCGGCCACTCGGCAGGCCGCCGGCATCCGGCTGCAGGACCAGGTGGTGATCATCGACGAGGCGCACAACCTGATCGACACCATCACGGGCATGCACAGCGTGGAGGTCAGCGGCTCCCAGGTGCGTGGGCCTCCCCTCCCCAGGCCAGGGCCTGCCGTGAGGTAAAGGGACTTGGATGGTTCCTCCAGACACCCGGGCCAAGAATTCCTCCGGAGGTGGGGCTTGCTACAGGGTGCACGAGTCAAGGCGGTGACCTCATCGGAGGCTGACCATGGCTTTCCAGTGCATCCCAGAACTCTGGGGACCCCGCTATGACAGAGTGCCTCATTTCCCTGCACCTCACCTGCCCCCATGCTCCTGAGTCCCTCCAGCCCTGGATGCCAGCAGCCAGTTCTGCAAGCCAGGGAGATGGCATGTGTGAGGCAGAAGTCCCCTCAGGATTGGATTTTGTCATTACTGAAGTTGTCTGGAGGGGACTGAATTGAGGAATGCTCAAGATCAGTGCAGGCTCCTCCTGCTGCCCTATCATGCGCCATGCATGGCACCAGGTGTCTCTGGTCTTCACGCTGACTCTGCCATGGGGGTGGTGTTCCTGTTTTACATTGGAAACTTGGAGATTCAAAGATGGTCAAGCTCTGTCCTGAGGTCATGCAGCTCATGAGTGTGGAGCTGGGGTGTGCCCACTGGTTTCTGACTGTGAAACCCCCACGACATCCCACCAGCTCTACTGACCTGTGCCTGGGCTGAATTGAGGCTGGGATGTGATGGTGACCTTGAACCATCACTCTTTGTAGACTCCAGGTCTTTTCCCAACCCGGTGGAAACTAGCAGGCAGATTCCATACTTGAGGAATTCAGCCTCTTGCTTTTTCTCTGACCCACAGTGGACACTGGAGGAAACCTTCCCTTCCTTCCCTTTTCTCTTAGCTCCCACCAGCCTAAGGGCTGTGGAAACCAGTACCTTTTGTCTGCACCCAGCCCCCTCTCCTCCCTTTGGTGGCTTCCTGTGTGTCCAGGGCTAGCATCTTCTAGGTGAATCTAAGATGTCAGTACCTTAGCCCTCGGCTGCTTGCTCAGAGCCTGGTTTGTGTTCTTTCCCCAGCTCTGCCAGGCCCATTCCCAGCTGCTGCAGTACATGGAGCGATACGGGTGAGATGTGACTCTCTGAGGTAGTGGGACAGTCCCTTGGTGGCCCCCTGCATGGGCCTCTGAGAGGCAGCACTTTGGTTCCCACCTCTGGCCCGTGCTGTGGCGGGGTGGAGCTGCATGCCATTCATGTCCTAGGCACATGATGGTGTGTGCTGCACACAGACCTGGAAGGCTGGGGACTGACCGCTGGCTCTGAGGCCTGGGGCCGTGGCCAGCCTGCTCTCTGGGAAAGGATTTGTAGCTTGTGACCCAGTTTGAGAGGCACCGGGCAGCAAGGCTTCCACTGGGGTGGGCGGGGCGAGTCGCCATCAGGGCACCACCACTTAATGTCCGTTGGCTTCTTCTCAGGAAGCGTTTGAAGGCCAAGAACCTGATGTACCTGAAGCAGATCCTGTATTTGCTGGAGAAATTCGTGGCTGTGCTAGGGGGTGAGAGCCTCGCCCCCCGGCTAACCCCCGGCCTGCAAAACCCACCGGGCTGCTTTTTCCTTGGATGCCCATCAGGACGCCTCAGTTCTCTGTGTTTTTAAGAAGGGTCGGCCGGGTGTGGTGGCTCACACCTGTAATCCCAGCCCTTGGGAGGCCGAGGCAGGTGGTTCACCTGAGGTCAGGAGTTTTGAGACCAGCCTGGTCAACATGATGAAATCCCATCTCTACTAAAAATACAAAAAAATTAGCTGGGAGTGTTGCCGTGGCCTGTAGTCCCAGCTGCTCCAGAAGCTGAGACAAGAGAATTGCTTGCTCAAACCCGGGAGGCGGAGGTTGCAGTGAGCCGAGATTGTGCCACTGCAGTCCAGTCTGGGCGACAGAGTGAGAGTCAGTCTCAAAAAAAAAAAAAAGAACCAAAAAAAAAGAAGGGTCTTGGTCATTGATTTAGAAAATTCTTGTTCTTTGTAGCTTAGTTGAGTTGTCTGACTTGAGCTTTTTTTAGACCCATGGGTTCTTTGCCCATGTTCTGAGGACTTTTTATTTCAGGCGCTGCTCTGGGGGGATATTAAGGATACAGCATCACATGGACACACGGTGTTTCCGTGATAGGCATAGTTCTGTGGGTTGTTCGAAGCACTTGCATATGCGGTTTTGTGTGCCCTGTGAGAACGCAGTGCTGGTATTTGAATCCTTGTTGATAGACGCATAAACTAGAGCTCGGAGCAAGGGCTGCTCCCAGCACGGGAGCCTGGGATCTTCTGACTCCAGCTCCCACGCCTCTTTGCGTGACCCTGTCACGTCCCCTTCTTTTATGATGGGGCACCCCCTTGCTGGAAGGTGTCTGTGGAAGTGGAAGCTGCAGAAAGCCTGTGGGAGCTCCTGGCGGGAGCTGGTCTCGTGTTGCTGCTCTGAGCCGCCAGCTCTGCTTTGCCTCAGGCTCACCAGTGGCCTGGGCAGCTCCTCTGTGCTCCGGTGCCCTGCATACCTTGGTCTGGCTGCTGTGTCCCGGCCTCCTGGAGAAGGGGTGAAAAACATGAACTTACAGGGCTTTGGGTTCCACGTGCAAGCACGTGAGTCAGACGTGGGAGGCTCCTGGACCCACCTGCCCTCTAAGTGGGTCCGTTGCATGCTATAAACAGTGAAAAGCAAAACAAAGCCGTTCAAATACAGATGCTCTTCTTACTTGATGTGCAGTGTGGAGGGAGAGAAGATAGGGAAGGGTTGGGGGGCCTGAGAACCACCATTGTGACCTATTTCCATTCTCTTTTTTAGGGAACATTAAGCAAAATCCCAATACACAGAGTCTGTCACAGACAGGTAAGAGAGTTGCCCTCAGAGGGCCCAGAGCTGATCTGAGCCACTTCCGAGCTTAACCCTGGGACTGAAACCTGAGGCTTAGGGTGAAGCTCCCAAGGCCCTTCATGTGTTTGTTCTCAGGGACGGAGCTGAAGACCATCAACGACTTTCTCTTCCAGAGCCAGATCGACAACATCAACCTGTTCAAGGTAGAGGTTTCCACCTTGCCATGTTCCACATCCAGTTTCCTTCCTGTCACCACCTGTGGGTAGAGTACTATGTTAAGACTATAGAAGGAAGAAAAAGCAAAACAGACGTGTAATTACTTAACCCTTAACGCAACACGCCTGTGAGACAAAAGTCATCATCTTTTAGAGTGAAGGCCACAGGGATGAGGGATGGGTGAGAAAGGGACCTTTCTTGGTGCCCCATAGAACAGATAGAGACTCCAGGTCCTTGCTGTCTCACCCCATCTTCTGGCACAGTCTCCCTCAGGCTTATGGACAGGAATAGGACGTTGATTTGTTCTGTGCAACCCCTGTCACGTCTTCGCACTTGGGCCTTGGGTGTGGTTGCAGCCTCAGACCTCTGCTCGCTCCAGGTCTGTGTACCCAGCGCTCCCCAGATGAAACACGGCCACTGCCGCCTGAACCCCCAGCTCGTAACTCAAATCAGCAACAGTGACTGCCCCTGGGTACAGGGTTCTGCCTCTGTTCTAGGCGGCATGCCACGTGCTGTGCTCTGAGCTAGGATATCCTTTTGCCCCGGCAAGGAAAGCAAACAGGCCCATGGAGGTGACTTCAGGAGGGTGGCGAGCACAGGCTTCCCACAAGTGAGCCAATAGCAAGTGGCAGAGACAGCGTCCAAACCTGGCTGCACTGACTTGGGGCCCCACATTCTTCCCATCGTGCCTGCCTTTTTTTTCTTAAAACCAGCTTTTCCCCTGAATTACACATTTGGGTCACTGTCACTGCCACCATCCCTGCCAGACAGGCTGGATCCACGTCATCCTTGATGCCTTTCTCCCCTTGTCTCCCACATGCCTGTGACAGCCGCCAGGCCTGACAGCCTCAGACAGTCCTGCCGTCCCCGCGCTTCTCCCACAGCTGGGACATGGGTGCAGGCACTCCTTCTCTCGCCTTCCCTTTGCCCTCCTTGCTTTCCTTCTCCCTTCTTCCCATGGGTCTCGGGTCTCATCACCCACCATTGAGGGAATCCTCATCGAAGGACGTCGCTCTTTTTAGAAACCGGTTTAAAGCCTCCAAACTCCTCATCTCTGCATCCCAAGCTAAGATGTGGCACCAAACCACACACATTGGATGCACCGACTGAGTGGCACTGCCCCAGCCCCTGAGCAGGTCCCAGCCATCATCTCCTCTGTGGCTTTGCTCATAGAAGTTCCTTTGTTTTAACTCTCTGTCACCTGGAAGGAAAGCCAAGGGGACCTAGATTTTACTGGGCACTCTTAGACTTGGGAGAGACATTTGGAAAGAGGGTCTCCCCCCTGAGGAGGACACTGCGTTGTGGGCAGGGGCAGTAGAGGAGGGGGTGGCCTCGGAGAGGGGATGACAAGGTTGGTGGCAAGGAGGCTCCAGGTGCCTCAGAAGGTAGCACTGCGTTGTGCTGCCTGGGTGGTAGAAGTGGTGTTTTTTGTTTTGTGTTTAAGATTACAGCTTGCTCAGTTTGCACACATGCCTACAGCTGGGCTTGGTTTTTGCAGGTGCAGCGATACTGTGAGAAGAGCATGATCAGCAGAAAGGTAACTGCTCCCATCTTGTGGTCCTGAACAAGACCCAGCTGTGCCCCAACCCCCTGCCGTTGCCATGCTTTCCTCCCCTGCCCTCAGGGAACTCCAGAGTCCCCTTCGTCTCCACCCTCCTTGGTGCAGTGGGCCTTGCTGGGGTGGTGGGATGTGCGCTTCAGGTGTCTTGAGCCTGGCAGAGCCTCCGATCCACCCAGCCTCTCTCTCATGGCTGTTCCTCGTTCCTCTCCACTGCTCTCTCTCATCCCACCCAGCTCTTTGGCTTCACTGAACGGTACGGAGCAGTGTTCTCATCCCGGGAGCAGCCCAAACTGGCTGGGTTTCAGCAATTCCTGCAGAGCCTGCAGCCCAGGACGACTGAAGGTGAGGCAGGAGGGTGAGCAGGCAGAGCCGGCTGCAGGCATGGGCAAGGACTTCTGTTCCTCATGTGTGGACCTGACTAGAGGGAGGCCTCCTCCCCATTCTGCTCTGTGCAGCTCTTGCAGCCCCTGCAGACGAGAGTCAGGCCAGCGTCCCGCAACCAGCTTCCCCACTAATGCACATCGAAGGCTTCCTGGCAGCTCTCACTACGGCCAACCAGGACGGCAGGGTCATCCTGAGCCGCCAAGGTAATCAGGTGGTTCTTGGCCAGGTTCAGTTCCCAGGAAGGAGCCAAGCTGAGCCCGGGAGCCGCAGCATGAAAGGATTCTTTCCTTCCATCCTGGGAACTTCCTGGGTTAGGAGGAAGCAGTGCAGTGGGCACTGGCCTGCTGTGACCTGGGCAAGCAGTGGAGGTGGACGGGAGGAGATCGAGGGGCTGGGATGGAGGTCCTCTAGGGCAGGGGTCCTAGGGAAACTTGTATTGTGGGGTAGGTGGGCTTTGGTTTGGGTCATGATTTTGTCATCTATGAGCCTTGTGATTTGGACTATTTTCTTTCTCAACTTCAGTTTCCTCATATGAAAATGGAGAGGATAGGCCGGGCGCGGTGGCTCACGCCTGTAATCCCAGCACTTTGGGAGGCTGAGGGGGGCGGATCGTGAGGTCAGGAGATCGAGAACCATCCTGGCTAACACAGTGAAACCCCGTCTCTACTAAAAATACAAAAAATTAGCAGGGTGTGGTGGTGGGTGCCTGTAGTCCCAGCTACTCGGGAGGCTGAGGCAGGAAAATTGCTTGAACCCAGGAGGCGGAGGTTGCAGGGAGCCGAGATTGAGCCACTGCACTCCAGCCTGGGCAACAGATCGAGACTCCTCTCAAAAAAAAAAAAAAGAGAGAGATGGAGAGGACAGTATGGTCCACCTCTGTGGGCTGGTTGTCCTAGAGATTAAATGGTGTTTAATTTAAAGAGAAAGCACTAGCACTTGTGCCTCAGACCTGGACTCACCTGGGGGACCCCCTTTGCTGGGACGATAGAAGTGTCTGTTGGGCTTGCACTCACCTCCCACCGATCTGTTTTTCCAGGCAGCCTCAGTGAGAGCACCCTGAAGTTTTTGCTCCTGAATCCAGCTGTGCACTTTGCCCAAGTGGTGAAGGAATGCCGGGCAGTGGTCATTGCGGGGGGGACCATGCAGCCGGTAAGGACACCTTTCCCAGCCCCTCGTGCCCCAGGTGTTGGGATGAGATGGGGACTTGGGAGAGATGCATTATCAGTCCTGTTCTCTCCTGGGGCCCCAAGCCAGAAAGGGTCAGCTCGAGCAGGCCCAGTGGTGTCCACTGGGTGACACTGCTATTCTCTCACTGCTGTGCCTTTTAGGCTGCAGGAGCAGTGCAGACTCCTCTGCTGCTCCATTCTGTAGCCCCAGGATCACACTTCTCCCAGAGAAAGCTGTTCTGTGGTTTCAAACTCAAGGAAAAAAATCATGATTCCACTTTTAAAAGGTTCATTTTGATGTATATGAATATAATAGTCTTTGTAGGCATAATTTTTACTTATGTGCATAGCTATTTTAAAAACAAAAGTGCGGCTCCCTCCATGTGCTGTCACTGGAACTTGCTCTTTTCACTCAGCAGCCAGAGGGTCATAAACCCTGTCTCCTTGTCAGCAAGCATGCACGTATTTCAGTATCCCAGCTGTGCTGGATTCCAGTTACCCAGATATACAGCATTTCATGTACCTCCTTCTCTTTTGTTAGGTGTGCAAGCTATTTGTAGTTTTCTGTTTTGAGCATGACTGTGATGAATATAACCGCATTTCCGCACAGTGGTGACTCCTACCTAGCAAAGGGCCTCCTGGACAAAAAGCTGCTGGGAATCCTGAAGCAGTGCTTCCCAGCCCCAGCTGCCTTAGCTTTTGATTTTTATATTTTTGTATGGATAGATTCATAGTTTTATTCATTCGGCATATTAAAAGTTGTTTACAGTCATTATTGTTTCTGACGTTCACATGGTGAGAGCCCCTTCCTGCTAGCTCAGGTCCTCCCCGTGGCCCGGTCAGTCTCGCCTCCAGCACAGCAGAATGTCATGGGATCACCATGGGTGTCCTTGCCGCACACTGGATTGATTCATTTCTCCAAGCTGCTCTGGTTTCTTGTAATGGGGAATGACATTTAGAAGTCAAGCTGTGGGTGCTAGGGTGTTTGTCGTGCTCCTGGGGCATTTTGGTAGACAGATCTAGGAAATGTTTTCAGAGTGAATCCATACTGGTATTTCTTTCTTTCTTTCTTTTTTTTTTTTTTTTTGAGACACAGTCTCGCTCTGTCTCCCAGGCTGGAGCGCAGTGACCCGATCACGGCTCTCTGCAACCTCTGCCTCCGGGGTTCAAGCGATTCTCATGCCTCAACCTCCTGAGTAGCTGTGATTACAGGCATGTGCCACCACACCCAGCTAATTTTTGTATTTTAGTAGAGATAGGGTTTTACCATGTTGGCCAGGCTGGTCTTGAATTCAGTTGATCCGCCAGCCTTGGCATCCCAAAGAGCTGGGATTACAGGCATGAGCCACCACGCCTGGCCCATATTGGTGTTTCTAAGTAAAAATCAAAGGATTTGTTTACTTGACCTTTTATTGTACCTCTTTTTCTCTTAAGCCTGAACATGTGTGCTACATTAACATACTTATCTGCTCTATCCTATAATATACTTAAAAGTTTTGAAATCATAGTACCAATATTACTTCTAACAATAGATCTGATTGAAATTGCCTTTCCTCTTTGCCCTTAGAGTGTAACCCACTAAGGATGCCTGGTCACTAGGCTCTAAAGTCACGTGGAACCAGGCTTCTCTCCGTGTGCTTCTGTTGTCAGTTTCATAGATAGCTAGGCTGTTTTTGTTTCATTTTCTTTTCAATTTTAGAATTTGCTTTCTTCTTTTCTGACTTGTAGTTTTTAAATATGTAAATATTTGTATGGCTCAAAAGTCAAAGCAATATAAAAAGATCTATTCAGGAAAGCCTCACTCTCATCCCTTTCCAGCCCATTCCCCACCCCCATAGGGAATCCGTTTTACTAGCTTATCCTTTCAGTCTTTCTTTTTCCCCTAAATAAGCAAAAACGTGCCTTCTTTTTTCCCTTTCCTGTTTTATTTACACGGAAGGCATCTTAGTCAGTTGTCTGGCCATCGCTCCTCTAGTGGGCTGCGTGGTTCTCTGTTGGACAGATGTAGGAAGCTTATCCAACCAGTACCCTCTGGATAGGCAGGCGCATGATTACAGGGAAAGGTCCGGGGGCACATGCTGTTTGGTATTTGTGGGCTGTATCTTCTCACTGGACTCCTAAATATGGGATTCCTGGGTTAAAAAGTATAAATATGTTTAATTTGTTAACTACTGTGAAATTTCATGAGAATTGTACCATTCTGTATCCCACCAGTACTGTCTAGGAATGCCTGTTTCTCCAGAGTGGTTACTTTTGGATTTTTGCCAGTCTAGCAGGTGAAAGCCTGGAGATTGTTATTCAGTAGTTTGGGCTGGGGCCTGGCCACGTGTATTTTTGAAAATTTTCGCTGGTGATTTTGCTGCATGGCCAGGGTTGATAATGACTGTGCCAGATTTGCTGGATTTCCTTTGCTATTCCTGCACATAGTTTAAACGAGACTGCCAGCACTGGGTATCAGTCACCATTTTTCTTTTTGTTAGTTTGCCGTCAGCCTTTTCTTTGACCTCTTCTTTCAGTTTGTGTGTACTTGCTGTCTCTTAGGCCAGACTTCTCGCTTCCTTTCTGCTGGGCCTCTGAGGGGTCATGGGGCCATGACGCCGTGGCCTTGGTCTACAGGTGTCTGACTTCCGGCAGCAGCTGCTGGCCTGTGCTGGGGTGGAAGCTGAGCGCGTGGTGGAGTTTTCCTGTGGTGAGAAGCTGTGCCCAGGGTGGGGCAGGCTAGAGGTCAGGTTCTGGCCCCCGTTTTCTGTGGGTAATACCTCATACCGTGACCAGGCACAGAGGCGGAGGAGACCCCGGGATGGGAGCCTCACCCTTCGTGCGCTCGCCCAGGCTCTCCTGCTTTGCTCCCTGCTGCCTGCTGCCCAGTGTGACTGGCGATGGTGGGTGGGTGAGCGCTGTCAGTCGCTGTTCCTGTGCTGGATGATGGGGCAGGTAAATGCCCTCTCTGCAGTGTCTTACAGCACACCTGCATCTCCAGTTTTCGGCCCCTCCCTGATCTTACCAGGTCACGTGATCCCTCCAGACAACATCTGCCCCTTGTCATCTGCAGCGGGATCTCCAACCAGCCGCTGGAATTCACCTTCCAGAAAAGAGACCTGCCTCAGATGGTCAGTCCCAGCCAGCTCGCTGCACCACAGCCTGGCCTCAGGCAGCAAAGGGTTTTCTGGGGCAGGGACGCTCTGGCCCACCCTGAGTGTTTTCAGGTGTTGGGGAAATTGCACAGGGACACCCACTTAGAGCCACACAGAATGAGCGGCGTCGATCTAGATGCTTATGGAGGAAGGTCTGAGCTTCCCCGCCTCTCACACCTTAGGCTGCGAAATATGTATTCATAAAACCTCCAGGCATCTTCTGAGGACGCCTCACGCAGGAGAAAGCTGCTAGTTCCCTTTGGCTCTCTTGCCCTTTGGTTATATCTGCCCCTGCTGGGGGCAGGGATGTGGGGCTTGGGGGCATCTCCTGTGGTGTGCCTGGGGTGTGCAGCCCCTGATTGTCATTGTGGTGCCCATCAGGACCCTGGACAGAAGAAGGGAGGACTCAGTGCCAGGGCAATAGGGAGGCCCCCCAGGGACGCTAGTGCTGTGACATGTGTCAGAAAGGCGCAGTCAGCAGCAGCGGCTGGGTGTGTTTGGTGGGAGGTGGCACCTACCACCCCGTGGTTCCCACCCAGGGGAGCCAAGTCCTCTTCCTTGGCTGTAGTCCTGCCAAGGGTCTCTCCTCAGTTTTGAGTCTCAAGGTGAAGACGCGGTTTGTGGGTGGCTGAGGGGTTGCTCCATGGGGGCTCCCTCCCTCCCTTCCTTCCTTAGATGGACGAGGTGGGTCGCATCCTCTGTAACCTGTGCGGTGTGGTTTCTGGAGGGGTGGTCTGTTTCTTCTCCTCCTACGAGTACCTGCGCCAGGTCCATGCCCACTGGGAGAAGGGTGGCCTGCTGGGCCGTCTGGCTGCCAGGAAGAAGGTGAGTGGCCTGTCGGCAGCCTTGCCACTTGTGAGGACAGTGCCACTGAGTCCTCCTGGGAGCTCTTGTGCTCATCGGGTCGGGACAGGCTTCTGGCTCCTCATCCCCACTGCTCCCAGTCCCTGACTACAGAGGATTTCCCCAAAGTCCCTGGCTGTGAGGTTCTCCAGTCCGCTGGCCAGAAAACACAAGGCCACGAGCAGACCCGAGACCTGGCACCCTAAACCTGTCTCTGGGAAATGTCCTCTGTCTTTCTCAGATATTCCAGGAACCTAAGAGCGCACACCAGGTGGAGCAGGTGCTGCTGGCGTATTCCAGGTGCATCCAGGTGCGGGCGTCATGCTGAGCTTGGGTCTGAGACCATGTGGGGGTGGCAGCTGGAAACGTGGGTGTCATCCAAGTTTTGGCTCAGCAACTCAGCGTCTGGGTTTCTCCTACAGGCCTGTGGCCAGGAGAGAGGCCAGGTGACAGAGGCCCTGCTCCTCTCTGTGGTTGGAGGAAAGATGAGTGAAGGGATCAACTTCTCTGACAACCTAGGCCGGTAAGTAGTGGTTCTGCTCATCTCCTGGGTCGTGATACATGGCCGGCCCTCACTCCCAGCAGCTGGGCCCCTGCCTGCTGTCTGCTGCCATTAGAGCCCACAGCTGGGCTGCGACTGCTCAGACCAGCCAGCTGGAGGGAGGGGCTCAGCAGCTCTGGGTTTGGCCCTGAGAGAGTAGTTGGATTTTAGGCTGGCCATTGCTGTATCAGGACCCAATCAATTGGCCTAGACGGGATCTCTCAGCCTTACAAGCCCTCTCCAGGTGGTAGGTACAGAGTGGAGAGAGGCTGAGTTTTGATCACAGTCGGAGAGGGCTGACGGAAGGGGTAGAACGGAGCAGCTGGTGACATGGGTGATGACCCGGGAGTTCCTGACGTCCACCCACTGGGCTCTTGTCTCCCCCCCACGTGTGTGGTGATGGTGGGCATGCCCTTCCCCAACATCAGGTCTGCAGAGCTGCAGGAGAAGATGGCCTACTTGGATCAAACCCTCGTGAGTGACCCCAGTGTCACAGAGGGTGACAGAGTAGGCAGTGGGTGGGAGTGGCATCACCCCCAGGGCTGATACAGCCAGGCCTTCCCCACTGCGCTGGTGTCTCCTGCCCCCTCCGGAAGCTTGGATGCCCCTCCACACCCTCTTGATCTTCCCTGTGATGTCACCTGGACCCCTGCTGCTGGCATTGGCCACAAAGCCTCCTGGTCTGGCTCCAAAGCCTGGCAGGGTCTTTTCCCCGGGGGAGCTGCAGGCAGGGAACAGTCCTGATGGGTCATCCCCTTCACTCCCAGCCCAGAGCCCCCGGCCAGGCACCCCCAGGGAAGGCTCTGGTGGAGAACCTGTGCATGAAGGCCGTCAACCAGTCCATAGGTGAGCCTGGCTGCCTCCAGCTGGGTGGACAGATGGGGGCTGGAGAAGGGGAGAACAGGAAAGAGGGGTTGCCTGCCCTGTTTCCTATATAAGTCTGAGGAAGGGGAGGGGGTCGCCATGGGAATGTGCTGTAGGGGAGGCAGGTGTTGCTCGGAGCCCCAGCCTCTGTTCCTATGCAGGCAGGGCCATCAGGCACCAGAAGGATTTTGCCAGCATAGTGCTCCTGGACCAGCGATACGCCCGGCCCCCTGTCCTGGCCAAGCTGCCGGCCTGGATCCGAGCCAGTGTGGAGGTCAAAGCTACCTTTGGCCCCGCCATTGCTGCTGTGCAGAAGGTCAGTCCTACCTTTTTCTTTCTGAGAGCCTCCCAACCCCGAGATCACATTTCTCACTGCCTTCTGTCTGCCCAGTTTCACCGGGAGAAGTCGGCCTCTTCCTGATGGGCAACCACACCACCGCCCGGCGCCGTGCCCTTCCTTTGTCCTGCCCTCTGGAGACAGTGTTTGTCGTGGGCGTGGTCTGCAGGGATCCTGTTACAAAGGTGAAACCCAGGAGGAGAGTGTGGAGTCCAGAGCGCTGCCGGGACCCAGGCACAGGCGTTAGCTCCCGTAGGAGAAAATGCGGGAATCCTGAATGAACAGTGGGTCCTGGCTGTCCTTGGGGCGTTCCAGGGCAGCTCCCCTCCTGGAATAGAATCTTTCTTTCCATCCTGCATGGCTGAGAGCCAGGCTTCCTGCTTGGAGTCCGCAGGAGGCTGTGGCAGCAGTGGCATCCACTGTGGCATCTCCGTCCTGCCCACCTTAAGAGGCGAGATGGAGCAGGTCCATCTGCCTCTGCCCTTTCTAGCCAAGGTTATAGCTGCCCTGGACTGCTCACTCTCTGGTCTCAATTTAAAATGATCCCGTGGCCACAGGGCTCCTGCCCAGGGGCTTGTCACCTTCCCCTCCTCCTTCCTGAGTCACTCCTTCAGTAGAAGGCCCTGCTCTCTATCCTGCCCCACAGCCCTGCCTGGATTTGTATCCTTGGCTTCGTGCCAGTTCCTCCAAGTCTATGGCACCTCCCTCCCTCTCAACCACTTGAGCAAACTCCAAGACACCTTCTACCCCGACACCAGCAATTATGCCAAGGGCCATTAGGCTCTCAACATGACTATAGAGACCCCGTATCATCATGGAGACCTTTGTTCCTGTGGGAAAATAACCCTCCCACCTGCAACAGCTGCCCCTGCTGACTGCGCCTGTCTTCTCCCTCTGACCCCAGAGAAAGGGGCCGTGGTCAGCTGGGATCTTCTGCCACCATCAGGGACAAACCGGGGGCAGGAGGAAAGTCACTGATGCCCAGCTGTTTGCATCCTGCACAGCTACAGGTCCTTAATTAAAAGTGTACTGTTGGTTTCTGCTGAGTTTTTTATTGATATGTGCTGCTGTTTTCTCTGGAAGCCTCTTTAGGGAATCGAGGAGCGCACTGGTGCAGGGGCTGGGTGGAGCCATCCTCCGATGGAGCACAGGCAGATGGAAGCCCCCACCCCAGCTGCGTGGCCTGAAGCCAGCCTCCCGCTCCCCGAAGGTGGTCTCCACACAGAACTGGGACAGTTCCATCCCTGCCCCTTCCTCCAGGGCAGCAGGGCTGAGGATCCCATTCTGGCTGTGTCCACGTCCGGGCCATGGCTGGAGTCTGGGTTTAGGGGAGGAAGGCATGGCGGCGCCCGCTAGGATTTCCAGTTGTCCTCTTCTTCCTCTGCCTGTGGCTGCTGGGGGTTAGCAGACACGGTTTGTTGTCTGACATACGGGCTCTCTCCTCCCGGCCCCTCACCAGCCCCAGAGGTGAAAAGGCTGGAGGGCAAAGGCTGAGTGAGGGAGGTCTGTGGGGAGCACTGGTTTCCCCAGGCCCCAGAGACTTAAACACAGGAAGAAAAAGACAAGAGAGAATTAACGATGCCACAGCCCATGGCAGACAGCGGCCCTGCCTCCTACCCTTGCGTCTCAGGACCAGCTTGTTGAAGAGATCCCACATCAGTTCCCTGCCTTGGCTTACGGCTCTCACTGCAATAGGAAAGCCACGGAGTGGGGTGTGGGGTTCAGTCACATTGGACCCCCGGCTCCGTGTTCCTGTCCCCTGTAGTGTTTTTGTTATTAGACCCTTTTTCCTCCTTGGTTTAGGAATGGGGGCCCCAGGGCCACCCTTGTCCAGGCTCCCTCTACCGTAGAGGTGAGAATTCCAGGGCGCTACAGTTTGAAAACCACTATTTTATGAGCCAAGTAGAACAAGAAATGACAACTATTAAAAAGAAATAAGGGATTTCTGACCAGCTAACAACCCCACAGAAAATCTGCCAGGGATCCAGAAATGAGACTGAGGTGGCCTCAGAGAGTGGCTCCCTCCTGAAGGGGATGCTGCTGCTGTCATCCTGCCCGGCACCTTGGACTGCAGTGGGCGGGGCCTGGGGTGGGGATGAGGGTGCACTGACCAGCACCGCAGCAGCTTGGGGAGGTTGGGGTGCTGTTAACATGCCATCTTATAGGTCGGAAGTGGAAATGGGAGAAAGTGTGGGGTGCCTAGGGAAGGAGGTGACTGAGTAGGGAGCCTGGCTGCCATCCTAACACACAGCTCACTGGGCTTGAGAGACTTGAGCCTGGTGCCAGGGCAGTGGGTGATGCTGGGGCCCAGGCTGGCACCATACTTGAGGTCTGCCAGGCAGGTCAGGTAGGATGGCACATCGACCTTGGGGACTTGGCCCAGGTCTGGCGTGTAGAAGTAGTTCTCCGGGACACACGGGATTAGGTAGGGACATGTGAGAGGTGACAGGGACCTGCAGGAGCAGCTAGCGAGACCTCATGTGCACCCTGCACAGCTGTGGTGGCATAAGGGGTTCAATAGAGCCTCTCCTAGAGAGGAGCCTGGCAAGGCCCCCAGCCCCTGCCCCTGCCCCTGCCCCTCCCGCTCCCTGTCCACCTGCTGCTCCAGCTGCTCTCTCATTGATGGACAAGGGGCACTGAACAGTTTCTTCTCTGTCTCTGCCCCCAGCATCACATGGCTCTTTGTTACAGCACCAGCCAGTTGGTCCGGGAAGACAGACTTCTTGTATCTACAGGGGCAACGTGGAGGTCAGGCAAGCCAGCACCTGCTGTCCTGGGACCATGTTCCTGACCTACCTCTCCCATGTCATCAGGGACACTGCACTGAGGGGTCCCAGGCCACCGAGCCAAGCCACCCTGGTCACCTTCTGGCTCCCGCCTCTGTGCTGCACCTGAGTGTGATGCCCTGGGACCCCCATTAAGTCAGGCTGAGTCTTGCACCCACACCCTGCGACTCCATTTTCTGCTACAAAGGATCTCTCTGATGTTGACGAGCAGCATGGAGACTTGGGGGACCCCCCCAAGCGCCTCCTCCATGTCATCCTTGGGCTCCAGCTTGGCGCTCACACACACAGGAAAGGACTTCAGCTTCTCCTGGGAGGGCTGGGTGGCTGAGGGGTGGTGGATTTTGGAGTTGGACCAGCAGCTGGCCTAGAGGCTACTGGGGAGGAGGGAGCAGGGAGCACCCACTGCTGATCCAGATTCACTCCTTCCCTCGCCTCTGTCATGACCCCAAAGAAGCAGATCCTGAACCTGGGCTCTTGTCTTCACCTTTGTTCTCTTCCACTCTGGGGTAATTAAGAATGATTTGCTGGCCAGGCGCGGTGGCTCATGCCTGTAATCCCAGCACTTTGGGAGGCTGAGGCAGGTGGATCACAAGGTCAGGAGATCAACACCATCCTGGCTAACACGGTGAAACCCTGTCTCTACTAAAAATACAAAAAAATTAGCCGGTCGTGGTGGCGCGCATCTGTAGTCTCAGCTACTCGGGAGGCTGAGGCAGGAGGATGGCGTGAACCTGGGAGGCGGAGTTTGCAGTGAGTGGAGATTGCGCCACTGCACTCCAGCCTGGGCGACAGAGTGAGACTCCGTCTCAAAAAAGAAAAAAAGAATGATTTGCTAATTATGCAGGCAGCTGATCCAGTGCTGTGTAACCTTGGGGGCCACCAGATGCCAATCAGTAGAATGGGAGAGAAGGAAGGATGGAGGAAGTGAGGACAAGGGGCAAGGAGGAAGGTCTGTCCACCTGTCTCTTTTGTGCAGGAGGTGTCCAAGCAGGAGGAGCACGTCACATCCCCACTGAAAAAGCCCACAGAAAATGAAAAGCCCACATGCTTGTCCATTGCTGCAGGATGGGGGCAAGTGGAGGGGGAGAGGTGTCGGCGCTCCCACCTTACTCCCAGTCATGGCTGACTCCTCCCTTTCCTTCGTTCTTGTTCCTAATCTGTCACCATGTCCTGTCGTTTTCTTTGTCTCACCCAACCCTCTGTGCCTGCAAATCCCCTGACTGCAGCCTCATCCCTGTCACCTCCTGACTGTAGTTGGTGACAGAAGAGGAGGCTGCACCAGTGAAGGAGCAGGGACTCCAGGTCTGGCAACAACCAGGGATGGGGCCGGGTGGGGGTGACTTGGACCAGGAGAGGGGCCTGAGTCAGGCAGTCACATGCTTCATGCTGGGGTCCCCCAAGTGAGGCACAGCCCGGGGTCCCGGGAAGAAGACCAAGCCTCATTTCAGGTTGCTTGTGGCCAAAGACAGGACCTGTGTACCCAACAACCCCTGGGACTTTTGCAGGAAACAGCAAACACCATTCGCTCACTCGAGTTAGATAAACACTGAGCGAAAAGTCACTGGAGCCCAAGGACTGTGCGGGGTCAGTGCTGCCGATACAAGAACCGCAGCCCTCCAGCTCGGCTCCCTCAACGGCCTGCGCTGCAGCCACACTGGCCTCCTTTCAGGTCCTCCACCTCAGGGCTGTAGCTCATGTGCTTCCTTCTTTCTGGAATGTTTTTCCTGACCTACCCACTCACCGTGAGATTTTTACCACAAATGCTATTTCCTCACATCCGCCTTCCCTGACCCCTGAGACCAAGCTAGGTCCCCCATGATGGGCCTCGCAGCACCTCATCTCCCCTCCACAGAGGCGGTGATAACCCACAGAACCCAGGGCCACGATCCCTGGCTTTGAACCCTGGCTTTGCCACTCGGCCAGATCTCTTTCTGTGCCTCAGTTTCCTCATCTATAAAATGGATAACAGCAGCGCCTGCTCATAAAATGTGGCAAGGATTAAATGAGTTAACGCACTCAGATCAATGGTGGAGCAAGCTCCATGATACATGAAGATTAGTGATTACAAAATACTATAAATAGGCCTTATCACAACTGTAATTAAATAACTGATCATTAATTGGTTATTTAGGTCTGTCTCTCCTGCCAGAGTGTATACACCAGTTGGACAAGGACGCTGCCTTATTCATCACTGGATCTATAGTGATTTGCTCAGTGCCTTGCACACAGGCACTGTTGGGTAAATATTTTCTGGCTGCAGGAAAGAGTGAAGGACTAACCTCCCCAACCCCCCTCCCACCCCCGCCCCTTGCTACCTCGTGGGAGGAAGAGCATGAATTGGGAGAGCAGAGCCACCACAGGAAACCAGGAGGCTAGGTGGGGTGGAAGGGAGTGAGCTCTCCGGCTCTCAGGAGCGAAAGCTTCCAAGTTGGGCTCTCCCCTTGGCCCCTTCCACCCAGGAAAGACAGCTGGGTCCGCCAGGACCAAGAATCCCCAAAGGGGCTGCTCCCAGAGGTTGTGTTGCAGGGACTGGAGAGAGGACTTCCCAGTACAGGGGGTGGCCCTCTGATCAGGTGGGGGTGGGTGGCAGCAGAGCATTTGGTAGGAGGTCAGGAGCTCACAGGAGATGGGATTCTGCCGATGCCTGCTGAATGAATGAGGGAGGGAGACGGCAGGACCAGGGACTGGGGAATTGGTACTAAGGTGCTGGGTACCTGCCGGGCACTCTGTCCATACATGATCTCAGTTCAGCTCTCCACCTTGGAAACACAAGAAAGGAGCCGTGGCTGCAGAGAAAAACAGAGGCTGGAAACAGGGGTACATGGGCAGGGTGGTGGTGGTGAGAGAATTGCCTGAATCAGCTGCCAAATGGTGCCCAGGTTGGAAAAGCAAATGTGCACACATGGGTTCTTCCCACTCTAACCCTGAGGAATTAGAGGCCTGCTTCTGACACAGACTGGGCAGTGGCTAGTGACTCTAGGTATAGAGTATCCAGGCCCTGCTCACCCAGGCTAGAGCTTAGGGAGCCAGAAGGAAGGAGGTGCATGTTGGGGTGCAGGACAGGAGGGAAAAATACTCGAATTGCAAGGTGAGGGCACAGTCTATTTATATTGGGTTGAATTAACTCCTCCCCCTGATGCCACTAAAGCAGGAATCACACTGCAGATGGCACTGATTTGATTGGCAAGAGACATGCCAGGAAGAATATTAAGGGACCGGACCCCTATAATTAGGCCTAATCATAGCCTGTTGTTTGAAAAGGGCATGAAGGACATTCATCAGGCCTGGCACTGTGCCCTAGACCTGCTCTCCTGGGTAGTGGGACCCTCCGTGGCAACAGAGGTGTGGGTGGGCCTGGGTGAGTGTGGCAAGAAATGCCTCGGAGGCTCTATTTGGCCTTAAAGTGCTGTGTGACCTTGGATAAACTGCCCTCTCTGAATCTCTGGTCCTTTCCATTTCCCATTCTCCAGGCTGAGAACTGCACTGTGATATATGGTTATTCCCATAATAATAATGTGTGTATCATGCATAATGCACTGCACCTCTTCACCACGCTGGTGCCCACTCTTCTGCTCCCCCTGCCGGATTCCTCAGCCCCTTCTACCCTGATGGTTCTCTCCTTTCCTCCTCAGGCCAGCACTTCCCATGATCTGAGATGTCCGTCCTCCTTCCTCTTCAACTTTTTCTCCAGCAGTGAGTTCCTCCTCCTAACTGAGGCTTCCAGGAAGGATATCCTCTGCTTCTCAGACCTGAACCTGCCTTGAATACTCATGAGGACCCAGGAGCTACTCCTCACCTCCCACTTCTCTTCCCTCCTGTCAGATAACCAAGGCACGGCCAACTGATCTCCAACCATCTGAGGAACCCAACCGTGTGAGACCACCCACACCTTTCAAGAATGTTCCTCCCCTCCCCTTCTTTGTATTTATACTGATGCAAATTTGCTGGCCATCTTAACTCAGTCCTGTGCCTCAGTTCTCCCACCTGTAAGATCAGGAGGAGGATAAAGATGTAAGACTTTCTGCACACGTTTTAAGATGAATTCCTTGTTACCACATCTGAGGGTGTCTGTGTTTACTGTACTATCCACGTGAGAGGATTGTACAGACACGAATCTAAACAAGGAAGTAGCAAGTCCATTCAAGCATTAAGAGGCTGATTAGTGGTTTATTCATTCTGTCTGCAAGCATCTACTGATCATCTATTCAGTGCAGACCATTATCACAACAAAGGTGAATAAGACACTATGCAATAGCCAGGGAAACAGCCTCAAAAACAGTTAAACTCTAATCCAGCCATGAGTACAATGCTAAGGAGGGACAAATTCCCTTCTAGGGCTAGGGAAGTCAGGAAAAAACCTCTCAGCAGAATGTGTGCCTCTCTACCAGGCCCAGGGAGAAGGTGCAGAGACAGCATTCCAGGTGGGGAGCAGTGGCTCACACCTATAATCCTAGAAGTTTGGGGGGCCATGGTGGAAGAATCAAGACCAGCCTGGTCAACATAGACTCCTGTCTCTACCAACAAATATATATATTTTAAATTAGCTGGGTGTGGTGGTGCAGGTCTGTAGTCCCAGCTGCTAGGGAAGGATGAGGTGAGAGGATCATCTGAGCTCCAGGAGGTCAGTGGAGGCTGCAGTGAGCCATGATCATGTCACTGTACTCCAGCCTGGGCAACACAGTGAGACCCTGTCTCAGAAAAACAAAACAAAACGAAACGAGAGAGCATCCCAGGTAAAAGGAACAGCTTGAACAAAGGTACGTAGTGAAACGGCAAGTGGTCTTGAGTGGTGGGGACACAGTCATCCTTGAGGAAGTACCAGGAAAAAGAATGATAAAGAGAGGCCAGTTTGTGAAAAACACCCAAAACCAAGGCTAGGAGTCTGGTCTTGAACCAGGAATGAAATCCTTAGACCTGTGCTGTCCAGTGTGGTAGCCACCAGGTACATGCAGCCACTCAGCACTGGAAATGTGGCTAGTCTAAATTGAGATGTGCTGTCAGTGTAAATACACACCGAATTTCAGACTTAGGAAAAAAGAACATAGACTATCTCATTAAAATCTATATTGATTACATGCTAAAATGACCATAATTTGGATACATTGGAGTAAATGAAATATATTGCTAATTTCTTCTGTTTCTTTTTTTTTTCAACTGAGTCTTGCTCTGTTTCCCAGGCTGGAGTGCAGTGGCACAATCTTGGCTCACTGCAACCTCCACCTCTGGGGTTTGAGCAATTCTTCTGCCTCGCCTCCTGAGTAGCTGGGATTACAGGCACCTGCCACCATGCCCAGCTAATTTTTGTACTTTTAGTAGAGACGGGGTTTCACCATGTTGGCCAGGCTGGTCTCAAACTCCTGACCTCAGGTGATCTGCCCGCCTTGGCCTCCCAAGGTGCTGGGATTACAGGCATGAGCCACCACGCCCAGCCTCTCCTATTTCTTTCTATGTTAAAATCACATATGTGATTTCCATATTTTTCTTTTGTTTTCTTTTTGCCACACTCAGTGTCCTGTGATTCCAAAGAAATGAATCCCAGTTCTTTTCAGGCAGGAGCTATCCTAGAATGGATTCTGGCGTAAGCATCAAAATCATTCATAACATTATCATTTTATGGCCCCTTCGTTCTGTATCTGGTAGCTCTTAAACTATTATCATGAAGATAATCATTATTGTGCCTCTCTCAGCAGATGGTATTTCCTTATGCTACAATGGTACTACAAATATTAGCTCATAATACCCATGTATGTTAGAACCATTCTAACACCTTCTCAAGAACTATTCCATTTAACTCTTAATCACAGTGAATTTATTATTATCTCCTATGTTACATAAGGAAATGAAGTTGGAAAGACCACATGGCATTTTTTTTCAACATTGAAACCCTACTTGAGATCAAGCCCAAACTTGAACCTATGTTGTCTGACTATAGAACTTCTGTTATTTATCAGTATGTTTTATTATTTTTATACATTAAAATTGAAGATCTTGGAGTTTAAAAATTTTTTTAGTACTACCGATTGTAAGACCCCTTTTTATGATACTTTGTCTTTATGTAAACCTAAACTATACTTTTTATATATATATATATATATATATATATATATATAGACAGAAAAACAGAGAGTCTTACACTAACCACCCCCCCCCCGTGTGGTCAACATTTTTGTTACTTTAAGATACACCACCCCAATTAACTTCACAACAAACTTTGGAGTCATGTAATACTATCTATTTTTAGGAATGAGAAAATCCAGGCACAAAGGTTAATTGGCAATTATCTTTTGCAAAGTCTGTGGTGCTCATCTGAAAAGATGACGATCACTTCTTATTTAGTGGAAAGACAATAAATAGTTGATAAGTAATAGTCTTCCATCAGGGAGTTTTGTAATGAGAAACCCTGACTCCTCAGTTCCCCAGTGGATGACTGCAGTTCACTCTCGGTCTTTGCTATTGTGTTACCTGCTTATCCATTTTGTTACCTTTTAATGCATTACATAAATGCATAAATATTCTTTAATAATGGTGCTTTCCTCACATCTATGCCATCCGTGTTCATCAAGATCTTCTTTCAGTTTCTTTGACAACTAAAACTGTACATATGTATTGTGTATGGCGTAATATTTCTACTGCACAGCATTGCTTTACACAATGTGGTAAAAACTATGGACTCTCCCAGGAAAATGCACACACACCGTACCCCTGTCTCATAAGGCAGTTTATAGTTTCAAAGTGCATGGAGCCCGTCCTGCACACCATTCTCCCACACCCCGCTCCAGCGCCTCTCCCTGAGTTACAGACCTCACTGTGGGCCCCCGGGGAACCAGCGCAGAGGTTTAAGCGGTGTGGGGTCAACTCCAAGGGTCAGGAGTTGGCAACTGGTTGGTTCCCCATATAATTGATGCCCCCGACACAGCATCTCCCCGAACCAATAATAGAAGCTTCTGACTCCTTCGCCCACCCTTCTGACTTCTTCTTGCTTCTCCCATGGAAGCAGGTGTGGGAACCGCTGAGCGGAACACCCTCCCCCAGCGGGAAATCCGGGACACGCAGGAGCCTCAGTGAATCCGACCATTGTCTCATCTCACCAGGCAGGTGCCTCCTCCATCCTATGTGCGATCAACTTTATTACTACAATTATTAATATAAAGCTGTTGTAACCAAGTGGGTAATAGAGGAACGCCACACTTTGAGACTAATTCAGGAGTTCTTTATTAGCCAGCGATCGAGAGACGGCTAGCGCTCAAAATTCTCTCAGCCCTGAAGAAGGGGCTAGATTTTCTTTTATACTTTGGTTTAGAGAGGGGAAGGGGAGCCTAGCTATAGCAATCTTATAGAAGTAAAACAGGCAAAAAAAAGTTAGACAAATGGTTACAGGAAAACAAATGGTTCCAGGTGCAGGGGCTTTAAATCCATCACAAGGTGATGGGTGCAAGGGCTTTGGGTGCTATCTACTGGATACAAATGCAGGGGCTTAGGATACTATCACCCGAGCGAATTCCTGGGAACTGCGGACATAACTTGCCACAGGACCTTATCAGTTAATTGCACTCTGATGTGCTGGGAGTCAGCTTGCACAAGTTAAGTCCTTGAGGAATTGGGTGGGCAAGGAGCTGCAAGTGAAGGAGCCAAAATGGAGTTTGTCTGGCTCTCTCAGCTAAGGGAGACTCAATTCAGGTTAAAACAAGGTAGCATATCATATTCCCCACTTGTTACAAGAGGGTTATATTGGACTTTAAGATATATAAGTTTGACAGAAGCTATGTGTTGCTTTATAAAGTTAAGAAACCAGTTTTAACTTACGAGGTTTGAAGACTAAACAAGAGGAGGAGAAAGGGGTCCCGCCAATCCAGTAATTAGAGTAGTTAGTCATGGATTACAGTTAAACATGCTTTGGTACTAGGGGGTGTTATGAATTTGAGCAGGAATGCTGTCCACTTTCAGAGCCGTCAGTGTGGTGAGGATGACAGTATGAGGTCTTTTCCAGGCAGGAGTGAGTCCTTTTTTTTTTTCTTTTGGAACTTTTTAACATACACCAGGTCACCCGGCTGGAAAGAGTGGCAGAGCCCCGTCTGGTCAGGAACTGGGTTGGGATGAGCTCCCCGGACAAGCGGCTGGATGATGTCTTGTACCTGTTGGAGAGACTGCAGGTACTGTAATAAATTAGCTTGTGAGATTTCTGCTAAATGGGTATCCCTTAGCTTAGGCAAGATAGGCGGAGCCCTCCTATACATGATTTCAAAAGGTGAAAACCTAGCCCGGTAAGGAGTGCATCTCACTCTAAGAGGGGCTAAAGGAAGGAGTCTCACCTAATTTTCACCGGTCTCTAAGATCAATTTTGTAAGAGTATTTTTTAGGGTGTGGTTCATGCGTTCTACCTGCCCAGAGCTCTGGGATCGAGAGGCACAATGGAGCTTCCATTGAATGTTTAGTGCCTTACTGACTGACTGAGCTATGGACGAGGTGAAGGCCGGTCCATTATCAGACCCTATGGCAGCAGGCAGCCCATGTCGAGGGATGATTTCATTGAGTGAAAACCTAACTACCGTGGTGGCAGTCTGGCAGTCTCGTTCTTGGTGGCAAATGCCTCAGTCTATCCAGAAAAGGTGTCTAGTAGTACCAGAAGGTATTTGTACTCTGCCTGGTGTGGTTTTATTTCTGTAAAGCCAATTTCCTACCTTCTCCTGGCGAGCCTCCCCGGAGGCGGTGGCCTGAGCTGGGTTTAGGACCTTGCTTGGCGTTCACCTGGGCACAAGCTGCTTGGTTCGCTAAGTCCTGAAGGTGGGGGATCTTGAAACGGCTCCTTAGAAGCTGGGCCAGGTTTCCTCCTTCTAAATGGGTGGTAGAATGCAGACGACTGATTAAAGTTTCCCCGAGAGCTTGGGGTATGAAGATTCCGGAATCAGGAAGAATCCACCAATCTTCCTGATTTTTACTGGCCTGAAGATCCAAAGCCTATTTTTCCTCCTCTGGGGAGTATTCTGGGTGATCTGGTAAGTCAGGTTGCGGAAAGGACACTGCAGGCAGCAGAGTCAGAGGCGTGACTGGGAGTTGAGCTGCCTCCCAGGCTGCAGAGTCTGCTCTTTGGTTACCACAGGCAATGGCCATGTCTTCTTTTTGATGTCATTTGCAGTGAATTACAGCCAGCTGTTGAGGGAGCCAAACAGCTTCAAGCAGGGCCAAAATTTCTTCTTTGTTCTTGATAGCCTTTCCTGCTGAGATGAGTAGCCCATGCTCTTGGTAGATGGCTCCATGTACATGCACAGTAGCAAAAGCATACCTGCTGTCAGTGTGAATTTTAATACGTTCGTCGTTACCCTATCGGAGGGCCTGAGAGAGGGCAATCAACTCAGCCCTCTGTGCCGAGGTACCTGCTGGCAGTGCTTGGGCCCACAGTATATTCGTCTCCGTAGTGATGGCAGCACCAGCCTTTCGAACTCCCTGCTCAAGGAAGCTGCTACTGTCTGTAAACACAGTGGCATCCGCCTCCTTTAAAGGCACGTCTTGGAGATCAGGTCGGCCAGTTTCCGTAGTCTCTAACAGTTCTTGGCAGTCATGGACAGGTGTGGTAAGGTCTGGGTCAGGGAGCAAGGTAGCTGGATTTAAGCATCTTGTGGGAGAGAAAGTTAAATGAGGCTGATCTAACAGTAAACTGTGATACTGCAGGATGCGGGCATTTGACATCCATTTGCCAGAGGCACTTCATAGTAAAGTGTCTACAGCATGAGGACCTGTAAGGGTTAAATTTTGGCCCAGAGTCAGTTTATCAGCTTCCTGGACCAGGCTCGCTGTTGCTGCTACTGCTCACAGACAACTTGGCTACTTGGTGGAGGCCACAGGGTCTAGCCTCTTAAGACAAGTAGGCTACCGGACGTCACCATGGCCCTCCACTGTGGCGGTCACCGTGGGCTGCTGGGGGCCAAGAGAGAAGGAGCCCCGGTCTCGTCAGTCATCAGACTCCTCCGCTGCGGGGAGGGTGAGGACTTAATTTTTCTTTTCTGGTTTTTCCTCTGGCTTTAATGGGCATTCTTTTTTCCAGTGTCTAGTCTGCTTGCAATAAGCATGTTGGTTTTTCTCCAGGGGAGCCTGCTCGCCTTTCTTGCCTTTCTGGCGGGGACCTGGGGTTCCCTGGCCATTCCTCTGTGATGGGGGCCTTTCCTTCTTGGCTTCCTGGATGGCCGCCACTAAGATTTTCGCATGTCTTTTGGATGCCTTATCGGCGGCCTTTTCAGTTGCCTGAGCTGCCCGTTTTCGCTTTTCAAACTCTCGATTGTCAAAAACTTTCTGGGCTATCTCTAGAAGTTGGCTAATGTTCATTCCAGCAAATCCTTCCAGTTTTTGTAATTTTCTTTTAATATCAGGGCCTGCCTGAGCCACAAATGCCAAATTAATAGCACAGCTATTCTCGGGAGCCGCCGGGTCAAAAGGGGTGTAACTCCGGTAGGCCTCCTGGAGGCGTTCCAAAAACGCCCCCGGTGGCTCATCAGGTCCCTGGACAACTTCAAATGTCTTAGACAAATTTATGGGTTTTCGAGCAGCTCCTTTGATACCCGCAAGGAGATACTGGTGAAAATCATCTAAAGCTCTCTTCCTGCCTGAGGAGTTTGGATCCTAATTAGGCCGGGTAGAGGGAAAACCTCCTCTAGGAGGTTATGAGCTTCCTCCTCTGGTCTACCGTCTGATGTAAGGAAATATTTTCTGGCCTCTCTTCGGGTACGTTCCTTCTCTTCAGAGGTGGAAAGGGTTAAAAGGAGCTGTTGACAGTCCTCCCAGGTGGGCCGGTGAGTCCGGAGCATGGACTCCATCAGTGAGGTCAAGACCTGGGGCATTTCAGAAAAGGGGGGGTTATGAGTCTTCCAGTTGTACAGGTCAGAAGTAGAGAAGCGGACATAAACTAAGAATGGGCCTGAGTGCTTATCGCCCGGAGGGACTTGTGCCTCCTCAGCGGGAGGAGGGGGGCTACCTCCTCCTGCCGTGGCCGCGATCAGGAGGCAATAGGTGGAGAGCCCACAGGGGAGGTAGTGCAGGAGACAAGAGAACATTCTGAGGGAGCAGGAGGGTTATAAGGCGGTGGAACTGGGTGAAGGAAACTTTCCTCTTCCTCACAAGGAGGCAATACAGGAGGAGCCGAGCCGGCTGAGGGTCGAGGCGAAAGTGAGGTCTGGCTCAAAAGGACCTTGGAGGTAGAATTATGAATGGCGCATGAGCGGAGCCGTGGAGGAGGGCTCCGGACCAAACTCAGCCATTGATCAATGTAGGGAAACTGATCGGGGTGACCGGGAGTTCCAGCAACAACCCGCCACACAGTCTGAACAATTGCGAGGTTCAGTGACCCTTCTGGGGGCGGGGGTGCACCTGACTCTAAACTTTGGCCATTCTACTCCACAGAGTGTCCAGAGTTTGCCTTTTTTAAGGCGGAGCCTATAATCCTCTGAGAAGCCTAGAGAGAAATTTTGTAACATACATTGGAGAGGGCTCCAAGCTTTATGAGGCCAGGAAGAAGAGTTTCCTATTCTGGAGGCAGTTTAACAAGGTTTGAGCAGAGATATTAAACTTAGCATGGACAGAGAAATTCATGACCTAGGGGGGCTGTAGTATCAGAAGAACAGAAATAACATAACCAGAAGGAGTGGCAAAACAGCTATAACCAACACTTCCTGCCGCATAAGGTTTGTCTTCTTAAGCTTTGAGACTTAGGGAGAGGACACGTGGCAGGTCTGAGGCCCGTGGGACCTATGTGACTTCCCTCTCCCCTTTGACTTATAACCTAAATATCTTTGGTGTCTCCACGACTCAAAGGCAAAGAGTTCAGACTTGGCCCTTTCTTTTAAGGGTTTGAGGAGGGAGAGAAGAGCCAAGTCTTGGAGGCGCTGGACTTGCTGCGACACAGGAAAACGAGATGTGCAGGGCAAGGGATGGCGATGAGGAGGAAAGGGGCCACTTGGATCTTTCCTAAGGTAGGAGAGTAGTCACAGAGGATAAGAGTCCAGCTGGAGTGAAGCAGTACGGGGGTAGTCCTTCTATTTTAGGGTTGCCAGATAAAATACAGTATGCAAAATCAATGTGCATTGGAGAAAATAATTTATTATTAGAGAATACGTAATTTCTTTAGCATAAATATGTCTTGTGCCATTCTTAGTTTGGGACATACTTATGCTAAAAAATTATTTGTTCTTTATCTGGAATTCAGAATTAACTAGGCATTTTATATTTTTATTTGCTAACTCTGGCTACCTTATTCTCTTCTTAATATTCTTCAACTCTCCTAGCTTTGCCCTCCTTCCCTGCCCCCTCTTCTAGGGGAGTCGGATCGAGTTGTAAGGAGAACATGCCCTCCCCTCCTCTTCCCTTCCCTTCCCTCCCCTTCCCTTCCCTTCCTTCCTTTTCCCAGTTTCTATATACTGTATTAGTCACTAATCTAAGTGTTCTAGGTACAACAAACAAAACCACATCAAAATAATCCACAGCTCCCCACTGCTCTCAGAGGCCTACATGCTGGTGGGAGAGATGGCAATTAAACAAGATTAGTAAGTAGGGTAGAGAATATTAGAGAGGAAGATGTCCTGAGAAGAAGAAATAAATCAGGAAGAGGATATGAAGTGCTGGGGAGTGTTGAAATTTTAGATGGGGTGGGGCTTGACAAAGCCTCCCTGAGAAGGTGTCTTCCGAGGAAAGGCTTGCAAGGAAGGGAGGGTAGGTGTTTGGGGGAAGAGCATCTAGACAAAAAAAGACAAGTACAGTGCAAGGTTCTGGAGGCAGGCGCGCACTTGGCTGCTGTGTTTGAAAATGAGGGCGGTGCGGCTGCAGGGGAGAGGACGGGGGGTGGACAAGAACTATGGGGTGGCCAGGTCCTATGGGGCTGTGGGAAGGACCTTGAACTTTACTCTGAGGAGCATGGGAGCCATCGCAGAGTATTGAGCAGAAGAGTGGCATGACCTGGCTGGATTCTTTCATAGAGTCCTTCTGGCTGTGATATTACTCTCTATTAGACAGGCAAGCTCCTTGAGGGCAGGCATTGTGTCCTATTGACCTTTATTATAAGGACATAGCACATCTAGCCTGTAGAAGACTTCAATATGTTTTTTCAAATGAATGAAGAACGACTGAATGAATGCATGAATGAATGCTGTCTCCCGACAGCCAGATCCTGGCTCCTAAGGACTCCGGGAGTCTTCTCACTGTCGAAGGAAAACTCTGGTAGAGGATGCTGCCAGCAGCCAAGTCCCTGGGGCTCTTAGCTGCTGCTGTGGCAGCAACACACATCCAAACCCGTTTTCCTTCTTGCCACATAGCAGGCTGCTTAATGGATCACTGTCACCTGGAGGGAGAATTTCAGGGGAGACCCTGCCCTGGGCTATCTTCTGATTGATGATGTCATCGAGCGTTATTAACAAAATTATAGACAAAGGTGGGAGGAATGGAGGATTTATTAATGGATGGCCTCAAAATTTACAACTATAGATTGTATTTATCGGTTCAAGCCAAGAGGCCCTGTCTACATTTCACCTTGACAACATCTTTGGGTTGAACCTCATGCTTCTCCTTCCTTTACCACAGGTCATCATCTGTCTTCTCCATAGTTCATAGAACAAAAAACAACATGAAGTCCCGCAAGAGCTAGTATTTCTTGTGAGGATTTAATCCTCTGAATAACTATGAAATGGGAAGCATAATTAACTCCTTTTACAGATAATGAAACTGGAGCTTGGAGAGTTAGTACCGTGGCCAAGATCTCTGAGATAGGAAGTGGTGATACCCAGGACAGGAATCTAGATGCTACGATGCCAGAGTCTTGAACCAACCCCTATGCCTGCTGGCCTTGGGATTAACCAGAAAAATGAAAGTCCAGATCCAATTGCTTGAATTTGTTTTTTTAAAAAAACTTTTATTGTAGGCTCAGGGGTGGATGTGCAGGTTTATTTTATAGGTAAACTCATGTCACAGGGGTTTGATGTACAGACTATTTCATTACCCAGGTACTAAGCCTAGGACCAAATAGTTATTTTTTCTGCTCCTTTCCCTCCTCCCACCCTCCACCCTTTGCTAGGCCTCATTGTCTGTTGATCCCCTCTTCATGTCCATGTGTTCTCATCATTTAGCTCCCACTTATGAGAACATGCAGGATTTGGTTTTCTGTTCCTGTCTTAGTTTGCTAAGGATAATGGCCTCCAGCTCCACCCACGTTCCTGCAAAGCACATGATCTCATTCTTTTTCTATGGCTGCATAGTATTTCATGGTGTATTTGCACCACATTTTCTTTATCCAGTCTTCCATTTATGGGCATTTAGGTTGATTCTGTGAATTTGTGTGTTGAAGCATAGCATAGCATAGCATTTCGTATGCCTAAAAATATGGAAATAATAAGTGCGTGGCTCAATGAATTGTCCAAAGCAAGTGCACCCAGTAACCAGTACCCATAAGAAACAGAACATCGTCAGCCCTCTAGGAGTTCCCTCATGTTGTCATCTCAGGCCACTGCGCTGGAGAAGAGTCTCCAGTGATAACAAATATTCTCACTTCTGAAGTGAGAATTTTAATATTTTAATTTTAATATTAGTTTAAAATTTTATTAAATGAAATGGTACAGAATAAACTCTGTCAGGATAATTTATTATATTTGAAAGTCTCACGTGTATTTCTAAAGGCAGCTATAGTTCACTTTCAGTTCTGTATAGCTTTTATTATATGCGTCTATATATGCAATATCATATTTTAGGACTTTTGTATATATATATTTCATGTATTCTTTTTATTATTGATGTACATGCGAGTTGTTTCCAGTTTGGAAAAGTGCTAAATAATGATGTATTGTAGAAAAGAGAAAAATAGTCTAAGGAGAAACTAAATTAACTCACAGCTCCGCTATTGAGAATTTACCTCCCTTAACTGTCATAGTTCTGGCCATTTGTGGACGTTCTTTTGCGTGGTGAACAGATGCAGGCATTTCTAACGGATCTATACCTGAGTCAAATTGTGGGGCCATAGAATGTATATGTCCGTCTTTAGAAAATATTATCAAAGGGCTTTTGAGGGTGTTTGTAGCAGTTTACACACACAGCGGCATATGAGAGTCCCAGTCGCTCAGCCCCCTCAGCAACACTCGATGTTGTTTTTCAAATAAAATGTTATCCATTGCATAGTGGTATCACATTGTGGTTTTAATCTGCATCTCCCTGATGACGGAGAATGTGCAGCACCTTTCTCTACACCTGTTGGCTGTCTGGCCACTCTTTGGGAAATGTCCGGATTGTTTACCCATTCTCCCCAGTGTGTCGCCTTTCTTCTTAATTGATGGGAGTTAGTCCCACATCCTACATGTCAGGCTCTTGTCACAAAAATGGTAAATGTTTCTTCACACTCTGTTCTTGCCTTTTTATTTTGTTGAAGGCATCTTTTGATGAAGTTCTTAGTTTTAATAAAGTCCAAATGCATGTGCCTGTTCTCTGTGATGCTCCTGCCTGGGGCTGCAGTGCTAGTACTGGTCACCAGGGGGCAGCAGCCTCCCATGTCCCTGGTGCCCACGGAGCTTTGCTGGAGCAGGTGGAGCTCCGGGATAGCCTCCTGAGAAAGGCACCTCCTGTTAGTATCAATGATCCCCACATTATGAGGACAACGGAAGCAGGAAGGGGTTTAATCACTTTCTCCCCGTGCTGACTTATTCACTCAGCGACTCTGCCCTGAGCACTCACCTTGTGCCAGGTGGCCTGGTGGGCTCAGCATTGGTGCTGAAAATGGCAAAGGAGTCCCTCTCCACCCCAGGAGCCCAGTCTTAGGAGACCTGCACAGAACCACTAAAGCAAGTCCACATGAAAGAAAAGAGCAGGTGCTGTGATAAAAATACGGTAGGATGACGGGAGGGAGGGCCGGGGAGTCACTGTGTGGGGAGAATCCAAATGCCTCACTGAGGTGACATTTATGCCATGGCCAGAATGACAATGGGGGACCAACGCTGCCCAAGTCAGGGACAGCGGTGTCAGAAAGAAGCCACCCTGGGGCACAGCCTCACAGGTGGACCTGAGTTTGGCAGAGGAGGTTAGAAAGGGGACAGTGTGGCTGCAGGGAGGCTGGGGGGAGAGGAGCAGAGGGAGGGAGGAGTCGGGGGAAATGAGGGTAGAGATCTGCTTGTCTTTGACAACATTGTGCCTCCAAACTTCGCAACTTTAAGCAACAAATACTTAATATCTGACAATTTGTGTCCAGCAGAATCTGGGCACAGCTTAGCTGGATGCCTCTGCCTCACTGCCTCTCCTGAGGCTGGGACTGTGGTCTCAACTGAAACTGGACTGGGGAAGGATTAACTTCCAAGCTCACTCATGTGGGTATTGGCAGGACTCAGTGTGGACTGAGGGCGTAAATTCCTCCCCGTCTCTTGGCCTGGGCACTCCCTTGGCCTCTGCCATGTAAGCCTGTACATAGAGCACCTCATAACAGCAGAACTCGCTTCCCCAGTTTAAGGAATGCAATGGAGACTGAGAGAGACAGAGAGAGAGAGAGAGAGAGAGAGAGAGAAACAAGAGACTGAGAGATTGGGGGAGGAAAAACAGAAGAGAGTGAACAGCAGAAAAATGGCAGCTTTGGGGATAATAAAAGCATAACAGTTGCAATAGACTGAATATCTCCCCCCTCCAAAATTCATATGGCAAAATCCTAACCCCCAATGTAATGATATTAGGAGGTGGGAGGTAATGAGGTCCTGAGGGTGGAATTCTCATGATTGGGATTACTAGCTTTATAAAATAAACCTCAAAGAGCCAGGCAGGCCATTGATGCCAGGCACTCTCTTTGCAGAGCTCCATGCAGGAGATGGGTTCAACAACACCATCTCCTTGAACGAAGGGCAGGTGCAACATGCCATCAACCACGGCCAGTGCTGGGCTAGGGTGAGAGCAGGCACAGAGGGGTCTCCACAGACAGAGACTCAAGAAGTCCAGGGTGGCCCATGACTCAGACGCACAAATGGGGACTCCCTGGGCTCTGTCCTTCGGCTTTCCCACTTGAGTGACCCACAGTCCCCTCCCAAAGGAATCTGGCCTCCATTAGTACCCAGTGGCAACTTGTTTAGGTGGAAAGTCCCTGCTCATCTACTTTTAGGAAGATCAGAGGAAGTGCTTTTGTGTTGTTTTCACTTTACACAACGCTATGATTATCTTTGCATGTTGCTGCTGTTTTTATTGTTTTAACAACCTACCCCAGGTGTCTCCTGTAGCAGACAGCTCCACTGTCCTGCCAGACTGCCTCCAAACCTTACAAGCTGTCAGTCTTACTGGGGAGGTTCTTTTTTACAAAGGGTGGGGGTGTCACACAAAAAGAGCCTTCAGCTGCTCTATGCATCTGTCTGCAATATGTCACCTCAGAGACCTCACCCCCATAGCACCATCGGAGAGGAGCTGTGTCCTCATATGTCTTCATAACTTTCAATAAGGGAGGCCTCTCAATGCTGCCGGAGCCTCACATGATAAAATTCTATTTCGACATCAGCTATCTTGTAGCGGTATCTGATGCTTTTCAGAATAGGCCATGACAGTTTGTTAGCACTTCCATGATACAGTGCCACAGACTGAAGGGCTTTAACAACAGAAATGCAGTTTCTCACAATTCTGAAGGCTTGAAATTGGACATGGAGCTGTGGGCTGCATTGGTTTCTCTGAGGCCTCTCTGCATGGCTAGTTGATGGTCTCCAGCTCTCTCTGGGTCACAGGGCCTTCCCTGGTGCTTCACTGTGTCCTTACTGCCTCTCTTATAAGGACTTTAGTCATATTGCATTAGGGCCCGCCCTAATGAACGTAATCTGTGTCACCTCTTTATGGACCACATGTCCAAATACAGTTCCATTCTGAGGCACTGGTGTTAGACATGAACATGAACTTTGAAGAGTAGACAAAATTCATCCTGTAACATATACTAATGCCTTGCAGAAGACAGACTCCCAGGAAAGGAGTTACTTGGTGAGGAATATGCATACATGACATTTTCATGGCTTAGTCAGATGACTTTCCAAAAGGGCTGTTGTGGATACATTGCCACCAGCAGTCCTGAATGTAGCTGCTTCCCAGCATCCAGCCACCCCTGGGTGTCAAGTCTTCTAATATTTTGTCAATCCGGTGTCTGCGTGACAAATAAAATTCCATTGATCCTTTCATTTCCAGCTTCCCTGCTGATATGTGTGTGTCACCTTTCGGCTGTATAGTCCCCACTTGGATTTTCTCCTCCCTGAGTCATCGCTCAGATCCGTGGCACTGTGATGGGCTCTTTCTCCCACCCAATGAGTCTCCTGGCATTGGGCCCTTTGCCGGGTCTGCAATTGCGGTAGCTGTTTCTCAAGACTGCCTTTATGTTAAACAAAGAAGCAGTTATTGGCTTTAAGTCCAAAGGGTTCTTCTAGTTTTTTGCTGTGTCACTGTCTCTAAAACAGAGGAGGAAACAAGGCCTCCCCAGGTCCTTTTCCTCCGTGTCAGCGCAGACCAAGCCTCGGGGAGTTGAGAGGGAAAGTCACACAGTAGTTCCCGTGAGCAGTTTTGGAGCTGCCTTCTTACATCCAAAAGCCTGTGTTTGCTCATTTCTAAAATGAGGGTGTGTTTTTGAGGATTTGCTGGGATAATGCTCTTTATACAGTCTATGAATACAAGTCCCTGCGTGCTAGAAGAGAGGCCCCAGGCACGCTCAGTTATCTAGGAAGGTTCTGGTTGGTGTTCATTCACTAAACACACATATGTTAAGCATTTACTTTGTGCAGGCACTTTTATAGATGACTAGCATATTTTAACAAACAAAGCAGATGCCAACCCCTGGGCCTCAACTCCATTCTATCCAGGGAGTCAGATCCTCACTGGAGACATCGAAAGCAAGGCACGCCCACAGAGTGGGAGATGCAATGCCCTCCTGGCCTCCTCTAGGTATAAACACTTCCTCCCAGATTCTGAGCAGGATGACAGATCCCAGGACCAACTCTAAAGTGGGTGGACTCTGGGTCCAGAAGAAGGACTTCCTGGGACCCCAAAAGGATGAGGGGATTATACGGCCTGTGGCTGGGGAGAGACTGACGGAACTCTGGATCTCATACACCTCATAATTCCTCCAAGATGGCTGAGGTCTGGGGCTTCTGCAAGAGGAAAGAAGTCAAGGTGAGCTGAAGATGGGGCCTCACGTCCTTGTCAAAGGAGAGGGGAGTTGGAGTCAGAGCCGGCCCCCAAAAGACCCATGCCCAGCACAGTCACTTCCCAGCTCTGCTTGTCCTCCTCCTTCCCACATCCACCTTTCCCAACCCCAGCACCAGGGGGCCCAGACCTGAAGCAGTGACGAGCCACCTGCTCACACGCCTGCCTGGAGCCACAGTCCTGGTGCCCAGGTACACGAAGCTGTGTGCCCTGGGCCTACAGGAGGAGAATGTCAGTGGGTAGCTGAGATCCACAATTGTCTGTAAAGTCCTGCTCTATGACCAGGTCTGTCCCTGCCAGGACAGCACAAAGGGCTTGGACTGGGATGGGGCTGTCCTCTAGACAGGCAGCAGCACACAGGTGCTGTGGATGAGCCGTGCTGGAGGAAAGACCAGGCCTCTGACTCTGATGCCCACTTCCTGCCCCCAGCACCTTCTCTTTCATTTTGGCCACTTGGCCAGATCAATACTCTGTAGATTTCTCTCAGCCCCCAAGCTTTCCATCCTTCAAGCCTAAGGTGACCTACATGTAGGTCAAGTGGCCTGGATCAAAGCTGCCGCAGCATCTGCACATTTTTCTTGCCTGGATGAAGCCTCTGGAGCCCATCAGATAGAGGGAGAGGTAGAGGCAGATAGTGAGGTGGCTGCAGTCTGGAAGATTTTCTGAGGTGTGGGATTTTGGGGCTGGAATTCCCCTAAATTCAGTGAGTTCACTTTGGTGTTTGGAAAGACCAGTGCAAAGTGATCGATGATGGTAATCCTATCTCTTTTCCCAGCTCTGATCCATATCCAGAAGTAGGAGCATTTCCAGTGCTAGCTGTTGAGTTAGTGTCAGCATGGGATGAGAACCTTCCAGTTACAGTGCTGCAGTTAGAGCCACCTCCAGAGCCTTCTTGCCCTTGTCCTGGGACTGTGAGAATCAGTCCAGCAAGGAGATACCTGACATCATAGCATCTGCTGCAACCTCTCGCCTCAGCCCTGCAGCAGGAGGCTGAAGAGAAGCAGCAATTGGTGAGGCCCCTGTCCCCAAGCCCCGTGCTCCTCCAGATCCTGAACATAGGAGTTGTCACGGAGATGGAGAGCAGAGCATGCGACCCCAGCTCCTGGGCCTCTCTGAAAGGCTTCCCAGGGGACAGGCTTGACCCCGTGTGTCTGGGAACTGCCCCTTTTTCTCATACTTGGTGCAGGCTTTGCCTTGTTCATGGCAGGCTTCCTGACAGGAGGTGAAGGAGCAGGCAGGGTGGGACTCCAGCAGCTCCTCCTGCTCCCAGAGGCCACCTCTTTCTTCAGGGACTGAGGTCTGATTTCAGCTGAGCATCTGGGCTAGGGTCCTTAACGGGGGACCCCCCCCACAGTATTTCAATGTAAGTTCTTTCTATTTTCATAAGTGTCAGCTGGCTGAGAAATAAAGAGAGAGAGAAAGAGTAAAAAGAGAGGAATTTTACAGCTGGGCTGCTGGGGGTGACATCACGTATCGGTAGGACCATGATGCCCACCTGAGCCTCAAAGTCAGCAAGTTTTATTAAGGATTTCAGAAGGGGAGGGGCTGCAAGAACAGGGAGTAGGTACAAAGATCACGTGCTTCAAAGGGCAAAAAACAGAACTACTGATAAGGGTCCAACAAAGATCACAAGGCAAAGGGCAAAAGCAGAATTACTGATAAGGGTCTATGTTCAGTGGTGCACATATTGTCTTGATAAACATCTTAAACAACAGAAAACAGGGTTCGAGAGCAGAGAACCAGTCTGACCTCAAATTTACCAGGGCAGGGTTTTTCCCCACCCTAATAAGCCTGAGGGTACTTACAGGAGACCAGGGCGTATCTCAGTCCTTATCTCAACTGCATAGGACAGACATTCTCAGAACGGCCATTTATAGACCTCCCCCCAGGAATGAATTCCTTTCCCAGAGTATTAATATCAATATTCCTTGCTAGGAAAAGAATTTAGCAATATCTTCCCTACTTGCACGTCCATTTATAGGCTCTCTGCAAGAAGAAAAATATGGCTGTTTTTGCCCAACCCTGCAGGCAGTCAGACCTTATGGTTGTCTTCCCTTGTTCCCTAAAATTGCTGTTATTCTGTTCTTTTTCAAGGTGCACTGATTTCATATTGTTCAAACACACATGTTTTACAATCAATTTGTACAGTTAATACAATTGTCATAGTGGTCCTGAGGTGACGTACATCCTTCAGCTTATGAAGATAACACGATTAAGAGATTAAAGTAAGACAGGCATAAGAAATTATAAGAGTATTATTTGGGAACTGATAAATGTCCATGAAATCTTCACAATTTATGTTCCTCTGCCACAGCTCCAGCCGGTCCCTCTGTTCGGGGTCCCTGACTTCCTGCAACAGGTCCTCCAATATGCTGCCCAAAACAGGCTCTTTCTGGCTGTCAGGAGGGCGGAGGTATCTGGAGGGGGTGCAGCCTCCATAGGGTACAGGTCCCAAAGCCTCCAAGACTAGCAGCTGTGCCCTGGGGTCTCCATGCCTCCATCCTGCCCAAACACTTATTCATATTGATAAGATTTCAAATTTATATAATAACTTTCAAATAAAGAATTTGACTTTTTAATGAAAATTTCCATGTCTTCTTTACCCCTCTATATTGTCAGATAGCATTGCTGAGGCTATCCTGAAAATACCTCAGAGTTTCATCTTTTTGCTGTGGTTGTTTGTGTGATTAAATTACAATCATTATTGTAAATCTTTCAGGTATGGCTTTTAGAGGTCTTTGACCTATATTTGGCATTTTTTGACTCTTAGATTTATTGTGGAAGGAAGGCTCATATGGATTCATTTCTGAGTCAGATCTTACCACCTTTTGGCATCAAGAATTTAGCATCAGAGTTTCCAGAAATTATGTATGCCACTTGATATGTCAGATGTCTTAGCTAGTCTGGGCTACTAAAGCAGCATACCAAAGACTGGGTGGCTTATAAATAAGAGAAATGTATTTTTCACAGTTCTAGAGATGGTGAAGTTCAAGATCAAGTCTTCAGCAGATTCAGTGTCTGGTGAGGGCTGGCTTCCTGGTTCATGGACAGCCATCTTTTTACTGTGTTCTCACATAGCAGAAGGGATGAGGGAGCCCTCTGGAGACTTTTCTGTAGGGGCACTAATCCCATTCATGAGGTCTCTGGTTTCATAATCTAATCACCTCCTCCCAAGGTCTCACCTCCAAAGACCATCATATAAGGGACTGGATTTCAACATAAGAATTTGAGGGGGACAAAAGCATTTGGTCCATAGCATCAGGTAACTCTTGAGTCATGTGCACTCAAAATAATTCTGTAATCTTCTGTGAATATTCACTGGTCTCCTCTTGGTTAAAAAAAATTTTTTTTAATTGTAGGTCTTGATTCAGCTAGGTCCAAAGTTTAACTTCTACAGTTGCCTGCACAACTTGTCCACAGGACAAAAGGAACTTTAGAAGCAACTGGGCATTTGGAGTTTTAGGAAAGTTGTTGGGAGGATTTGGGGTCTGGACAAGGAGAAGTAGAGGGAGGAGAGGACAAAGGTAAAGCAGGAAAGAGATCAGAATGGAAAAGGGGAGGAAGGACCCCTGTATATAAGTGTCAGCTGGAGGACAAGGAAGGGGAGGGTTTCCTAAGAAGATGAGTTTAGTTTGTTGTTGCTTCAGTTTGCTGAGTTGCCCATTATGTTTGGTCAGATAAGTATTTTTTGGGACAATATTTTTTAAATTTTTTGGAGACAGGGCCTCACTCTGTCATGCAGGCTAGAGTGCAGTGGCACCATCATAGCTCACTGCAGCCTCCAACTCCTGGGTTCAAATGATCCTCCCACCTCAGCCTACTGATTAGCTAAGACTACAGATACATACAACTATGCTTTGCTAATTTATATATATATATATATATATATATATATATATATATATATATATTTTTTTTTTTTTTTTTTTTGGTAAGGACTGGATCTTCCTATGTTGTCCAGGCTGGACTAAAACTGACTTGAAGCGATTTTTGTGCCTTAGCTTCCCAAAATGCTGGCTGTCCAGGTATGAGCCACTGTACCTGGACTAATGAGAAGATTTTTTATTCCAAATGTCATTTGGAATCCTCTGCGTACCAACCAACAACTACTACTCACTGGGCCTGAGAAATCTTATTTCCTTTCTTGTTAAGGCACCTCTCAATTGAGGAATTTTGTTTAAATCAAATATACCCCAGAGTGGCCACGGGAGGCCAAATCTTGATCTAGTGATGCCGTTTAGAAAGATGGGCACGGGAATGAGCATTGAGAGGAAAGTACACACAAGGAGCAGGAGTTTTTCCTAGAAGTGCAAAGGACTTGGGCTTAGCCAGCCCCAGGGGAGCAGGGGCTGGATGCTTATGCACCTCGTGCCTGACAGCTGCTCACCTCTGAATGAAGACACAAACATTTGTGCCTCTGGCAGGTAGAAAAAAACACCATGCACTCTCTGGATCCCAATAAGAATGCACAGAAGGAAGGAGAAAGGAGAACCTAATCGAGTTTTATTGGTGACCCACAGCACAATGTGTCCAAACAGATGCCTGACCAGTGAGAACCCCAAAGTCACCACGTGACGCTGGCTCAGAAAACAGCCTTTTAAGGCCTATGACTATGTTCTACCCTCTGATTCTCCTTGTTATGACAACAATCTTTAATGGCACAACACACAACAGTATCATAAAGTCTAGTGAAGACAGAGTAGAAGCCCTGTTTACAATGCATGGTACCATTAGGGAAGATAAATCACCTTTTAACCAGCACTTTTGTATTTTGGCTCCAAGCAGCCAAAGAGGAGAGACAAGCATCCATCACCTCGTGCAAGCAACACCAAATGCCACACCAACCAACCAATCAGGGAGGCACGGACTGACTGCAGCAGGGGAGTGTGGCAAAGAAAACCCAAGGATGTTCGGATGAATCTGGGGACAGCCATGTGGTGGTAGAGAGCGGTGCGAAGTGTTGCAAAAGTTATGGAATGATGGCTTTTGTAGTTAGCTGTGCATTCTCAATTATATGGCACTTGAAATCTTGCTTCCAATCATTCCCCCAACCTTTCTATTTAGAGATAAAATCCTCAAAGACAGAAGCAATGTTTATTTCAGCTGTGTATTTTGGAAGTGGTTTGTGGAACCTAACACATATAAGTGATCACTAAGAGAATCAGCATTTAGAAATTCCTATTTGCACATGGTATTTCGTAGTAGCTCATGCTCTTCAGCTCTGATTCCTTTCTTCAAAAGCTTGCAATAAACCTGGACAAGAATTGTATGGTGGTATCGGCTGCCCTACTTTTAAATTCCCTTAAAAATGTATTAAAAGGTTGATTAGCCAGAATATGTAGGACTTAACCTATCCTGGGATCACAGCATTTCTGAAGCTAAGGTTCCTTAACTTCAAAAAAGCACCATAAAAGGATAAGAAAAGACAACAACTTGACATAACATATATTTTCTTATAATTGCAGTCTGATGTCTTGAACAGCTGTTGCCTGCCAAAATGGACAAAGAACCAAGAGCAGCTGCAGGCCACGCACCACCACTGGGATTGCTGTGACCTTCCTGCCTTGCCCCTGGGTCTTAAATCACCAAACTCTATGGCTCACACTGGGCTGACACTGCTGACCTTACAGCCTTGCAAATGATGTCATCACCATACGTTCTTCACTCATGACGTGGCATGGATTTGACCAAAGGCGTGATCATGTTTAAAATAAAAACCCTTTATGAGAGTTCCCTTGTGCAATGCTTCCAGTGTTTAGGCACTGCTGGGTCAATTTTCTCATTATTCACATAAGCTTGCATTTCTGCCTTAAGAACCCATTGTTTGAGTCACTTCTTATGGTCCTTATCACTTTTGATCTCGTGTTAGAGCAAAATGCACACTGCCATCCTCTCCACTAGTTTGTAAGCTCTTGAAGCAGGGCTGAGTCAGACTCATCCATAGATCCCCCGAAGTGCCTGGCACTCTCCAAGTGAATAGAGGCACTTAATAAACTTCAGTAGAATCAGATTTAATTTAATGGAAGTTGATTAAAATTCACTTTCTCCTTCTCCTCCTTCACTGCACAGGAAATTCAAGTCAGCATGAGCTGAAGAGCATCTTCAGCATCGAAACTAAGGAGGATTGTTTTTCAGCTTCTTGCTGTAGCTAGATGACATGATGGCATTTAGTGTTCCAGGCCTGCATTTGAAACCTCGACATTTACCTTAACAAGGTAGGTGACCCTGAGCAAATGTTTTCACATCAGTAAACCTCAGTTTCCCCATCTGTCAGCTTAACAATTGTACGGATTTTTAACAGGATAACATAGGTGTCAAGCATCCAGCATAGTCCCTGGATCACAATGAGCATATGATCTATCAAAGTTACCAACCACATCCTGCGGCTAGAATTAAGCTCCACTGTGGTATTACTTGAACCTAAACTTCACACTGTGAAATAGTACTGTATAAAGACCACATACCTAAATTGGAAACTCAAAGTTTAAAGAAAAAAAAGACTCTCACACTCCTTAATTGAGGGGAAGTTAAAGAATATTGACCATTACATTCAGTTGGTTATAAATTGGCAAGGATGTAGAGTGGTTTGTGTGTGTGTGTGTGTGTGTGTGTGTGTGTGTATGTGTGTAACAGGTGTATAGGCAGAGTGCACTTTTTTTTTTTTTGAGACAGAGTCTTGCTCTGGCACCCAGGCTGGAGCACAGTGGCATGATCTCGGCTCACTGCAACCTCCCCCTCCTGGGTTCAAGCGATTCTCATGCCCCGGCCTCCTGAGTAGCTGGGATTACAAATGTATGCCACCACGCCTGTGTAATTTTTGTTTTTTTGGTAGAGATGGGGTTTCACCATGTTGCCCAGGCTGGCCTCAAACTCCTGACCTCAAGTGATCCACCTGCCTCAGCCTCCCAAAGCGCTGGGATGACAAGTGTGAGCCACCACACCTGGCCAGGAGTACATTTTTAAAACAGAGGTTGGTCTACTAATGTGAATGTAGAAAACCCTGCAATATCGACAATGTGTTTAGGGGTTGTATGTGTAGTAAATGGTTTGCTTCACTCAATATCTAAAAGAACAAACTTTGTTTTTTAAATATTCCTTGATGGGTTTCACTCTTATTCATTTTAACTCAAACCTCCACTCCTTTACTCAAGCTTACCACCCGGCACCCTCGGTCTCAGCTGACACCTCTGCCATACATGTCATTAGGAAGCTTGAAGCCATCCCTAGCCTTACCCATCCCCAGTCTTTCTCTTGCTGCCCTGCATGTGGTGTTCCTCCTCTTTTCAAGACAAAGCTGCTCACCTGAATTTCCCTTCCTCAGCTCCTGCCACCTTCAAGACCACGCTCTGTCAGTTATCATCTCTCTCCTAAATTTTTAACTTCTCTCTTTTTCCTCTGCCAGATGCATAACCAAGTCTGTCAGATTAACCTATAAGCTCCTTTTCAACCCATTTCACCATCTGGTCATAGCCCAGTTTTAGCTTGCCCCATTGCTTTACTCAGGACATCCCCAAATCTGCTGTTCTCACCGCTCCCCTGACAAAAACTTTCATCTGAGATGAGTCTTTCTGTGTAGATGGAGCTATCACGTATTTTGTTATAACCTGACAGCATTGTGAACAGGGCCAGTTGCTTGGCAGGGCTAGAGAACACTCTTGTAGAAAGGGATAGATAGATGAGCACACACCTGCTGGCCCACGGGTGATCTGCTCTAGGGAGGTGGTGGTCATCTGATGCACTCCATTTGCAGTTCAGCCCATGTGTGGAGTCATCTTCTCCTGCCAACATTCCCAAGAGGGCTCACCACTCACCTTCAGAGTCAAGCAGTTGTGGATGGAAATTGACAGGAGTAAGTAAGCATTCCATCAATATTTGACAATCACTAGGCTAAGTGCCAGGTTTATAACAATGAATAGGACAGGTGGGATGTCTCCCATGCAGTTTACTGTTTGCCCACGAGCCTTTCCCCCATTTTCTACCTCCAGTGGCCTTGGTGCTCTGGGGCCTATTCTATGCCTCCACTGTCACTGGCTCTATGTGTTTGCTCTCTGCAGCTAGCCTTCCTGCTGTTGACAGTGTCCTCCCTTGTCATCACAGTTGATTGACCCAGAAGCTCTGACTGGAGCAGGGAGGGCTTGGAGGGTCAGAAAAAATACTATTAATTATAGAGAGGGTTAAATTGTTTGCTCAGTGTCATTCAGTCAGTACCAGAGATAAAAACTCCCCAAATCCCTCAGATTAGGTCAAATCCTGCCATAGGCACCTATAGTACCTTGCACCTCTTTTTTTTTTGTAACAATCATCACTCTTGTAGCTATTTGTTTAGTGCCTGTGTTCACCGGAGTCCAGGCTCTACTAGAGCTGGTATCACATCTATCCTTTTCACTGTGCATCTAGCACACTCTTGGTATAGATTGCTGGACAAAAATATTTGATTTTATTTTAGATTTTTAGGCACCTTGAAATTTTTAGTTAACTGTTTTTTAAAGCGGTTTCCTAAATCTGCAACCATTTCCCTTGCATAAAATGGGTTTTTGAGTCAGGAGATCAGGCACTACTGCAAAAAAGGGCCTAGGATCCAAGGCAGATTTAGGGAGAAGGAAATGTTCTAAACAAAAACAAAAACCAGTGGAGCCAGAGGTGTGGATAAGGTATACGATAAGCTGTGTGGACTCAGAGGTCCTGGGTGTGTAATAACACAAGATTTCCTCCCCACGGCACACAGCTGCTTGTGCTCAAGTCCTGCCAGTTGACAGAAAGCTCCCTTGTCTTGTGACTACTGCATTAGGCAGAAGGAGCAAAGAAAGGGCACAACGGACCACGGGCAAGGTAAGGAGGGAAAGACAGTTGCTTTGAAAAGTCACCAGCAGCCGAGGATCAAGGCCCTTTCAGACCTGGCCCTACATGTTGGGGAGGTACTTGAGAGCATCCTTTAGGAGGAGGCAGTAGGGGGCCAATGAGATTTTGAGGACAGAGCAGCTGCTCACACTAGAGAGGCCAGAAATCCTGAGGTTGGACAGAATTTGCTATTGTTTGGATGGTGCTTCTTGAATTTTTATTCTTTTTTCCCCTAGGGATATGGCTGCTGTATATTGTTAATGATCAGCTGGTTTGGTTTCTGAGTACTTTCAGGGTGCCAAGGCTTTGTATGGGTTCCTCAGTTGCAAATAGGTTCATGCAGTGACTTCCCCAGACACTGCTTCTTGTGATATAGTTTTGTTTGAGGTGTAATTTAGGCTGCAGTCTAGTAGATGGCATTTAAGAGTAAGAACTGGCAGGTAGGGGTGGGGACAGAGGCAATGGAGAAGTGTGTGTTTGGGATTTAAAGAACCTCAAGAAACTGTGATATTATGAAATATATATCTGGTCTTCATCTTGATTCCTGGCATAAAACTCCTATAATTCTTGGAATCCAAAATTTTAAATCTAAATTGCGACTGTAAGAAAATAACGTGGTGCTGCCTTGTGCTGCCTTTCATTCTAAATGGATTTTGGGTGACAAGGTTTAACAGAGTAGAATCACAGGAATGATTTTCTAATTTCTCAAAGTGAGATAGTTTTTATCTTGGACCCCCCAAACATTGAAGAACCCTTTCTTATGTGGATTTCTAAATAGTGTACAGCACAGTAGTAGGGTTTATTTCCTAAATGGTAAAACAAAATCACAGAGAATCTGAGTAACCTTGGATTTTCCTGCTTTAGCCACTTGGCAGAGACTAAGCTTTCTAAGCCAAGGAACCAGACAATCACAGCGTTATTGGGTAAACTGTAGCTGACCTTGTGTAAGCCTTCTCTGGGGTAACATATGACCATGATTTATAAGTTTCTCCCACTATCACCGACACATATTTTTCTGCTTTTTTGGTGTGTTTTCTGTTGTCCTCTTTACAAAAAAGCTAAAGGCTTTTTTTGAGAGACAGTACCAGGTATTTACTATGGCTGAATGCATCATACCTAACATCACTACATATGAGACATCTCTTCAAAACTAACAGGTGACAGAAAAGACAACCCAGTCAACTGTGATCAACTAGGAAGTGAAAAAATATGGAGCTCCATATTTTAATATGCACAACCTGAACAAAATTGTGAGAATATAGCACAGGCATGTGTGTTACAGATGCCATGATAATTCTCACACCAAATTGTAAAAAAAAAAAAAAAAAAAAAAAAAAGGCAAACCCTAAAGTGTTTAATGTGCCTCATATCTTTGCTACATCAAATTTTTGGATCAGAATTTATAAGATCTACCAGAAAAGTATCAAAAGATTATTCTCTTGCAGTGCAGGTTATCTACACACTCTATGTTCTGAATGTGTCCTTTTAAAAATGAAAAAATTCACACATTTTAACCTGAGGCAGGAAATAACAATTGTGAAGCCTCAAGCAAGCATTTCAGTTTAGTGGTGGTGAGTTTGAGGAAGAATCAGAGCCCCTGGTATTTCTCTCAGCAGGAAGTCTGAAGTCTGGGCCCAGAAGCAAAACTCAGTTGATGGAATTTTGTCTACATCAGGAAAAAATGAATTTGGGATGGACTAGTTCTCAGCTACATACAACCAAGAGTATTAAAATTATAATTCAATCAGAGAGACCATAACAGTTCATTCCTTTGGAAATCATACAATAAATATGACATCTTTTTTTAAAAAAATTTATTTTTGTTGAAATGGGAGTCTCACTATGCTACCCAGGCTGGCCTTAAACTCCTGGGCTTAAGTGATCTGCCTGCCTCGGCCTCCCAAAGTGCTGAGATTAAAGGCATGAGCCACCATGCCCAGCCTGACATTATATTTTCTAAACTAATATACAGCTAGAATATTATGCACTCTCTGAATAACAGAAAAAGAGGTTTTAATATAGGTAGATTTTTTAACTTTAATAATTTTAAAAACCAAAAAGTTTAAGGCTTTAAAGGAATAATAATCAAAACCTATAAAGTTACAAACAAAGTACATTTCTTAAATATCTACCACTCCAGTTCTTTGAATACTACAATTGGTTGCACACATTAAACTTGTGCGGCGATTAATGCTTTCCATGTCTTTTCCATCTGCTTACAGTTATGCCACAGACCTCTGGGCATAAGGACTAGCCAGGTCTGTCTAACACATACTTCGGTGTGACTTAACAAACTGGTTTCTACTACATTCAGCCTGAAGTGACAGTGCTTTTTAATGTTGGTTGCAGGCAGGGGACTGTTGCCCCCTCCCAAGCACTTCAGCTTCCTTGCACGGCCTCTCCTTGGCTTCTGTCTGTCCCTGCCAGCAGCATTTCATGGGACCCATCCTGACCCTCCAAGAAAGCAGAAAAGGGGGTTCCTGATGTAAAAAGTAAAGAACTATCATCTGAAGAAGGTGAGTCCTTTTAAACTGTGAGTCCTGGAGCCACGTTAAAATGAGAGCAATCACACCTTACTCCCTGCTTTGAGCTATGTGTTCATCTCTTAAAACTGCTTGCTATTGCCACAAGTAGCTATCAATTAATTTTAATTTGGGATAATTAGCATAGTGTCTTATCAGAACTATAGCCCATATTCTTTAGCTTAACAATGGATAGCCAATTGCTCATCAATTTTATTTCTGTAAACCAAAGAGAGTTCCTGATCAACAACTTTGTACCAGCCCACTCTCTCTGTCCCCCTTTTGTCTTTAAAAACCTGCTTGGAACAAAGGCTCTAGGAAGCTCACAGCCAAGGGTACTTGGGTCTGAGTCTTCCAGGCAGCTGTCCTCACTTTGGCTCAAGTAAACTCTTTAGATTGTACTCTGTGTCTCAGCTTCTTCCTTTCAGGTGGATACTGAGGGGAGTAAATGAATGGCTCCTGCTCTTTCTCTGTCTGAAGCTTGGACTATTCATGAGAGGACTTCCTACTCCAAGACATAAGGGAGTCTTGCTCAGAAGGAGGAGCTCCTGTCTGCTGAGGACACGGTTCCATCCAATGAGGTCAGCAGGGCTATCAGCAGCTTCCGTTAATTCCGTTGGGGCAGGCGCTTGGCAAGCGGCAGTTATTTGAGCTGAGGATGCTGGGATAGATTTTAACATGAGCAGTTGGCCCTTAGATCATGAGACCAGCTAAAGTGCCCAAGGAAATGGAACAGCAGGGAGAGGGGACATCACACACACCACCAAAACCTCTTGTTAGTCTCTGGCTTCCATATCCTTCCCCAAAACCTCAGCCCAACTCAGCCTCATTTTTCCATCTCTTCTCCCTTCCTCCATGGGAGAGCTTTCTGTTGGCACAGGAATAGCTGAGAAGTGGGAAAGATCAAGTGTAGTAAAAGCTGCCCCAGATAATCTACAGAAAACTTTGCTGGAATGAGGTTGTGCATCTCTGAACCTGAGCTAGATTTGTTGGGTCAGGGACCATATTTAACTGGCTCAAGAACTGACACAGGAGGTGTCTAATAAATACTTGTTGGATGAATAAACAGCTAAGTGAGTGCTTACAAAAGCAAAGCTCCAGTACCCTCAGGCCACACCTACTGGAAAAATATATGTCAGCCCCAGAAAATTGTGGGCAAGATGAGGCAAGTCCTGAGCAACACAGGAAACTGCCCTCCTCCTTTTCTGGCCCCGCTTCCACTGTGATGCTAAAGATCGCATCAAGGCTGGTCATCCAATCAGCAGGATGTAAGAGGGTCATTCTTCACTGTGGCCATTTAGAAGTTTCCTGGAAACCTGGCTTTCTCCTGACCATTGCCCCATGAGCATGGTGGTGACAAGCTTGGGCTCTGAAATCAGACAGCCCCAAGTTTGAAACCTCAATATTCTTACTTGCTAGCTATGAGACTTTGGGCAAATTCACCTCTCCAAATCTCAATTTCTCAATCTGTATAATGGGGATAATATTGGGTAATGCACTAAGCACCATGTCAGGAATGTAGTTAGTGTTCAATAAACGTTTATCTTTATTGCTGCGAAACCTCATTCTGCCATTCCCTTCTTTGTCTTCCTCTCCCAACCCCCCAGCTTCATCATGGCCTATGAACAGCCAAAGGGTAAAATGATCAGAAAACTGGACAGTTTTTGACAGTCTGTAAGTAACTACTGTGGCCTACTCAACTGCCTGGCCTTTTGAAAAGCACACTTAGAAGCTGGTGATGTCCATGGGACCACATACCGGGAAATGACAGAGGTGTATATTTACAAAGTAACTCTTGACCCAAAGTACCTCTTTAAAAGAAGACAAGCATGTTTTGCTCCCATGATATCTTATAGTGGCACCTAGATTGCTGAGGGCCTGTTGTCCAGTAAGTAATGTCACCTAGAGGGGGTATGATTGGTTTGGAGTCTGGGTCTGAGAACTGGGGTAAACCACTTCTTCATGTCGTAGTCCCCTTATACATAAAACAGAGGGATTGGACCAGATGGATCACTAAAGGTCCTTCCAGTGTTAAGACTTAAAGGGTAAATGGCTCTTTGATAAAGAGAGATCATAAAAAAGTAAGATCCACACAGCTTAACCTCCCAGGGGGCAATTAAGATGCTTTAATGTGAAGTGAATGACGACGTGGTAGAGTTTGATGTGAATGTAATAGCATAGGAAGGCCGGAGGGCATGGGGGCCTCTCAACCTCATTCTCTGTACTAGATGCGGCATCTGGAGCATCTCAAGAGGGGCTAAGAGATTCTGTCCTCACCCCAGCTCTGAAGATGCCTCCACCATGAGAAAGAGACAGGGAGCCCCTGACTCTCTCTGCTCCTTCACCGGTTACTCCCACGTTGGAAGGCAGGAGAGGAGCAAGGCCCCAGCATCTTCCATCACTGCTGCAGACACCAACCAACCCTCCTTCCTCCCCACCTCTGCTTCAACTCTCACCTGAGTCCCCGCCCCAAATAGCCCTCTGCTAGCCATTAGGTGTTAGCTGCACTTCACTTGCAAAAGGTTTTCCTCTGCCAATTTTTTTTTAAATTTAAAAGTAAACTTTAATATTGAAAATGCAAACTTGGGGAGGGCAGAAAGATCACACACAAGGCTGTCGCTTCACACTTGGAGGGTTGCACAGTGGCTGGGCAAAGGCGCTCCTCACTTCCCAGACAATGGGGTGGCCAGGCAGAGGTGCTCCTCACTTCCGAAACAGTGCCTTGGCCGGGCAGAGGCGCTGGTCACTTTCCGGATGGTGCGGCGGCCAGGGAGAGACGCTTCTCACTTCCCAGACGGTGGGGCGGCCAGGTAGAGGCGCTCTTCACTTCCCAGACGGTGGGGCGGCCAGGGAGAGACGCTTCTCACTTCCCAGACAGTGCGGCAGCCAGGTAGAGGCGCTCCTCACTTCCCAGACAGTGTAGTCCCTGGGCAGAGGGGCACCTCACTTCACAGATGGGGCAGCGACCGCAGAGGCACTCCTCACTTCCCAGACGGCGGGGGAGCCAGGCAGAGGAGCTCTTCACTTCCCAGACGGGGTGGCGGCCGGGCAGAGGCGCTCCTCACTTCCGAGACGGGGTGTCCTTCGCCAATTTTTATAAAAAATTTTGGCATAGTGCTTGCATAAATTTGCAGGTTGTATTCAAGACGCCTTGACTCCAATAACATAAGAGAAAACACAATGAGGGCACTTGCAGTCAAAGGAAGTTTTCAGGAGGGCACACTTGATTTGCTACACGGGGCTGGGAGAGGCACTGGGTATGTGAGGCTGGGATGCCCACGATCCAGGAATACAGAGCTTTTTCAACGTTGGCTTGAAGTCATGGCTAATAGGCAGAAAAAGGCTCCTCTCACCATGAGGGAAGACTCAGGAGGTGTGGAGGGGAATGGGGTCCATTTATTCCATCCAAGATGGGGCAAGGAAGGACAGGAGGAAGCCCAAGTGTGGAGCTGTTTCCTCCCAATAGTGAATATCTGGTAATTTACCCAGAAGTTCTGATTTTTCTTTTTAGTCAAACTAGGTTCTGATTTCCAAGATAAGGCGAAATCCAGAGCAGTTTGGGAAATGAAGGAATCTGACTGAACAATAAGAGTCAGAACCGTTGCCCTACCATAAGCAACACCTTAACAGAAACAAATTCCTTTGTCCGTTCATTCTATCCACAGACTATTTTCAGAGAAGAGAATGTCCCAGCTAGAAATGCAAGTGGACGAGTGCCAACCCGATGAGGCCAATGATTTGCGAGTGGAGACCTCTGAGGAACTTGGTAAAGAAAGCAGGGCTTTGGCCTTCGCCCGGGAGGCTTGGGACCCCTGACCACCCCCTGCCCCATCACCAATAAACAGACAGGAAGGAGGAATTCAGGGACAGCCTTCAGAAAGGAGTGGCTATCCACTGGCCACAGCGATGACTAAAGAGAGGTTCATGCCACAGCAGAACACAAACGGCGCCAAAGCTGTCTAAAGCAGACACTGAGTTTATTATTTGCTGAAGAAGGGGAGTGACCCATTTCATTAAGAAAGGTCAGAACAGCTCTCCAAACTGAAGGTAAACAGGACGGACACACTGTGGAAAAGAGGACATTTTGTTTAAAGGTCTGATTGGCTTAATTGTAAACTCTCTTGAGGGAGTGGCTGCTGTTCTGGTTGTGTGTCACAGAGACTTGAGAACAGCTCGCAGGAGATCCTGGATGATCTGACCTGTGGTGCACGGCCCTGGCAGCCTGGTGTCTGTGCCTCCTCTCGTTGAGATGAGATTTTTCTCTGGCACCCACTTGGGTTAAGAGTGAGAAGCCCTGGGGCCCATGGGCCTGCTGCATGACTCTGTACCCATCACCTGGCACATATGCAGACTTCCTGGTCACAGGGATGAGGAAACCACATGAAAAGCAGTTGGAGAAATTTGTTACCATGCAGCCATCCTATTTTCTAAACAGGAAAACTGAGTTGCAGAGAGCGAAGCCCCAGTAAGTTGGAGGATAGATGATTAAAATGCTGCTGAATAAGGGAGAAAAAGGCAAACTGGAAAGACCTAACCCCAAATTAGTCATGTCCAAATCCTGGTAGGAAGATTACAAGAGATTTTTATTTTCTCTCCTGTATGGATTTTCTATATTATTCTTTTCTGTTGGTATTCTGTATTCTCCAAATTTTTTTACTATGTGTGGCTTTGAAACCATATTTACAAAAATTTGAAGCATCAAAGATGAGCTCAAGGTCAAGGTCACTATTAAGTCAAAGGCATGCATAGATCAGGCACAGTGGCTCATACGTGTAATCCCAGCACTTTGGGAGGCTGAGGCAGGCAGATCACTGGAGGCCAAGAGTTTGAGGCCAGCTTGGGCAACAGAGAGAGACCCCATCTCTACTAAAAATTCAAAAAATTAGCTGGTCATGGTGGCATGCACCTGCAGTTCAGCTACTCAGGAGGCTGAGGCAGGAGGATTGCTTAAGCCCAGGAGTTTAAGGTTACAGTGAGCTATGATCCCTTCTCCGTACTCTAGCCTGGGTGACAGAGGGAGACCTTGTCTCTGTTTAAAAAACAAATCTGTGCTTAGCAAAGTCAGGATATTTTCCCAGAACAGGAGTTGAGAATTCAGAGCTGGTGGCTAAGTCTGGCAGCCCTATGCTGGCTAGAGCCTAGGGCTCCATCTCCAGCGTCCCAGTCCAATTACCCTCTTCCTTGTTAGCAATAAGCAATGCACTTCTTCAAGCTAGCATGCTGCTGTCTCCTCTATTCCAATTTCTTGTCCTCGCTGTTCACTGCCTTGTTACCTGGTGGCCCTGTCCAACATCAAGGACTCAACCTTTCCATTTCCTCCCAGGACCCTCGCTGAGTCCCCTTAGCCTCTTCACTTGCTTCTGCATGGCCCGTCCTGTCAGTTATTTCAGCAATCCCTCATCCCCTTGACCTCACCGCCTGCCCCTGGGGACAATCACAAGAGGACTCCATTTGACTCAGTCCAGCTGCCGCCTTCTCTGTCCTGCCTGAAGCAGCTGAGCGCTGTTGAGACCACACGGCCTCATGGATCTAGACGGGCATGAGCTCCCGGCCTCTGCTTCATCCTTGGTGCTGCCCGTAAGTCCTGTGGTCTCTGGCCAGCTTTATGTCCTACTCCCCCAATGGCTATAACAGACCTTCACCAGTCTCCTGAAGATTTCTTTCCTACTGACTCGCCCCTCCCCAGCCCTAGCTCACAATGAACTTACCCTCTGCTTCAAGGTAGAAGTAAATTTCCTTATGTGGGGGGAACGTTCAAAATTTCTAGCCTCCCTCTGCAGAGCCCCTCTCCCCGGCAGCCTCTCCTTCTACAGCTGTGGGAGGAGGCCTTACTTTTGAGTAAAGCTAATGCCTCCTCACAGCACTGAGTCCCCTCTCGTCCCCATTTCTCAGGGAGCTTATTCCATTTCTAGTCCTCTCGTATTTTAAATATGAAGCCAGAATACAGCCATGGAACTGCTTCTCCCTCAGAGCCTCCAGTAGAAACTCACCCTGCCAACACCTTGACTTTGCACTTCCAGCCTTCTCAACTGAGACAGAATACATTTCTATTGTTATAAGCCAGGGAGCCCTAGGAACCCAATACACCAACTTTCAAGGGCCTCATCCCACTGACGTCCAAGCAGGCCTAGATCTATGTATGTGTTGTCTCAGTTCTGAAAGCTCCCATGAGCCTGCAGAGAGACTGCAGGGTCTTCCTGAATCGTGCCTGAGGATGAGAGGGAGACTTAGAGGATTGCCCAGATATTGTTCCACCATTTTTCTAAACTCTGCTGGCCTCTCCCCCTCCCCCAAGAAGGCTTCCTGCTAAATTCTGCCCTGCAAGTTGGCCCTGCAGCATTCTCAAGTGCTGCCTGCCCCTGTGAACTTAAATGGATTGCGCTGTTCTTTGCACAAGAGCAAAAACATCTGCCTGGAGTGCAGCTTGTCCTAGTGGCTGGGACTTCCCTGATACACAGCTCTCCCCCATCTGCTGTGGAGTGGTCTCACTGACATCTGGGGAAGCAACTGGAAGAAGCTTCATCCCTATTTCCAAAGGTTCACAGTGACTGGCAGCTGGTGTTGAGACAGACCCGCCGCCTTCTGTAGGTGGACTTTGGTGCTGGCCTTGGTTGTCTTTTTATGGACATATTGTGAGGAGTGTGATTTTCGTCCTCCTGCCCCAGCAGTGTGGCAGTGCATTTTTTATTCTTTCAAGCAGGTTGTTTCATGGTGTTTCTTGGCATACGATGGGAACAGAATTAAAGATATGCCTCTTTTGGGGCGTGGCTTTGGCACCAAAGGCTTTCCGGAAGGAGCTGCTCAGACCAAGGGGGGCTCCCCTGCTAAAGATGGGAGGGAGGAGTCACCAGGAGTGGCCACCTTACCTATGGAATTGATTGTAGCCATCCTAAGGAAGGTCTATGGGCTCTTGAGGAAGGCAAAGGTCTTGTATAATAACTGACCCACAAGCTGTCTTTTGCCTGTCTTTTGCCAATAGCAGTGCCAAGCTGTCTCTGGCTATTGGGCAGCTGATGAGCACCGTCATGAAAAAGTGGGGCCGAGACGTGCTGCAAGTAGTGTGGCGCTGGGGCAGGAGCTCTGCCTGCAGAACAGGGGCCAGGCTCCCTCCTGGCTCTGTCACTCAGCAGGTGCAGGGCCTTGGCCAGTCCCCTGTCCTGTGTTAGTCATGATTCATTCACCTATCAAATGGAGGCTTGGCCTGAGTTTTCTCTGCAGTCCTACTGAGCTCCAGCTTTTTAAATTCTCACCTCCCTACTGCCTCCTCTGCTGTGGGCCAGTTTCTCAGCTACAATATCCATGTTCAAGGGTGTAGGCAGTGGAAGGCCTCATAGGCAGGGCACAGGGAAGCCTTGTGGGTTCATTCATGCAGCTTTCCTGAGACAGCTGGGGGCTTAGACTGTGACTGCAAACCAACAAGCTGGTGGAGTGACGGTGGCCTTGGAATGCTTTTCCTTTTTAGGTTGACATGTTAAAATGGGAAAAATCTGCTTACAAATCTACATTTCCCACTTCGCTGAAAGAACTTTAAAATGGGGTCACTTAGAACAACCTGGACTCTCTCACAACCTTCCTCCTTCTCTTTCTGAGTCTCTTGACACACCTGGCCTTCACTAATTTAGGTGACTTGCCTGGTGTAGCTACTAGAAATGGAAGAATACCCTGAGGGCATCTGGGAGGCATTGCCCTGTAGTGGGCTTCCCAGAGACCATGTGTTAGGGATGTGAGGGCCAGGCCAGAGCCTTGCTGCCCCTCCTGCAATGCCAGCTGTCCCTGCAGTTTTGTGGGTGGAAAGTTGATCCCAGCTGACAGTGGCAGCCTTGAAGTGTCTCCAGGAGGGTCTGGTACCTCTTGAGTGTTGGAAGTAAATGCTCGGTGCTGCCAAGTGAAAATAGCACTCAGGCAAAAGTTTTCTCAGCAAGGCAATTTACTTCTACAGAAGGGTGCATCTCACGGATGGAGCAATGGCAAGAGCACACTGGACAAGGGAGGGGAAGGGGTTCTTATTCCTAATGCAGCTAGTCCCTACTGCTGTGTCTTTCCCCTATTGGCTGGGGTTGGACTGCACAGTCTAAGCTAATTCCAACTGGCTATTTTAAAGAGAGCAGGGGTATGAGCCAGAGAGGCGGGGTGAGTAGTTTTGGTGGGAAGGATGGTTACAGAGCAGGTGACTAAGGATGACTAAGAACACAGCAGGTGACTAAGGATGACTAAGAACACAGCAGGTGACTAAGGATGACTAAGGACAGAGCAGGTGATAGAGGCTGGGAGGGGGTTGTTTACCAAAACTAGGGGCAAAGAGACGTAAAGAACAAAGTTAAACTTTAAAGTGGAGAACAAACAACAGGGAAGCTGAACATACTGACATGTTGGTTCTTTGAAGAGGAACTCAGAACTCATTGTACTTAACAATTTTCCCCCTCTTGAATTTTTTTTCAAGTTTCTGATAACTTTATTTCTTTTTCTTTTTATTGTACTTCAAGTTCAAGGGTACATGTGCACAACATGCAGTTTTGTTACATAGGTATACATGTGCCATGTTGGTTTGCTGCACCCATCAATTCATCATTTACATTAGGCATTTCTCCTAATGCTATCCCTTCCCCAGCCCCCCACTCCCTGACAGGCCCCAGTGTGTGATGTTCCCTGCCTTGTGTCCAAGTGTTCTCATTGTTCAATTCCCATTTATAAGTGAGAACATGCGGTGTTTGGTTTTCTGTCCTTGTGATAGTTTGCTGAGGATGATGGTTTCCAGCTTCATCAATGTCCCTGCAAGGGACATGAACTCATCCTTTTTTATGGCTACATAGTATTCCATGGTGTATATGTGCCACATTTTCTTAATCCAGTCTATCATTGATGGACATTTGGGTTGGTTCTTTGCTATTGTGAATAGTGTCACAATAAACATACGTGTGCATGTGTCTTTATAGTAGTATGATTTGTAATCCTTTGGGCATATACCCAGTAATGGGATGGCCGGGTCAGATCCTTGAGGAATTGCCACACTGTCTTCCACAATGGTTGAACTAATTTACACTCCCACCAACAGTGTAAAGGCGTTCCTATTTCTCCACATCCTCTCCAGCATCTGTTGTTTCCTGACTTTTTTTTTTTTTTTTTCTGAGACGGAGTCTCGCTCTGTCACCCAGGCTGGAGTGCAGTGGCGCGATCTTGCCTCACTGCAAGCTCCACCTCCCGGGTTCATGTCATTCTCCTGCCACAGCCTCCCGAGTAGCTGGGACTACAGGGGCCCGCCACCAAGCCCAGCTAATTTCTTTGTATTTTTAGTAGAGACGGGGTTTCACTGTGTTAGCCAGGATGGTCTCAATCTCCTGAACTCATGATCCACCTGCCTCGGCCTCCCAAAGTGCTGGGATTACAGGCGTGAGATACCGCACCTGGCCGTTTCCTGACTTTTTAATGATCAGCATTCTAACTGGCATGACATGGTATCTCATTGTGGTTTTAATTTGCATTTCTCTGATGACCAGTGATCATGAGCATTTTTTCATCCATCTGTTGGCTGCATAAATGTCTTCTTTTGAGAAGTGTCTGTTCATATCCTTTGCCCACTTTTTGATGGGGTTGTTTGCTTTATTCTTGTAAATTTGTTTAAGTTCTTTGTAGATTCTGGATATTAGCCCTTTGTCAGATGGGTAGATTGCAAAAATTTTCTCACAGATGGTAGTTTCTTTTGCTGTGCAGAAGCTCTTTGGTTTAGTTAGATCCCATTTGTCTATTTTGGCTTTTGTTGCCATTGCTTTTGGTGTTGTAGTCATGAAGTCCTTGCCCATGCCTGTGTCCTGAATGGTATTGTCTAGGTTTTCTTCTAGGGTTTTTATGGTTTTAGGTCTAACATTTAAGTCTTTAATCCATTTTGAATTAACTTTTGTTTAAGATGTAAGGAAGTGATCCAGTTTCAGCTTTCTATGTATGGCTAGCCAGTCTTCTCAGCACTATTTATTAAACAGGGAATCCTTTCCCCATTTCTTGTTTTTGTCAGGTTTGTCAAAGATCAGATGGTTGTAGATGTGGGTTTTATTTCTGAGATCTCCGTTCTATTCCATTGGTCTATAAATCTGTTTTGGTACCAGTACTATGCTGTTTTGGTTACTGTAGTCTTGTAGTATAGTTTGAAGTCAGGTAGCATGATGCCTCCAGCTTTGTTCTTTTTGATTAGGATTGTCTTGGCAATGCGGGCTCTTTTTTGGTTCCATATGAACTTTAGTTTTCTCCAATTCTGTGAAGAAAGTCTTTTGTAGCTTGATGGGGATGGCACTGAATCTATAAATTACCTTGGGCAGTATGGCCATTTTCACAAATATTGATTTTTCCTATCCATGAGGATGGAATGTTCTTCCATTTGTTTGTGTCCTCTTTTATTTCGTTGAACAGTGGTTTGTAGTTCTCCTTGAAGAGGTCTTTCACATCCCTTGTAGGTCGGATTCCTAGGTATTTTATTCTTTTAGTAGCAGTTGTGAATGGGAGTTCACTCCTGACTTGGCTCTCTGTTTGTTATCGGTGTATAGGAATGCTTGTGATTTTTGCACATTGATTTTGTATCCTGAGACTTTGCTGAAGTTGCTTATCAGCTTAAGGAGATTTTGGCCTGAGGCAATGGGGTTTTCTAAATATGCAGTCATGTCATCTGCTAACAGGGACCATTTTACTCCCTCTTTTCCTAATTGAATACCCTTTATTTCTCTTGCCTGATTGCCCTGGCCAGAACTTCCAACACTATGTTAAATGGAGTGGTGAGAGAGGGCATCTGTGTCTTCTGCCAGTTTTCAAAGGGAATGCTTCCAGTTTTTGCCCATTCAGTATGATATTGGCTGTGGGTTTGTCATAAATAGCTCTTATTATTTTGAGATACGTTCCATAAATACCTAGTTTATTGAGAGTTTTTAGCATGAAGGGCTGTTGAATTTTGTCAAAGGCCTTTTCTGCATCTATTGAGATAATCATGTGGTTTTTGTCATTGGTTCTGTTTATGTGATGGATTATGTTTATTGATTTGCATATGTTGAACCAGCCTTGCATCCCAGGGATGAAGCTGACTTGATGTTGGTGAATAAGCTTTTTGATGTGCTGCTGGATTTGATTTGCCAGTATTTTATTGAGGATTTTTCCATCAATGTTCATCAGGGATATTGGTTTAAAATTCTCTTTTTGTGTTGTGCCTCTGCCAGGCTTTGGTATCAGGATGATGCTGGCCTCATAAAATGAGTTAGGGAGGATTCCCTCTTTTTCTGTTGATTGGAATAGTTTCAGAAGGAATGGTACCAGCTCCTCTTTGTACCTCTGGTAGAATGTGGCTGTGAATCCATCTGGTCCTGGATATTTTTTGGTTGGTAGGCTATTAATTACTGCCTCAATTTCAGAGCCTTTTATTGGTCTAGATTTTCTAGTTTATTTGTGTAGAGGTGTTTATAGTATTCTCTGATGGTAGTTTATATTTCTGTGGGATTGGTGGTGATATCCTCTTTATCACTTTATTGTGTGTATCTGATTCTTCTCTCTTCTTTATTAGTCTTGCTAGTGGTCGACTAATTTTGTTGATCTTTTCAAAAAACCAGCTCCTGGATTCATTGATTTTTTGAAGGGTTTTTTTGTCATTGATTTTTGAAGTGTCTTTATCTCCTTCAATTCTGCTCTGATCTTATTTCTTACCTTCTGCTAGCTTTTGAATTTGTTTGCTCTTGCTTCTCTAGTTCTTTTAATTATGATGTTAGGGTGTTGATTTTAGATCTTTCCTGCTTTCTCTTGTGAGCATTTAGTGCTATACATTTCCCTCTACAAACTGCTTTAAATGTGTCCCAGAGATTCTGGTACGTTGTGTCTTTGTTCTCATTGATTTCAAAGAACATCTTTATTTCTGCCTTCATTTCATTATTTACCCAGTAGTCATTCAGGAGCAGCTTGTTCAGTTTCCATGTAGTTGTATGGTTTTGAGTGAGTTTCTTAATCCTGATTTCTAATTTGATTGCACTGTGGTATGAAAGACAGTTTGTTGTGATTTCTGTTCTTTTACATTTGCTGAGGAGTGCTTTACTTCCAATTATGTGGTCAATTTTATAATAAATGTGATGTGGTGCTGAGAAGAATATATATTCTGTTGATTTGGGGTGGAGAGTTCTGTAGATGTCTATTAGATCCACTTGGTGCAGAGTTGAGTTCAAGTCCTGGATATCCTTGTTAACCTTCTGTCTCATTGATCTGTCTAATATGGACAGTGGGGTGTTGAAGTCTCCCATTATTACTGTGTGGGAGTCTAGGTCTCTTTCTAGGTCTCTAAGGACTTGCTTCATGAATCCGAGTGCTCCTGTATTGGGTGCATATATGTTTAGGACAATTAGCTCTTCTTGTTGAATTGATCCCTTTACCATTATGTAATGGCCTTCTTTGTCTCTTTAGATCTTCACTGGTTTAACGTCTGCTGTATCAAAGACTAGGATTGCAACCCCTGCTTTTTTTTTCTCTCCATTTGCTTGGCAGATCTTCCTCCATCCATTTATTTTGAGCCTATGTGTGTCCTGCACTTGAGATGGGTCTCCTGAATATAGCACACTAATGGGTCTTGACTCCTTATCCAATTTGCCAGTCTGTGTCTTTTATTAGGGGCATTTAGCCCATTTACGTTTAACATTAATATACTTGTGTGTGAATTTGATCCCGTCATTACAATGTTAGCTGGTTATTTTGCCCATTAATTGATGCTGTTTCTTCATAGCATCGATGGTCTTTACAATTTGGCATGTTTTTGAAGTGGTTGATACAGGTTGTCCCTTTCCATGTTTAGTGCTTCCTTCAGGAGCTCTTGTAAGGCAGGCCTCATGGTGACAAAATCTCTCAGCATTTGCTTGTCTATAAAGGATTTTATTTCTCCTTCACTTATGAAGCTTAGTTTGGCTGGATATGAAATTTTGGATTGAAAATTCTTTTCTTTAAGAATGTTGAATATTGGCCCCTACTCTCTTCTGGCCTGTAGAGTTTCTGCTGAGAGATCTGCTGTTAGTCTGATGGGCTCCCCTTTGTGGGTAACCCAACCTTTCTCTCTGGCTGCCCTTACCATTTTTTCCTTTATTTGAACCCTGGTGAGTCTGACAATTATGTGTCTTGGGGTTGCTCTTCTCGAGGAGTATCTTTGTGGTGGTCTCTGTATTTCCTTAATTTGAATGTTGGCCTGCCTTGCTAGGTTGGGGAAATTCTCCTGGATAATATCCTGAAGAGTGTTTTCTAGCTTGGTTCCACTCTCCTTGTCACTTTCAGGTACACCAGTCAATTGTAGATTTGGTCTTTTCACATAGTCCCATATTTTTTGGAGGCTTTGTTCATTTCTCTCTTTTCGCCCCCGGGTTCTGCCCAGGGTGGCCTGATGGAAAGCCCCGACATTAGAATGGGAACCATCCCTTAAAACCTGTCTTTTCCAAAAGCCAGTTTGAATTTACATCTTTAAAATCTCCAAAATATTTATTTTACAAGGCAGGAGCTGTGCCCCAAAGCTTGTGGCAATTGGGGACCTAAGGTTCCTTGAAATCACCTGAGTGTGGAAGTGGTGATAAGGTGCTAAAGAGATGATCTGAACTCACCAGGCTGATGTGGATAGAATGGGAGGCCCCAGTTCTGTCCCTCCATCCCTGAGGCCCCTCCCCAACCTCCCTGGACCCCCTGTCCACAGAGGCCGTGCTGTGTGCCAGCCTCACTCCTGCATTCTGGAGATGCCGTTCCAAGATGGAGGTTCCCTCACACCTTCCCCCACCCAGCAAACTCCATTGGACAGATCCACACCAGCAACAGCTTCACAGCTAGGCCCTGGAGGTATGGAGCTCACAGACCTCCCACTAACTAAGAAAAACACGGTAGAGAGCCAGAAGGGTGGCAGGTTCCAACAGAGCCCCCACCATGTCCCCCACCCAGCCCCCCATCCGACCCCTTCCCTCCACCTGGACTCAGCACCATCCTGAGTCCCTGCGTGAGAGGCACGTTGAGTTCTATGGAAGAATAACAAAAGTGAGAACAACTGGTACAGTTGCCATGAGGCCCTGGATGCCCAGGGGACTGGAGGCTTTGACGGCCTCTGACTCGGCCCCTCTCGGGGGATCCTGAAGACTATGGGGATGTTTGCCTCTCCACACACACACAGCATCCCATTCCCTGGCTGCCACTCCACACAGATTACCTTCCTGCACCAGAGGTTTCAATATTTCTTGAAAAGGTTGGCAATTTTGAAATTTTTTTCATACATTTATTCCTTACGATCCACTCCTCTGCTTTCTTACAATTGAGCATTTTGAGAATAATTTAACCTTTTCATCATGACTTGGGGTCCTGATGATGAACACCATTATTGTGTTGAGATGTCATTTCCCCCAGAGTGCAGGGACCATGTCTCAGTCCTCTGTGTGCTCCTCGGCACCTCGGCCAGCCCATGGCGATGCTGTGTGTGTCTGCGGGGTTGCACTGACAGAAGCCAACAGAGGCTCTGGCATAAAGGCTGACAGCCTGCTGCTCTGGGCGGTTCTGCTTTGTGAATATGTGTTCCTTAGTGTCTTTCCTTAGTATCCTCTCTTGCTATCAGTCTATCAGCTCACCAAATCTTGAGGCCCCTCTTTTTATTTTCACTTTTTAAAAATTGAGATATCATTCACCTAACATAAAAATCACCCTTTTAAAGTGGTTTTCATATATATTCACAAAATTGTGCGTCCATCACTACTATCTAATTCTAAACATTTTCATCACCTCCACAAAGAAACCTCATACGCATGGTCAGTCTCCACACTTCTTTCCCCTAGCCCCCAGCAACCACAAACCTACCTTCTGTCTCTCTGGATTTGCCTGTTCTGCACTTTTGCATAGAATGGAATCCTGTGCCATGTGGTCCCTTTATGCACGATATCCAACCCAGAGAAAGGCCTTGCTTCCTAAGCCCTCCTGAGACTCACCAGCCACGAGCCCGCATCTATAGCAAGTTCTTTTGAAGGCCCTCTTTACTGCTGGACATTCTTCCTTTGTGCAACAAGTCAATAAACCCATTTTGGTTCAGCTACAGGTGAGTTCTTGGTGGTTTTTTAGCTTAGGAGGATTGGCAGAAATAGAGGTTCCCTGAGTCAGCTGAAGCCCTCCCCCTTGGACAAGAACCCCCGCCTCAGTTAGGGTGGACACAGCTGAGACATACAGGGTGTCTCCCTCTGTCTGAGGTGCCGGGTGGCCCACAGCTGGAAGGCAGCTCGGGCTGAATGGAGGCTGATATTTCCTTGAGGCCCCATGGAGGCTGATATTTCCTTGAGGCCCCTCCGCTTCAGGTGTGCTCTGTTCTGGGAATGAGGTGCTGTGCGACTTTTCCTGGTGATCTGATCAGATTTGCCCCGCTCCACGGTGAAACTGCTGTCTAGCCTTCTGAGAAATGCTCCTATGTCTATCTGGTGGTCGAATGTTCTAAGCGTTGTCTCTAAGTGGAAAATTCAGTAGTTGATAGGGGCCCGGGAAGTCTGTCCTCAAGCTGGTCTTGGAGGTCACAGTGCTCAGGAGTTCCCCTCAGACTAGCATTCATTGGAATGAGCTTTGCCCCAGGTCACTGTTTTCATACCTAAGGGTGGATTTTCCCCTCAACTTTGTCTCTGTGTGGTTCCTGAGAACTGCTCACTTTAAAGTTCCCTCTGCCTGGAATCAGGAGGATTGGGGACAATCAGCCTGTGGCCTCTGACCAAGCTCTGGAGGCACGAAGTCTCTTCTCGGACTGCTCGGGTGCCCGTGCGACCTTCTTCATCGGACGTGGCTCTTCCCCAGGCCAAACGCCTGCTGCTTTCAGATTTCCTCACTGTCGTGTGAACTCATCTTATGCCTCTGACACAATTTCTTGAGACACCATTTGAAACTGCAGTGGCCGCTCTGGGGAATTTTCACATGAATGAGGTTGTTCGTTTGAGAGGTTCTGTACAGCAAACATGGAAGGAGCCCCGTGAAGAGCTTCTCTTGTGGGACAGAGACATCGATGTGTTTAATGCAGGAGACACAGTCCCTTCCTCATTTGTTTCCATACTTCAGGGATTAATAAGTGCTGGGGTTTTGTTGTACAGATTGATAAAACTGTCGAAGGCCAAGCTGTTGTCCAAAACAGGATAATTTCACTAGCTTTGAGAGTATTTGTCAAAAATATGTTTTTCTAACTTTTCTTTTTTTTTGCAAAATAACCTAATTAGCCTGATAGTCATAATTTCATACTTACTGGAAGCCAGTTCCCTCTACTTTTTTATTTAAAACAAGCTTACATTTCTTGTTTTAATATTTATTTATGTATTTATTTATTTATTTATTTATTTGAGACAGGATATTATTCTGTCACCCAGACTGCAGTGTAGTGGCACAATCACAGCTCACCACAGCCTGGACTTCCCAGGCTCAGGTGATCCTTCCACCTCTGCCTTTTGAGTAGCTAGTACTACAGGTGCCCAACCACCACACCCAGCTAAGTTTTGTATTTTTTGTAGAGATGAGGTTTTGCTATGTTTCCCAGGCTGGTCTCAAATTGCTTGGGCTCAAGCAATCTGCCCACCTCAGCCTCCAAACTTAGAATTACAGACGTGAGCCACACCATCCAGCCTCTAATTTTTTGTTTCTATCCCTCCATTTTTCTTGGGTTAGACGACATTGACTCATTATTTTTCAGAAAAGAAAACAGAGGCTCAGAGAGGTTAAGTGACTTGCCCAAGTTCACACTGCTAACCTACAGCAGGGCCAGGACTCAACTCAGACCGTGAGATGCGGCCAGCGTTTGGAACAAAAGCGTATCTCATTGTGTTGCTTCCCTCAGCACCGAGGAGAAAGGAGAGAAACTTGGGGATCATCAGACCAGCCACGCCAGAGCTCATAGCAGTCTTACTCAGTCCCACAAGCCCACAGGACGTCAGCACAAGAACCTGTTCTTAAAACCATCCAATCTCACCTCTCGATTAACAGATGTGGAGACTCAGGCCCAGAGAGGAAAAGTGACTCATTCAAGGTCGCACAGATTAGTGGCAATGCCTAGACTTGAACTGAGATGAGCAGAGTCTGGTGCACTGCCACGTCCCACCCTCCTCCTCCACAGCAGGTGCAGGGAGGGTCCATTCTTCTGGTCACTGCAGCATAGTACAGTTTTCTGTGTCAGTGCCCTTCCTCTTAGAAAGAAACACCTCTGGGCTGGGGTAGCTAGCTCCCACTTTTAGCCATGTAAAATTTCTCTCTGGGCATTTTAGGTAGGAGTGTTGTCTATATTCTTAAGTGTCCGAGTCTACTTTGGCTACAGAGATGAATTAGGAAAAATTAGACTCTGCTTTGTATGTATGCAGAGTTCTCCGTGCACGATAAAGTGTAAATGAAAAGCAGCAAATGCTATTAGCAGGAGGGCAAGCCAAAACTGCTAGGCCCTTTTTAAATGTCCTCAAGTCATCCTCAAACCTACCCATGTAATTATCTTCTAAGTTCATTCTCAAAAATGAGATTCTACATTTCAGGGTTTATTTACAGCCAGATGATCATAATACTCCCCTGCTCAAAAAGCTTCGGTGACCCCTATTCCTTGAAATTAAAGTCACAGATTCCTATCTCATCATTCAAGGCCACCTGTGATCTGGTCAAAATCTATTTCTAGTAGTATTGCCCACTGTTTCCTTTCCAAGCACTCAACTCAGTCTACCTCCAGCTGATTAGATTTCCTAGAAATAACTACTCCTCCTTCTAAACCCCATGAACAAATGTTTTCTGAAAAGGTATTTGGAGGAAAGAGACTTTATTCCAGTGGACAAAACTGGGTGTTAGGTTTTGAAGGGAAGGCGAGGGTTAAAGAAAGACATACGTAAGAGGGTGGCTTAATAGCAAATGCAGGCTTTATGTCCAGCATAAAACCTACAGAAGTCAGGAACCAGCATAATGCCAGAGCCCACTGCTGCTTACAGGCTGGGGCAATTTATGGGCCAAAGGGGTCCGGGCAGTATGGCTTGCTGCCTGGCAGGATATTGATAAGATGTTCCCGTGATGAGATGGTTCTGGCCCTTGTTCCAGTGGGATTTCGTTGTGGTGTTCCTCGGATCTTTGTCCAGCATGATATGATAGAGATGTGTCTTTGGTTAGGCCTTTGTCTGCCTTGTGGTCAGGTGGTTAGGCAGGACGTTTCTCACACCCGAACCCCTGTTTCACTTTGACTAAGGTCTGCAAAATAGCAGGGAGAGCTTATGACATGGTGCAGTTTGGACTAACACTGAGAGACCAGAGTTCAGTGTAAAATGAATGTGCGTTCAGAGAACAGAGAGGAGTCGGGCTTTATAGCAAAATTTGCTGCCCAGGTTCCCCATCAGGTTCATTTGCATATGAACCCAGATTCATTTGCATTTGCTTTCCTCTGATGCAGCTGAGCCCTGATTAACCGAGCAGATGAGCTCTGATTGATTGGTTTCCAAGCCCTAAACTGGGAGTCTCTGTCAGACTGTGGCTGGCTGGTGGTGGGAGGGGCCCAGCAGCAGTTTGTCCTGGGAGCAACAGCAGGCGCTGGTTTGGCTTGATTGTGAAAAGAGGGGTCCTGTGATGCTCTTATATCTTTCTGAGAACACAGAGTATGTGATCGCTCCCACACCCGGCTGTAGCCACTGGGTTTCTGTTTTAAATATGAGTACCTCAGTGAGTCATAGGGAGTCCATTTGGTCTGTGGGCTGTGAACATACTTTAAACAATCCCAATCCTGTTCTCTCTTGACAAATCACTTTCTTTACCCAAATACAGATACTGGAGTACGTGTCTTTCCTCCCCTTAAGGACAGTACCTCTTGGGCTTACTTTAGTTAGCCCCACCTAGGAGAGAGCCTGGCACATGTTAGGTCTTAATAAACACTGAGCAAATGAATGACTGAGTTGTATGAGACATTTCATTTACCCTCCCCGGCTCCATGCCTGGGAGGAATGAGCTACCTCTGAAGATGGGTAACGTCTTGAGATTTTCACAAAAGAATATAAAGCTAGCAAGTCAAAGACAGTGTGATACTGCTTTAATTTTAGTTTAGTTTTTTTTTTTTTTTTTTCCTGAAACACAGCACATTAGGAGTTGAGATGATGGTATTGACTGTCCTTGTGGTTTGTGTGCAATTTTTAACCAGGATTCATGGCTGGGGAAACAAAAGCACTTCTTTGCTTGCATAACTTTTTTCCCTTCCTTTATTACTTCAAAGAGGCAAGATGTGGTTTGCATTCATTTCACTGCTAATATTGCTCTCAAAGATCGCTAAAGATCTCTTCTCCCCTTACACATTCCACTCATTTATAACCCAGATCCTCAGTGTGGCTAATGGAGGGTCCCTCAGCCCTGTAACTTCTGTGCATGAAGCAGTAGGTAGTGGGTCCAGTTATGTTAAACATTAGGTAATATCAGTATCTTTTAACCTTACTATGAGAATCTTAAAGATGGAAGCATTAGCCTCTGCTTATGATTGCTGCAGGCAAGAATCTGCACCAACCCTCCCAAGAGTATAAAGATCATCACCGTCACCGTCACCATTGTAAGGTCACAGCTCTTCACAGTTCACTTATCTTTTTCCTAGTTATTCTCCCTCCTAATCATTGCCAAAGTCTTGGGAGATAGGTGTGAATCCTTCTAGGACGCAGCTGAAAAAGTTAAATGTCTTGTCCTAGAGCACACAGCTCAGCAGCACCAAGAATGAAATGTTAAATCTGGTGTTTTTCCCTCTCTGCTGTAGTGAAGCTCTGCTAGAGATTTACCGAAGTCCTTGATATTTTAACCTAGCTATCAACTTCAGCCCAGAGAAGGTCTTCCAAAAGTAGATTCCAAAAGTATATTCATCCATCAACCATAACCTTAAATCTGAAGCCAGGAACTAAAAAGAAATTCTCAAGGTAACACAATTGTCATGAAGTCTCACTCCCAGGGCCAATTATAATCTGGATTTTTGTCTTCATCCTTCCAGGTGTCTCTGATCCCACTGTAAGCAAACCCTGAGTCCTAGGGCCTTTCTTCCACTTATTTCACTCTTTCTGTACACATTTTCCAGTACCTCCACCACTCACCACCCTCCAAAAAGAACTGATCCCTAAGCTTGTGCAGTGATTAACGATTTTCATGTCTTTTCTATTTGCCTGCAGTTATGCTACAAGATCTCTTGGCAAAGGACTAGCCAGGCATGCCTAATATATACATTCGTGTGATTTAACAAACTGGTTTCTACCACTTTCGGCCTGAAGTGACAGTGTTTTTTAACGTTGGTTGCAGGCAGGGGACTGTTGCCCCCTGCCAAGCACTTCAGCTTCCTTGCCCGGCCTCTCCTTGGCTTCTGTCTGTCCCCACCAGCAGCTCTTCATGGGACCCATCCTGACCCTCCAAGAAAGCAGAAAAGGAGGTTCCTGATGCAAAACCTAAAGAGCTTTCATCTGAGGAAGGTGAATCCTTTTTAAACTATGAGGCCTGGAGAGACGTTAAAATGAGAGCAATCACACCCTACTCCCCGCTTTGAGCTATGTATTCATCTCTTAAAACTGCTTGCTATTGCCACAAGTAGCTATGAATTAATTTTAATTTAGGATTATTATAGTGTCTCACCAGAAGCATAAACCACATCCTATAACTTAACAATAACCAATTGCTCATCAATTTTGTTTCTGTAATCCAAAGAGAGTTCCTGATCAACAACTTTGTACCAGCCCACTCTCTCGGTCCCAGTCTTTTGTTTTTAAAAACCTGCTTGGAACAAAGGCTCTAGGAAGCTCACAGCCAAGAGTACTTGGGTCTGAGTCTTCCAGGCAGCTGTCCTCACTTTGGCTCAAGTAAACTCTTTAAATTATGCTTTGCGTCTCAGCCTCTGCCTTTTGGGTCAACACTGAGGGGAGTAAATGAATGGCACCTGCTCCTTCTCTGTCTGAAGCTTGGACTTCTCCTGAGAGGACTTCCTGCTCCAAGATAGGAGGGAGTCTCACTCAGAAGAGGAAGGAGCTCCTGTCTGCTGAGGACACGGTTCCATCCAATGAGGTCAGCAGGGCTATCAGCAGCTTCCGTTAATTCCGTTGGGGCAGGCGTGTGGCAAGCAGCAGTTATTTGAGCTGAGGATGCTGGGATGGATTTTCACATGAGCAGTTGGCCCTTAGATCATGAGACCAGCCTAAGTGCCCAAGGAAATGGAACAGCAGGGAGGGGGAGGGACATCACACCCACTATCAAAACTTCTTGTTAGTCTCTGGCTTCCACATCCTTCCCCAAAACTTCAGCCCAATTCACAGCCGCATTTTTCCATCTCTTTGCCATTCCTCCATGGGAGAGCTTTCTGTTGGTACAGGAATAGCTGAGAAGTGGGAAAGATCAAGGGTAGTAAGAGCTGCCCCCGATAATCTACAGAAAGCTTTGCTGGAATGAGGTTGTGCATCTCTGAACCTGAGCTAGATTTGTTGGGTCAGGGACCATACTTATTTACTGGCCCAAGAATTAGAAGAGGAGGTGTCTAAGAAATGCTTGTTGAATGAATAAATAAACAGCCGAGTGAGTGTTTATATGAGCCTGAAAACTGCCTGCACCAGCACAAAAGTAAAGCCCCAACACCCTCAGGTCACACCTACTGGAAAAATATATGTCAGCCCCAGAAAAATGTGGGCAACATGAGGCAACTCCGGAGCAACACAGGAAACTGCCCTCCTCTTCTGGCCCCTCTTCCACTGTGATGCTCAAAGTCTGTGATGACCAAGTCTGGTCATCTAATCAGCAGGATATAAGAGGGTCATTCTTCACTGCGGCCATTCCAGTTTCCTGGAAACTTGGCTTTCTCCTGACCGTTTCCCCAGGAGCACGGTGGTGACAAGCTTGAGCTCTGACATCAGAAAGTCCCCAGTTTGAAACCTCTAGCTTCTTACTCGCTAGCTATGAGACTTTGGGCAAATTAATCTCTAAACCTCAATTTCTCAATCTGTAAAATGTTCAAGGTCAAGCAACTCACTTTTCCACATTGTAATTGATGAAACTAAAATTCAGACTCAGATCTGCCTCACTCCACAGTCTGTGCTTTTTCCTTCCCACTCATCTTTTTCTCTTTCTATTAAAAATTTCATAACACATTTGAGATTCTGTCTCAACTCATATCACTGAAATCATCTGTCACGTCTGATGATCATATAGAAGCCAGACTAAGATTCAGCCACAAATGTTATGCCTAAACATTTCTTATTATTTCTTTTTAATGTTTCTCATGTATACAATCAAACTCGCACCCTAGTATTATTGGCAGGCTAATATATGCCCATGAGACATGTAGCTTAAATCTCTATGGGATAGGATAAGTATTCTCCCTTTGTTTGTGATTTGAAAGCTTTCCATGGATGCTAAAGCGATTTGTTAAAATACCTTCACCTGTAAGTGTTTTTCCTCTCTTAAAAGCCTAATTCATCTCTGAGTTTGTTTACTAAAATAATCTAATTTGCTCATTTTCTCTAGCCATTCCAAGCTAAATCCCAGGAAGTACTAAAGAAGCAATGCACAGACACAGTATCATACAATTTGAGACACAGTATTATAAAATTGATGTGAACTTCTAGGCACAGTGTGCTCACAGTCTGTCTGGAAATAACTTTGTAGCAAGCATAGTTCCAGTCTAGCTGCCTGGCAGCCTGGCAGGATATTATTATTACTGATACTAATTTACTTTTTAATGTAAGTCTACCCAGAATATATTAAAGAAGTTTCAAGAAATCAGGATCATGGATTATAACCTGACGTAGTGCTAAGGAACCATCAGTTCCATGTAAGCATTTGGTTAGCAAGTCTTTTTCAAAGGCCATGCTTGAGAAACAGTTTTGCTCTCCCAAACAATGTGTTGTAGTTTTTTTTAGCATACTACTGTGCAGATAAATAAATGAGATATTAATGCCATTGCAAGTTCTGGCTTTGTGTAGAGTTTTCTAGTGAAGCCTGTTTAGGATCCTGGATTTGTCCAAGCTGTTCTGATTATCCCATCATTTTTAACATGGATAATCTACAATCTTTCATCTATTACATAAATTGAATTCTGGCACAAGTTCAACTGCTCTTCATTGAAACTGAGAAAAATTTTAGGATCACTTTGCTGGAATCCAAAGAAGATGTTAAATACTACCAAAAAAAAAAAAAGGCTGAAAACTGGTTTCCAAGAATCTCTGGGGCATCCTTAAGAACTCCCCTTGCATGTTCATTAGACGGCCCTTTACCCAATGTATCTCTAATAGTCTGCTGAAAATACTCAAAGGCAAGTAATTTTCATGTAATCAACTAAACAAAATGTTTAACAAATATGGCAAATATTAATATTTTTAACTGTTTATGTAAAGTGCAAGAGAGTTATTGATTAGGAGAGTAGCTCTGAAGCCGAACAGCCTAGGTCTAAATCCCGGTTCTTTCATCAACAAGCTCCATTACTGTTGATAAGTTATTTGAATTATCGGTGTCTTAGTATCTTTCCTTATAGAGGTGATGATTGCTCCTACCTAATAGCACTGTAGCAATCATATATGCAGAGCTTATCACACTAATTGACATTCAAAAATATTAGCTCTTAAAAAATTATTATTAGAAATTTGAGAAAAAGAATCACACTAAAAAAGGATAAAAGGCATTGAAAATAATTCCCCCAAAAGAAAATAAAAATTTCTCAAATCATATAGGACTTATTTTGTAACATTAAGAAGATTCCAATTAATTCAAATTAAATGGATGATGCCTTATCTTCACAATGACATTCCAATAGCTTGTTTTCTTATTTTAATGAAAATATGTAATGATGGTGAAGATTCAGTGAGACAGGCACTTCCATACTAGCTGCTGGAATTCTACGTTGACACAACATATTTGGTGAGCAATATGGCAATCAGAAGACTAAAAGAATGTTGCATATTTTGTCTTGGTAATTCCTCTTCTGGAAATCTTTCTTAAGTGAACAATTCCTAATTCAAAAGCTACTTACTATATAGTTATACACAAAGACATATGCTACAAAATTATTAATTACTAGGAAAACAAAATGAAATAATCTATATGTTATATAATAAAAGCATAACTAAATAAATTTCGTGTAGTCACATAAAGATATGTTTATGCAGCAGAAAATTGGAATTTATGAAAAGATTGGCATAATATAGAGACAAGTTTTCTTAGTTATCATGAACAGAAAAATATGATGGCAGTCATGAAAAATATTCATTAAAAATTAGAGGAAAATAAATATGTCTATCTATCTAGCTAGCTAGCTAATTTTGAGATTCTGTTTTATAACTGAAGTTTAGACTCTGTGACCCTCCCCTAAAAGTCTGTTCATCTCTTTTTTAGTTAAGACTGTTGACTGTTTTCCACAACAACCAGTAGACATCAGTGACCATTAACCACTTTTCTCATGCATTCTATTTTCCTTATTTCCAGAATACATTCCCTTAAGCTAAATACAACTTCTCCCTCTACATCTGTTTTCCATGAGCATATCTGGATTTACTGGTATATCTATCACTTCCATGTCCTTTTCAGGATTGGTGAACCATGTCATCCATTCCTGCTCCAGGCAGAAGCTTGTTCTCAGTCCTTGGTTTTGAGCTTGTGTATCTGTCTCTCTCTTTAATTTTTATTTTAGGTTCAGGGGCACAAGTGCATGTAGGTTAGATGGGTAAACTCATGTCACATGGGTTTGTTGTACATATTATTTTGTCTTCCAGGCACTAAACCTACTACCCAATAGTTATTCTTCCTGGTCCTCTCTATCCTTCGACCTTCTACTCTCAAGTGGGCCTCAATGTCTGTTATTCCCCTTATTGTCTCCGTGTGTTCTCATTATTTAGCTCCCACTTATAAATGTGAACATTCGGTATTTGGCTTTCTTTTCCTTTGTAAGTTTGCTAAGGATAATGGCCTCCAGCTCTATCCATGTCCCTGCAAAGGACATGATCTAGTTCTTTTATGTGACTGCAGAGTAGTCCATGGTGCACATGTACCACATTTTTTTTTAAATCCAGTCTGCCGTGGATGGACATTTAGGTTGATTCCATGTCTTTGCTATTGTGAATGGTGCTGCAATGAACATGTGTGTATGTATTTCTTTATGGTAGAACAATAAATCACAATGTTAATGGCTGTTGGTAGAATTAATTTTACGTAATTTCTAATCTTTTTCTTTATATTTTTCAAATATTCTACAATGAGAATACATTGCTTCTCTAATAATATTAATGCAAGCATATAAATAATTTAAGTTCCCTGGTTAATCTCACTTATTATCTCTAAGCTTTGTGTCTCCTTGTGAAGGCAAATCTCCTGAATAAATGCTTACTTAGCACGCGCATCCACTTGGAATCCATCATCTGAAATAGTTACTGTTCATGGTGCATTGACTTTAACTTCAAACTTGGGCAACACTGGAAACAAAGAGAAATATACTTCAGCCCCCACAATCACTGGTGAGCAAAATTTATTGCAATCATGTAGCTTAAGGTGCTTCCCAGCACCAGCTTTCCCTGTATGTCCATCTGGATAGATCATGTTCTGTTGCCCCAGATTCCATGTGGCACCAGTCTACATGATGGTGTCTCACTAGTCATTAACTCTTCCTTTTTCTTTTCTCTGTCCTCAGAATTTCAAGTTTTTTCCTTTGTAATCTCTTAGATCTCTCCTGGCAGATTGGGCTCTAGAAAATGTATATTTCCTAGGGGAAAAAAAACGACAGAAATTAGAATAACGATACTGGGGGAGGAGTGAGGAGGAGGAAAATGCTGATGATGAAGCTGACCAGGCCAAGGAAGGGAGATGAGAAAAACCAGATCAAGCTTCACCTACTCCTGCCTACGTCTAACACCAAAGGTGTTTTGTTCCATGCTTTGAATCCTTTATCTACACAGGACAACTACAAATAGCAATTGGTTACCCTACCCTTGATAGTAAATTGGTGTGTCAGTGTCTTTCCTGATTTTCTTTTCACGACAATTGAGTAACCTCCAAACACTGTTTCTGAAATCAGTGGGAATGAGAGGAATCATACAGTATGGACTGTTTTGTGACTGGCTTCCTTGTTTCCACATTATGTCTGTGAAATTCATCCCTCTTGTGGCAGACAGGAGGAGCTCACTGCCTTTCACTGTCTTGTAATCTTCCATGGCCGGAGCACCCCACACTGTATCCATTCTATTCCTTCCACTTTTTGATGATGATGAATGAACATTCATCATCTCTGAATGTGTTTGTATATGACTTTTGGTGAACATAAATGCTCATTTCAGTTTGGTAGATACCTAAGAAATTGAATTGCTAGGTCATGGTTTTTTCTTACATGTAGCTTTAGCAGATACAGAAAGTTTCTTATAGTTGTGGTTCAAGTTACACGCCCACCAAGTGCAGACAAAAGCACTAGTAGCTCCACACTCTTGCCAACACGTGGTATTGTTAGTTCTTTTCATTCTAGTGCATCTGGGGAATGCAGTGCTATATAACCTGCATTTTCTTTCCTTTTTTTCTTTCTTTTTTTTTTTTTTGTTGTTGTTGTTGTTGAGACGTGGTTTTACTCTGTTGCTAAGGCTGGAGTACAATGGTGTGATCATAGCTCGCTGCAGCCTCCACCTCATGGGCTCAAGGAATTGTCCCTCCTTAGCTTCTGGAGTAGCTGGGACCACAGGCATGCACACCATGGTCAGCTTAATTTGTATTTTCTTGATAGTTAATGAAGTTGAACAGGTTTTCATATACTTATTGGCTGTGTGAATGGCCTCTTTTGTGAAATACTTATTTGACCCATTTATAAAGATTTTTATTGTCATTTGTTATTAATCTGTGGGGTTTCTTTTTCTTTTCTTTTTTTTTTTTTTGAGACGGAATCTCACTCTGTAGCCCAGGCTGGAGTGCAGTGGCTCAATCTTGGCTCGCTGCAAGCTCCGCCTCCCGGGTTCGCGCCATTCTCCTGCCTAAGCCTCCCGAGTAGCTGGGACTACAGGCACCCGCCACCACGCCTGGCTAATTTTTTGTATTTTTAGTAGACGGGGTTTCACCGTGTTAGCCAGGATGGTGTCGATCTCCTGACCTCCTGATCTGCCCACCTCGGCCTCCCAAAGTGCTGGGATTACAGGCGTGAGCACAAGAAATTCCCACAAGAAATCTGTGGGATTTCTTGATATATTCTAGATAAGATTTGCTTTGAAAGACATATATTGTAATAATCTTCTGCTCTGTGGCATGTCTTTTCACTCACATAAAGGTATTTTTTGATGAACCATATATTTTTTATTTTAATAAAGTTCAATTAATCTACTTTTACTATATTTTATTTTTAACAACCTTGTCAATATATTATTTATTATTTTTGTTTATTTACTTATTTTTATAGTTAGTGGTTTTTTATGTGTGTCTTGTATAAAAAATATTTGCCTATCCCTTTGTTATAAAGATAAACTTATTTAAAAAAAAAAAATCTAGACCTTTTTTTTCTTCAATACACCATGCTTAACACAGATTGACTTTTTTTACCCTTCATGTTTTGGTCTAGGATCCATCTCAGATTTATTTACATCAGGACTGAGGTGGAGAGTCACGGTTTCTATTTTTCTATATGGATGTGTGGCTAACCCAGGGCCATTTATTGAAAGACCACCCTCTCCCCACTTAACTGTGCTGTCTCCCGTGTCATCTATCAGGTGTTACCGCATTTTTCACTTCCGTGCACTCTTGTTTGCGCCATTGGTCCTAGAATATATTTTTGTGCCAGCACTTCAGCATCTTAGTTATTGTAGCTTTAAAAGAAGTGTTGCTGTCTGGCAGTTCAGTCCTCCAGCTTTGTTCTGTTTAAGGGCTGCATTGGCTGTTCTTGATTCTTTGATTTTCCATATATACTGCAGAATCATCTTCAATGTATACCAAAAAAAAAAAATGCTGGGATTTTGATTGGCATTCCACTGAATCTGTACATCAAATTAGAGAGATTTGGCATCTGGAAATATTGAGTCTTCCAATACATGAACATGATATAATCCTCCATTAATTAGGTATTTCTTTAATTTTTTTCTTAGCAATGTTTTGTGTTTCATATTTTTCAGTGTAAAGGTCTTGCCTGCCTTAGTTTTATGCCTAGGTATTTTTTGGTTTTGGTAAATGCTCCTTTCAAAAGTGTATTTTCCAATTGTTTACTGCCAGTATATGGAATGCAATTGATTTAGGGGGGTTATTTATTTTAATTGTGATATGATATATATAATATAAAATTGACCATTTAAACCATTTTTAATTGTAGAGTACAGTGGCATTAAGAATACTCACGTTGTTGTGCAACAGTTCAATTGATTTTTAATATCAGCTTTGTTGAGCTATGGTCGACATATGTTAAAATTTGCTAGCTTTAGGTGTGCAGCTCAGTGAGTTCTGATAAATGCATGCAGCCACGTGGTCATCACAGTGAAGACATGGACCATTTCCAGCATCCTTCAGAGTTCCCGTGTGCCCTTTAAGGCTCCTCCCCAGCAGCCTGCCTCCTGGCCTTCAGTATCCATAGACCTGCTTTCTCGCATTGTCATTTTGCCTTTTCTAGAATTTCAGGTAAAAGAATCCTACAGTAGGTATCTTTTGTGTCTGGCTGCTTTCACTTAGTGTAAAGCTCTTGAGAGGTATCCGTGTTAGATGTGTATCGGTAAGTTGCCCTGTTTTATTACTGAATATATTCCGCTCTATGGATGTACCACAGTTTGTTTATCCATTTATCAGCTGAAGGCCACTTGGGCTGCTCTCGGTTTGTGGGGAGCAGAGGGAAGCTGCTGGAACATTCTTGTACAGATTGTTGTGTGGAAATCTGCTTTTATTTGTCCTGGATAAACACTTAAGGGGAAGGATCGCTGGGTCTTATGTTTGACTTTATAAGGAACTGCTGAACTGTTTTCCACAGCAGCTGTGCCATCTTGTATGTCCGTCAGCACCGTGTGAGAGTTCCCCTGCTCTGCAGGCTTGCCAACGCAGATGTGTCTTTTGATTTCACCTGTTCTAGTGTGGATACCGTTGTGGTTTCAAGTTGCATTTCCCTAATGAATAATGATGTTCTGAATCTTTTCAGGCACTTTTTTTTTTTTTTTTTTTTTTTTTTTGCCATTTTGTATACTTCTCTGGTGAAGTGCCTGGTCAAGCCTTTTACCCATTTAAAAAATCAAACTGTTTTCTTATTGATTTATAAGATAGAAGCTAGGCATAGTTGCATCTGCCTGTAGTCTTAACTACTTGGAAGCCCAAAGCAGGATGATCACTTGAGCCCACGTGTCTGAGGTCAGCCTGGGCGACATGGTGAGACCCTGTCACTAAAAATAAACAGAAAGTAAAGATACATATATATCTCACTGTGCTAGGCTGAATGATGGCCTCCCAAAGATGTTCGCAACCTAATCTGTAAAAACTGTGAGTTTCTTACCTTACCTGGCAAAAGGGACTTTGCAGATGTGATTCAACTAAGGATGTTGAGATGGGGAGATTCTCCTGGGTTACCTGGCTGGGTCTGATGTAATCACAGGAGTCCTCATTAGAGGGAAGCAGAAAGACCAAAGTCAGAGACGGAGATGTGGCCGTAGAAGCAGAGGTCCATGTGCTGCGGGGCCATGAGCCAAGGAACCCACGCCGCCTCTGGGAACTGGGAAAGGCAAGGGAGCAACGTCTCCCTGGAGCTCCAGAGTGAGCCAGCCCTGATGACACCGTGACTTCAGCCCTCGGAGACTGACTGTGGACATCGGACCTCTGTCACTGTAAGATCCTAAGTTTATGTTCTTTTTTGGGAATATGCACTCTCTCTTCAGTGGAGGACTTGAAGCTGGCTCTTCTGATTCTAAGTCCATGTTGATTTTTTCCTACCATTGTTCGGGGTAGAAGGGAGCAGGTATCTCAGGTGGTGGGAACAGTGCGAGAAAGCCCCCAGGTCAACATGCACGCTGCCGCGCAGGGAGCAGGCTCCTCTCAGATTAAGCAGCGTGTGCTGGGACTGCGGGAGGTGAGGTCCATTGGGTGGATCCACTAGGCTTTGGAAGCAGAGAGTTTGGGCTGGAGATGGTGAGAAACCACATAGTGGTTGGAGCATTTTGGGGTTTGTCAGAAGGGTCAGGGCTGCTGGCTGGGGTAGGAGCAGGTGCTGGGGAGACAGCACTGGCCTGCCCACCTCACTGGGCTCTGACAGGAGGCATGCCAGGCGTGCTGTTCATTATTATTTCAGAACAGTGCTGCTTAACTCCACGGACCAAGCTGCTTCTGTGAATGAGGGGTAGGGAATCCCAGAGGCCAAGGCCGCCTCATCTCTCAGGGACCTTCTGGCTCATTAGATGGCCTCGTCCCTCAATCTTCTCCAAACGTGCTGGCTTCCCTGAGGATGCTCTGAGCTGGTGCCATTAACCTGGGCAGCACTTCTCTCCGGTCCACACGCACTTCACTCTATTATCCTGCACCCTGAAAAGGCATGGATTTTGTTGAACGGGGCCTTGTGCATCAGAAGCCAAGTGCACCTCTGTCTGGGAGCTGGAATGTATGCAGTGGTCATCTTTGCTGCTTCTGCCCTGGTGCCACACTCTGAAGAGTGAGAACATGGGCAGGGTGGTCGATGGCTTCACACCTCTGTCTCCCCACCAGGATCTCTGGCTGAGACTCAGGGTCCGAGGACCCAGGGTGCCTCCAGACCACAGACCAATGAATTTTCTGTTCTCTTTTCAACTTCTTCCCAGCCTAGGGCAGTTCAAAGCCAGCTTCTTTCAGGAAGCCTGCCCTGATAGTGCCACCCAACTACAAACACTTATTTTCTGTGCTGCATATTTTCAGTGCTAAGTGATTGTGCATTCAACCTTTCAGTACACATGGTCTCCTGTGGTTCTCTAGTCCTTCTGGAGAAGCAAGTGTGAGACGGATGCCTCGTCTGGTGAGGTTACAGACTTTCTGAGGATGGGGAGCAATCTTTCTTCATTTGTATCATGTCTCACCAAATAGATAAACCATTGGAGGACAGGTACTGTTTGACATGAAAATAAGGTTTATGGTGCCCTCCTGATCATTGTTCAGTAAACTCTTCAGGGAAAGGAGTGGAGAGATCATTAGTTCATTGGAAAAGGTATTTCTTGCCTAGAGGGGTGGATTCCTAAATTTAGGGCTAAATGTGTCATGCAGCTCTAAATTTCTACACCATGAGAAGGTAGTCCCTTTTGCTTCTTTTATGTACAATCCATGCATTTGTTCCACAGACATCTGATGTTTACTGAATGCCCTGTGCAACAGAGATTGAGGATTCAAAGGTGAACAACAGATGATCTTTCTCTGCAGGGGGCTGTCTCTATGCACATCACTCACAAATATCCATCTACGGTCCCTCACAAATATCCATCTACAGTCCCAAGCTCCTTCCCCTAATCCACGTCCTGTGTTAGGTGTTGGGCAAACTTTCCAGGTGTCAAGATGCAGACAATTAGACCTGCAGCCCCCAGAGGAGCTGAGATAATGCTACTCCTTTCGAGGAGGGGCACATGACATCACCTGACCTGTTGAAGCAGTGGACAGAGTGGGGTTTGGGGGATCCTAACCAGAGTAGCTAGCCCTCCCCACCTGCGTGTCTTGTATCTGTAGGCTCTGCATCCATAGATTCAACCATGTTTGGTAAAACTATTCAAAAAACATTGCATATGTGCTGAACATGTACAAGCTTTTCTTTTTATCATAATTCCCTAAACAACTATTGACATAGTATTTACATTGAATTAGGTATCACAAGTAATCTAGAGCTTATTGAAAGTGCATGCAGGGTGTGCATAGGTTGTCTGCAAATGCCGCACCATTTTATATCAGGGGCTTGAGCACCTGCGCTGTTGGTATCTTTAAGGGAGGATCCTGAAACCAATCCCCAATAATTACTAAGGAACGACGGTATTTGGGTTTTGACAGAAAGCTGAGAAACCCAGAATGTTAGAAATAACCTCCTAACAGTAGGAAGCTGAGTTAAAATCAGGAAAAGCCAGCGGTTAAATTCAGTCTTTTTACACACAAGAGCAAGCCACATGTTCTACAGCAATGGAGGAAAAACTCAGTGATTACCCAATGAAGTGAATAAAAGCTGCAGTGATAGTTACAACAACACGACAACAGGTGACATTGAGAAGGAAGATCTCATTTAGGGTTTGTTGGAGGGAGCCACAGCCACTAAGGATGCAGCCTCCTTTGGAAGCACTGACCTGGCCCCTGCGCCCATGGACGTGGGAATAGTGTGGGAGCTGGCAGAGTCTCAGCAACCTCTCAATCTAGTTTGTCTCCTTAGACAACATCCATCTCCCCCATTCTCCATCAGCTCCTTTTCCAGCTTCCCCTTCCTGCCCTTGTTTTTGTAAGGCCGGGAGGGAGGTGTCTGGGCTTACGACAATGTCTCACATTGCCCCAGGAGAGGGCAGCAGACATTCTCCCATCCCAGGTGCCTCCTCTGCACTGTCCAGGATTCCAGTGAATTTTCGAGGGTTATTGAAAATTACCTGGTTCATGGGAGCCAGGCTCTGTGCTAGGCACTGGGAATGCAAAGCCAACTGAGATATGGGGCTCTGCTCTGCAGGAGCTGGTGGTCTAAAAGGGTGAGGCAGCCGTGGAAACAGATACAGGGCCAAACAGTGAGGTCAAACGCTGGGGCAGAAGGCTCTTCAGGGGACTGTGGGATCCCCGGAAAGTGGGGAGAGGAGGGGTCTCAGAAAACACCCAGCAGGAAGAGGTGCTTGAGCTGAGTCTTGGAAGCCGGCAGGTTTTCCTGGTTCCTAGGCCAGGCAGGGCACACCAGGCAGGGCACCCCAGGCAGGGGAGCTGGGCTGAGTGTGACACCACAGGGCGAGCTGGGGCTTGAACACAGGGTGCTGAGGGCAGGAGGGGTCTCAGGGAGGGGACGATCATGGAGGGCTGTCCTGCATGCCCATGCTAAGGAGTCTGGACCAGGGCCTGGAAGGATCCGATAAGCCCCCAAAGGGTTTCATTAGGAGAACAACCAGAGCAGACCTGCACTTTAAAATGACAGCTCCCTGTTCTGCCTGTGGAGGACAGACGTGGCAGGATGGAGAAGGGCAGGCCTGAGGGCCGCTGGCCCAGTCAGCTGGGCTTGAACTAGGTGGAGGGAGCGAGGGCAGTTGTCTGAACTAAGGCAGGAGCAGTGGGAAGGGCAGTGAGGTGAACATGAGGTTGAAATGACAGGTTCTGGTCTTTGGCTAGATGGGGCCGGATGAGGGCAGAAGTCTCCCAGGTTTCTGGCTTCAGTGGCTGGTGTAAGTGTTGGTGGAGCTGAACACAAGGGTGGAGGAGCGATCTCGGGAGAAAGATTATGAGTCATTGACAAATATGGGGCGTCTCCCCAGACCCCACTATTTCATTTCCCACTGCACCCTCTTATCTAGATCCTTGGTATTTTTCACTGGTTTTGAGACAGTGCCTTCCTGTTGGGTCTTGTAAGGTCCAGTCTCTCTTCTTGTTGGAAGAGCCTGTGTATTCTTTCACTGCATGTTTATGAATAGCCTTCCCGGGCCAGGCACTGTGATGAGTTCCTTCTCCCATACAGCTCATGGCCTGGTACAGGGGGAGAAGGTGAAGGAAGAGATAGATGGTGAGGCTGATGGTTGTAGTCCAATATGCAGTGTGGTCTCATAAGTGAAGAACAGGCTGCAAGGAGAACATTCCAGGACAGGCCTGCGATCTGGACTTCAGTGTTGAGGTGGTTTCCTAAAGAAATTGTCTGGGCTCAGCTGGATGTGCAAGGGCTCCTGAGTGACAGGCTGTGGAGAGGGGCTTCTCTGGGGCTGGAAGGAGCCAGTGCAGTGCCCGACCCTGTGGCATAGAACGTGAGAAGTGGGCAGCCTCTGCTTGAGAGGATGCCGAGGGTGGTCAGCAAGGATAACTAACGGTGGCAGGGCCTGACGGGGTCAGCTTGCACCAAGTTGGGTGGAGAACGAGTAGCTCCAGGCCTCCCACAGTGGACAGATCCTCAGGCCTGGAGGGGTGTCCTTCTGAAGGAGCATTCCCAGTCTCTGACGAATGAGGCCTGGGTCTCTGGCTGGAGTTGGAGTGGGTCTGTGTCTGGAGGGGGCACTTGGGCTCTGGAAAGAGGCTACAAACTCTAGACTAGGCTGGGCAAACTATGGCCAGCTCCTGTTTTATCAGAATGCACCTTTATATTCTCCTTCATGTATGTATTGTCCATGGTTGCTTTAGTGAGTTGAGTGGTTGCAACAGAGATCACATGGCCTGCAAAGCTTCAAACATTTCCTAACTGGCTTTTTATGGAAAAGGTTTCCCAAGCCCTGCTCTAAACTGGCAGGCAACTTTCTCAGAGATAGTTCAGGCCTAGTCTCCATGTGTGGACAAGATGAGCCCATACCGTGAAGCTGGATCTCCCAAAACGCACATCTGTCTCAGGTCTTATAAAGCTGTGAATCATTAAGTGTGTGAACATACATGTGGTCATGTGTGAATATGCATGTGGTCACCTGAGCACACATATGGTCGTATATTAACATGCATGTGGTCACATGTGAATGTGCATATGGTGGCATGTAAGATGCACATGGTCATGTGAACATGCATATGGCTGTGTGAATATACATATGGTCCTGTGAACATACATATAGTTGTGTGTGAACATGCACGTGGTTATGTGTGAACATGCATATGGTTGTGGGAACATAGATATGGTCATGTGAGAACATGCATGTGGTTTGTTTGACGCATGTGGTCATGTGATGTGAGCTTGAGGTGCACCGTCAGGCTGGGATGGGCCTTCCCAGGGTGGACTCAGCCCCTTGCTGCAAGAGACCACTTCCTGAATCCTGGTCCTAAGCCTGTGAGCCTTTGCTCGGCACCAAGAAGCAACTCTGTTGATACCGACTGAGATTCAGATGCCTGAACCTGACCTTCTACACACGTGGCCCTAGTGGATCATTCCAGCCTCAGTTTCCATGTCTCCCCAAATGCCTGCTAAATGTGTCAGCCAAACCTGACTACTTCCCATTCTGCACACATACCTTCTCCACCTTGGTGGCCGAATCCTTTGGAGCCCACCTCTCACATTCAGCTCCCGGTTCTTGGTTATTTGGGCTCCTGTCTCGTGTGCTCTATCAGGTTCTAGGCTTTGCAGGAGTGAGTTCTGTCTCCACTCGTTTCTATGTGCCTCGTAGGACTGGCTCTTGGGAGGGTCTTCATGGTGACTGAGGCCATGGATCCTTAGCCCTGTAGCTTGAATTCACTTGGCACTCAAACACTCATCCTGAAATGATGCTCTGAAAGTGATGCTTCCAGTCAGTTAAGGATCCACTGTATTATGGATCTCCAGCACCCAATGCCTGGCACATAAGAAATGAATGAAAAGTAGTGAATGATCTCAAGTATGTCTACAAGGCGAGAGGAAAGTGATCCTATTCACCAGACATGCTAGGGAGGCATTTGGCGCTGTTGGCTCTGCTGTTGCACAATAGGCCTGGGACTCTGAAGGCTGGCACTTCCTCATCCTAAACCTCAAATTTTAATGAATTACCTCCAAGTGGGCAAAGGTCCATGGGCCAGGGTTCTTGGTGTAAATAACCCACCTCTTTTGGGTGTGGTTAATGGACAGGGACTATACAAAACTAAAAACAATGTTTGAATGCTGACTTCCTGTCAGCCATGGTGATGAAGCACTCTGTATACATGACCTTATTCAATGCTCACTACAAACCCATGAAGCAGATTTTTAGAAAAACTTTCCATTTGGAGCATTTTAAACAAGAGGATAGTGTAATGAGCTTTCACCTCCTTATCAGCAGATTTAAATATTTGTTAACTCATGGCCCATCTTGTTTCCTGTATACTCCCACCCACTTATCCCCCTCTCTTGTTGTTTTAAAGCAAATCCCGGACATTATGTAATTTCATCTGTGAATATCTTAGTATGTATCTGTAAAAGAAAGGGACTAATTTTTTGTTGTTTTTGAAACAGGGTCTCTGTTGCCCAGGCTGGAGTGCTGTGGTGTGATCATGGTTCACTACAGCCTCAACCTCCTGGGCTCAAGAAATCCTCCCACCTTAGCCTCCTGAATAGTTGGGATTGCAGATGCACATCACCAGGCCCAGATAATTTTTTTATTTCTATTTTTGTAGAGATAGGGCCTTTCTATGTTGCCTGGGCTAGTCTAGAACTCTTGATCTCAAGTGATCTTCCTGCCCTGGCCTCCCAATGTGCTGGGATTATAGGCATGAGACACCATACCCAGTGATAAGAACTTATTATTTATTTATTTATTTTTGAGACAGAGTCTTGCTCTGTCATCCATGCTGGAATGCAGTGGCGGAATCTCAGTTCACTGCAACGTCCGCCTCCTGGGTTCAAGTGATTCTCCTGCTTCAGCTGCACGAGTAGCTGGGATTACAGGTATGTGCCACCACATCTGGCTAATTTTTTTGTATTTTTTTTTTTTTTAGTAGAAATGGGGTTTTGCCATGTTGGCTAGGCTGGTCATGAACTCCTGGCCTCGAATGAGCCTCCCGCCTTAGCATCCCAAAGTGCTGGGATTACAGGCATGAGCCACCGTGCCCAGCCAAGAACTCTTTTAAAAAAAAAACAAAATTGCAATACCATTATCATACCAACCATCGCACACTACTATTCTTTAATACTACCAACTACCCTACTGTCTCCAAATTTCCAGTAATTTCATTTTTTTGTTAGTTTGTTTGAATCAAAATCCAAATAAAGTCTCTCCTTATGATTGTTTGATTTGCCTGTTAGTATTTCTGGATCTATAGGTTTCTCCTTTCATCAATTGTTTCTCCTTTGCAATTTATTTATTGAAGAAACAAGACTGTTTCCCTGTATTTCAGATCTTGCTAAATGTATCCTCATTATGGCGTTTCTCATAGTTTGGATTTTGCTAATTGTATCCTTGTGGTGTTTAACTTGGTCTTCACTTTGTTCTCTCTATTTACTATAAATTAGTGGTACGATCTAAAAACTTGGTCAGAGGCAGGTTGGATTTGTGGGGCAGGGTAAAAATACTTTGCTAGGTTCTTCCATCAGGAGGTGTGTACTGTCCGGCATATATATATATATATATATATATATATATATATATATATATATATATATATATATTTTTTTTTTTTTTTTTTTTTTTTTTTTTTTTTTGGTGATGTTGCCAGCCACTGATTGATTATGGATTGAACAATGGTGGTATTGTGATATCATTCCTGCTCATTTTTGTGCTGTCATACTTCTATAAAGAGATACTGCTACCCTGAGAACAGCCTTGTAGAAGAAAAAAATAAAATGAAAAAGTAAATATAAAAAGAGATACTTCTCTTTATAAATTATTGTGTTACTCAGTTGTACAATTTATATAGAAAAGGCCAGGTAGTTGCTTTATTTATTTGTTTAGATAGGGTCTCTCTCACTCTGTCACCCACGTTGGTGTGCAGTGACGCAATCACAGCTAACCACACCCTCAACCTTCCTGGCTCAAGGGGTCCTCCCACCTTTGCCTCCCAAGTAGCTGGGACCACAGACACACAGCATCAGGCATGGCTCATTTTAAAAATGTTTTTTAGAGACGGGGGTCTCCCTATGTTGCCCAGGCTGGTCTCGAACTCCTATGCTCAAGTGATCTTTCTGTCTCTGCTTTCCAAAGTGCTGAGATTACAGTCCTGAGCCACCCTGCCTGGCTCACTCTTATTTTTAATAAAGAATCATTATGAATGCAGAGATTTAAACATATTTGATGTAGTTTAGTCCATTGCAATTATTATACTTATTGATATACAAAATGTTCTATCTTTGGTCAGAAGGAGTTCCTTCAGATTGGCTCTTGAAGCATATTGATATCATCCTAATGATCTTTGATAGATTCCTTGCTATCTAGAGTGACAATATGTTCCAGTCTTGTCTTAAGCATTTCTAGCCCAGACCTGGAATCATCAATTTCTCTAAGAAGCCTTGGTTTCCTTTAGTGGGTAAGGGTATTTGAGGACCACAATCTTGGTGCTAAGGGTCGATGTTACAGTTTTAAAAGTTTTTTTTTTAATTGACAGCTTTAATTGAGGTAGAATTTACCTACTAAAATTCACCCCTTTTAAGTGTACAATTCAGTGATTTTTAATATATTTAGTCTATTTACAGAATTGTGCAACCATCACTAAAATCTACTTTTGAAACATTCCATCATCCCAGAAAGAAAAGTTGTGCCTATCAGAGTCACTCTTCATTCTCATCCCCAGTCCTAGGCAACCACTAATCTATATCAGGCAATTCTGGACATTTCATATAAATTGAATCAGTCAGTGTGTGTTATTCTGCATCTGGCTTCTTTCACAAAGCATTGTGTTGTTGAGGTTAATCAATGTGGTAGCGTGCATCAGAATTTTCCTTTTATTGCCGAATAGTATTCCGTTATATACCACACTTTTTTTTTTTTAAATCTCTTCACCGGATGATGGGCATTTGTGTTGTCTCTGCCTTTTGGTTCTTGTGAATGGTGCTGCCATGAACATTCACATACAAGTCAGTGTGTGGGCATAGACTTTCATTTTCCCTGGACAGGTACACAGAAGTGAAGTTGCTGGGTTTAAGGCAATTCATCTAACATTTTGAGAAACTGTCATACTGTTTTCCCAAAAAATAGCTGCACTATTTTACATTCCCACCAGCAATCTATGTGGGTTTTGATTTTTCCACATCCTCTCCAGCACTTGATATTATTTTTCTGATTGGTTATAGTCCTTCTAGCAGGTGTGAAGTGACTTCTCATTGTGAATTGAATTGCATTTTCTTAGCAATTAATGACATTGAGCAGTTTTTAATGTGCTTTTTGGACTTTAATACATCTTTTTTGGATGGTTCTTTGCCCATTTTAAATAGGATTCTCTCTCTCTTTTTTCTTGGAGACAGAGTCTCTCTCTGTCACTCAGGATAGAATGCAATGGCACGATCTCAGCTCACTGCAACCTCCGCCTCCTGGGTTCAAGCGATTCTCATGCCTCAGCCACCCAAGTAGCTGGGATTACAGGCATGCACCACCACACCTGGCTAATTTTTTGTATTTTTAGTAGAGATGGGGTGTCGCCATGTTGGCCAGGCTGGTCTCGAACTCCTGTCCTCAAGTGATCTGCCCACCTTGGCCTCCCGAAGTGCTGGGATTACAGGCATGAGCCACCACGCCTGGCCTGGATTATGTTTTAATACTGAGTTGTAAGAGTTCTGGATATGTCACTTACTAGAGATATGATTTATAAATATTTTCTCCCATTCTGTGGGTTGGGAGAAACCTTTCTTGTGTCTTTTGATGTGCCAGGGTTTTAAATTTGGCTGATGTCCAATTTGCCATTTTTTCCTTTTCTCACTTGTGGTTTTGGTGTTGTATCTAAGGCATCAATTGCCTAACACAAGATCACAAAGATTTACTTCTATGTTTTCTTCTAAGAGTTTTATAGTTTTAGTCCTTGCATTTAGGTATATGACTCATTTTAAGTTAATTTTTGTGTGTGGTGGTAGTTAGGGACTCAATGTTTTTGCACATGGATATCCCGTTGTCCCACCACCATTTGTTGAAACAACTATTCCTGGCTGGGTGTAGTGGCTCACACCCGTAATCCCAGTATTTCGGAAGCTGAGGTAGGAGGATCACTTGAGTCCAGGAGTTTGAGACCAGCCTGGGCTACATAGTGAGATACTCATCTCTTAAAAACCAAAAAATAAAGGAAGAAAAAGAAAAGACTATTTCTTTCCAAATGATTTTTCTTGGTACCTTTGTCAAATCAATTGATTGTAAATGTAAGGGTTTATTTCTGGGCTATCAATTTTTTAAATTAGTTAATTAATTTTTTGGAGGCAGTGTCTTACTATGTTGCCCAGACTGGTTTTGAACTCCTGAGCTCAAGTCATCCTCCCCTCTCAGCCTCCCAAGTAGCTGGGACTACAGGTGTGTGCCACCATGCCCAGCTAATTTTTAGTTTTATTTTTGTAGACATAGGGTCTTGTTATGTTGCCCAGGCTGATCTCAACTCCTGGCTCCAAGGGATTCTCCCTCATTGGCCCCCCAAAGTATTGGGATATGAGGTGTTAGCCACCATCCTTGGCTTTTTATTTACTTATTTTTTTTCTTTACTCACACGATCTCTCTCTCTGTTGCCTGACCTGGAGTGTGGTAGCCAATCATAGCTCACTGAAGGCTAAAATTCCTAGGCTCAGGTGATCCTACCATCTCAACTTCCTGAGTAGCTAGGATTACAGGTGTGCACCGCCATGCCTGGCTAATGAAAAGCAAAATTTTTAAATTGATTTTGGTACATTGATACAAAAAAATGTTTTGTATGTAGACACAGGTCTCACTGTGTTGCCTAGGCTAGTCTTGAGCTCCAGGCCTCAAGGGATCCCCTTGTCTCGGTCTCCCAAAGTGCTGAGATTACAGGTGAGAGTACTTGCCTGAGCTTTCAATTACATTCCATCGACCTATACATCTGTCCTTATGCTGGTACCATACTCTTGATTACTTTGTAAGTTTTGAAGTTAGGATGGTAAGTCCTCCCACCTTGTTCTTTGTCAGGATTGTTTTGCTTATTCCGTGTCCTTTGCATTTCCATGTGAATTTTAGGATTCATTTGCCAATTTCTGCAGAAAAGGCAGCTGGGATTTTGGCAGGAATTGGGTTGAACCTGTAGACCAATTTTGAGAGTGTTGATATCTTAGTAACATTTAGTTTTCAGATCTATGAACAAGTAACATCTTTCATTTCTTTAGGTCTTCTTTAATTTCTTTCAACAATGTTTTGAAGTTCTTAGTGTACAAGTTTTCCTGTTGTTAAATTTATTTCTAAGTATTTTATTCTTTTGGATGCTATTGTGAATGGAATAATTTTCTTAATTTCATTCTTGGACTGTTCATTGCTAGTGTATAGAAATACAATTGATTTTTCTATGCCAATTTTGTGAACTTGCTGAACTAGTTCTAGGGTTTTTTTTTTAGGGGATTCCTTAGGATTTTCTGTATACAAGATCATGTCACTTGTGAGTAAGACAGTTTTACTTCTTTTCTAGTCTGGATTCTGTTGTATATGGATCGCCTAATTGCCTGGGCCAAAACCTCATTACAAAACTGAATAGACCTGCTGAACATGGCCATCCTTGTCTTATTCCCAATCTTAGGGGGAAAGCATTCAGCCTTGCACCATTAAATGTGTTAACTGTAAGGTTTTCACAGATGCTTTGTATTATGTTGATGAAGTTCCTTCCTGTTTCTAGTTTGTTGAGAATTTTTTTTTTCCATGCGTGGGTAGATAATTTTACTCTCATTTACAGAAAAGGAAATGGTTATTCAAGCAGCCTGCCTCCAGACCAAGCCCTGGATTATGGTGCTCTCTACAGCACTCTCTTCCATTTAATTTTTCCTCTGCGCCTCCTCTAAATTCTCTTTGAGCTCACTGGGGAATGTTGGTGTTCTCCAGGATTCTCAGCACTTTGCTTGGGTGCTTCTCTGCTGAAGTGGGAGAATGGATTCAGCCATCACCTGCAAGCTGATGACTCCACATTCCCTGTCTTCTGCTCTGAGCTCCGGTGAATCCTCATGCTCCCAAGACTTTTCCACTTGGATACAGTCAGGAAATCTCAAACCCATCCTGTCCTAGAATGCCCCGTTATCCCTCTCCACTCAAGTGGTCTTCTCTGCCTCTATTTTCAACATTGTATGCTTCTGCCATTTGTCCTGTTCCAGCCTGAAACCTGGGCGTGATCCAGCACTTTTCCCTTTCCTTGACCCCTCCTCTCACCTTTTCTAATCAGTGGCCAAGTCTGACATATTTTTTCTCCTCACCTCCACTGCTACTGATACAGGAGGTAAAGAAATTATTTAGGCAGATAGTGAGGGGAACAGAGTCCTTGGCAGAGCTTCCCTTCTAACAAAAAGCAGCCCAACAAATTTTTTTTCTAACAAAGAGCAGCCTGAAAAATTGAGCTGCAAACATAGATAAGCAAGCTGGAAGCTTGCACGGGGGAATGCTGGCAGCTGTGCCAATAGAAAAGGGCTACCTGGGGGCCGGGCATGTCCAACATAGAGGGCCCATCTTCCCTTTTCTGTCACCACGTGTGCAGTAATAGAGAAATGGGCAACATGGCGCGGCTCAGGCAGAGAACCCACCTGCATAATACAAGATTAGGGAGGGGGCGACTAGAATTTCTCACCCTATGCAAACGACACACCTGGTCTAAGCAGTTTTTCATGCCCTGTGCAAATGGCATGCTTGGTCTGACTAGTCTTTCATGTCCTATGTAAATCAGACACCACCTCCTCACCAGCTCATCTATAAAACCCTCTGCATTTGGCCGTGGACTGGCAATCCATTTCTCTGTGACCCCTCTCTGCAGCAGAGAGCTTTTCTTCTGCCTGTTGAACTTCCACTCTTAACCTCACTCTTTGTGAGTCCGCATCCTTGTTCTCCATGGCTGTGAGACCACAAACTTCAGGTGATACTCCAGACAATGAGGCCGTTTCATTATTGCCTTGCTCCTGCCTCCAGTCTCATTCCCCTCAAATTCACCCTCCACTTTACCAACAGAGCAATTTCTCTGAATTACAGATCCTCTCATCCTTAGCCCTTTAGTGGTTCCCTATTCCCATAGCACAGCAATTAAGGCCTTTCCTCATCTGTTCATTTCATACACTAGGAACTTCCACTAAAGATTGAAGTCACTGAATGCACTTTCTGATGCCAATTTTAATAGCCTCATGCTGCTTTCATCATTTGATGTTAGAAACAGTGTTAACCAGAAACAATGTTACCCACTTGACTCTGCTTTCTTCTGCATGTCGTGTTTTCTCTGTGTCAATGCTTCTTGTGTACTCTGTTGTCTTTTTAAAATATTAAACTTATTTCAATAGAGACAGGGGTCTCACTATGTTGCCCAGGTTGGTCTCGAACTCCTGGGCTCAAGTGTTCCCCTCAGCTCGACCTCCCAAAGTGGTGAGCTTACAGGCACAAGCCACCACTCCTGGCCCTGTTGTCTTTTTTTGAAAAGTTCTTTCTCCTCCCATGCCATTCCCTCTATTCCTTTACATCCTGAAAAGCCCTACTCAGTAGGCCCTCTTCTTTGAACCTCCTCCTAGCTGGTGCATAATTATGCCCTCCTCTGTATTATTTCAGAACATTGTGTATGCCTATAATATCACATATGTTATCCTATGTTATAAGTATTTGTCATGTTTTTCTCTAGATTTATACTAGACTTATCTTAAATACTCTCATAATTGCCAGCATATAGAAAATGCCTAAAGAATATTTGTTGAATCCACCTGAATTAGGATTTGTCTATAAGCCTCTTTGCTTTTAATAAACAATTTTCTAATTTGTCAGACAGTTTAAATGCATTTTGAAGAGAACATACTTAAAAAAATAACATTTTAAATGTGACAATGTAACATATGCTTATTTTAGACTATACAGAACATATTGAAAAGCCCTTCGAAGAACAGAAAAATGATTTTTAAATGTACAATCTGGGTACTGTTAGTCCAAACTGCACTGTTTTGTAAGCCCCCTGCCGTTTCACAGACCTTGGCAGAGCAAAACATTCCATGGGGGTTCCACCGTGAGAAATGTCCTGCCCCACCACCTGACCACAAGGCACAGGAATGTCCTTATCATACCCTGCCGAGCAAAGGCCCAACTGAAGGAACATCTTTGTCAAGCAGCAAACCACGCCACCCAGACCCTGCCCGCCCATACCTATAAGTACCCTAGCCTGTAAGCGGTGGTGGGCTCTGGCGTTAAGCTGGTCCCCCACCTCAGCAGGTCGCTCTGGCAATAAACTTGTGTTGCTGTCGAGCTGCCAGCTCTTCCTGTGTCTTTTTTTAACCTTCGCCTTCCCTTCAAAAACTAACAGATATGTTACCATTTTGATGTATTTCCTTTCAGTTTTATCTGTGCATTCATATGTGAGTGTATGTACACATACATATGTGTATAGTTGTATGTATATATGTAGTATACACATAAGTGTATAATCTGGATATATCCAACTCCGTTATCCATATCATTGGCTATGTCTACAACAATAGTATAGATACTTTTTGTAACCTGTCTTTTTTTGTTGTTAATTATTGTGGATACATATCAGTTGTACCTATTTATTGGGTACATGTGATATTTTGATGCAAGCATACAAAATGTAATAATCAAACCAGAGTACTTGGGATGCCCATCACCTGAAGCATTGATCATTTCTTTGTATTAGGAACATTCCAATTCCACTCTTTCAGTTATTTTGAAATATACAATAAATTATTAAGTACAATCACCCTATTGTGCTACTGAACACTAGGTCATAATCCTTCTAACTGTATTTTTATACCCATTATCCATTTCCTTGTCTTTTTTAACTTAATGTAGTGTGAGCATTTCCCCATCATCAAATATCATTTTATAAAATTATTTTAAATAACTGCATTTATAAAATAGCCACATTTTATAAAATTATTTTAAATAACCTCACTCGTGAATACTGGGGTAGCTGGGGATAAATTTTTAGGCTCATTGTTATTGTCCCTCAAAACGTGGAAGTTATTATTCCATTGTCTCATCTACTGCTGCTGATGATTTAGGCTCATTGTTATTTTCCCTCAAAACGTGGAAGTTATTATTCCATTGTCTCATCTACTGTTGCTGATGAGATGTCTGCTGTTGGCTTGGCAATCTTTTCTTTGCAGCAAATCTTTCTTTTTTCTTTTAACCTTTTGGTGTTTCCTCATTTTTTAAATTTTTTCTTTTATCCCAATGTGTCTAGGGGTTTATCTACTATCTAATAAATAAATATGTATTTTTAATCCTGTAAAAGACTTGATGTGCCTTTTCAACCCAAGGGTTATCTTTTTTAATTCTGAAAAATTCTCAGCCATTGTCACTTCAATGATTACCTCTTGCCCAACTACTCAATTTTTTTTTAATTCCCCTTAAGCACATATTGGAGTAAAACTCTATTTTACTTTGCTCATCTTTCTACATATCTGTGCTGTAAATTGGTCACTCTGTCTTCCAATTCACTCATTCACTCTTCAGCTGTGCCTAGTCTGCTGTGAAACCTATCTAGAGAGTTGTTTAAATCAATCTCTGTTTTTCTGTTTTGGACCCATTAACAAAAATACAGCTCCATGTTTCTTTTATGTAAAATGCTGTATTTACCTTAAAGTTCTTCTTTTAACTTAATTCTTTTCGATAGTTTAACACACATAAGTTTATGAAACAATACGTACACCTCAATGACTTGTCACAAAGGAGTATCTATGTCATCATCATCTAGGTTAGAAAAACAAAAAAGGACACTGCCAGCACTCCAGAATCCACCATTGCGATGCTCCCTAGTCTCTATTCCCTCCCAAGGTGAGGATTAACCTGACGTTTATTATATAAAAATCACTTGGTTGATTTTCTTTAAAGTTTTTATTTTGAAATGATTGTAGATTCACAGAGAGTCACAAAAGTAGTAGACAGAGTCCCTTGGATGCTTTACCCGGCTTTCCCTAACAGAACAGCTATCTTACAGAACAGCAGGACACCATCAAAACCAGGGCATGGGCATTGTCTGACTATTGTTAGACTACAGACCTTATGCAGTTTTCACAGTGTTTGCATGCACTCCTTTGTGTGTGTGTGTTCTATGCAAGGTGATCTCATGTGTAGTATCCTGTAACCACTTGCACCAACTGTCCTTGCCAAAGAACTGTTTCATCACTGAGAGGAATTCACTTGTGCTACCTCTTTTTAGTCACATCCTCGTACCTTGTCCCTGTCTCCTGGCAACCACCAATCTGTCCTCCATCTCTATAGTTTTGTTAGTTGGAGTGGAACAGGAATTAAAAGAAATTAAAGAATGTGTAAGCAAAAACTCAGTTGTATGTAAGAAAACCCAATTCCCCCTGAGGAAGAGAAAGAGCTGGAGTCCTTTAAAAATTAACTGCCTGTTTTTCTGTGGCTAGTGAGCCTTATCTCTCCCTTTCCCAGGCATTATGAAGACCCTGTTTCTCTAGCTGTGCAGCTCCAAGGTCACTAGACAGATAAACTCAAGTTGTAAAATATGTTTTTCCTTGAAAAGTAAGAAATAATGTAATGCAAGTCTCAATTGAATAACTGTCTTTGTTTCTCGCTTCTGTAATATGCTTCCCCCTGCACAAATCTTCCCCCACCCATGAAATGCTTAAAAGGTAACTTGACTCTTTGTTCGGGGCTCAGTCCTTTGGATGTTAATCTGACTGGGCCAATGCACCTAAATAATAATAATAAATCCTCCTCAACCCCTCGGTCTCTCTGATTCCTAAATTATCCCACAACAGGAGAATGTTTTATACATGGAAGCTTGTAAGTGTAAAACCTTTTAGAAGATTGGCTTTTTTCATAAGAGGAAGTTTTTTCTTTCGTCAACAAAAGCCAAAAGCCAATCTTCAACAAAAGATTGGCTTTTTTCACCAAGTTTCACGCTCTAACAAAACCTCCAAGTTTTTGCCTGTATCAATAATTTCTTGCTTTTTATTCCTGGGTAGTAGTCTCTTATATGGATATGGTAGAATTTGTTGAGTCTTTCACCATTGAAAGATATTTGGGTGGTTTCCAGTTTGAGGCTATTTTGAATAAAACTTTTAAGAACATTGATGTACAGGTTTTTGTGAACCTGCTTTCATTCTTCAGGTTAAATCCTGAAGAGTGAAATTGCTGAGTCACATAGGACATGTACCTTTGGTTTTATAAGAAACTGCCAAACTCTTTTCCAGAGTGGCTATACCTTGTTCAAGTGATGCCAGTGATGTGTGAGTTGTCTGGTTTCTAAGCAATCTTGCCAGGATTTGGTGTCATCATTGAGCTTATCCTTTCTAACAGACATAGCGATACTTCATTGTTTTAATTTGCATTTCTCTAATGGTTACTGATGCTGATCATATTCACTTGTGCTTATTTGCTGTTCATGTTCTTTCTTTGACAAAATGTCTTTTCATGTCTTTTGCCCACTTTTACACCGGATTGTTTTTTTAAAAAAAATGTGTTGAATTTTGAAGGTTCTTCATAGATTCTACATACAAGTCCTTTGTCAGCTATATGGTTTGCAGGTGTTTTCACTCAGCCTGTAGCATGTCTTTTCATCCTCTTAATAAGATCCTTCACAGAGCAAAAGTCCTACATATTGAGGAAGTTCATTTTGTCAGTATTTTCTTCTACAAATTGTTATATTGGTGTCATGTCTAACAACTTAGTCTTGAATATTTCTCCTATGGTTTCTTCTAAAAGTTTCATAGTGTTACATTTTTTATTTAAATCTGTGCTCCGTTTGAATTAATGTTTATATAAAGGTAGGAGCTTTAGGTTGAGGTTCAATTTTTTGCTTATGAAAGTTCAATTGTTTCAGTAGCATTTGTTGAAAGATTCTCCTTTCTCTATTGAGTTGTCTTTGCAGCTTTGTTAGAAATCAATTTTCCATGTCAGTGTGGATCTATTCCTGGATACAGTCTGTCCCATTGATCTCTGTGTCTATCCCTTTGCTGGAATCACACTGTCTTGATTACTTCAGCATTGGAGCAGAACTTTAAAATTGTGTAGCATCGCTTTTCTGACATCATTCTTTTTTCTACCTTTTAATCTTTACATGTCTTTTAAAATCAGATTACCTGATATACAACATATCCTATGGTGGGATTTCGATGGAGTTGTATTAAAAGTATAGATCAATTTGGGAAGAATTGAAGTCTTTATTAAGTATTTCTACCCATGGATCCATGTATTTCTTCATTGATTTAGGTCTTCTGTGATTTTGTTTACAGCATTTTGTACATTTTCAGCATACAGATCTTATATAGACTCAATCATTTCATTTTTTCAGAGATAGTACAAATGCAATTATTTTAAAATGTTGATTTTCTGTTAGTTATTGTTAGTATATACAAATTAAATGAGTTTTGTATTTTGAACTTGTGCTACTTCTGGAATGTGTGTGTGTGTGTGTGTGTGTGTGTTTGTGCACGTGTTTATGTAGTCCTTGGAATATACCATAACCAAGTGGGTTCTTCCTGGGAATGCAAGACTGCTTCAATACTTGAAGATCAGTCAATGTAATCTGCCATAGTAATAATCTAACAAGAAAATCAACATGATCACATCAATTGATATAGAAAAAAAATTTACAGAATTCAACATATTTTCCTATTACAGATTTTCTGCAAACTAGGAATAGAAGCAAGCTTCTTAACCTGATGTATCGCACCTTCAAAAAGCCTACAGCAAACATCTTACTTAGTGATGAAAAACTGATTGCCTTCCCCATAAGATTGAGAACCAGGCAAGGATGTTTACTCTCATCACTCCTATCCAACATGGTACTGGAAGTCCTAGCCAATACAATAAGGGAAGAAAATGACACAAAATAAAGGTAGTAAGATTAGAAAGAAAGAAATTGTCTCTATTCACAAACAAGGTGATTTCTTTTCCTTTTTCTTCTTTTTTTTTTTAAGAGACAGGTTCCTTCTCTGTCACCCAGGCTTAAGTGCGATCATGGCTCATTGTATCCTCAAACTCCTGGGCACACACAAACAGTCCTCCTGCCTCAGCCTCCCAAGTAGCTAGGACTACCGGTGCATGCTGCCAAGCCCAGATAATTTTTTTTATTTTTTGGAGACACAGGTAGTCTCATTCTGGTTTCAGCTCTGGAAGGGGCGAAGAACAAGTCCCCAGAGCCCATCCTGTCCCTCGTGGATGACATACTGAGGGCTCAGGAAGACGCTCCCTCACAGCCTGCCCCAGTTTCCAGGCTGAGCCACCTGAGCAGCTGCTTCGGAAAGCCTCTTGTGCCATAGCCATGCTTAGGAAAAAGCATATCTTCCATTCAATTCACCAAGAAACACCAAGAAATAACTGGATACAAAGAATAAAAAATACTCTGGTGTGGCAGGGCAGGAGGGTGAAAATTGTGCCCCCTCCAAAGGTAATGTCTATAAAAGGATAACTAAGGCCAGCGCCAAAGTCCACCTACAGAAGGCGGGTCTGTCTCAACCCCAGCTGTCAGTCACTGTGAACCTTTAGAACTGGGGCTGAAGCTTCTTCCAGTTGCTTGCTCAGATGTCAGTGAGACCGCTCCACAACAGATAAGGGGAGCTGTGTGTCAGGGAAGTCCCAGCCACTAGGACAAGCTGCACTCCAGGCAGCTGTTTCTGTTCTTGTGCAAAGAACAGCGCAATCCATTCAAGTTCACAGGGGCGGGTGGCACTTGAAAATGTCAGGGTCAACTTGCAGGGCAGAAGTTAGCAGGGAAGTCTTCCTGGGGGAGTGGGAGAGCCCAGCAGAGTTTAGGAGGAGGGAGGGGCGACATCGGGGCAATCCTCTGAGTCTCTCTTTCCTCCTCAGGAACTGTCCAGGAAGACCCTGCAGTCTCTCTGCAGGCTCATGGGAGCTCCCAGAACTGAGACAACACACGGATCCAGGCCTGCTTCGAAGTCAGTGGGATGCGGCCCTTGAAAGTCGATGTATTGGGTTCCTAGGGCTCTCGTGAAAACATGCCACACCTGGCTGGTTTTAAACAACAGGAGTTTATTCTGTCAGTTGAGAAGGCTACAAGTGCAAAATCAAGGTATTGACGGGATGAGTTCCAACTAGAGGCTGTGAGGCAGATCAACTCCATGGCTCTCTCCTGGCTTCTGCTGGTTTCTGGCAACCGTTCACTTCCCATGCCTGGTAGACACATCACTCTAACCTCTGCCTCCCTTTTTCATGGGCACATTCGCGCCTGTGTGTGTGTGTGTGTGGATGTGTGTGTTAAGGACAGCAATCATTAGACTAGATGGGGCCCACTCTAATCCACTGTGAGCTTCTCTTACTTTGGTAACATCTGCAAAGACCCTATTTCCAAACAAGGTCACATTCCATGTTCTGGGACTGTCTTCTGAGAGATGTCTCCCCCAGGATCCTTCCAGGTGGAAGGATGCCCTTTGACCTGCAAAGCCAGGCAGAAAACCAGGATCAGGGCAGGACAAGAGGATGCTAGCCTGTGATGGCTCCCACTCAGGTGGGATGTGAGAAGTGCCTGTGGCCTGGGACACACCAACTTGCTCCCGTTACCTCATCTGAGATGGACTGCACAGTGTATGTCCAGGGCCCAACCCGGTACACTGTGCCTTTGCAATGCTGTCTCTGTGCTTTGGAAATTCACTCAGCCCACTGCGTGGGGTGGTCTGAGGCGGGCCACAACCATTTCTCAACCATCCCTGAGTACCTGACCAGTATCCCTCGGGGGTGACGACGACCGCCTACATCTGGAGCATGAGGAGCGTGTTTACCTGGTGAGTAAGGATGCAAGCATAGGACGTCCTGGCCGATCCTCTGCACAAGCAATGCCTTTGCTCCAACGGGATGGGCAACGTTGGATTAGGCCTGAGGCAGATTTGATCTCGGAAGATACATTCGAGTCTATGTGTTTTGTGCATTTATTTTTGTTTCCTTGAATTAACATGGAGTCCATTTCAACTTTCACTTAGTCTCCTTTCTCTTCCCCCACTTCTTTCTCTCTCTCTCTTTCTTTGTATGTGGAAGAATTTTAACTCTGTGTTCCATAATGTCTAAATACTCAAATTTAGAGTTGACAGCCATACAGCAAATTATTCAAGTTGCTGTCAAAAAAAAAAAATCCCTGCGTTTTCTAGGATTAAAACTGTGAATAGAGTACTGGAAGAAAAAAAAGTCATAGACTCAGATGCAAAATGACAACATTTAATGGGATGATAAGGAAATAAGACTTGACAAGAAACCATAGCCCACTGCAGACTGTTCACGATGTCAGATGGTTCATGATTTTTTTCCAGGTTTGATACAGAAGAATCAGTTTGTTACAAGAAATGCTTCTCCAACTGGGATTTAAAACATCATTTAAACAATAAACACGTTTGTATGTATATATAAATAGATATTTAGATATAAAAACATGCATATATAGGCACATAGACATGTACATACACACACATATGTACAAATATATATGCCTAAATTTTTACTGACCTGTCAACTTACAAAACAAAAATGAGAGATTTATAAAAGGTACATATATAGCTGTGAATTCTTTAAAGCTATTTTTAAAGAAATTAATATAATCTTAATGATTATCAGATTACTCATGCAGTACACAGCTACACAAGTCTAATGAAGTACCAGACACTTTTCTTTCTTCAACTATTGTCCTATCTTATTCAGGTTTTCATTTTCTTACTAGATGTGTTTTCAATGGTTTATGACGTAATAAAATTTCTTTACCTCTTCTAGTAATTGCTTTGTCTCACTCGGAAACTGAACTACTGTCGATGTTGTAAAAAGCTAGGGCATATTCTTCTGAAAAAATAAAGGGAACATGTATTTTTATTAAATAGATGATATAAGCACATTAGATCTAATCCTTCCAATAATTTTGAAATAGAGACAATTACTTTCCCATTTTATACATCCAGAAATATGCTAATAATATTTAAGACACTTGATGAAATATATTCTATTAGTAAATGATAGAGACAGAATTCAAACACTCCACAAACTTCACACAGCATTCAACAAGAAATAAATAGTACCAACCTTCCAGGGAACAGTTGTATGGTCTCTACAACATCTTTGTATATGTTTTAGAAATTAATCTATCAAATTTTTAAGTTAGTTAGCATTTCAGAATATTCCCCACTCCTCTCTTTAAGTCAAAGTCCACAGAAGTAGCTTGGAACAGTCAGTCTTAGCATGAACAACAATGACAATAACAAAAAGACCTGGAAGCTTAGTGTGGCTTGTATTTCAAGTTCAAGTGGAGCCCTGTCAGGTTATATTGCAAGGATTCTGGTGTTGAAAAACTCTGGTAACTGGAAAATGGGTTCAGTCAGAAGACACATCATGGGATAAAGAAACCAGTATACAAAGTAATGCCATCTATTGTTTACTCTGTGAAGACGGAGGTTGATTTTGGAAATTTAGTAGCTCAGGGAATATTAGATATAAATACCACATTCAATAACCTTAGGGCATGGCTGTTGCTTGCCTACCTTTTTCATAGTAATCGTAGACCATGGCTGGGGCTGGCTGAATGTTGAACACAAGGTTGCTCTGCTCAACAGAAAAAGGGAAACTGTCTGCTCGACCAAAACCCTATCATGACACAAATTATAATTACATTGTAGCAGGTCTGAGAAAAGATAATCACTGAGAAAATTGTCCGCAGAAGTTTATGATCTACATAATTAAATAGATCTAGGGTATGATTAACTTACACATTGGCAAAATAATGAGTTGTTAACCTTAAATCATATAAAATTTCAAGTTCCTTTGCTTACACTGAGGTGAGAGGAATTTAGCTGGAAGTCTTAGAGGAATGTAGGCATTTATGTGAGTGGTAACAATACACATAGAAAGGATGTCCCTAAAGCGCATGCCACAGTTTGGCGTTTCCTCAGTAGAATAAAAATAGAACTACCCTATGATCCAGCAATCCCATTTCTGGGTATGCATCCAAAGAAAATGAGATGAATATTTTGAAGAGACAGCTGCAGTCCCATGCTAATTCTTTCATTAATCACAATAGCCAACATAAGGAGTCAACCTAAGTGTTCGAAACAGATGAATGGATAATGAAACTGAGGCATATCCACATACAAATTATTCGGCCTTAAAAAAAAAGAATTTCTGCCATTTGTAACAACACTGAAGAACTTGGAGGACATTATGTGGAATGAAACAAACCAGATACACACAAAAAACACTGCAGGATCTCACCTGTAAGTTAAATCTAAAGTTGAGTTCATAGATGCAGAGAGTAGAATGGCAGTTATCAGGGATGGGAAAATGGGGAGATGCTGGTCAAAGGATAGAAAGCTTCAGCTGTGCAGGATGAATACATTCTACAAATCTCGGGTACAGCGGTGGCCTACAGTTAACAATGCTGTACTGTATATGTAATATTCCCTAAGGGAGTAGATCTTAAGTGCTTTGTCACAAAAAAAGAAGAGGTAACTGTGTGAAGAGAGGGATGTGTTAGTCAGCTAATTCACATATAGTCACGCTAGATGATAACAATCAGCTCACTATATATATCAAAACGTCACACCACATACCTTCAGTACGCAATTGTAATTTCAAAAAATTATGGCAAACATTGTAAGAGTTTAGTCAAATTATAAAATAATTACATATCTACTCTGTGACCAGACTGTGTTTGATAGGGAGATGATGTTTCTAAAATGGAAAGCTATCTAGTCACATAGCCAGGGCATATATGAAATAGCCTTGGAACTAGCAAGGAGAAGATGATCAGTGGGATAAAACACTGGTAATCCTTAACGTCCCTTATTTTTTCCTTTTACAGATCCTATCATACATATCTATAAGAAATTGAAGCATCCAATTATCCTTGGAAGGAAAAAAGAAAAACTTTAAAGAAAAAAAAATATGGCTAAACTTACATTTTCCAAGTAGAAAAGAACATGGTCATTCTTGACTTCAGTCTTCATCACTTGGCCCTTGTTTTCAAGCTTTGAAGAAATTGTTAGGGAAGGATAGAGAATAGATTTTAGAACAAATGACAGCGCCACTGCAGAACTCAATGTCCACTCTTTTCTACGTCACGTTCTGTTTTATGGAACATTCCTTGGTGCCGTGATGTTTTCATAAACACAGGTAGCAACTAAAGAAAAATATATGATGAACCATGGGAAATACTGACTGCTAATTGGTACAAATTAAGTAAACCAGCTCTCCAGTGTTAGCGCAAAAATACAAAGGTGAATGTTGAAGAAGAACTCTATAGTTTTGTTTTGCTAAACTATGGCTGAACAAGTATTTATTTTATCTTTATACTCTATGTAGCTGTCTTTGTGCTGAAAGATTAGGCTTCTATTATTTACCTCTTCAATGGATGACATGGTTGGAGTAAATCCTGATAGCATTTTTACATCTATAACCACCATACTGGATTTATTGCGAATTCCAGTGTATCTGAAAATTTTAAGAAAACACTCGTTTAGATATCAATTTTAAAAAGTGACTTATCTCATAATGAGAGTGCCAGGTGGATAAATACTAATTGGCTAGAAATCTGGAGGACAGGTAAAAGCTGAAGAGAAAACATCGGAAGAAAGTCATTTTCAAGCATCTGTGAATAGGCACGACCAGAATGATAATGAAAGAGATGATACATAGCAACAGAAATTGGAGCAAATAATGAATTATCTGGACATGAAATCTTCCCCAAACCCTGCTTTTAAGCTTACCTGCAGTCTCAAAGTTTGAACTGATAAACAGAGCTTCTAAATCTTTTACATATACTTAGGTTAGTGTTAGAGTTGCATAACACTTAGAGGACATCTTTGCTTAAAAGGTGGTATATGAGCATAATTAGAGAGTAGATGTGTCCCCAGGAGAACTTCTAGCTCAGTTTCCTGCTTCTGGATAAGACTATGGGGGTGTGAAGTTGAGAGTTCCATAGTTCATCAGGGCATGGTTGCTCACACCTGTAATCCCAGCACTTCTGGAGGCCAAGGTGGGTGGATCACTTGAGGGTCAGAGTTCAAGACCAGCCTGGCCAATATGGCAAAACTCTGACTCTACTAAAAATAGAAAAATTAGCCAGGTGTGGTGGTGCACGCCTCTAATCCCAGCTACTCAGGAGGCTGAGCCATAAGAATCCCTTGAACCCAGGAGGTGGAAGTTGCAGTGAGCTGAGATTGTGCCACTGTGCCACTGTACTGCAGCCTGGGTGACAAAGTAAGACTCTGTCTCAAAAACAAACCCAAAAAAGAAAAAGAGTTCCCCAATTCACTGAGTTCTTAGCCCTGGAGCTCAAGCGATTTTTATTTAGAAATTCTAAAAAATATCTCCCAAACTAATTTTACTCAATGTTTTCCACATATTAACTAAGGCTAAAAGCCTTTAGCATCTATAAATCATGCTTGAATTCAAGAGGATCATTTTGTTTTTCTATTCTGAAAAGTAAAAATCTAAAATGTTACTCTTTACAGTTACAAAAGAAACATTTGTGGGCTTGCTACTATATGACCATGCATGCTTGTCTTGAGAAAGAAATATAGAATCTCTGTTTTTCAAAACTAGGAGTACTTCCATACAACAGAATAAAAAGTATCATTGAAACATCAGTGCAGTGAAAGCTTTCAAATCCTGCTCACATAGACTGCATGTTTTCTTGCCTCATTTTAGCTCTGATTTAGCTGAAGATGTACTAAATTGTGGTGTCCGGACAGAGGGCTAAAAAGTGACTGTGCTGTAGAATTGTCACCACCAACATGAGAACTCATCATATTACCATGATTTATATTTTGTTATTTCACTACTGTTTGAACTTTTAAAATATTTTACCATCTTGTTCACATGGGAGTTACTGTCAAAATATGACACTTACTTGAGGGTCACTGTGAGGTCAAAAGCAGTCGAAGAGTAGTTCTTTACTATTTCCAAGGAAAGAGAAAATCCAGATGCCTTCTTAGGTAGGAGAACATTGTACTTAAGGGTGGCCTAGAAAGGATAGCAAATTATAAGAAAACCCATCCTGTATTAAGAATTATACAGTCTGACTAGAGTCAGTAGTAATGTGATTTTACATTTTAAAATAACCAAGAGTATACTTCGATCATTGGTAACACAATGGATAAATGCTTGAGGTGAGCATACCCCACTTGCCCTGATGTGATTCTTACACGTTGCATGCCTGTATCATGCACCCGGTAAATATTTACACCTACTATGTACCCACAAAAATTAAAACATTTTTAAAAAGAAAGAGCCTATTGTTTATTTCTATTACTAACGCAGTTTACATCTTTATCATCAGGGAATCAGGTTAAATTCTTTAGTTTTCAGAATAATGTAATTTAATGAAGATAGAATACTTTCTAATAGCAATATTCCTCAAGAAACTTCTCTTAGACAGCTGAGTAGCTTTTCAAAAAGTAACTTGCAATTTTGGCTATTGATTATGTAAATACACAAAACGGTCAAATAACACTTCACGTAGAACTGAACAGACAGTCTGACTCTTTTACTGGCAAACACTCATCACCCTCTTAGGCAGATTTCTGTTACCTGGATAAATGTACAACCGTGTCCTTCCACATCTACTGTGTATTGTCCAGGTGCCTGTGTTACTTCTGAACGTTGGACCAGTAGGCGATTATGACCGTTAACCTGGAAAATCTCACTGGATCCTTCACTGCTAAAGGTGACAGTGTTTTGATCCTTAGAGAAAAGCCCCTCTTCCCCCCCTGGCTCTTAGGATCCCCATCGCAGGGCGGGGAGGCACCCACCGCGAGGCGGAGACTGAGAGCCAGTCCCTCCCACCCCCGGCTCTTAGGACCCCCATAGCAGGGTGGGGAGGCACCTCCCGCGAGGCGGGGACTGAGAGCCAGCCCCTGTTGCCCCCCTGGCTCTTAGGACCCCCATCGCAAGGGAGGGAGGCACCCCAAGCGAGGCGGGGACTGAGAGTCTGTCCCTCTTTCCCCCGTGGCTCTTGGGACAACCATCGCAGGGGTGGGAGGCACGCCGCGGGAGACGGGGACTGACAGCCAGCCCCTCTTCCTCCCTGGTTCTTAGGACCCCCATCGCAGGGGCGGAGGCACCCGCAGCGAGGCGGGGACTGAGAGAGAGCTCCTCTTCCCCCTCAGGATGTTAGGACCCCCATCGCGGGGGGGGGAGGCACTCCCGCCAGGCGGGAACTGAGAGCCAGCCCCTCTTCACCCCCTGGCTCTTAGGACAGCCATCGCAGTGGGGGGAGGCACCCCCAGCGAGGCAGGGACTGACAGCCAGCAACTCTTCCGCCCCGGGCTCTTGGGACCCCCATCGCAGGTGGGGGAGGCACACCTCGCGAGGCGGGGACTGAGAGCCAGCCCCACTTCCACCCCTGGCTTTTAGGACCCCCGTCACAGGTGGGGGAGGCACCCCCAGCGAGGCGGGGACTGAGAGCCTGCCCCTCTTCCCCCCTCCAGGCTCTTCGGACCGCCGTCGCAGTGTGGGGAGGCACCCCCTGTGAGGCGGGGACTGAGAGCCAGCCGCTCTTTCCCCCTGGCTCTTAAGACCCCCATTGCAGGGGGGAACACACCCCCCGCGAGGCGGGGACTGAGAGCCAGCCCCTCTTGCCCCCCAGGCTCTTGGGACCCCCATCGCAGGGGGGAGGAGGCACCCCCCGCGAGGTGGGGACTGAGAGCCAGCCCCTCTCCCCCACGCGGCTCTTCGGACCCCCATCGCAAGGGGGGGAGGCATCGCAAGGGGGGGAGGCATCGCAAGGGGGGGAGGCATCGCAAGGGGGGGAGGCATCGCAAGGGGGGGAGGCATCGCAAGGGGGGGAGGCATCGCAAGGGGGGGAGGCATCGCAAGGGGGGGAGGCATCGCAAGGGGGGGAGGCATCGCAAGGGGGGGAGGCATCGCAAGGGGGGGAGGCATCGCAAGGGGGGGAGGCATCGCAAGGGGGGGAGGCATCGCAAGGGGGGGAGGCATCGCAAGGGGGGGAGGCATCGCAAGGGGGGGAGGCATCGCAAGGGGGGGAGGCATCGCAAGGGGGGGAGGCATCGCAAGGGGGGGAGGCATCGCAAGGGGGGGAGGCACCCCATGCGAGGCGGGGACTGAGAACCAGCCCCTCTACCCCCCGTGGCTCTTAGGAGCCCGATCGCGGGTGAGGGAAGCACCCCCCGCGAGGCGGGGACTGAGAGCAAGCCCCTTTTCCCCCCCTGGCTCTTAGAACAACCAACGCAGAGGGGGGAGGCACCCGCTGTGAGGCATGAACTGAGAGCCAGACCCACTTCCCCCCAGCTCTTGGGATCCCCATCACAGGGGGGAGGCACCCCACATGAGGCGGGGACTGAGAGACAGCCCCTCTGCCCCTCCTGGCTATTAGGACCCCCGTCGCACAGGGGGGAGGGACCCCCCATCGCACGGGGGAGAGGGACCCCCCGCGAGGCAGGGACGGAGAGCCTGCCGCTCTTCCCCCCGTGGCTCATAGGACCCCCATCGCAGGCGCTTGGCACCCCACGCGAGGCGGGTACTGAGAGCCAGCTCCTCTTCACCCCGGGTCTCTTAGGACTGCCATCGCAGGGGGGTAGAGGTACCCCATGCAAGGCGGGGACTGAGAGTCAGCCCCTCTTCACCTCTCGCTCTTAGGCCCCCATCGCGGGGGGGGAGGCACCCCATGCGAGGCGGGGATTGAGAGCCAGCCCCACTTCCCCCCTGACTCTTGGGACCACCATCGCAGTGGGGGCAGGTACACACCGCGAGGCGGGGGGGGGGGGCAGGTACACACCGCGAGGCGGGGACAGAGTGTCAGCCCCTCTTCCCCCACTGGCTTTTGGGACCCCCATCGCGATGGGGGGAGGCACCCCCAGCGAGGCGGGGACTGACAGCCAGCAACTCTTCTGCCCCGGGCTCTTGGGACCCCCATCGCAGGGGCGGGAGGCACCCCCCGCGAGCCAGGTTCTGAGAGCCAGCCCCTCTTCCCCTCTGGCTCTTAGAACCCCCATCGCAGTGGAGGGATGCACCCCCCGCGAGGCAGAGACTGAGAGAAAGCCCCTCTTTCCCCCTGGCTCTTGGGACCCCCATCGCAGGCGGGGGAGGCACCCCCCGCGAGGCGGGGACTGAGAGGCAGCCCCTCTTCCCCACCTGGCTCTTAGGTCCCCCATCGCGGGGGGGAAGCACCCCCCACGGGGCGGGGACTGAGAGCCAGCGCCTTTCCCCCCGGGGCTATTAGGACCCCCATCGCAGGAGGGTGAGACACACCCCAGGAGGCTGGGACTGAGAGCCAGCCCCTCTCCCCCCGCTGGCTATTAAGACACCCAACGCAGGGGGTGAGGCACCCCCTACAAGGCTGGGACTGAGAGCCAGCCCCTCTTTCAACCTGGCTCTTGGCAAGGCGGGGAGGCATCCCCCCATGGCAAGGCGGGGAGGCATCCCCCCATGGCAAGGCGGGGAGGCATCCCCCCATGGCAAGGCGGGGAGGCATCCCCCCATGGCAAGGCGGGGAGGCATCCCCCCATGGCAAGGCGGGGAGGCATCCCCCCATGGCAAGGCGGGGAGGCATCCCCCCATGGCAAGGCGGGGAGGCATCCCCCCATGGCAAGGCGGGGAGGCATCCCCCCATGGCAAGGCGGGGAGGCATCCCCCCATGGCAAGGCGGGGAGGCATCCCCCCATGGCAAGGCGGGGAGGCATCCCCCCATGGCAAGGCGGGGAGGCATCCCCCCATGGCAAGGCGGGGAGGCATCCCCCCATGGCAAGGCGGGGAGGCATCCCCCCATGGCAAGGCGGGGAGGCATCCCCCCATGGCAAGGCGGGGAGGCATCCCCCCATGGCAAGGCGGGGAGGCATCCCCCCATGGCAAGGCGGGGAGGCATCCCCCCATGGCAAGGCGGGGAGGCATCCCCCCATGGCAAGGCGGGGAGGCATCCCCCCATGGCAAGGCGGGGAGGCATCCCCCATGGCAAGGGGGGGAGGCATCCCCCACGAGTCGGGGACTGCGAGCCAGCCCCTCTTCCCCCCCAGGCTCTTGGGACCCCCATCGCAGGGGGGGAGGCACCCCCCGCGAGGCGGGGACTGAGAGACAGCCCCTCTTCCCCCTCCGGCTCTTAGGTCCCCTAACGCGGGGGGGAGGGAAGCACCCCCCACGGGGCGGGGACTGAGAGCCAGCGCCTTTCCCCCCCGGGCTATTAGGACCCCCCATCGCAGGAGGGGGAGACACACCCCAGGAGGCCGGGACTGAGAGCCAGCCCCTCTCCCCTCGCTGGCTATTAAGACACCCATCGCAGGGGGTGAGGCACCCCCTACGAGGCTGGGACTGAGAGCCAGCCCCTCTTTCAACCTGGCTCTTAGGACCCCCATGGCAGGAGGGGAGGCATCCCCCACGAGGCGGGGACTGAGAGCCAGCCCCTCTTCCCCCTCTGGCTTAGGACCCCCACCGCGGATTCTAAGATCCTTAGCACCCACCTGGAGGACTGTGGGTTTTAGGTGTCCAAGAAGAAAGCTCAGATCTTCCAGCAGAAGGTACCTTACTTGGGATTTACTATCCGACAGGGGTCTGAACGCAGCTCGGGATCAGAAAAAAAGCAGGTCATTTGCAATGTACCGGAGCCAGCCCCTCTTCCCCCCTGGCTCTTAGGAGCCCCATTGCTGGTGAGGGAGGCACCCCCCGCGAGGCAGGGACTGAGAGCCAGCCTCTCTTCCTCCCCTGGCTCTTAGGACCCCCATTGCGGGGGGGGGAGGCACCCCACACGAGGCGGGGACTGAGAGCCAGCCCCTCTGCGCCCCCTGGCTATTAGGACCCCCATCACAGCGGGGAGAGGCACCCCCCGCGAGGCAGGGACGGAGAGCCTGCCCCTCTTCCCCCCGTGGCTCTTAGGACCCCCATCGCAGGCGCTTGGCACCCCACGCGAGGCAGGTACTGAGAGCCAGCTCCTCTTCCCCCCCGTGTCTTAGGACAGCCATCGCAGCGGGGGAGGTACCCCCCGTGAGGCAGGGACTGAGAGCCAGCCCCTCTTCACCTCTCGCTCTTCGGCCCCCATCGCAGGGAGGAGGAGGCACCCCATGCGAGGCGGGGACTGAGAGCCAGCCCCACTTCCCCCCTGGCTCTTGGGACCACCATCGCAGTGGGGGGAGGTACACACCACGAGGCGGGGACGGAGAGTCAGCCCCTCTTCCCCCACTGGCTTTTGGGACACCCATCCCGGGGGGGAGGCCCCCCCCCCGCGAGGCGGGGACTGAGAGCCAGCCCGTCTTCGCCCCCTGACTCTTAGGACCCCCATCGCAGTGGGGGGATGCACCCCCCGCGAGGCAGAGACTGAGAGAAAGCCCCTCTTTCCCCCCTGGCTCTTAGGACCCCCATCGCAGGCGGGGGAGGCACCCCCCGTGAGGCACGGACTGAGAGCCAGCCCCTCTTCCCCCACTGGCTAAGACCCCCATTGCGGATCCTAAGATCCTTAGGACCCACCTGGAGGACTGTGGGTATTAGGTGTCCAAGAAGAAAGCTCAGATCTGCCGACGGCAGGTACCTTACTTGGGATTTTCTATACGACAGGGGTCCGAACGCAGCCCGGGATCAGAAAGAAAGCAGGTCGTTTGCAATCTACCGGAGCCTAAGGGCAGAAGGCAGGTTAGAGAATTCTTAGGAGCTGTGGGGTTTTGTAGACTGTGGATTCCAAACTTTGCAGTATTAGCCAAGCCTTTGTATGAGGTCACAAAGGGGGTGGGGACCGGAAAGCTTTCCAATGGGGATCCCAACAACAGGAAGGCTTTCATGAGTTAAAGGAAAAACTTCTGGCAGCCCCAGCCCTGGGGCTACCCGATGTGACAAAGCCTTTTCCATTGTATGCTTCACAGAGAGAAAAGATGGCAGCTGGACTTTTAACCCAAACTGTGGGGACCTGGCTGAGGCCAGTGGCCTACGTCTCTAAACAACTAGACAGGGTTTCTAAAAGATGGCCCCCCTGTTGGAGGGCCTTGGCAGCAACTACCCTGCTAGTACTAGAAGCAAATAAGCTGACTCTTGGGCAAAACCTGAACATAAAGGCCCCCCATGCTGTGGTGACTGAGAGCCAGCCCCTCTTCCCCCCCTGGCTCTTAGGATCCACGGTGGACTCACAGCCTGTTTACCATATTGTGAGTAATATCATCTCCCCCTCTGGAGACCTCCGGAGATTATGAACTGTTTCACAGACGGGTGTACACCCTCAGTGTACAGAGGGCGTACACCCATCTGTATTGGGAGTAATATCATCCTCTTCCTCCCTGAATATTAAGAACAGTATCACAGGGGTGTTTCTACTCCCTGCGATATCGCGTGTCATATCCTCCTCTCCCACCTTGCAATTAGAAACAATATCAGTGGGGGCGTGTCCACCTTCTGTCATATTGAAAGTAATATCATTTTCTTCCCTCCAGGACCGTGGGAACAATATGCCAGGGGGATTTCCACTTTCTGCCATATATGTAGTCACATCACCCACTCTGCTTTGGAATATTATTAAGGACCATCTAACACGAGGGTGTATACGTCCTGCAATACTACGAGTAATATCAACTTCTTGGCCTCTGAATATGAGGAAGAATATCACAGGGTGGGTGTACACCTCGTGCTCTATTATGCGGAGTCATATCTGTCTATTATGGGGAGTAATATCATTCTCTCCCTTTCAGGATATTAATAACAATTTCACAGGCTGGGTGAACACAGCCGGCAATGCTGAAATTATTATCATCCTCTCCCCATCTTCCCCTCCTGGCTCTTAGGACCCCCATCGCAGGGGGCTGAGGCACCCCCCGCGAGGCGGGGACTGAGTGCCAGCCCCTCTTCCCTAGCCCCTTCGTCAGGGCTGAGAGAATTTTGAGCGCTAGCCGTCTCTCGATCGCTGGCTAATAAAGAACTCCTGAATTAGTCTCAAAGTGTGGCGTTCCTCTATTACCCGCTTGGTTACAACAGCTTTATATTAATAATTGTAGTAATAAAGTTGATCGCACATAGGATGGAGGAGGCACCTGCCTGGTGAGATGAGACAATGGTCGGATTCACTGAGGCTCCTGCGTGTCCCGGATTTCCCGCTGGGGGAGGGTGTTCTGCTCAGCGGTTCCCACACCTGCTTCCATGGGAGAAGCAAGAAGTCAGAAGGGTGGGCGAAGGAGTCAGAAGCTTCTATTATTGGTTCGGGGAGATGCTGTGTTGGGGGCATCAATTATATGGGGAACCAACCAGTTGCCAACTCCTGACCCTTGGAGTTGACCCCACACCGCTTAAACCTCTGCGCTGGTTCCCGGGGGCCCACAGTGAGGTCTGTAACTCGGGGAGAGGCGCTGGAGCGGGGTGTGGGAGAATGGTGTGCAGGACGGGCTCCATGCACTTTGAAATTATAAACTGCCTTATGAGACAGGGGTACGGTGTGTGTGCATTTTCCTGGGAGAGTCCATAGTTTTTACCACATTGTGTAAAGCTATGCTGTGCAGTAGAAATATTACGCCATACACAATACATATGTACAGTTTTAGTTGTCAAAGAAACTGAAAGAAGATCTTGATGAACACGGATGGCATAGATGTGAGGAAAGCACCATTATTAAAGAATATTTATGCATTTATGTAATGCATTAAAAGGTAACAAAATGGATAAGCAGGTAACACAATAGCAAAGACCGAGAGTGAACTGCAGTCATCCACTGGGGAACTGAGGAGTCAGGGTTTCTCATTACAAAACTCTCTGATGGAAGACTATTACTTATCAACTATTTATTGTCTTTCCACTAAACAAGAAGTGATCGTCATCTTTTCAGATGAGCACCACAGACTTTGCAAAAGATAATTGCCAATTACCCTTTGTACCTGGATTTTCTCATTCCTAAAAATAGTACTACATGACTCCAAAGTTTGTTGTGAAGTTAATTGGGGTGGTGTATCCTAAAGTAACAAAAATGTTGACCATACAGGAGGGGGTGGTTAGTGTTAAGACTCTCTGTTTTTCTGTCTATACATATATATATATATATATATATATATATATATATATATATATATATATATATATAGATAGATAGTTAGTTTAGGTTTACATAAAGACAAAGTATCATGAAAAGGGGTCTTACAATTGGTAGTACTAAAAAAATGTTTAAACTCCAAGATCTTCAATTTTAATGTATAAAAATAATAAAACATACTGATAAATAACAAAAGTTCTATAGTCAGACAACATAGGTCCAAGTTTGGGCTTGATCTCAACTAGGGTTTCAATGCTGAAAAAAATGTCATGTGGTCTTTCCAACTTCATTTCCTTTCCTAACATTGGAGATAATAAATTCACTGTTATTAAGTGTTAAATGAGATTATTCTTAAGAAGGTGTTAGAATGGTTCTAACATACATAGGTGTTATGAGCTAATATTTGTAGTACCATTGTAGCATAAGGAAATACCATCTGCTGAGAGAGGCACAATAATGATTATCTTCATGATAATAGTTTAAGAGCTACCAGATACAGAATGAAGGGGCCATAAAATGATAATGTTATGAATGATTTTGATGCTTACGCCAGAATCCATTCTAGGATAGCTCCTGCCTGAAAAGAACTGGGATTCATTTCTTTGGAATCATGGGACACTGAGTGTGGCAAAAAGAAAACAAAAGAAAAATATGGAAATCACATATGTGATTTTAACATAGAAAGAAACAGGAGAGGCTGAGCATGGTGGCTCATGCCTGTAATCCCAGCACCTTGGGAGGCCAAGGCAGGCGGATCACCTGAGGTCAGGAGTTTGAGACCAGCCTGGCCAACATGGTGAAACCCCGTCTCTACTAAAAGTACAAAAATTAGCCGGGCGTGGTGGCAGGTGCCTGTAATCCCAGCTACACAGGAGGCTGAGGCAGGAGAATTGCTCAAACCCCAGAGGTGGAGGTTGCAGTGAGCCAAAATTGTGCCACTGCACTCCAGCCTGGGCAACAGAGCAAGACTCAGTTGGAAAAAAAAAAAAAAGAAGAAATTAGCGATATATTTCATTTACTCCAATGTATCCAAATTATGGTCATTTTAGCATGTAATCAATATAGATTTTAATGAGATAGTCTATGTTCTTTTTTCCTAAGTCTGAAATTCGGTGTGTATTTACACTGACAGCACATCTCAATTTAGACTAGCCACATTTCCAGTGCTGAGTGGCTGCATGTACCTGGTGGCTACCACACTGGACAGCACAGGTCTAAGGATTTCATTCCTGGTTCAAAACCAGACTCCTAGCCTTGGTTTTGGGTGTTTTTCACAAACTGGCCTCTCTTTATCATTCTTTTTCCTGGTACTTCCTCAAGGATGACTGTGTCCCCACCACTCAAGACCACCTGCTGTTTCACCACATACCTTTGTTCAAGCTGTTCCTTTTACCTGGGATGCTCTCGTTTTGTTTTTTTGAGACAGGGTCTCACTGTGTTGCCCAGGCTGGAGTACAGTGACATGATCATGGCTCACTGCAGCCTCCACTGACCACCTGGAGCTCAGATGATCCTCCCACCTCAGCCCTCCCTAGCAGCTGGGACTACAGGCCTGCACCACCACACCCAGCTAATTTAAAATATATATATTTGTTGGTAGAGACAGGAGTCTATGTTGACCAGGCTTGATTCTTCCACCACGGCCACCCAAACTTCTGGGATTATAGGTGTGAGCCACTGCTCCCCACCTGGAATGCTGTCTCTGCACCTTCTCCCTGGGCCTGGTAGAGAGGCACACATTCTGCTGAGAGGTTTTTCCTGACTTCCCTAACCCTAGAAGGGCTTTGTTCCTCCTTAGCATTGTACTCATGGCTGGATTAGAGTTTAACTGTTTTTGACGCTGTTTTCCTGGCTGTTGCATAGTGTCTTATTCGTCTTTGTCGTGATAATGGTCTGCACTGAATAGATGATCAGTAGATGTTTGTAGACAGAATGAATAAACCACTAATCAGCCTCTTAGTGCTTGAATGGACTTGCTACTTCCTTGTTTAGATTCGTGTCTGTACAATCCTCTCATGTGGATAGTACAGTAAACACAGACACCCTCAGATGTGGTAACAAGGAATTCATCTTAAAATGTGTACAGAAAGTTTTACATCTTTATCCTCCTCCTGATCTTACAGGTGGGAGAACTGAGGCACAGGATTGAGTTAAGATGGCCAGCAAATTTGCATGAGTATAAATACAAAGAAGGAGAGGGGAGGAACATTTTTGAAAGGTGTGGGTGGTCTCACACGATTGGTTCCTCAGATGGTTGGAGATCAGTTGGCCGTGCCTTGGTTATGTGACAGGACAGAGGAGAAGTGGGAGGTGAGGAGTAGCTCCTGGGTCCTCATGAGTATTCGAGGCAGGTTCAGGTCTGAGAAGCAGAGGATATCCTTCCTGGAAGCCTGAGTTAGGAGGAGGAACTCACTGCTGGAGAAAAAGGTGAAAAGGAAAGAGACATCTCAGATCATGGGAAGTGCTGGCCTGAGGAGGCAAGGAGAGAACCATCAGGGTAGAAGAAGGGGCTGAGGAAGCTGGCAGGGGGAGCAGAGGAGTAGGTGCCAGCATGGTGAAGAGGTGCAGTGCATTATGTGTGATACACACATTATTATTATTGGGAATAACCGTGTATCAGAGTGCAGTTCTCAGCCTGGAGAATGGGAAATGGAAAGGACCAGAGATTCAGAGAAGGCAGTTTACCCAAGGTCACACAGCCCTTTAAGGCCAAGTACAGCCTCCGAGGCATTTCTTGCCACACTCACCCAGGCCCACCCACACCTCTGTTGCAATGGAGGGCCCCACTACCCAGGAGAGCAGGTCTAGGGCACAGTGCCAGGCCGGATGAATGTCCCTCATGCCCTTTTCAAACAACAGGCTATGATTAGGCCTAATTATAGGGGCCTGGTCCCTTAATATTCTTCCTGGCATGTCTCTTGCCAATCAAATCAGTGCCATCTGCAGTGTGATTCCTGCTTTAGTGGCATCGGGAGAAGAGTTAATTCAACCCAATATAAACAGACTGTGCCCTCACCTTGCAATTCGAGTATTTTTCCCTCCTGTCCTGCACCCCAACATGCACCTCCTTCCTTCTGGCTCCCTAAGCTCTAGCCTGGGTGAGCAGGGCCTGGACACTCCTATACCTAGAGTCACTAGCCACTGCCCAGTCTGTCTAGGACGCAGGCCTCGAATTCCTCAGGGTTAGAGTGGGAAGAACCCACGTGTGCACATTTGCTTTTCCAACCTGGGCACCATTTGGCAGTTGATTCGGGCAATTCTCTCACCACCACCACCCTGCCCATGTACCTGTTTCCAGCCTCTGTTTCCCTCTTCAGCCAGGGATCCTTTCTTGTGTTTCCAAGGTGGAGAGCTGAACTGAGATCATGTATGGACAGGGTGCTCGGCAGGTACCCAGCACCTTAGTACCAATTCCCCAGTCCCTGGTCCTGCCGTCTCCCTCCCTCATTCATTCAGCAGGCATCGGCAGAATCCCATCTCCTATGAGCTCCTGACCTCCTACCAAATGCTCTGCTGCCACCTACCCCCACCTGATCAGAGGGCCAGCCCCTGTACTGGGAAGTCCTCTCTCCAGTCCCTGCAACACAACCTCTGGGAGCAGCCCCTTTGGGGATTCTTGGTCCTGGAGGACCCAGCTGTCTTCCCTGGGTGGAAGGGGCCAAGGGGAGAGCCCAACTTGGAAGCTTTCGCTCCTGAGAGCCGGAGAGCTCACTCCCTTCCACCCCACCTAGCCTCCTGGTTTCCTGTGGTGGCTCTGCTCTCCCAATTCATGCTCTTCCTCCCACGAGGCAGAGAGGGGCGGGGGGCGGGGGGCGGGGGGTGGGGGGCGGGGATGGGGGAGGTTAGTCCTTCACTGTTTCCTGCAGCCGGAAAATATTTACCCAACAGTGCCTGTGTGCAAGGCACTGAGCAAATCACTATAGATCCAGTGATGAATAAGGCAGCGTCCTTGTCCAACTGGTGTATACACTCTGGCAGGAGAGACAGACCTAAATAACCAATTAATGATCAGTTATTTAATTACAGTTGTGATAAGGCCTATTTATAGTATTTTGTAATCACTAATCTTCATGTATCATGGAGCTTGCTCCACCATTGATCTGAGTGTGTTAACTCATTTAATCCTTGCCACATTTTATGAGCAGGCGCTGCTGTTATCCATTTTATAGATGAGGAAACTGAGGCACAGAAAGACAGAGATCTGGCCGAGTGCCAAAGCCAGGGTTCAAAGCCAGGGATCGTGGCCCTGGGTTCTGTGGGTTATCACCGCCTCTGCGGAGGGGAGATGAGGTGCTGCGAGGCTCATCATGGGGGGCCTGGCTTGGTCTCAGGGGTCAGGGAAGACGGATGTGAGGAAATAGCATTTGTGGTAAAACCTGAGGGTGAGTGGGTAGGTCAGGGAGAACATTCCAGAAAGAAGTAAGCACATGAGCTACAGCCCTGAGGTGGAGGACCTGAAAGGAGGCCAGTGTGGCTGCAGCGCAGGCCGTTGAGGGAGCCGAGCTGGAGGGCTGCGGTTCTTGTATCGGCAGTGCTGACCCCGCAGTCCTTGGGCTCCAGTGACTTTTCACTCAGTGTTTATCTAACTCGAGTGAGCGAATGGCGTTTGCTGTTTCCTGCAAAAGTCCCAGGGGTTGTTGGGTACACAGGTCCTGTCTTTGGCCACAAGCAACCTGAAATGAGGCTTGGTCTTCTTCCCGGGACCCCGGGCTGTGCCTCACTTGGGGGACCCCAGCATGAAGTATGTGACTGCCTGACTCAGGCCCCTCTCCAGGTCCAAGTCACCCCCACCCGGCCCCATCCCTGGTTGTTGCCAGACCTGGAGTCCCTGCTCCTTCACTGGTGCAGCCTCCTCTTCTGTCACCAACTACAGTCAGGAGGTGACAGGGATGAGGCTGCAGTCAGGGGATTTGCAGGCACAGAGGGTTGGGTGAGACAAAGAAAACGACAGGACATGGTGACAGATTAGGAACAAGAACGAAGGAAAGGGAGGAGTCAGCCATGACTGGGAGTAAGGTGGGAGCATTGACACCTCTCCCTCTCCACTTGCCCCCATCCTGCAGCAATGGACAAGCATGTGGGCTTTTCATTTTCTGTGGGCTTTTTCAGTGGGGATGTGACGTGCTCCTCCTGCTTGGACACCTCCTGCACAAAAGAGACAGGTGGACAGACCTTCCTCCTTGCCCCTTGTCCTCACTTCCTCCATCCTTCCTTCTCTCCCATTCTACTGATTGGCATCTGGTGGCCCCCAAGGTTACACAGCACTGGATCAGCTGCCTGCATAATTAGCAAATCATTCTTTTTTTCTTTTTTGAGACGGAGTCTCACTCTGTCGCCCAGGCTGGAGTGCAGTGGCGCAATCTCCACTCACTGCAAACTCCGCCTCCCAGGTTCACGCCATCCTCCTGCCTCAGCCTCCCGAGTAGCTGAGACTACAGATGCGCGTCACCACGACCGGCTAATTTTTTTGTATTTTTAGTAGAGACAGGGTTTCACCGTGTTAGCCAGGATGGTTTTGATCTCCTGACCTTGTGATCCACCTGCCTCAGCCTCCCAAAGTGCTGGGATTACAGGCATGAGCCACCGCGCCTGGCCAGCAAATCATTCTTAATTACCCCAGAGTGGAAGAGAACAAAGGTGAAGACAAGAGCCCAGGTTCAGGATCTGCTTCTTTGGGGTCATGACAGAGGCGAGGGAAGGAGTGAATCTGGATCAGCAGTGGGTGCTCCCTGCTCCCTCCTCCCCAGTAGCCTCTAGGCCAGCTGCTGGTCCAACTCCGAAATCCACCACCCCTCAGCCACCCAGCCCTCCCAGGAGAAGCTGAAGTCCTTTCCTGTGTGTGTGAGCGCCAAGCTGGAGCCCAAGGATGACATGGAGGAGGCGCTTGGGGGGTCTCCCCAAGTCTCCATGCTGCTCGTCAACATCAGAGAGATCCTTTGTAGCAGAAAATGGAGTCGCAGGGTGTGGGTGCAAGACTCAGCCTGACTTAATGGGGTCCCAGGGCATCACACTCAGGTGCAGCACAGAGGCGGGAGCCAGAAGGTGACCAGGGTGGCTTGGCTCGGTGGCCTGGGACCCCTCAGTGCAGTGTCCCTGATGACATGGGAGAGGTAGGTCAGGAACATGGTCCCAGGACAGCAGGTGCTGGCTTGCCTGACCTCCACATTGCCTCTGTAGATACAAGAAGTCTGTCTTCCCGGACCAACTGGTTGGTGCTGTAACAAAGAGCCATGTGATGCTGGGGGCAGAGACAGAGAAGAAACTGTTCAGTGCCCCTTGTCCATCAATGAGAGAGCAGCTGGAGCAGCAGGTGGACAGGGAGGGGGAGGGGCAGGGGCAGGGGCAGGGGCAGGGGCTGGGGGCCTTGCCAGGCTCCTCTCTAGGAGAGGCTCTATTGAACCCCTTATGCCACCACAGCTGTGCAGGGTGCACATGAGGTCTCGCTAGCTGCTCCTGCAGGTCCCTGTCACCTCTCACATGTCCCTACCTAATCCCGTGTGTCCCGGAGAACTACTTCTACACGCCAGACCTGGGCCAAGTCCCCAAGGTCGATGTGCCATCCTACCTGACCTGCCTGGCAGACCTCAAGTATGGTGCCAGCCTGGGCCCCAGCATCACCCACTCTGCCCTGGCACCAGGCTCAAGTCTCTCAAGCCCAGTGAGCTGGGTGTTAGGATGGCAGCCAGGCTCCCTACTCAGTCACCTCCTTCCCTAGGCACCCCACACTTTCTCCCATTTCCACTTCCGACCTATACGATGGCATGTTAACAGCACCCCAACCTCCCCAAGCTGCTGCGGTGCTGGTCAGTGCACCCTCATCCCCACCCCAGGCCCCGCCCACTGCAGTCCAAGGTGCCGGGCAGGATGACAGCAGCAGCATCCCCTTCAGGAGGGAGCCGCTCTCTGAGGCCACCTCAGTCTCATTTCTGGATCCCTGGCAGATTTTCTGTGGGGTTGTTAGCTGGTCAGAAATCCCTTATTTTTTTTAATAGTTGTCATTTCTTGTTCTACTTGGCTCATAAAATAGTGGTTTTCAAACTGTAGCGCCCTGGAATTCTCACCTCTACGGTAGAGGGAGCCTGGACAAGGGTGGCCCTGGGGCCCCCATTCCTAAACCAAGGAGAAAAAAGGGTCTAATAACAAAAACACTACAGGGGACAGGAACACGGAGCCGGGGGTCAAATGTGACTGAACCCCACACCCCACTCCGTGGCTTTCCTATTGCAGTGAGAGCCGTAAGCCAAGGCAGGGAATTGATGTGGGATCTCTTCAACAAGCTGGTCCTGAGACGCAAGCGTAGGAGGCAGGGCCGCTGTCTGCCATGGGCTGTGGCATCGTTAATTCTCTCTTGCCTTTTTCTTCCTGTGTTTAAGTCTCTGGGGCCTGGGGAAACCAGTGCTCCCCACAGACCTCCCTCACTCAGCCTTTGCCCTCCAGCCTTTTCACCTCTGGGGCTGGTGAGGGGCCGGGAGGAGAGAGCCCGTATGTCAGACAACAAACCGTGTCTGCTAACCCCCAGCAGCCACAGGCAGAGGAAGAAGAGGACAACTGGAAATCCTAGCGGGCGCCGCCATGCCTTCCTCCCCTAAACCCAGACTCCAGCCATGGCCCGGACGTGGACACAGCCAGAATGGGATCCTCAGCCCTGCTGCCCTGGAGGAAGGGGCGGGGATGGAACTGTCCCAGGTCTGTGTGGAGACCACCTTCGGGGAGCGGGAGGCTGGCTTCAGGCCACGCAGCTGGGGTGGGGGCTTCCGTCTGCCTGTGCTCCATCGGAGGATGGCTCCACCCAGCCCCTGCACCAGTGCGCTCCTCGATTCCCTAAAGAGGCTTCCAGAGAAAACAGCAGCACATATCAATGAAAAACTCAGCAGAAACCAACAGTACACTTTTAATTAAGGACCTGTAGCTGTGCAGGATGCAAACAGCTGGGCATCAGTGACTTTCCTCCTGCCCCCGGTTTGTCCCTGATGGTGGCAGAAGATCCCAGCTGACCACGGCCCCTTTCTCTGGGGTCAGAGGGAGAAGACAGGCGCAGTCAGCAGGGGCAGCTGTTGCAGGTGGGAGGGATATTTTCCCACAGGAACAAAGGTCTCCATGATGATACGGGGTCTCTATAGTCATGTTGAGAGCCTAATGGCCCTTGGCATAATTGCTGGTGTCGGGGTAGAAGGTGTCTTGGAGTTTGCTCAAGTGGTTGAGAGGGAGGGAGGTGCCATAGACTTGGAGGAACTGGCACGAAGCCAAGGATACAAATCCAGGCAGGGCTATGGGGCAGGATAGAGAGCAGGGCCTTCTACTGAAGGAGTGACTCAGGAAGGAGGAGGGGAAGGTGACAAGCCCCTGGGCAGGAGCCCTGTGGCCATGGGATCATTTTAAATTAAGACCAGAGAGTGAGCAGTCCAGGGCAGCTATAACCTTGGCTAGAAAGGGCAGAGGCAGATGGGCCTGCTCCATCTCGCCTCTTAAGAAGGTGGGCAGGACGGAGATGCCACAGTGGATGCCACAGCTGCCACAGCCTCCTGTGGAGACCAAGCGGGAGGCCTGGCTCTCAGCCATGCAGGATGGAAAGAAAGATTCTATTCCAGGAGGGGAGCTGCCCTGGAACGCCCCAAGGACAGCCAGGACCCACTGTTCATTCAGGATTCCCGCATTTTCTCCTACGGGAGCTAACGCCTGTGCCTGGGTCCTGGCAGCGCTCTGGACTCCACACTCTCCTCCTGGGTTTCACCTTTGTAACAGGATCCCTGCAGACCACGCCCACGACAAACACTGTCTCCAGAGGGCAGGACAAAGGAAGGGCACGGCGCCGGGCGGTGGTGTGGTTGCCCATCAGGAAGAGGCCGACTTCTCCCGGTGAAACTGGGCAGACAGAAGGCAGTGAGAAATGTGATCTCGGGGTTGGGAGGCTCTCAGAAAGAAAAAGGTAGGACTGACCTTCTGCACAGCAGCAATGGCGGGGCCAAAGGTAGCTTTGACCTCCACGCGGGCTCGGATCCAGGCCGGCAGCTTGGCCAGGACAGGGGGCCGGGCGTATCGCTGGTCCAGGAGCACTATGCTGGCAAAATCCTTCTGGTGCCTGATGGCCCTGCCTGCATAGGAACAGAGGCTGGCGCTCCGAGCAACACCTGCCTCCCCCTACAGCACATTCCCATGGCGACCCCCCCTCACCTTCCTCAGACTTATATAGGAAACAGGGCAGGCAACCCCTCTTTCCTGTTCTCCCCTTCTCCAGCTCCCATCTGTCCACCCAGCTGGAGGCAGCCAGGCTCACCTATGGACTGGTTGACGGCCTTCATGCACAGGTTCTCCACCAGAGCCTTCCCTGGGTGTGCCTGGCCGGGGGCTCTGGGCTGGGAGTGAAGGGGATGACCCATCAGGACTGTTCCCTGCCTGCAGCTCCCCCGGGGAAAAGACGCTGCCAGGCTTTGGAGCCAGACCAGGAGGCTTCGTGGCCAATGCCAGCAGCAGGGGTCCAGGTGACATCACAGGGAAGATCAAGAGGGTGTGGAGGGGCATCCAAGCTTCCGGAGGGGGCAGGAGACACCAGCGCAGTGGGGAAGGCCTGGCTGTATCAGCCCTGGGGGTGATGCCACTCCCACCCACTGCCTACTCTCCTGTCACCCCCTCTGTGACACTGGGGTCACTCACGAGGGTTTGATCCAAGTAGGCCATCTTCTCCTGCAGCTCTGCAGACCTGATGTTGGGGAAGGGCATGCCCACCATCACCACACACCTGGGGGGGAGACAAGAGCCCAGCGGGTGGACGTCAGGACCTCCCGGGTCATCACCCATGTCACCAGCTGCTCCATTCTACCCCTTCCGTCAGCCCTCTCCGACTGTGATCAAAACTCAGCCTCTCTCCACTCTGTACCTACCACCTGGAGAGGGCTTGTAAGGCTGAGAGATCCCGTCTAGGCCAATTGATTGGGTCCTGATACAGCAATGGCCAGCCTAAAATCCAACTGCTCTCCCAGGGCCAAACCCAGAGCTGCTGAGCCCCTCCCTCCAGCTGGCTGGTCTGAGCAGTCGCAGCCCAGCTGTGGGCTCTAATGGCAGCAGACAGCAGGCAGGGGCCCAGCTGCTGGGAATGAGGGTCGGCCATGTATCACGGCCCAGGAGATGAGCAGAACCACTACTTACCGGCCTAGGTTGTCAGAGAAGTTGATCCCTTCACTCATCTTTCCTCCAACCACAGAGAGGAGCAGGGCCCCTGTCACGGGGCCTCTCTCCTGGCCACAGGCCTGTAGGAGAAACCCAGACGCTGAGTTGCTGAGCCAAAACTTGGATGACACCCACAACGTTTCCAGCTGCCACCCCCACATGGTCTCATACCCAAGCTCAGCATGACGCCCGCACCTGGAATACGCCAGCAGCACCTGCTCCACCTGGTGTGCGCTCTTAGGTTCCTGGAATATCTGAGAAAGACAGAGGACATTTCCCAGAGACAGGTTCAGGGTGCCAGGTCTCGGGTCTGCTCGTGGCCTTGTGTTTTCTGGCCAGGGGACTGGAGAACCTCACAGCCAGGGACTTTGGGGAAATCCTCTGTAGTCAGGGACTGGGAGTGGTGGGGATGAGGAGCCAGAAGCCTGTCCTGACCCGATGAGCACAAGAGCTCCCAGGAGGACTCAGTGGCACTGTCCTCACAAGTGGGAAGGCTGCCGACAGGCCACTCACCTTCTTCCTGGCAGCCAGACGGCCCAGCAGGCCACCCTTCTCCCAGTGGGCATGGACCTGGCGCAGGTACTCGTAGGAGGGGAAGAAACAGACCACCCCTCCAGAAACCACACCGCACAGGTTACAGAGGATGCGACCCACCTCGTCCATCTAAGGAAGGAAGGAAGGAAGGAAGGAAGGAAGGGAGGGAGGGAGGGAGCCCCCATGGAGCAACCCCTCAGCCACCCGCAAACCGCGTCTTCACCTTGAGACTCAAAACTGAGGAGAGACCCTCGGCAGGACTACAGCCAAAGAAGAGGACTTGGCTCCCCTGGGTGGGAACCACGGGGTGGTAGGTGCCACCTCCCACCAAACACACCCAGCCACTGCTGCTGACTGCGCCTTTCCGACACATGTCACAGCACTAGCGTCCCTGGGGGGCCTCCCTATTGCCCTGGCACTGAGTCGTCCCTTCTTCTGTCCAGGGTCCTGATGGGCACCACAATGACAATCAGGGGCTGCACACCCCAGGCACACCACAGGAGATGCCCCCAAGCCCCACATCCCTGCCCCCGGCAGGGGCAGATATAACCAAAGGGCAAGAGAGCCAAAGGGAACTAGCAGCTTTCTGCTGAGTGAGGCGTCCTCAGAGGATGCCTGGAGGTTTTATGAATACATATTTCGCAGCCTAAGGCGTGAGGGGCGGGGAAGCTCAGACCTTCCTCCATAAGCATCTAGATCGACGCCGCTCATTCTGTGTGGCTCTAAGTGGGTGTCCCTGTGCAATTTCCCCAACACCTGAAAACACTCAGGGTGGGCCAGAGCGCCCCTGCCCCAGAAAACCCTTTGCTGCCGGAGGCCAGGCTGTGGTGCAGCGAGCTGGCTGGGACTGACCATCTGAGGCAGGTCTCTCTTCTGGAACGTGAATTCTAGCGGCTGGTTGGAGACCCCGCTGCAGATGACAAGGGGCAGGATGTTGTCTGGAGGGATCACGTGACCTGGTAAGAGCCAGGGAGGGGCCGAAAACTGAAGATGCAGGTGTGCTGTAAGACACTGCAGAGAGGGCATTTACCTGCCCCATCATCCAGCACAGGAACAGCGACTGACAGCGCTCACCCACCCACCATCGCCAGTCACACTGGGCAGCACGCAGCAGGCAGCAGGGAGCAAAGCAGGAGAGCCTGGGTGAGCGCACGAAGGGTGAGTCTCCCATCCCGGGGTCTCCTCCGCCTCTGTGCCTGGTCGCAGTATGAGTTATTACCCACAGAAAACGGGGGCCAGAACCTGACCTCTAGCCTGCCCCACCCTGGGCACAGCTTCTCACCACAGGAAAACTCCACCACGCGCTCAGCTTCCACCCCGGCACAGGCCAGCAGCTGCTGCCGGAAGTTAGACACCTGTAGACCAAGGCCACAGCGTCATGGCCCCATGACCCCTCAGAGGCCCAGCAGAAAGGAAGCGAGAAGTCTGGCCTAAGAGACAGCAAGTACACACAAACTGAAAGAAGAGGTCAAAGAAAAGGCTGACGGCAAACTAACAAAAAGAAAAATGGTGACTGATACCCAGTGCTGGCAGTCTCGTTTAAACTATGTGCAGGAACAGCAAAGGAAATCCAGCAAATCTGGCACAGTCATTATCAACCCTGGCCATGCAGCAAAATCACCAGCGAAAATTTTCAAAAATAACACGTGGCCAGGCCCCAGCCCAAACTACTGAATAACAATCTCCAAGCTTTCACCTGCTAGACTGGCAAAAATCCAAATGTAACCACTCTGGAGAAACAGGCATTCCTAGACAGTACTGGTGGGATACAGAATGGTACAATTCTCATGAAATTTCACAGTAGTTAACAAATTAAACATAGTTATACTTTTTAACCCAGGAATCCCATATTTAGGAGTCCAGTGAGAAGATACAGCCCACAAATACCAAACAGCATGTGCCCCCAGACCTTTCCCTGTAATCATGAGCCTGCCTATCCAGAGGGTACTGGTTGGATAAGCTCCCTACATCTGTCCAACAGAGAACCACGCAGCCCACTAGAGGAGCGATGGTCAGACAACTGACTAAGATGCCTTCTGTGTAAATAAAACAGGGAAGGGAAAAATGAAGACACGTTTTTGCTTATTTAGGGGAAAAAAAGACTGAAAGGATAAGCTAGTAAAACGGATTCCCTATGGGGGTGGGGAATGGGCTGGAAAGGGATGAGAGTGAGGCTTTCCTGAATAGATCTTTTTATATTGCTTTGACTTTTGAGCCATACAAATATTTACATATTTAAAAACTACAAGTCAGAAAAGAAGAAAGCAAATTCTAAAATTGAAAAGAAAATGAAACAAAAACAGCCTAGCTATCTATGAAACTGACAACAGAAGCACACGGAGAGAAGCCTGGTTCCACGTGACTTTAGAGCCTAGTGACCAGGCATCCTTAGTGGGTTACACTCTAAGGGCAAAGAGGAAAGGCAATTTCAATCAGATCTATTGTTAGAATTAATATTGGTACTATGATTTCAAAACTTTTAAGTATATTATAGGATAGAGCAGATAAGTAAGTTAATGTAGCACACATGTTCAGGCTTAAGAGAAAAAGAGATACAATAAAAGGTCAAGTAAACAAATCCTTTCATTTTTACTTAGAAACACCAATATGGGCCAGGCGTGGTGGCTCATGCCTGTAATCCCAGCTCTTTGGGATGCCAAGGCTGGCGGATCACCTGAGTTCAAGACCAGCCTGGCCAACATGGTAAAACCCCATCTCTACTAAAATACAAAAATTAGCTGGGTGTGGTGGCACATGCCTGTAATCACAGCTACTCAGGAGGTTGAGGCATGAGAATCGCTTGAACCCCGGAGGCAGAGGTTGCAGAGAGCCGTGATCGGGTTCACTGCGCTCCAGCCTGGGAGACAGAGCGAGACTCTGTCTCAAAAAAAAAAAAAAAAAAAAAGAAAGAAAGAAAGAAAGAAATACCAGTATGGATTCATTCTGAAAACATTTCCTAGATCTGTCTACTAAAATGCCCCAGGAGCATGACAAACACCCTAGCACCCACAGCTTGACTTCCAAATGTCATTCCCCATTACAAGAAACCAGAGCGGCTTGGAGAAATGAATCAATCCAGTGTGCGGCAAGGACACCCATGGTGATCCCATGACATTCTGCTGTGCTGGAGGCGAGACTGACCGGGCCACGGGGAGGACCTGAGCTAGCAGGAAGGGGCTCTCACCATGTGAATGTCAGAAACAATAATGACTGTAAACAACTTTAATATGCCGAATGAATAAAACTATGAATCTATCCATACAAAAATATAAAAATCAAAAGCTAAGGCAGCTGGGGCTGGGAAGCACTGCTTCAGGATTCCCAGCAGCTTTTTGTCCAGGAGGCCCTTTGCTAGGTAAGAGTCACCACTGTGCAGAAATGCGGTTATATTCATCACAGTCATGCTCAAAACAGAAAACTGCAAATAGCTTGCACACCTAACAAGAGAGAAGCAGCTACATGAAATGCTATATATCTGTGTAACTGGAATCCAGCACAGCTGGGATACTGAAATACATGCATACTTGCTGACAAGGAGACAGGGTTTATGACCCTCTGGCTGCTGAGTGAAAAGAGCAAGTTCCAGTGACAGCACATGTTTTAAAAACTTTTGTTTTTAAAACAGCTATGCACATAAGTAAAAATTATGCCTACAAAGACTATTATATTCATATACATCAAAACGAACCTTTTAAAAGTGGAATCATGATTTTTTTCCTTGAGTTTGAAACCACAGAACAGCTTTCTCTGGGAGACATGTGATCCTGGGGCTACAGAATGGAGCAGCAGAGGAGTCTCCACTGCTCCTGCAGCCTAAAAGGCACAGCAGTGAGAGAATAGCAGTGTCACCCAGTGGACACCACTGGGCCTGCTCGAGCTGACCCTTTCTGGCTTGCGGCCCCAGGAGAGAACAGGACTGATAACGCATCTCTCCCAAGCTCCCATCTCATCCCAACACCTGGGGAACGAGGGGCTGGGAAAGGTGTCCTTACCGGCTGCATGGTCCCCCCGGCAATGACCACTGCCCGGCATTCCTTCACCACTTGGGCAAAGTGCACAGCTGGATTCAGGAGCAAAAACTTCAGGGTGCTCTGACTGAGACTGCCTGGAAAAACAGATTGGTGGGGAGATGAGTGCAAGCCCAACAGACACTTCTATCGTCCCAGCAAAGGGGGTCCACAGTTGAGTCCAGGTCTGAGGCACAAGTGCTAGTGCTTTCTCTTTAAATTAAACACCATTTAATCTCTAGGACAACCAGCCCACAGAGGTGGACCATACTGTCCTCTCCATCTTTTTTTTTTTTTTTTTGAGATGGAGTCTCGATCTGTTGCCCAGGCTGGAGTGCAGTGGCTCAATCTCGGCTCCCTGCAACCTCCACCTCCTGGGTTCAAGCAATTTTCCTGCCTCAGCCTCCCGAGTAGCTGGGACTACAGGCACCCACCACCACACCCTGCTAATTTTTTGTATTTTTAGTAGAGACGGGGTTTCACTGTGTTAGCCAGGATGGTCTCGATCTCCTGACCTCACGATCCGCCCCCCTCAGCCTCCCAACGTGCTGGGATTACAGGCGTGAGCCACCGCGCCCGGCCTATCCTCTCCATTTTCATATGAGGAAACTGAAGTTGAGAAAGAAAATAGTCCAAATCACAAGGCTCATAGATGACAAAATCATGACCCAAACCAAAGCCCACCTACCCCACAATACAAGTTTCCCTAGGACCCCTGCCCTAGAGGACCTCCATCCCAGCCCCTCGATCTCCTCCCGTCCACCTCCACTGCTTGCCCAGGTCACAGCAGGCCAGTGCCCACTGCACTGCTTCCTCCTAACCCAGGGAGTTCCCAGGATGGAAGGAAAGAATCCTTTCATGCTGCGGCTCCCGGGCTCAGCTTGGCTCCTTCCTGGGAACTGAACCTGGCCAAGAACCACCTGATTACCTTGGCGGCTCAGGATGACCCTGCCGTCCTGGTTGGCCGTAGTGAGAGCTGCCAGGAAGCCTTCGATGTGCATCAGTGGGGAAGCTGGTTGCGGGACGCTGGCCTGACTCTCGTCTGCAGGGGCTGCAAGAGCTGCACAGAGCAGAATGGGGAGGAGGCCTCCCTCTTGTCAGGTCCACACATGAGGAACAGAAGTCCTTGCCCATGCGTGCAGCCGGCTCTGCCTGCTCACCCTCCTGCCTCACCTTCAGTCGTCCTGGGCTGCAGGCTCTGCAGGAATTGCTGAAACCCAGCCAGTTTGGGCTGCTCCCGGGATGAGAACACTGCTCCGTACCGTTCAGTGAAGCCAAAGAGCTGGGTGGGATGAGAGAGAGCAGTGGAGAGGAACGAGGAACAGCCATGAGAGAGAGGCTGGGTGGATCGGAGGCTCTGCCAGGCCCAAGACACCTGCAGCACGCATCCCACCACCTCAGCAAGGCCCACTGCACCAAGGAGGGTGGAGATGAAGGGGACTCTGGAGTTTCCTGAGGGCAGGGGAGGAAAGCATGGCAACGGCAGGGGGTTGGGGCACAGCTGGGTCTTGTTCAGGACCACAAGATGGGAGCAGTTACCTTTCTGCTGATCATGCTCTTCTCACAGTATCGCTGCACCTGCAAAAACCAAGCCCAGCTGTAGGCATGTGTGCAAACTGAGCAAGCTGTAATCTTAAACACAAAACAAAAAACACCACTTCTACCACCCAGGCAGCACAACGCAGTGCTACCTTCTGAGGCACCTGGAGCCTCCTTGCCACCAACCTTGTCATCCCCTCTCCGAGGCCACCCCCTCCTCTACTGCCCCTGCCCACAACGCAGTGTCCTCCTCAGGGGGGAGACCCTCTTTCCAAATGTCTCTCTCAAGTCTAAGAGTGCTCAGTACAATCTAGGTCCCCTTGGCTTTCCTTCCAGGTGACAGAGTTAAAACAAAGGAACTTCTATGAGCAAAGCCACAGAGGAGATGATGGCTGGGACCTGCTCAGGGGCTGGGGCAGTGCCACTCAGTCGGAGCATCCAATGTGTGTGGTTTGGTGCCAGATCTTAGCTTGGGATGCAGAGATGAGGAGTTTGGAGCCTTTAAACCGGTTTCTAAAAAGAGCGATGTCCTTCGATGAGGATTCCCTCAATGGTGAGTGATGAGACCCGAGACCCATGGGAAGAAGAGGGGAGAAGGAAAGCAAGGAGGGCAAAGGGAAGGCGAGAGAAGGAGTGCCTGCACCCATGTCCCAGCTGTGGGAGAAGCGCGGGGACGGCAGGACTGTCTGAGGCTGTCAGGCCTGGCGGCTGTCACAGGCATGTGGGAGACAAGGGGAGAAAGGCATCAAGGATGACCTGGATCCAGCCTGTCTGGCAGGGATGGTGGCAGTGACAGTGACCCAAATGTGTAATTCAGGGGAAAAGCTGGTTTTAAGAAAAAAAAGGCAGGCAGGATGGGAAGAATGTGGGGCCCCAAGTCAGTGCAGCCAGGTTTGGACGCTGTCTCTGCCACTTGCTATTGGCTCACTTGTGGGAAGCCTATGCTCGCCACCCTCCTGAAGTCACCTCCATGGGCCTGTTTGCTTTCCTTGCCGGGGCAAAAGGATATCCTAGCTCAGAGCACAGCACGTGGCATGGCGCCTAGAACAGAGGCAGAACCCTGTACCCAGGGGCAGTCACTGTTGCTGATTTGAGTTACGAGCTGGGGGTTCAGGCGGCAGTGGCCGTGTTTCATCTGGGGAGCGCTGGGTACACAGACCTGGAGCGAGCAGAGGTCTGAGGCTGCAACCAGACCCAAGGCCCAAGTGGGAAGACGTGACAGGGGTTGCACAGAACAAATCAACATCCTATTCCTGTCCATAAGCCTGAGGGAGACTGTGCCAGAAGATGGAGTGACACAGCAAGGACCTGGAGTCTCTATCTGTTCTATGGGGCACCAAGAAAGGTCCCTTTCTCACCCATCCCTCATCCCTGTGGCCTTCACTCTAAAAGAAGATGACTTTTGTCTCACAGGCGTGTTGCGTTAAGGGTTAAGTAATTACACATCTGTTTTGCTTTTTCTTCCTTCTATAGTCTTAACATAGTACTCTACCCACAGGTGGTGACAGGAAGGAAATTGGATGTGGAATGTGGAAAGGTGGAAACCTCTACCTTGAACAGGTTGATGTTGTCGATCTGGCTCTGGAAGAGAAAGTCGTTGATAGTCTTCAGCTCCATCCCTGAGAACAAACACATGAAGGGCCTTGGGAGCTTCACCCTAAGCCTCAGGTTTCAGTCCCAGGGTTAAGCTCGGAAGTGGCTCAGATCAGCTCTGGGCCCTCTGAGGGCAACTCTCTTACCTGTCTGTGACAGACTCTGTGTATTGGGATTTTGCTTAATGTTCCCTAAAAAAGAGAATGGAAATAGGTCACAATGGTGGTTCTCAGGCCCCCCAACCCTTCCCTATCTTCTCTCCCTCCACACTGCACATCAAGTAAGAAGAGCATCTGTATTTGAACGGCTTTGTTTTGCTTTTCACTGTTTATAGTATGCAACGGACCCACTTAGAGGGCAGGTGGGTCCAGGAGCCTCCCACGTCTGACTCACGTGCTTGCACGTGGAACCCAAAGCCCTGTAAAGTTTATGTTTTTCACCCCTTCTCCAGGAGGCCGGGACACAGCAGCCAGACCAAGGTATGCAGGGCACCGGAGCACAGAGGAGCTGCCCAGGCCACTGGTGAGCCTGAGGCAAAGCAGAGCTGGCGGCTCAGAGCAGCAACACGAGACCAGCTCCCGCCAGGAGCTCCCACAGGCTTTCTGCAGCTTCCACTTCCACAGACACTTTCCAACAAGGGGGTGCCCCATCATAAAAGAAGGGGATGTGACAGGGTCATGCAAAGAGGCGTGGGAGCTGGAGTCAGAAGATCCCAGGCTCCCGTGCTGGGAGCAGCCCTTGCTCCGAGCTCTAGTTTATGCGTCTATCAACAAGGATTCAAATACCAGCACTGCGTTCTCACAGGGCACACAAAACCGCATATGCAAGTGCTTCGAACAACCCACAGAACTATGCCTATCACGGAAACACCGTGTGTCCATGTGATGCTGTATCCTTAATATCCCCCCAGAGCAGCGCCTGAAATAAAAAGTCCTCAGAACATGGGCAAAGAACCCATGGGTCTAAAAAAAGCTCAAGTCAGACAACTCAACTAAGCTACAAAGAACAAGAATTTTCTAAATCAATGACCAAGACCCTTCTTTTTTTTTTTTTTTTTTTTGAGACTGACTCTTACTCTGTCGCCCAGACTGGACTGCAGTGGCACAATCTCGGCTCACTGCAACCTCTGCCTCCCGGGTTTGAGCAAGCAATTCTCTTGTCTCAGCTTCTGGAGCAGCTGGGACTACAGGCCACGGCAACACTCCCAGCTAATTTTTTTGTATTTTTAGTAGAGATGGGATTTCATCATGTTGACCAGGCTGGTCTCAAAACTCCTGACCTCAGGTGAACCACCTGCCTCGGCCTCCCAAGGGCTGGGATTACAGGCGTGAGCCACCACACCTGGCCGACCCTTCTTAAAAACACAGAGAACTGAGGCGTCCTGATGGGCATCCAAGGAAAAAGCAGCCCGGCGGGTTTTGCAGGCCGGGGGTCAGCCGGGGGGACGAGGCTCTCACCCCCTAGCACAGCCACGAATTTCTCCAGCAAATACAGGATCTGCTTCAGGTACATCAGGTTCTTGGCCTTCAAACGCTTCCTGAGAAGAAGCCAACGGACATTAAGTGGTGGTGCCCTGATGGCGACTCGCCCCGCCCACCCCAGTGGAAGCCTTGCTGCCCGGTGCCTCTCAAACTGGGTCACAAGCTACAAATCCTTTCCCAGAGAGCAGGCTGGCCACGGCCCCAGGCCTCAGAGCCAGCGGTCAGTCCCCAGCCTTCCAGGTCTGTGTGCAGCACACACCATGATGTGCCTAGGACATGAATGGCATGCAGCTCCACCCCGCCACAGCCCGGGCCAGAGGTGGGAACCAAAGTGCTGCCTCTCAGAGGCCCATGCAGGGGGCCACCAAGGGACTGTCCCACTACCTCAGAGAGTCACATCTCACCCGTATCGCTCCATGTACTGCAGCAGCTGGGAATGGGCCTGGCAGAGCTGGGGAAAGAACACAAACCAGGCTCTGAGCAAGCAGCCGAGGGCTAAGGTACTGACATCTTAGATTCACCTAGAAGACGCTAGCCCTGGACACACAGGAAGCCACCAAAGGGAGGAGAGGGGGCTGGGTGCAGACAAAAGGTACTGGTTTCCACAGCCCTTAGGCTGGTGGGAGCTAAGAGAAAAGGGAAGGAAGGGAAGGTTTCCTCCAGTGTCCACTGTGGGTCAGAGAAAAAGCAAGAGGCTGAATTCCTCAAGTATGGAATCTCCCTGCTAGTTTCCACCGGGTTGGGAAAAGACCTAGAGTCTACAAAGAGTGATGGTTCAAGGTCACCATCACATCCCAGCCTCAATTCAGCCCAGGCACAGGTCAGTAGAGCTGGTGGGATGTCGTGGGGGTTTCACAGTCAGAAACCAGTGGGCACACCCCAGCTCCACACTCATGAGCTGCATGACCTCAGGACAGAGCTTGACCATCTCTGAATCTCCACGTTTCCAATGTAAAACAGGAACACCACCCCCATGGCAGAGTCAGCGTGAAGACCAGAGACACCTGGTGCCATGCATGGCGCATGATAGGGCAGCAGGAGGAGCCTGCACTGATCTTGAGCATTCCTCAATTCAGTCCCCTCCAGACAACTTCAGTAATGACAAAATCCAATCCTGAGGGGACTTCTGCCTCACACATGCCATCTCCCTGGCTTGCAGAACTGGCTGCTGGCATCCAGGGCTGGAGGGACTCAGGAGCATGGGGGCAGGTGAGGTGCAGGGAAATGAGGCACTCTGTCATAGCGGGGTCCCCAGAGTTCTGGGATGCACTGGAAAGCCATGGTCAGCCTCCGATGAGGTCACCACCTTGACTCGTGCACCCTGTAGCAAGCCCCACCTCCGGAGGAATTCTTGGCCCAGGTGTCTGGAGGAACCATCCAAGTCCCTTTACCTCACGGCAGGCCCTGGCCCGGGGAGGGGAGGCCCACGCACCTGGGAGCCGCTGACCTCCACGCTGTGCATGCTCGTGGTGGTGTCGATCAGGTTGTGCGCCTCGTCGATGATCACCACCTGGTCCTGCAGCCGGATGCCCGCAGCCTGCCGAGTGGCCGCATGCAGCAGCATCTGATAGGGCAGCACCACCAGCTGGGAGGGGAGATGAGGCCACCTGAGCAGGGCGGGGCTCCCCTGCAGGAGGCTTGCCTGCCTGACACTGAGCTCCTGATGTGAGTGCTTCTACTTCCTGCCTGGACTGTGTAGAGACATTCAAAAAACAGCTTGTAGCAACGGACAAGCTCTCCTCGAGTTTCACATGAAAAGCCAATACATGAAACACAGGAAACTAGGGCTGGTCTGACTCCTGAGTAAACCAAGGGCAGGGCTGGGTGAAGGGAACCCCTGCTTAGCCTTGTCCATGTCCTCAAGGTCGCCCCGGAGGCCCCCGAGTTTCCACAAAACACCTGAAGACCATCGGTGCACCAGGAAGCGGCCCCAGCTTCTGCTCCTGGAGCTGCTACTTCCCAGCTGTGTGACTCTGGAAGAGTTGTCTAACCTCTCTGACCCTTGCTTTCCTCATCTGCAAAATAGGGTTGACACATCCTATTTCAAAGTGAGGGTTAAGGCGTGGAGCTGGGGTAACAAAAATAAAAGCAACTCTGCAGGTCTTTAGGTGTTTGTTGTTAGGAAAGTTTCCAGTTAAAGGAATACTCATATAAGAAATAAAATATCGGAAAACTGAATGGCTCCATCACCCACGCTTGGTGAGAAAATATGAGTCACTTAACTTTTCTGGGCTCCAGCGTCCCCATGCACGGAATTTCACTGGAATACTATTAACATAAAAGCAAAATATGGTCAAAGTACTTTACAAATTCAAAAATCGTAAAGATTTTGGGCCATATTATGGTATTTGTGTATAAATGCCTATAGCACTAATCTTGCTCTAAAGGCAAACAGACCGGAGGGAAGGCCTGGGACACCATGGGGCCTGGCAGCTTTCCTCAGTTTCTCTGCCAGCGCCCACACAGCTCAGCAGGTATGCTGGTGAGCATTTAGCTGCTGTGCAAACGGTTACTTAGTTCCCTGAATCTTTTAAAACCTTACATTTTTTTCTGGATTATACAGAATTTTCCACTAGTGATATCCCGTTTCCAAAGTCACTCAAGTTAAAGAAGTAGCAAGGAAATAGTGAAACTGCACCCACCAAGTAACAGTGAGATACTACTTTTCATCTGCTACATTAGCAGTTCTTCCTTCTGTTTAAAAATCAAGAGAAGTTGTGGCAGAGAAGACAGTATTCTCACGTGCTGCAGGTAGGTGTAAGTTAGGGAAAGCTTTCCAGTTAAGAGTACTGATATTACAAAAAGGAAAAACTGGAAAACTGAATGGTTCTATCACTGACATCCTCCATCACATCATAGGCATGGAAGTTGGGAGCATCACTTGGAAAGCCATTTGTAAATAGATGTATGCAGCACACTCTTCTCAGCTCCTGGCATCCCCCCTCTCCCTGTGGTTTCACTAGGAATGCACCGGCTTTCCTGGCTCCTAAATACCATCCCCAGTAATGCCAACTGGCCCTGCTGCCTGGAGACCCCAAGGGATCCCACGCGCCTCCTCCAACTCACGCCTCAGGAGAGAATGGGTTAAGGTGCCATCAACCTGACCACGGTGGGGGGCATCCCCCAAACTACAGTGTGATGAGGACCCCCCTCATGGCCTAGACCACAGTGAGAGCCAAGAGCGGCTTTCTGGCCCTGCAGGGCCCTCACCTGGGCTGCAGGGATGGCAAGGCGGCTCCCGTAATAGGGACAGGCCCGGGCCTCCTTCCCAAGGGCCAGCAGCTGCTCCATGTCCTTCACCTCTGCCAGGGCCTCATCCCGGAGAAGGCCCATCTGCTCGTGGTTGTAGAAGGGGCAGGCTGCCTGCTTCTCCTGCCTCCTCCTCTTTGGCTTCTCCTCCTCAGCTCCTTTCTTCTTCTCTGAGGGGGGCACAGGCACAAAGAGAGAAAACAGAGAGGACAGCAACTGTCCACGGGCCCGAGAGGGGGTTGTGTAATGTTGAGACCCACTTCCACAGGGTGGGGTCTATAAGACCCTCCCAAGTACTGCCTACTGTGTCTCATCGGAACACTGTAACGTTTTACTTTTGTTCTCCAGAAAGAGCCCGTAAAATCATCTCCAAGCCAACGATTCGGACCAGACGCTCACCCAGAGAGTAGGAACACTTTTTCCCAAGGAGAGGGGACTCAGGGAGGAACTGGGGTCTCCTCTGCCATTCTTTCTATGAAAGACACTGAATGGTCTTCAGTCACTGCCACCCCTGCCTCACTCTCTCCAGACCACCTGCGGCTACACCATGGTCCTGGTGGCTACCGTGCCTGCTTCTCTGCATGTCCACGCAGCGGTTGTTGATAAGCTGCACAGAACCTAGGCTTCTCACGTCTTCATTTACACAAAGGTTCTGCAACAAAGGAGAAAGAAAGAGGCAAAGAGATGGTGCCAGCTAAATGACATCCTACCAACACACGTGGACCTGCCCCCGCCACCTCTCCTTTGCCTTCCAGTGATGGGCCGGCCAGGCCAGGGAGGGGGCTGCTCCTCACACGGTTCAGCCTGTCACAGACCCAGCGTCTCCCAGGCCTGGACGAGCAGGACAAAGTTGTGGGGAAAGGAGCAGGATGGCCCCTGGTGGAAATACTGGCTACTGTTTACCTGCCGGGAGCCGAGGGAGACCAGCCGAACATCCTTGCCAAAGGGGCTCTTCTTCACCTCATGCACAAACTGGGCCAGCTGGGAGTGTGTCCGACTACAGTGATAAATCTAGCAGAGAGAAAGAAAGGCACTTCAAAGAGGGAACCAAAACATCCCACAGCATTCTCTAACATCAAGGCACGCCAGGGCCTGAGAGGCTGAGGGAAAGGGAGTGGCTCCCAATGCACAAAGCCGAGGCAGGACAGCAATGTCCCATGTCAGGCATCTATCGAGGGACCCAGGGATTCCCAAGTCACCCACAGCTCCAGAAGTTCAAGGGAATGCCCCACAGGCAGCTCCTTCCACGAGTCATATCCAGCACCACCCAGCAGGGACAGAAAACACCCAGACTTCAGCCCAGAACAGCTGTTCCTCTATGCCCTGGGGTGGCAAGCATGGCCCTGCCCCCAGGAGAGGTCTCCCCAGGCCCCGAACCCAGGAGATGTCTCCCCAGGCCCCAAACTCAAGAGAGGTCTCCTCAGGTCCCTGCTCCCAGGAAAGGTCTCCCCAGGAGAGGACTCCCCAGGCCCTGACCCCAGGAGAGGACTCCAAGGTCCACTGCAGCTGGCCAAGGGAGCAACTCAGGACCAGGGTTGCGTGCAAGAAGCAACAGAGTCCAAGTGCTGGAAGCTCCTCCTTTGTGGAGAGGAGGGTGAGAAGTAGCCGAGTGACTCCAGCCTCTTCCCCAAGGGTGCACAGCCCAGCCCATAGCCCCCAGCACAGCACCAGCTGAGGACACTCGTGTTACCTTAGTTATGTGTTCTTCCTCCAGGTCATCCTCATCCTCATCCACTCTGTGTGTGTGAGAGAGAACAGAAAACAGTCTTCCCTCAGCAAACTCAGCAAAACGCACTGAGCATCTGCTGAGCGCTGGTGCTGAGCCCTGGCCATTCCCAGCAATGGGTTCCACCAAGGTAGCAGGTGCTGCTTGCTCAGAAACTCCCCCAGGCAAATGCCAACCCCAACCTCCCGTGGCCGCTCAGGTCTGTGGGTAGGGAAATGTAAAAAGGAGACATGAGCTCAGCACCCCAAACCCAAGTCTTGAGTTGGAAGCCTCGGGACTCATGGCAGGCTGCTCTCCTCTCTGCCCTCCCTCCAGCAAGCTGGACCCCTCTGAGGCCCCAGGGGGGATATTTGCTCTTCATCATCTCAGGCCTTCGGATGTTCTGTGCCTGGAATGTTGTCTCCCCTCACCAGCTCCCAGTCAACTCTGAGATAGCAGCAGAAACATCACCTCCTCCAGGAAGCCTTCTTTGACCTTCCCTGGTAGGTCTGGCTGCTCTGACACAGATTCATGGCCCCTTCACACCCATCTCATTCAAAATTGCTTCCTCTCGGTCTATCTCCCCAGACTGTCATGTCCACAAGGGAGGACCCAGGTCGGCCTTGTTTCTGCTGAGTCCCCATGGCCTCACCTAGAGCTTGGTATGCAGCAGGAACCCCATGACCATCTCCTGGATGAAGCTACAACTGACCAATCGAGTGAACAGAGGATGCTGTCACTTATGACCAGCTGCAACTCTTCTTTTGTCAGCGCCTCAGTCTGCCCTTTCCAGCAATGCGGGAAGAATCCATCAGCGCCAGGCGTTGGCAGGGAAGCCAGCCCTGCATCCCATGGCCTGAAGCTGAGCTAGCTCTACTAGTCTATGCTCCTCAGAAAACACAAAACCATCTGACAGGCACACGCCACCTATGGCAACATCACATAAAAAGAAAACATTTTTGTTCACCTCGAAATTCCTTTCTAACAAAGCAGAATACAATTGTCTTGGGCTATCAGAAGAGTAATTATTACAGGCTTGGCTTCATGGTCACTAAAGAGCAGGCGGCTCTATCTTAAAAGGCTTGGATTCAATCTTATGTCGCATGCTGGACAAAGCCAGCAGGAGCTCACTGAGAGGCTGGGTGTGTGAAGAAATGAAGAGCAAAAATTTTCTATTCAGAACTCAGGTCCTCTGAGGCTCACATTATCTCCTGAAACGTGAGGGCATGGGAAGCCCCGGAAGCTGACCTACAGGATCCACGGCTCTTGCCCAGACCTGAAGGAGCACTTTGTTCCTCTAATATTCACCACCTTCATCTCCACTCAAGTTCTCTGCCTTGTCCCCATGGGCTCTAAGGGAGAAGAGAGGGAGCAGAAACACGACCTTGGAGGTGGGCAGGAACGGTTCATGGAGCACAAACTGTTTATGACCCCCTCTCACCAGCGAGGCATAAAGCAGCATGGTGGTCTCTGCCCCGGGCAGGGCCAGAAGTCGAGGTCCACATGCGCAGCCTGGAATTATACTACCAGACTGCAACGAGGCAGCATCTGCTCATTCATGTCAACTCGATTGTATTGAGCACACCCCTATGCCAAACACTGGGTCAGCTCTGGGAACATCAAACTGTAAAGACGTGGTTCCTGCCCTGAAGCAGCTCGAGCCCAGCCAGGGAGAGGAGGCAACAACAGAAGCACAAGCAGGTGCGTGAGCAAAACAGAGCAGCTGACACCCGAAGCCACCAAGACGACACCTGAGCCAGGCCTTAAAGGAGAGGAAGACATCTGCGAAGGGAGGAGGGCAGGGTGTTTGGCCACAGCACGTTGCATGAGCAAATCCTCAGACAGGACAGAGGAAGGCCTGGTGCGCTGGAGGAAGTTCAGGGCAGCGGGGAAGCTGGCGTCTGGTGGATGGCGGCTGGAGGTGGCGTCAGAAGGCGCCCTGCAGACAGACCGTGAAGGCCGGGGATGAACCTTCAGGAATATCCACGGAGGGTCTCTGGTCTTGCAGTTACCCTCCCACAGATGTGGTGGCCAGGATGTCACAGGACACACGGGACTCATCATCAGGTGCAGCCCCCCACCCCATCCACATCACCATTTTGTTTTCCTTGTAGGCAAACATGCTGACTTCACATAGGTGCTATTTGTTTTCATGTCTATTAACTGTCCCCTCCATGTCTTCTTCCCTTCTATGTCCACAGCATCTGGACAGTGCCATACTCAGAGCAGACACTCAGGGATGGTGGTGAGGTTCCAGTGTGAATGGAAACGGGGCTGTCACCAGGGATCCTGTGGGCCCGAAATGGCCTGGGTGGCCTGCTCAGGGCTAAGTCACCCAGCAGCTCATGGCTCATCAAGTGGAAACCTTGAGTCTGGACCAACAGAGGCTTTATGGGAGAAGGAAAGCTCAGGCTAAGGACGCCTTGACGGTTGGCACCTCAAAGGTTACCCAGTGCAGTCAGCTGCCTCAGAGCCTGAGATCTAGAGCCAGGCCGGCTGAGTTCTAGCCCAGCTCTCCACTGCCGAGGCTTGTGGCCTCAGCCAAGGAGTCTCTCCTTGTGGGGCTGCAGCCTCCTTGTGTATAAGGTGCAGACACAAATGTTCCTGCCCTGCCTGAGCTGCTGTGAGGACAGCTGAGAGGACACAGGCCAGGCCGGTGACTGTCCTCACTGCCACTGGCACTCATGGACCCTAGGAAGGACCTGGCTTAGAGCAGAGGGCAGAGGCCACCATGCCTCTTGCCAGGTGCTTCATGGCATCTGTGGCATGAGGGAAAGAGCTGTCTTCAAGGGTGTCCCCTGGCCTGGGGCAGGGTAGTGCTACCGCCTCTGTCTCACCCGCTCGCCACCTTTTTCTCCTCATCACTCTCGTATTCGGCGAGGACCAGCTCCTCCTCCCCAGACTCCAGCTGCTCCGGCCGCTCAGCCTCCGGGCCTGTCTCTAGCATCTCCCTGCTGAGGCGGAGGAGATTCTCTCTTTCTTCTTCTTCCTGCCTCTGGACAGGGGCAGTGGAGGTGGGGAGGGAGGAAGAAGTCTCAGCACCAGTACCCACCTCCCCACGTGCCAGAGACAAAGCACACCACGCCCATTCACATAGGCCTGGCTGCCTGGCTGGAGAGAGGTCGACTCCTAGGATCCACGCCTCAACCACTCACAGCCCAGCTTCTGTACGGGAGCACATAGCCAGTGAGGGTCATGGAGGGGAGACCAAGACCCTGGCCACGCACCCATGAGCCTCCAAGCAGGGCGACCCTGCCTGGACATAATCCTGCCCCCCAAGAAATGAGGCTCACCAGGCGCTTGGCTGCATACTTGAGCTGCACCCTGTGCTGCAGCTGCTGCAGGCGTTCTTCTCGCTGCTTCCTCCTGGCCTGCTCCGCCTACAGGAGGCAGACATGAAGGAAAATCACCAGGAAGCCCAAAACCAGGCCTCTCCTAAGGAGTCTGGGCCACTCAGCTCGGCGCCTCCTCACTGGGGGCAGCTCTCCTTCTCCAACCAGCACTCAAGGGCTGCCGCATCCCCTCCCGGGACCTCATCCCTGCAGGTCCCAGCCTCGCTGCTCACTGTGGAAGGCGGCACACTCCTCCCAAAGCCACACGCTCTCCATCAGATCCATTTGCAGCCACTGAACCATGCTGCCAATGGCAACGATCAGGTCCTTTCCCAGGTGAGTAATAAATGGGCACCAACAGTTCCTTGTGTGGAGAAGGCCCTGCTGACCTCCAGCTCAAAAGAGACAGCACAGCGGCAGCACCATCGACCCAAGGAGCTGAGGGAAGAGCTGAGAGGCACAGCAACGGCAGGGGAGCATGCACTGCCTGAGTCTCGGAATCGCCCCACAACAATCGCTGAAGCCCTGTTTCCTCCAGCACTCCCACTTCCGGATACCCCAGGTCTCACCTTCAGTCGGTTCACCAGGTCCCTCTCTTCTTTCTTCTGCACAAACTGAGTAACCCAGGCCGGTTCTCCAGCAGGCCTCGGGGTGCCTGCAGCCCCTTCGCAGGAGGAAGACAGACACAGGGATTCATCTTTCTCATCATGTAAGGGGCCAGTTCCAGTTTCAAGGAGTCGTGCCTCTTCTTCACGCTTCTTCTGTTCAAAGTCACGGAGCCAGGAGAGGGCCCCACAAATAAGACTTAAGGACTTCCCCTGCAGGAAGAAAAATGATCTTTAGAAACAGGAAAACAACAAAGCCTCCCAAATGACCTTTCCCCATTTTAATAAAAGCTTGAAAGAAGGTCTGGCTGTACATAGGAGAGGATGCTCTAAGGCCAGCCTAGGAAAGGAAAGGAAGGAAATTAGCACTAGAATAGCCAGGAAAAACAGAAAAAAGGAAGAAATGGAAACTGGGCCCAAGAAGCAGGAAAAAGCTTCTTTAATTATCCAGCTCACTGTTCTGAAAACAAATTTGAAGCAGTTTATCAGATTCTATGTAAATATCGCACATAATTAGAAGAAGGGGAGACATTAGACAAAAAGTCCCCTAAAAGAATTAAGGCCCCAAACTGCTGAGCAAGAAATCCCAGGTACTCGCCAACGGGGAGCCACAGTGACCGCGCGGCCTTCGTGCAGCTCGTGCGTGGATACAGGATGATCAGTCACGAGTGCCAGTGTTTACGGTTTGTGTTTTTTTTTTTTTGTTTTTTTGTTTTTTTTTTTTTAAAGCAAACTAATCACTCTGGAACACCACTTTTTTTGTCTGTTTTTGAGAGGAGGTCTTGCTATGTTGCCCAGGCTGGTATGGAACTCCTCCTGGGCTCACACAATTCTCTGGCCTCAGCCTCCCAAGTGGCTGGGACCATAGGTGTGCGCCTCCACATACAGACTGGAGAAGACTACTCTTGACTTAAGACCAGAATTGTCCATAAGCCTGATTGAATTGTATTCCTCCAAATTCCTGTGTTGAAATCCTAACCCCCAGCATCTCAGAATGTGGCCTTATCTGGAAATAGGACTGTCACAAATGTAATTAGTTAAGATGAGACTACTAGGACGGGACCCAGCCTAAAGGGCTAATATCCTTATTGGAAAGGGGACACGTGGATGCAGACATGCACAGAAGGCAGGCGATGTCATGATACCCAAGGAGAACACGCCCCTATAAGCCAAGGAAAGGGGCCTGAAGAGATCTTTCCCTCGCGACCCTCAGAAGGGACCAAGCATGCTGACACCTTGATCTCGGACTCCAGCCTCCAGCGCTGTGGGATGTCAGTTTCTGTTGTTTAAGCCCCAGTTTGTGAAGCTTTCCTCTAGCAGCCCCAGGGAACCAATACAGTTCTTCCAGAGAGGACCCTTCAGGGAGCGCCACAAGGAGGCGGCCCTGGTGTCCACAGGGGAACTCAGCTCAGGGGAGTCTCTGGAGGACCCCATGCCTTCTGCTCCAGGCAGTCAGCTCTCTGAGCCTGCTGAACCCAGAGGGGATCTCAGAGTATCCAGGGCGGGGTGAAACACCTCGTATGACTAGGGTTGGGGCAGCAGCGCGGCGCAGGAGTCAGAGCCTCAAACTCCACAGCCAGGCGCCAGGGTTCCAGCTGCCTCCCCTACCTGCAGCTCTGTGGCTCAGGCTGGCCTCACTACGCTTGTTTCCACGAGTGCAGAAATGGAAATGACAACAGCAGCACCTTCCTCATAGAGCTGGTGCAAGCAGGACATTAACACACACAAAAGGCCAAATCCTCTGGATTAGAGGATTACCTGGCAAATAACAAGTGAGCGGTTGGAGTTAGCTAACTTTTTGCTATCATTAAGTAATAATAATAAAATTATTAATAGCATTATTCTGGAATATGGGATCTATTAGTTTTCACCAAAATCTTGAAAGGCCCTGGGATAGGATAGAATGACATTGCTGACAAATGGATGGATCCCATATTTTTAGGAAAGCCCCATATGTACCATTTCCCTCAGCTTTTGATAGAAAGTAAATGGCAAAGAGTTCCAGGCAGCATTTCCCAGCAGCACCTGGAGGGCGGCTCTTCTGTGCTGCCTGTGATATCGGAAGCAGACAGCTTCAGCTGTCACTGGGCTGGGAGACACAATGGTTAGAAAGCCAGTGCCCTCCATTTGAAAGTGAGCTGAGGAAGTTCCTAAGGGTATGGTCAAAGTTATCTTTCAAAAACAACCGTGGTATACTCCGGCACAACAGCAAAAGAATAACTGAGGCCCACTGTTTTCTACATCCTGTAATAAGACCACAAAACTTTTAGACTGGAAAATGTTAAAAGGATTTATAACCAAAGGCTCACCTTCCTGGGGTATCATCAACAGTTACATGATTTATGCCAAGATAAGCAAATTCATTCACTCTGAACACCTGCTGGTTGCAGCAAGCATGGGGCTCAGAGCTGAGAACACAAAGGTGCAGAGCCCCTAGAAAATGCTCACAAGTTCACATGTAACATACAATTCGAGGGCATCATAGATCCCCGCAAAGCATGCATTCCAGGTTGGAGGACTCCCGGAACTGCAGTGTTACACAAGGCACAGCACACACCAAGTGGTAATGGTGACTCAACTTGATAGACCTGTATAAGGCTTAAAAGGTGACTATCAAGGATAAACAGCATCTCGGGCAGCTAAGGTGGGGCACCTGTGCATCCAAGGCGGGGAAGGGCATGGTAGGCACAACAGGTAACACAGACCCCACTCAGGGTGTCCCACAGCATGGCTGCTCCTATGGGCTGGGGGACACCCAGGACAGGAGAAAACACTCTATTCAGGAGATGATTTAGAAGACAGAAGAATGTCAAAGGTAATAAAGCCACAGGGTACATTCACAGAGAGTGCACACAAGAAGATGAAGCTATAGAACCAGAAACATCGACAATTAAAGGCTGAGCATAGGAGGAAGATGCAGAAGCCTGGAGTGCAGAAGACTGAGATGGAAAGACCTGAGAGGCAGAAGATGGGTTGTCAGGCTAAACAAGGTAAAAGGGGTCAGGTACAGTGGCTCACGCCTGTCATCTCAGCACTATGGGAGGCCAAGGAGGGAGGATTGCTTGAGCCTAGGGGTCTAAGACCACCAGCCTGAGCAGCATAGTGAGATCTCATTTCTACAAATTAAAAAATTAGCTAGGTGTGATGGCGCACACCTGTAGTCCCAGCTGCTCAGGAGGCTGACGTGGGAAGATCACTTGATGCCAGAAGGTCGAGGCTGCAGTGAACCATGATCTTAACACTGCACTCGGCCCTGGGCAACAGAGCGACACCCTGTCTCTAAAATTAAACAAGGCAGAATGAACATGCACTCATCTGTGTTCCAAAGCACACTAAAATTAACCAAAGTAATATGGAGGCTTACACCCACAAAAACAAAGAAAGTGGAAGGAGTAATATGTTTTAGGAGAGAGGGAAAGAAGGCAGAGACATGGAAGTGATTCGGCAGAGACACTCAAGCCCAAGTGTCCCCAGAGATCTCCCCCACTCATTCTCAGAAAGACTCAGGAAGTGGTAGGAACACAGCAGGCCACTGAAAACAAAGGGACGGGTTGAAATTCTGTTTAAGAACAATTAGATTCCCAGGTTGCAATCCCTGCTCCTGCTCCTTGCAGAAGACAGGAAGTGGGCTCTAAGTGGAAGCTGAGCTAGGAGAACCCTGGAGGCAACTGGCAGATTGAGGAGGCAAGAGGGAGGGAGAGGAGGGTCAGGCTGAAAGCAGGCACTGAGGGGGACTCTCCACCTGGATCCCCTTCCCCAGACCACCTCCCGGAAGACCGGCTATTGGGCTTCAGCGTCTGTACCTGCTGGGCCAGAGCTCAGAGGCACCTGCTCTGGAGAGACCGAAGACTCTAGGGAAAATCCCACAGATGTGCTGGCAACTGGAGGCCCCCAACAAAGGAGCCCAGCCTGGCAGCCACAGCCAGCCTGCCCTGCAGACTCAGCCTTTCTGTGCCCTCTTCTTCAGCATACACAGGCAGTCCAGGGCTGCCAGACGTTTGAGGAAAGCCTCCAAACGGACATATACCCTGATGTGGTGTGGGTGCGGCCGTCTGTCCCCACTAACACTCATGCTGAAATCTGTCAAGTCAGTCTGAGGAGCAACTAATTCAAATGACAGGGAAAGGATGGAGTATTCCAGGAGGGCTCCAAGGTAAAAATGGAATTGGTCACTGCTGTGGACTGAATTGTATCCCCACCAAAATGCATGTTAAAAAAATGTTTTTAAAGAACAAAAACAAAACAAAAGAAGCTGTGTATGGTGGTGTGCACCAGTAATCTTGGATCTTGCCAGCCACCAGGTACTTGGGAGGCTGAGAGGGGAGGATCGCTTGAGTTTGAGACCAGCCTGGGCCACACAGTGAGACTGCCCATCTTAACAAACAAACATATGTTGAAATCCTAACCCTGCCATGTGACTGTACTACAGATCTGGCCTTCAAGGGTAAAGGAGGTCATAAAGGAGCAGCCATAAGGGAGCAGCCCTTGTCCTCATAAAAGAGAAAGAGACACCAAAGATTTGTTTTTCTCCTCCTCCTCTTTTCTTGCTCCACAATAAGAACGCAGCCATCTGCAAGCCAGGAAGAGACCCCCTCCCCAGAACCAGAACCCTGCCAGAATCTGGATCTTCAACTTTCCAGCCTCCAGAATGGTGAGAAAATAAATTCCTGTTAAGTCACCCAGTCTATGGTATTTTACTATGGCAGTCCTGGCCGACTAAGACAGGAGTTATCTGTATGGAAAATCATATTGAGAGGCCACTGGATGATGTGGGAGGAACTGGCATAGGTATATTAAAAACTAAACTAACTTTAAAAGGGCAATTATTAACTAGAAAAAACAGAATATTAAGACATATTGTTCAAGACAAAATTATGTTCAAAACATAATCATAACGCACTGGTTCACTCAGCAGAGACTAAAACTTAGAATTATATTTGAAGGATGGGGAACCGGAGGGAAAAGAGTTGGTAAGAAAGCCATCTCATCTACCGTAATAGGTAGGCACCAATGACTTCAGCCTAATTTTTCTCAGACCACAGAGCTATGTTTAAGACTTTAGGCCGGCACGGTGGCTCATGCCTGTAATCCTAGCACTTTGGGAGGCCGAAATGGGCGGATCACGAGGTCAGGAGACTGAGATCATCCTGGCTAACACGGTGAAACCCTGTCTCTATTAAAACTACAAAAAATTAGCCGGGCGTGGCGGCGGGCACCTGTAGTCCCAGCAACTCAGGAGGCTGAGGCAGGAGAATGACGTGAACCCGGGAGGCGGAGCTTGCAGTGAGCCGAGATCGTCCCACTGCACTCCGGCCTGGGCAAAAAAAAGACTTTAATAGAGGAAGTGAGTATTACTCAGAAAGATAAACTGAGAGAGACTACTCTGCCCAACTTCAAACTATGAAAATCTCTGGATGGGCAAACAGGAAAAGCTAGCACAGCTGCCGTAAAGTTGTCCTTTTCAGTATCTCTCACTGTTCATACTCACAGTGCCAGTTGGACTCTCAAATATCCCAATCTTGCCAGCCTCCAAAACCCGGTACAGCTCTGCCATGAAGTCTTCCTGGATGGAATAGGGTGTGAAGGGAAAAGGAAAATGGATGGCACCAACCTTCTGTGTTTCATTAGCCATGGACCTAGGAAAAATAAATACAACATTAGGGAGCTCTCTCATGGTCCAGGAAGAAGTGGCTTGAAATCTGGAGCATTATTTAAGAGCAGTCTCCACACTTGTTACCAAATTTCTCCTTTTTTTCTGGGAAGCAGAGACCATGTTCTCTCCATCCTTCGCAGGTCCACATGAGGCCATACCAGAATCACGCACTCCATCTAGCGGCATTTAACGGCTGTAGCAGAATGCAGACCAGGAAAGCCCCTAAACCCAATCTCCCCTGCATTTCACCGTGGCGCCGATACCTTTCTAATGCCTCTACAAAAGGCTTAGAGCTCTCTTCTCAAAGACCAGCACCCCTAAGATCAAGGGTGTTGCTCATAATGACTTTTGCAGCTTTCTTCTCCCACGTCTCTGCAATGCACATTCACAAGCCGAAGCTACTTCACTTTATCCCGTTGTGAAGTCCTGGAAAATCATGACGCACAGGCAGAGGACCATAAGCACAGCTTGTTTGGATAGCGCAAGTTAACATACACGTCCTTATCTTTTTTTTTTTTTTTTTTTTTTCCCAGACAGAGTCTCACTCTGTCACCCAGGCTGGAGTGCAGTGGCGCGATCTCGGCTCACTGCAAGCTCGCCTCCCGGGTTCACACCATTCTCCTGCCTCAGCCTCCCAAGTAGCTGGGACTACAGGCGCCCGCCACCACGGCCGGCTAATTTTTTTTTTTTTTTTTGGTAGAGACGGGGTTTCACCGTGTTAGCCAGGATGGTCTCGATCTCCTGACCTCGTGATCCGCCCGCCTTGGCCTCCCGAAGTGCTGGGATTACAGGCGTGAGCCACCGCACCCAGCCTACACGTCCTTATCTTACAAGTATCTTTAGTTTGCTTCTTAGTTCATCCTGGCCTCCATTTCCAGCACCGACCAGAGCCGCCACCTACTAACTTTTCTGGCCTCAAGACCTATGAGCTTTCTGTTTGGCTCCAGACAGGAGAGCTCTCTTCACAGCCACGGGGCTCTGGCTGGAACAGCTTCCCAGCACTGAGACCAGGCATTTCTCTTTCCTTGCTAGGCTAAGGTCTAAGAAAAACTCTGCTCCATGTTGACGTCATCTTTTTTTTTCTCCTCTTCTGAACCTAATTATCTGTGAGACAGTGATTCAAGGAAGAAAGGAGAAGTAAACGCTATCTGGAGGCCTGACTCTTCCATCCTGGTTCCCACACCTCTCTCTTTGGAACTCACTTCTCCAAGCTCTTTGCCAGGTCTGTCTCTTCTAAGCACAAATGTTAGTAAGTCCCAAACCCATTTTACTAATATTAGTAGATCGAGAGCCCATCTTTATAACTTTGGCCTCAATAAGACTAGTGATAGTGTCACTCTACGAGGGGAAAGGTAGTTGCCATGATGCTCTTCGGTTTAGGAGCAATTAAAATGACTACAGATTGGTGGCAGTTTATGGATTTGCACAAGAAGAGAACTCACAGAACTAGCATTATTTTACCCTCTGTCTTTACAGAGGTGTATTTGGCTGTTTTGTTAGACATTCTGGGGACAAGAAAAAATGAAAAAAGAAAAACATGACTACAGAGGTAGAGGAATTATTACAAGAAGGGTAATTAAAAAATATGACTTACAATTCAATCCTGAGAGAGGGGTATGTACTGAAAAAGCTTTAACACATGAAGGAAAGGGGAGGAAAGGTACCTAACAAATTTTTGAGTACCTCCTATGTGTTAAACACTCTACAGTGGTCTTTTGCTTTTATTATCTCATTTAATCTGTACAACACTATAAGGATACAGCTACTGGATACTGATGCTTACAGAAATTAAATAATTGCTCAAACTCACAGCTAAAAAGTGGAAAACCAGGGATTCGAATCCAGGTCCAAATGACTGTGCTTTAGTGAAGCTCATCCAGTCGCAAGAGATATCCAGCATAAGTAAAGGGAGGTTCACTGAAGGGAGGTTCACAAACTGAGAGTAAGAATTGAAACTATCTGGGAAAGCCAAAAACAGAAGCAGACTAGAGCTGCAAGGCAGCTCGGACTTCAAGACAGCTCCAGGAACGTCACCAGCAAACACACACCCACGGGGTTCACTCTCCTGCTCAGCCAGGCGCCGGATACAGCCACAATCTCACTCCCTCAGCGCACTCGGTTTCTGCTTATCCCAAACTTTCGCTTACACGTGGCCTCATCAGCCCCTGGACCTTTCAGCTTCAGCTCCCACTGCCAAGTAAAAAGTCTTCATGTCTCCTCGTTCTGAATCCCAAGACAAAAAGCTGACCAGCAGCTCCTCTCAAGACAGAGCACTGGTCAGCCTGAGACTGGTCTGGCTCCCAGCCTCATCTACTCAGCTCGGGCCTTGCACTTGCTGCTCCCCTTGGCCTGGAGAAGGAGTCCTCCTCAATATCCAGGCTTTGGCTCACCTCCTCAGAGAAGCCTCTCCGGCTGTCTGGCCGCTGGACAGTGGTCAAACACCACCCCCACTCCTCACCCCCTAGCTTGCTCTAAGTCACTTTTTAAAAATCACATTACTCTGTATTTAATTTATTCATAGCTCTTAGCACCATCTGAACCTATTTATTCTTCCTCACTGGAATATACATTCCATAAATAGAGGAACCTTGTCTGTCTTGCTCTTCTCTGGCTCCAGGACTCAGAACTAGGTGCTTCAACACCTCATAGGCATTCAACAAAAATCTGATGAATGAATGAGGAGCCAGCCAGACATCGGGGCTGTAAGTAAAGGTTTCTCTTCCGAGGCTGGGTAACGGAGGTCCCATGACTTGAATACCTATTAGTTAAATGGCCAGTTCTTTAATGGTTTCAAACCGTTTTCAGATAACCCCACAAAAACCCTGTGTGGTATTTTTATAAGCTCTATTTTATAGAGAAAGAAACTGAGACTCAGTAAACTTATATGACTTGCCCAAGGTCACTCAGCAAGTGCTTGAACTCAGGATTTGAACCACATCTGCCAGACCCCCAAGCCACCTGAAACTTTCTATCTCCTCACTTTTCCTCCCACCAGGGTAAGTGGGATAAAAAAGACAGATTTGGTGACCAAACTCTAGAATGACAACACTAAACAATACAGAAGAAATGTTAAGTATTATCTCACTTCCCCATCAGTGGTAATTATGGATCTCATTATTCCAGAAGCAGCACAGGCTAAATCATAGAGGTTTAGATAAATCTGAGTATAACGGATTCACTAAGCCCTATTAAAAACATTTGCAGTGACTTGTTCAGCCCTCTTCAGGTTGGCTGTGTGGAGGACAACCATCACCTCCCAGTGCCAAGGCACACACCAGGACAGCAAAGCTCATGCTCATAAAACGAGGTTAGAGTTGTGAAAGCACTTCAGGAACATATTAGTTCTTAACGTGTTCATTTTCTTCAGTCCCCAATTATCACTCATTACCGAGTACAGACTATTGTTGTGGGCTCAGTTGTGTCCTCCCCACATTGATCCTGGACATCCCAAGCCTCTGGGACTGTGAGAAAACACATTTCTGTGTCTAAGCCACCCAGTTTATGGTATTTTGTCATGACAGCCGGGGCTGACCAAGACAACTATGTGGCAGGTGCTACCTACCGTATGGCCCTAAAATGTTTTAACTTCACACACCTGGAAAGCACCACAGCCCCAAGAGAAAAGCTTTTCCGCACTGCTGTTAAGCCAGGGCCACATACTGCAGTGCTGCGGTGCTCCACCAGCTGGAGGATGGCCTGGCCCATAATACCCGCATTCCCACCTTGCTCTGGCCCTGTGTCCCCTCCAACGTGCATCCTGAGCTCGCACCCTGTGTGGAACCCAACCAGCTGCTTATCAACATTTAAGTCCACTTTTATGACACTTCCGTCAACAATCTGGTCAACTGCACTCATCCCTGGCCTCCGTACTGTACCCTGCTCCGCCTCGATTCCCGCCCTGGGGGAAGCTAGACTCACGCAGCTAACTTTATCGGCTCTGGGCTCTGATCGCCAAGTTTAGGATCCCAGCTGTATCCTTGCTAAAGTTAGTATCGCTGGGGCTCAGTTTCTGTAAGAGACAGGTGGGTTACAAGCGCTCACTCACTGTTGCAGTGTCTTATCTACGTAACATAATCCATGAAAAGCTCAACACAGCTAGGCCAAATCTAAGACCCAGACACGCGGCTGCTGTTAATGCCCACTCCTGCGCACCGCGCCGTTCCACCGCAGGCACAACCTTCCTAGGCCTGCCCCGTCCCCACACAGGGGTTCCCGCTTGTCAATCACGCTGGCCCAGCCCTCCACCTCCGGAATGTTTTCCCGCTCCGGACGGGCCACCCACCTTTGCAAACAGGGGTCCGGCGCCGGAACAGACGCCCAGTTTGCGATTTCACCAGTCTGCCCTTCCTCGTCCCGCTGCTCCTCGTCCTAAGGACCTCTGCTGCCACACAGCACTGCGCTCACCTTCTTCGCCGGCAGAATTGCTACGCTGAAAGCCAGGCCCCGGGAATCAGGGCAAACGCCACTGAATTTGAAACTGGCGGGTCCCCTCAGTGAAAGGCTGCCGGAACAACCCCCGCCGCTGCGCATGCGCACTCCGGGACGCGCGCGAACACGCAGCAGCCAGAATCCACAGGGGCGTGGTTTGCGCGCGCAGGAACTTGGATCTCAACCCCAGGGCTAGGTGCCTCCTCCCGCTGCTTTCCGCCAGCTGCGGGGTGTGAGATTAATCCCCGCCGATTAGCGCCAGGTGTACTAATCCCTGGATGGTTCCCTGACCAGATGAAACATCAGCCGATGTTCTAATGCCCGTCCCCTGGGCACTGTCCCCGAGAGGGAAAACCTGTTTTCTGACCCCGGCTCTAGTCGGCCTCTGGAGATCTGCAGCTGGGTTATTTTACTTCTGAAACGGACGACACCTGCCCCGCGCACCCCAGCGGCTCCTCCACACGGAGAGATGGTGTCAGTCAAAGGCCGTCTAGATGACGAGTTTATGAAATTGTTCCTGGCCCGTGCCGGGCACGACCTTGCAGAGAGCCCAGAAGATGAAACCCCAGCCCTGCCAGGAGCTCACCTGCTAATTAGGAGGACAACGAATCACCTCACCTCCCTAGACTTTGCTTCTCCTTTATTCAGTGAGGGATTGGACTAGCTGGTCCTTAAGGACTTTTCAGAAAGTCTGGTTCTGGGAGATGACCAATGGGATCATCTTATGCTATGAGCTTTCCTGGAATGACAGGTAATTGGTGCGCCTTCCCAGCAGGGTCAGGGAGAGTCGCTGGGACTTGAAGGGAAGGCTTTTGGGGAGAGGAGCCAGTGTTACAAACTATCGAAAAGCTTGGAGGTGGGAAATTTGCGAAAGGTGATTCCAGGGTCAGCTTTTTTGTCACCTGCTTCCGACTTCGGCAGTTTGGAGAGGGCGAGTAATACCCTTCAGGGTCTTGGGATGTGGCCCAGCAAAATCCTTAGAGGGTCTTTGGAGTCGTAGTTTTAAGTTTAGAATTAATGGGCAGAGTATTTAAATAGCCATTTCTCCAAAGATGTATACAAATGGCCCACAAACTCATAAAAATGTTGCATTCCACCCTATAACATGTTTTTGCATAAAAAATTTTTAAAATAACTGTTGTCTGGTAAATTGACACCTCTGGAATAGAAGGTACGCTAGGTTTTTTACCCTACTGCTTCAAACCCCATTCTACACACACACTCCTAGGGTGTGAATCATCCAGTTTAAGAAGCACCCTTGGAGAAACAGAAAGTTGATAGTGTGTCCAGAATTGATGAGTTCTTGGTCTCACTAACGCAAGACAGAAGCTACAGACCCTCACGGTGTTAGTTTTATAAAGGCGGTGTGTCTGGAGTTTGTTCCCTCGGATGTTCCAATAGGTTCGGAGTTTTTTCCTTCTGGTGGGTTTGTGGTCTTGCTGGCTCAGGAGTGAAGCTGCAGACCTTCGCCTGAGTGTTACAGCTTTTAAGACGGCGTGTACTGGAGTTGCTCGTTCACCCCGGTGGGTTCGTGCTCTCACTAGCTTCAGGAGTGAAGCTGCAGACATTTACAGTGAGTGTTACAGCTCGTAAAGGCAGTGCAGACCTAAAAAACAAAAAGAACAAAGCTTCTATACTCTGGTAAGACAATCCCAGTGAGTTACTGTTGCTGGCTTAGGGCAGCCTGTGTTTATTCTCTTCTCTGGCCCAACCCACATCCTGCTGATTGGTCCATTTTACAGAGAGCTGATTGGTCCATTTTACAGAGAGCTGATTGGTCTGTTTTACAGAGTGCTGATTGATCCGTTTTGACGGGGTGCTGATTGGTGCGTTTATAATCCCTGAGCTAGACACAAAAGTTCTCCAGGTCACCGCTAGATTAGCTAGATACAGAGTGTCGATTGGTGTATTTACAAACCGTGAGCTAGACACAGAGTGCTGATTGGTGCATTTACAAACTTTGAGCTAGATACAGAGTGCCGATTGGTGCATTCACAATCCCTTAGCTAGACAAAGGTTCTCCAAGTCCCCACCAGATTAACTAGATACTGAGTGCCAATTGGTTCATTCACAAACCCTGAGCTAGACACAGGGTGCTGATTGGTGTGTTTGCAAACCTTGAACTAGATACAGAGTGCCGATTGGTGTATTTACAATCCCTTAGCTAGACATAAAGGTTCTCCAGGTCCCCACTAGACTTAGGAACTCAGCTGGCTTCACCAAGTGGATGCGGCAGGGGGCAGCAGGTGGAGCTGCCTGCCAATCCCGCGCTGTGCACCGGCACTCCTCAGCCCTTTGGGGGTTGATGGGACTGGGCACCGCGGATTAGGGGGCGGCGCTCGTCGGGCAGGCTCCGGCCGCGTAGGAGCCCATGGCTGGGGCGCCGGCGGGCGGCTCAGTCATGGCGGGCTGCTCAGTCATGGTGGGCTGCAGGTCCCGAGCCCTGCCCCGCGGGGAGGCAGCTAAGGCCCGGCGAGAAATGGAGCACGGCAGCTGCTGGCCCAGGTACTAAACCCCTCACTGCCCCGGGCTGGCGGGCCGGCCGCTCCGAGTGCGGGGCCCGCCGAGCCCACGCCCACCGGGAACTCGCGCTGGCCCGCAAGCGCCGAGCGCAGCCCCGGTTCCCGCCTGCGCCTCTCCCTCCACACCTCCCTGCAAGCTGAGGGAGCTGGCTCCGGCCTTGGCCAGCCCAGAAAGGGGCTCCTACAGTGCAGCTGCGGGCTGAGGGGCTCCTCAAGCGCGGCCAGAGTGGGTGCCAAGGCCGAGGAGGCGCCAAGAGCGAGCCAGGGTTGCGAGGGCTGCCAGCAGGCTGTCACCTCTCAATAGGACGTGAAGGTCGGTCGGGGTCTGGTTGTAGAAGGCTTTAAACAACAAGCTAATAAATTTATACTTCACACTGTAGACAAGTTGCAAGTCACTGAAACATTTTTAAACAGAGGAGTGGATTTGCAAATGCAGTGTCTTGGAAATAGTAAGCTGGAAGCAGTGTGAAGGATGGTTTGGAGAGACCAGAAGCAAGCAGCCAAGTTGGGTTGTGCAGTAAACCAAGCAGTGCAGTAGAGGCTTAGACCTCAAGAGTGACAATAGACATGGAGAGGACAAAGGCCGTACCCACCAGGCTGTAAATCTGCATTGTGTCCCTCCATCCTCCCCTCGCTTCTGCCCTGGAGGCTTATATTTAGAGAGCTGTACTCCTAACGTGAGGCCCTGGGCTTTGTCTCAAAGGTAAAGGCAAAAGTTCCTTATGTGGACTACCTCTGCATTTGTTATTAAACAGCCTTAGATGATGCCATTAATTGAATGAACTCAGAGGCCTTCTTGATAAACTCTCAAAACTCAGGGCTTAGGAAGAAAAGTGCTTGTACTAATGTAGAAATATTTTCTATAACCGGACAGTAAGAGCTATAGAAACCCATTATGCATTCTTCTTTGCCTTCACTGCTAGTGATCTCAGGGCTAAATATTGTACATTGTTTTAGTTTTCTTCGGCAAGCATTTTTTAATTTTGTTGTTGTTGTTCTCATTCCTTCTTGCTAATTTTAAGTGCATTTTCTAATAAAGTCTGACTGCCTGGTGGGCAGATCACGAGGTCGGGAGATCGAGACCATCCTGGCTAACACGGTGAAACCCCGTCTCTACTAAAAATACAAAAAAAAAAAAATTAGCCGGGCGTGGTGGTGGGTGCCTGTAGTCTCACCTACTTGGGAGGCTGAGGCAGGAGAATGGCGTGAACCTGGGAGGCGGAGCTTGCAGTGAGCCGAGATCACGGCACTGCACTCCAGCCTGGGCGACAGAGCGAGACTCCGTCTCAAAAAAAAAAAAAAAAAAAAAAGTCTGACTGCCTGGATCCAGATATTCCCCACTCCACCATTCAACTGGCTGAATGACCTTGGCCTATGACTTAAGCCTTCTGAGTCTCTGCTTTTCTCACGAATAAAATAAAGATAATAATAGGACCTATGTTCTAGAATTCTTATGAGATAAGTGAGATAATCCTGGTAACATAAAGGGCTTAACATCTTACATGTCATTGTGGAAGCTTAACAAATGGTAGCTATTACTGATATGAATTGGGTTTGGTTTCAGCGTTCCTCTGCTTTTATTATAAATTTCCTTAGATCCTCTTCTAGAAGGAGAGCATGTAGGAGGTACAAGTTTGTTTTCAACAAGCAATTCTCTCGGGAACTAAGAGTGAGAACTGAGTCACTTCTGCCATAAGGGCAGCAAGCCTTTCATGAGGGATGTACCCCCATGGTCCAAACATTGCCCACCAGACGCCACCTCCAACACTGGAAATCAGATTTCAACATGAGACTTAGGCCAAACAAACCACATCCAAACTGGAACACCTAGGTAGTGGGAAAGGCTCATGAAATGTGCCTGTGCTATAAGAGAAAACATTATTAGAGACTAGATTGTTCTGTCCCCAAAACCCTATATGCCTCACTGTGGAACAGCGCAAGATGCACCCTAATAATATTTACTTCTCTGAACCCCAGTTTCTTGGATTATTATGTCTATCTTGATATGTTACTTTAGCTCATTAAGCCACACCGTAGTGGGGGTGGGACATGTTGTTTCTTCACATAATAGGTTGATGTACTTAGTCAAACTAAATTTTCAGTGGTGTTTGAAAATGGGGGGACTAGAACTGAGGAAGGTGGTAAAAGCTGGATATATGGATTTGATCACCCCTGGGAAACAACAACAACAACAAAAAACATCTAAACTAAAGCTGTGGAGGTAGTAAGATTACTGAAAGGAAAAGTTTCCAAAAAGAAGGAGGTATCCACATATAAAAGAATGAAGTAGGATCCTTGTCTTATACAATATATCCAAATTAACTTAAGATGGATTTTCTAAAGTTAAAATGAAGTTAAAAATTAAAGTTAAAAGCTATAAAACTATAAAACTGGTAGAAGAAAACAGAGGGGAAAAGCTTTATGACATTGCATTTGGCAATGATTCCTTGGCTATGACACCAAAAAGCACAGGCAACAAAAAAATTGATGATGAGTTGAGGGATTTGTAAAATAACATAAAAATAGATGAATTGGACAACAACAAAAGTTACAACTTCTGTGCATTGAAGGACAGGATCAACAGAGTGAAAAGGCAGCCTACAGAATGGGAGCAAGTATTTGTAAATCATCTATCTGATAAGGGGTTAATAACCAGAATATATAAAGAACTTCTGTATCTCAGCAACATGAAAACAATCTGATTAAAAAAATGGGCAAAATACTTAAATAGATATTTCTCCAAAAAAAGATGTGCAAATGGCCCACAGGCACATGAAAAGATGCTCGACATCCCAGTCACTGGGAAAATGCAACTCAAAGCCACGATGAGGTACCACTGCAATCCACTGGGATGGCTACTATTGCACACACACACACACACACACACACACACACACACAGCCAGGCACAGTGGCTTATACTTGCAATTCCAGCACTTTGGGAAGCTGAAGCGAGAGGATAACTTGAGGGCAGGTGTTCAAGACCATCCTGTGTAACATAGTGAGACCAGATCTCTGCAAAAAATTTAAAAAAATATTAGGGGGTAATCGTGGCACACACCTGTAGTCCCAGCTACCCAAGAGGCTGAGGTAGGAGGATTGTGTGAGCCCAGGAGTTCAAGGCTGTAGTGAGCTATAATTGCACCACTGCACTCCAGCCTGGGTGACAGAGCAAGACCCTGTCTCAAAAAAAAAGAAGAAAGAAAAAACCTCAACCCAAAAGGAGCAAAACAAAAAATAAATGATGGCAAGGATATAGAGAAATTAGAAATTTGTACATGGCTGGTGGGAATGTAAAATGGTGTAGCCGCTATGGAAAAAAATTAAAAATAGAATTACCATATGATCCAACAATTTCACATCTGGGTTTGTAAACAACAGAAGTAAAAGCAGTGTCTTGAAGACATTTTTGCACACCTGTGTTTATAACAGCATTATTCGCAACAGCCAAAAGGTAGAAGCAACCCAAGTGTCTATTGACAGATGAGTGGATAAAGTGTGGTATATACATACAATGGAATATGATTCAGTCTTGGAAGGAAGTTCTGACACATGCTATGACATGGATGAGCCCTGAGGCTATTATTTGTATTAGGGTTCTCCAGAGAAACAACCAGCAGGGTGTGTGTGTGTGTGTGTGGGTGTGTGTGTGTGTGTCTATCTACACAGCGAAAAAGAAGCTTAAAGAATTAGCTCATGCAGTTGTAGAGGACTGGTGAGTGAAAATCTGATTGTATTGACTGGCAGGCTGGAGACCTAGGGAAGAGTTATGGTTCAAGGCCAAAGGCAGTCTGCTGGCACAACTCCTTGTTCAGGGGAAGTCAGTCTTTGCTCTAGTAAGGTCTTCACCTAATTGAATGAGGTCCACCCACATTATGGAGGGTAATCTGCTTTACTTAGAGTCCATTGATTTAATTGTTAATCTCATCCAAAAAACACCTTCACAGAAACACCCAGAATAATGTTGGCCAAATGTATGGGTACGGTGGCTCAGCCAAGTTGACACATAAAATTAACCATCACATTATACTCAGTGAAAAAGCCAGTCAAAAGACAAATACTGTATTATTCTACTTACATGAGGTTGCTAGAGTAGTCAGATTCATAGAGACAGAAAGTAGAAGAGTGATTGTCAGGGGCTGGGGGAAGGGCAAATAGGGAGTTGTTTTACGGGTGTAAGAATTTCAGTTTTGCAAGAGGAAAAGTTCTGGAGACTGGTCGCACAACAATGCGAGTATGTCCAACATGAATGAAGTGTACATTTGAACAGGGTTAAGGTACATTTTATTATGTATATTTTCTTAAAAGTTTTTGAAAAAAAATGAGGAAGAGAGAATGACCTTTAAGAAATGTCCACATTTGAAGATGGGAAAGGAAGATGAGAGAATGATGAATCAGTGAAATAGAAGGCAGTTTACAGCTATCTGAGCCAAAGGACAAAATGATCAACACTGAAATATAGTACAGTCAAGGTGAACACTAATTAGAAAAAAGTCTCCTGGGTGTGATCATTCAAAGGGCAACTGCACTGAGTTGAGTGTTAATACATTAGTTTGAACAAAACCACTTTGCACGGTGAAGATGACTCTAGGTGATGTGGTTAAAGGAGGAAACCTGGAGGGGCGGAGAGAAACAGGAGAGGAATGGACTTGAGGGTGGAAGGAAAGGAGACCATGCAAAGGAAGACCCTGGAGATACAGATAAAGTGAGAGGGCCACTTTTGCCTCTGCCTTTGACATTTCCTCCTGCCGGGTAGCCTGACTTGGTCAAGATTCTAAAAGTTACGAGATAAGGGGCCCCATAAATCAGACTAAGCTGGGGCAGCTGCCCTAAGAATGTGCAGCTAGGGACTGGTGGCAAGAAACAGACCATGGCAGGTTTGGAGAGATCCTCAAGGAGTCCAAGCCTGAAGTAAATTGCAGTGGAAACCAAAATGTCAAAGACAAAGTACAAAGCTAGGCTGAAGGCCAAGTGGACAAATGCCAATGCACAGTCACGGGCTGCATAACGATATTTCAGCCAACAACAGACTGCATACAGGAAGGTGGTTCCATAGATTATAACAGAGCTGAGCAATTTCTGTGACCTAGTGGCATAGTAACTATCATAACATGGTAGCACAACGCATGACTCACATGTTTGTGGTGGTCCTTGTATAAGCAAACCTGAGTTGCCAGTGTATAAGAGTATAGCTTGGAGAGTTACATACGGTACACAATACTTGATAATGATCATAAATGACTGTTACTGGTTTATGTGTTTACAATACTTTTATTATTATTTTAGAGTGTACTCTTTCTAGTTTTGTTTTGTTTTTGAGACAGAGTCTTGCTCTGTTGCCCAGGCTGGACTGCAGCAGCATAATCATAGCTCACTAAAGTGTTGAACTGGGCTCACGCCATCCTCTCACTTCAGTCCCCCAAGTAGCTGGACAACAGATGCACACTATCACACCCAACTAATTTTTTTTATCTTTACTTTTTGTAGAGACAGGTTCTTGCTCTGTTGTCTAAACTGATCTTGAACTCCTGGCTATATGTGATCCTTCTACCTTGTCCTCCCAAAGTACGGGGATTACAGGTGTGAGCCACCATGCCCGGCCTCTGCTTTCCAAAAACGAAGCTGACTGAAAAGCAGATTCAGCCAAGATCCTTCAGGAAATATCCCAGAAGGAAGCATTGTTATCATAAGACGCGGCAGCTTCATACGTGTTACTGCCCCTGAAGACCTTCCAGTGGGACAACACGTGGAAGACAGTGATATTGATGATCCTGACCCTGTTTAGGCCTGAGCTAATGTGTGTGTTTGTGTCTTAATTTTTAACAGAAAAGTTTAAAAACTAAAAAAAATTTTTTTTAAATAGAAAAAAGCTTATAAAGAAAAGCTTTACAGTTGTGTTTTAAACTAAGCGTTATTACAAGAGTCAAAAAGTTTAAAAAATTAAAAGGTTTATAAAGTGAAAGAGATACAGAAACCTAAGGTTAATTTACTGAAGAAAGAACAATATTTTAACAAATTTAGTGTAGCCTAAGTGTCCACTGTTTATAAAGTCCACAACAGTGTGCAGTAATGTCCTAGGCTTTCACCTGCATGCAACACACACTCCCTGACTCACCCAGAGCAACTTCCAGTCCTGCAAGCTCCATTCATAGTAAGTGCCTGTGTGTGGAAAAACCACCTCCAATGTGTTTTTCTTCTGCTCTCACACCACAGCAACCATCAACATGGAAGACTTCTATGACCACATACAGGGGAATTTCTCCCCACACACCAAGCAAGCAAGCAGTTCTGGAGGGGACACCAGCTAGGTGTCCTCCAGTTCAATTGTGACACCGCCTACCTGGAGATAGCATCAGATCCCACAGGTTGTAGGCTCAGTCTCCCAAGACTGTCCCCTCCTTCCCAAGATAGCAAGTCCAGGTCTCTAGAACATCTGACCCACCAGCTTCAAGTTGGGGTTCCTATGACCTCTTCTTTGTGTTTGATTAATTTGCTAGAGTGCTCACACAACTCAGGGAAACACTTATGTTTACTGGTTTATTACAAAGGGTATTTTACATGATACAAATAAACAGCCAGTTGAAGAGATACATAGGGTGAGTCTGGAGGGGTCCCTAACCCAGGAGCTTCTGTGGAGTTGGGGTGTGCCACCCTCCTGGCATAGGGAAGAGTTTTGTCAGCCTCCACGTGTTCAGCTTTCCAGAAGCTCCCTGAGCCCTGTCCTCTTGAGCCTTCAATGGAGACATCATTGGGTAGACATGATTGACAACCATGTACAAATACAACTGGACCAGAAGGGATGATCTAACACTAGTTGTATGAGATAGGATAACCCACCAAGGCTTATCCAGATTCTTCTTGGCCTCTCTGTGCAGCATTCTCACCTCCTAAGGATGGGCAGGACCCTCTCTGGAATGAGGATCTTATAATGTGCAGAGTCCTGCCTTGGGCAGGTGAAAGGAGGGCAGGAGAAAGTCAGAGACAGAGAGTCTGTTTTCTGAGCCTAAAGTGTCCCAGCACTGTAACAAGACTATAATGAGGGCCATAGAAGTTATGAGCCAGGAACCCTGGGCAAAGACATGTAAATACTATAATGCTATAGTGCCCTTTAGAGGCATACCACTTTTATCTTTCAAACCATATGTTTACTGTACCTTTTCTTTGTTGAGACATTTGGAGACACAGATACCATCATGTTGAAGTTGCCCACAGTATTCAGTATAGTCATGTGCTGCACAGGTCTGTAGCTTAGGAAATGTAAACTAAAGAAAAATGACCAAGGTGAGTCCTGATCATTTTAGGTTTATTTGCTGAGGTTGAGGACATGCCCAGGAAAGAACGTAGATCCACAGGAAACATTGTGTTTCATGCTTTTTCCAAAGAGGGTCTTGGGATCCCAATATTTAAAGGGAAAAGGCCAGGTATTGAAAGAAGAAGATACATTTTTAAAAGGGTATGGGTAGATACGAGGCAAGCAGTTGCATTCTTTTTGAGTCTTTGATTAGCCTTCACATGTAAGAGGGTAGGGGAACAGTCACTTAAACATTCATCTAGTTCAATGAATCTGCATTTTTACATAAGATAAACAGGCAGGGGGAGCAATCAGATATGCATTTGTCTCAGGTGAGAAGAGGGATGACTTATGTGTCTTGTTCCATGCCTGTGAAGATAAGCCATCAATTTACATGGTCAGGGTGAAATTCAACGTAACTATCTTAGGGTAAATATCTTGGGGGCCCATAAAGAATTTCCTTAGTTTTTCTTTAATGTTATTGAATGACTGTTGGCATTCCACTGTCTAATATAAAGGTTCCGACTCTGACATTTTAAATGCCTCAGATAAGTGCTTTACTAGGAGACCAAAATTAGGGATCAAAGGTGACAAAAGCCAACTATACCTAAGACTCCTTTTAGTTATCTGATTTTTGAGAGCCTTGATAGTGGCTATTGCTTGTTACCTGTCAGGCATCAGACTCTGCCTACCTTATTGCAGGCAAACCCCTGAATAGACTACCTGCTCTTTGCATATTTGCAAAGAGATACTTTATGATCCAATTCCACCAGGCTGTTTAAAACTAGTATTGGCCGGGTGCGGTGGCTCACGCCTGTAATCCAGACACTTTGGGAGGCCACAGTTGAAGGATCGCTTAAGCATAAAAGTTCAAGGCCAGCCTGGACAACACTGTGAGACTCCATCTCTACAACAAATACATTTTAAAAATTAGCCATGTGCAGTGGCACACATATGCAGTCCCAGCTACTTGGGAGGCTAAGGTGGGAAGCTCGCTTGAGCCTAGGAGGGCAAGGCTGCAGTGACCCATGATCACACCACTGCACTCTAGCATGGGTGGCAGAGTGAGACCTTGTTTCAAAACAATCAAACAAAAACTGGTATAAACAGTCTTCATAAGTGGGGCTAGCAATGAGTAAATTACCCATGCATTGTAATAGTATTCCCCTGTTTAATTGCAAGCTTCTCAAATCTTTTAGTAAGATTTTTTTCAAAAATGGTAAAGGAATACTTAAATATTTGGGCAGTACAGTCTAGCAGTTTTGGAAGTTTGCCCTAGTCTCCAGATCTTGCCATTCAAGTGCAAAAACAACTGGGCTTTCTCCTCAATTAGTAGACACTGAACAAAAGCATCCTTTAATTCCTATGCTGAGAACTAGCCATAATCCCCTGGGGTAGCTGTAAGTGGGGTATATGGGTTAGCCACGATTGGGTGGGTATCTTGAACGATGTCATTAATAGCTCTCAAATTTGCACAAATTGATACTAATTGGAGTTTGGTTTCTTCACTGGCAAGATAGTGGTATTGTATTGAGACTGTCATGATTGAATAAGTCTGTGCTTTAGAAACCTGTGTAATCCCCCTGTATGACTTCTAATTCTTTACCTTTTAAGCAGTGTTGTTTTTATGTGGAATTAATGCCTTTTTAAATTCAACGTGCACAGGCTGAGCTTTGACTGCTAGTTCAGGTTCCCTGTCTTCCCAAACAGTGCTACTCCCTCTGTTGTAGACTTCCAGCAGGAATGGTTCTTGAGTTCTTTTCTCTGGCTGAATCACCAGTGCCTGTAGGCATAGGACATGTTTGGGTGATACCTGGATTCTTAGATGTTGTTTCTCAGGAGCAAAAGTGACGTGGGCATTTAATTTACATAACAAATCTTGGCCCAACAATGGAATAGGGCAATGTGGCATATACAGAAAGCTATACCTCAATCTTATATCCCTCAATTTACATTCTTAGGGCTTAAGAAAGAGTCTCTGTTGTAACTTCCCAGTGACTCCAGCCTTGGCTGGAAACATTGCGACAGTATCAACCAATAAGCCAGTCATTTTGTTCCCCACTGTCGCTTGTACCCAGGGCTCCTGTAGGGAAATTATTGTTGCTCTGTTAAATCAGGCGGAGTCCCTGTGCCCAATCAGTCTTCATCAGAGTCACAATCCTGCTCCACCATCTCCTTCTTTGGCGTATATTTCCCTTTTCCTCTCCCTTGTCTTTTTTATTACCATCTTTTCTCTGTAGGTTTGGGGGGCATACTTCTCATGTCCAGATTTCCCCACTGTAGGCACACTGGTCCTTGTCTAGGGATTCCTTTCTATTTCACCCCTCATTCTTCCACCTTTTTGAATAGTCTCCACAAAAATGGTTGCCTGTCTAGCTTTTCTTGTTTCTCTAGCATTGAAGTCTTTGTAAGCAATATCTGTAAACTGGGAAGGGTTCATTCCAACAGTCCCTTCCTGCTTTTCTAATTTTCTGTTAATGTCAGAAGCACTTTGGCTGATGAAAGTTATATTTATGACCCAAACATGTTCCAGAGCCTCTGGATCAATATCTGAATATTTTCTGTAAGCCTGATACACTTGTTCCAACCAAGCGGCTGGGTTTTCATTGGCCTCCTACCAGAGGTCATGGATGTTTTTTATTGAGGCTTTGCTGCTTAGGTACTCCCTTTCTTAGGAGTAATCCTACAGTCAAGATATAACCTCATTATTAAGGTTTCACTTGAGTTTCACTAAGGAAATTGCCTCTGGGGTGTTGGAGGACCCAGCAGGGTCTTGCTGGTATAGCCTTCTGGCTCCATCATTAGTCTTGTCTAAAAATAACCCCCTTTCATCATAAAATTTAATAATGCTTGTACACCTGCTATTGTGGAATGATGAGTAGAAAAAATACTGGTGAATATTTCAGTCATCTCCTATGGATCATCCCTATAGGATGGACTTGAATATTTTTCAATTTACTTAGTCAAAGATAGAAAATGGTGAATAACCAAAATAGCCCAGGAGTATGGCCCTGTGCGTTTAATCCTCCAGCGGGGAATTTGCATAACAGAAATTGTTCTGCCACATGAGGGTGTACGCTCTGGTCAAATTTAGTTGCCTTGTCAGGTCTTAAAAGGGGAGCCTATTTCTTGGCTACCTTTAAAATGAGGAGGGGCCACCACACCCTGTAAGTCTGTATTATCTGGATAATCCTCTGGTGGAGGGGGCAGAGATGGGGCAACTCAGGGTACTGTGCTGGTACTGCAGCTGGGGCCTCCATGGGAACTTGCACAGGCACCAGAGCAGGCTGCAATGGGACAGGCACCTGCAAAGCCTCAGCATCATTTGCCTGTGGAGGGTTTATAGTTGATAAGATTATCCTATCTCCTTCTCTTCCTCCTCAGGTAATGGAGAGTGAGGAGATTTTACCTGATATGGTCCTGTTTGCACCGTCAGCCAGCAACCTTTCTGGGAAGCATGCTTATTATGTACCAACATAGAAGCTTGAATATAAGGTATGCAGTCCCAATTTCCTGATCTCAGATTGAAATGTTCAAGCTGTAAATTCAAAGAACCATGTAATGGCCACCTATCTTCCTCATGTATCACGTACATTGGCCACACCTTATTGCAGTAGATTATCTTTTTTGTCGTAGGGTTATCACTGTAGGCTTACCAGTCAGCCAATATGAACCACAGCGGGCTCTGAGAGGGGATTGATGAAAAAAACTTCCCATGGTGGACACAAACAAAACACAACCAAAACAAATGAAGCACTTTTCCAACCCAGGCTTTCACAAAGGAAGAGACTGGTATGGAGTCACTATGAGTCATTTCTTCTACCAGTGGTACCACAAATGGTCCAAAGGCCCAAATGGTAAAGAAAGTGGACTACTACTTTGCACCCCAGTAGACTTACCTGGTTGTACAGCTCATCAGCTCATCCAAAAAGCTAGTTTCCCAGCACTTTGGGAGGCCAAGGCGGGCGGATCACGAGGTCAGGAGATGGAGACCATCCTGGCTAACAAGGTGAAACCCCATCTCTACTAAAAATACAAAAATTAGCCGGGCATGGTGGCGGGCGCCTGTAGTCCCAGCTACTCCTAGGATGCTGAGGCAGGAGAATGGGATGAACCCAGGAGGCAGAGCTTGCAGTGAGCCGAGATTGCGCCACTGCACACCAGCCTGGGCGACAGAGCGAGACTCCATCTCAAAAAAAATAAAAATAAAAAAAATAAAGCTAGTTTCCTCTCACCAACTAAAAGCAAAGGTAGGCAGTCAGTACTGAATGGGGGAAAGGAGGAAGTTTCCCTGAAGTAGAAAGAGTTTTGGCAGCCTCTCTTTGGCAGACTTTGGGGCTGTCTCTGCAGTTCCCTTCTGCCATGAGTAGCCAGTGCCACGGAGCATTTGCCGCTAACCTCTGGTAATGTGAGTGAGTTAGCCCTGACCTGCTGCCGCCATCAATTGCTCCACCTCTTGGGAACCAAGAAGTCCTCCCAACAATATGGATGAGTTAGTCCTGGTATGAAGCTGTGACCAATTGCTTTGTCTGTTGGGAGCTGACAGGGTGCAAACAGCCCAGAGCACACGGCTTCTGGCTGGGCTTGCCAAAATTTGTAACCAAACCCAGATCTAGGTCACTTGTTGCTTGAAAGCCAAAAGTCTAGAGACGAATGTTGGTGAAAGGGAAAGTTAGCTACATTCAGGAAGCCAAAAACTCGAGGGAGGCTGTGAACTCATCTTCAAAGACCACCTCTCTGATCTGGGAGGTTTTAAGGGAAATTAGGAGCAGGGCAAACAATGATCGAAGCATTTCACAAAAAGTTTTTGTTACTAAGCCTGACCTAACCTGAAAATAGCCTTAGCTTTTTTTCTCTCTCTCTTTTTAGATACAGGGTCTCACTTTGTCACCCAGGCTGGAGTGCAGTGATGTTATCTTGGCTCAGTGCAGCCTTGACCTCCTGGACTCAAGTGATCCTCCTGAGTAGATAAGATGACAGGCATGCACCACCATACCTAGCTAATATTATTATTATTATTATTATTATTTTTTTTTTGAGACAGAGTCTCGCTCTGTCGCCCAGGCTGGAGTACAGTGACGTGATCTCCGCTCACTGCAAGCTCCGCCTCCCGGGTTCACGCCATTCTCCTGCCTCAGCCTCCTGAGTAGCTGGGACTACAGGCGCCCGCCACCACGCCCGGCTAATTTTTTGTATTTTTAGTAGAGACGGGGTTTCACCATGTTAGCCAGGATGGTCTCAATCTCCTGACCTCGTGATCCGCCCACCTCGGCCTCCCAAAGTGCTGGGATTACAGGTGTGAGCCACCACGCCCGGCCAATATTATTATTAATTATTATTATTATTTTTGTTTGTGTATAGGCAGGGTCTCGCTTTTTTGCACAGGCTGGTTTCATCCTCCTGGCCTCCAGCAATCCTCCTACCTCAGCTTCCTGAAGTGCTAGGAATACCAGTCTGAACCACTGTACCTGGCTGATCAGAGCATTCTTATGAAACATGTGAAGTCTCAGACAGGCAGGCAGGCAATCACTGTTTTCTTGGTCAGTGTTGTATGACCTTCTGCAGGTACCATCAGGCTATTCTTATCAAGCCACTCAGCCCATTCCCAGAGTTGTTTGTCAGTGTTTTTTCTTTTATGTCTGCTGAAGGTCCTGTATTTCTGAGGCTGTTTTTAATGAATAATCTACAGTCTCAGGAAAAGCAATAACTGTATTCAAGCAAACAAGCTCTTCTCTAACATGGAGTCAGTACTGTTACAGTTTTTTTTTTTTTTTTTTGAGACAGAGTCTCTCTCTGTCACCCAGGCTGGAGTGCAGTGGCGTGATTTCTGCTCACTGCAAGCTCTGCCTCCTGGGTTCACGCCATTCTTTTGCCTCAGCCTCCCAAGTAGCTGGGACTACAGGCACCCGCCACCACACCCGGCTCATTTTTTTTTGTATTTTTAGTAGAAACGGGGTTTCACCGTGTTAGCCAGGATGGTCTCGATCTCCTGACCTCGTGATCCGCCCGCCTCGGCCTCCCAGAGTGCTGGGATTACAGGCATGAGCCACCGCACCTGGCCATGTACTGTTCCAGTTTTATCCAATAGTGCATACAATTTAGAAGCAGTGAAAAACATTCTGATTATGACCAACTTTAAAGATGTAATGTCAGTCCATTCTGGCCAATGTGGAAACAGGTTCTATGGTCTTTCCATATCTTTCAGTGTTCTCAGAACCAAGTTTCAATAGCCTTAATATTTCATTACTTTTGAGAAAAAAAAAAAGTTGCCCTCTGACTTCATGCCAGAAAAACTGCTAAGGATTTTATATTATCTCCTTAAATCCTCACAGCAACGTTGATAGATTAAGTCAATCCCTCAGGATTGGGTTTGCCTGTGATAGAAAACTCACACTCCCTTGCCCCCTTATGAACAAAGTCTGAAGGTAAACTGTGCAAAATGATGAATACCTCTGCTAGCATAAGTGATCTAGGTTCTTTCTATCTTTTGGCTCTTCTGCCTTTTAATATATCACTTCCTGCTGATGGTTTAAGATCACTCTTTAGCCCCAGGCATCGTGTTTCATTCTAGTCACGAAGAAGACAGACAGGATAGAAATGCATGTGCCCTTGCTCTTTAAGAATACTTCTTGAAAGTGCCATATGGGACTCTGCCTTCCACTGCTTGGTCAGAACTTAGCTACGTGGCCACACCTAGCTGCAAGGGAGGGTGGAAAACATATTCTCCATTCCAGGCAGCCAAATGCATGGTTTTTTAAAAAGGAAGAAGAGTATTGGAGGACAGTTCCACAGAGGTGTTATAAATACCATTTTGTGGATGAGAAATCAGGTGCAACGATATTGAGCTCTGACCTTTGAAGGAGCATAAAGAACTAGTCAGGAATACCTGTGTTCTTTTCCAGTGAATTCACAGCTGGAGTCACCCTAGCAGTGGCATCTGGGGTGCCACTGCTGGCATCAGGGGAGTTCCCACAAGGGAGTACCGCAAGCCATCCCAAGATGGGACCAGTTGGAATCCCAAAGAAAGAAGCACTAGATGCCAGGGTGATCAGTTCAAATTTATTACGAGAACTTAGGTAGAAACTGGGTTTCACCATTTCCTCCAGATAGGCAGTTAGGGAAAGAGGTGCTCTACCTAGCGAGGTCTGCAGCACGAGGATCAGGGAATGGAGTTGATGAGAGATTAAGGCATTTGGCTCAGGGCCTGGCCAGTTCCTCTCAGTGTTTGGGGCAACAACCTAAACACCTTTGTAGGTGTCTGGGAATGTTCGAAGCGAAACCTTGGGTTCCAGCCTGCAGGGCAAATTGTGTAGCTGATGGGGTCACAGGACAGTTGAGGCACTCTCTGTTTCTTGGTTAGGACAGAAAACGGGAAAACGGAGTACCCTTCAACTACTATGCGGTAGCGGGGAGAAAGTTTCAGAATGATTTTAAAAACTAAATTAGAATGAACTTCAGTTATTCCAACAATAGCATAACTTGTTCTATGGCAATCTGACGTGCTTTCTTACATGACGGGGGCTGTAGTCAGCAGCACTCCACTGTATGTATCCCACAGCCCACCTTCTTATGCTCTCATCCGTAATCCAAATATACCCACGGGAGTGTGGCAACCCTGTGAATTTCACCCAACACGTGTGGAGATAGAAAAGGGAATTGAAAACCAAACCCGATGCTGCTCTGCCACCCTACTCTCTTCTTGTGTCAGTGAAACCTTTCCTGAAAACTCAAGGAGATGCTTCCAGAACTGTTCTGTCACTTGGGCTTACCCCTAGTATAGATACTGACAGCCAACAGTTTCCTAGGGAGATAAGAGACAAGAAGCCTAAGGTATCTTCCAAGATCAAATCTACCTCCTTAGTCCTAATCCAAAGTTGTCCATCCCATTAAACCAAAGGTGGGAGAATCTACTATGGAGTGGCCTCACTGACATCCAGACAGACAACTGGAATAAGCTTTAGCCCCCAGTTCTAAATATTCACAGTGACTCACAAGTGGTTCGTAGATAGACCCAACTTCTTCAGGTGGACTTTGGTGCTTGTGCCTCCGTTGACCTTGTTAACCAAAAAGTGACTGCGACATGTTTCAATCAATTACAGGTTTATTTAGCCAAGGCTGAGGACACGCTGGGTCCCTGCACTGCCTTCTTCTCTGTTGGTCTCCTGAAAGCCTCTGCTTAAGGAGGTCTCCGTGGCCATCTTTAGCATCTCAGAGTGAATTAAATCCCCCTTTCTAAGGGCATTTTCCCGTGAAGCTTTATTCTCTGTGACATAAGGGGAGAGGGATTTTTAGAGAACCTGGGGTGGCGGGGGCTTTGGAGAGAGGGGGGATTCTCAGGGGATTTCCCTCTCCCCAGAGATACATCTCTCCATGAAACAAACAAACAGAAAGCACACAGTACAGTGCACAGCACACAGTCAGTGCTCAGGAAGCGTTGGTTCCCTGTCTGCCTACTGCAGTTGGTACAAACAACACTCAGGGTGCCAAGCTTCAGTTTGGTGAAGAAAAGCATAGCCCACATTCCAGTTCTCGGGCCTCGTCTTGAAGGGTAAGGGCAGCTCAGGCCCTGGCATTGCTTGTCCTGAGGACAGGCCAGCACGTCCTGTGCCTGGTGGTCTCCAGAAATGCTGTTGCCTGCCTGCTGCCACTCTGCATCTCAAGCTTATCCCCCCATGCCTTGCCAAAGCCCACTCCATCTCCCTCCCCTCCCAATCCACCTGGAGCTCCCACCTGTCATCTTTCCTTCCCACCGTGGGGCAGGTGGCGATCTGCAGGCCTCCCTGAGAGAGAACTGCCCCTACCCTGCCTCAAAGCCAGGGGCACTGATCCAGCTCTCAGCTCCAAGAAGATGGACTGGGATCTTCCCTTAATGCCTTCTGGGGTCTGGGAATAAAGATGGAGAGAGGCACTGAGCTGAGCACAAACAGGAAAAGGAAGAGCTCATGGCTCAGAGCTGAAGAAGACAGGACCCAGTGAGCAGAGGACTGTGTCCCCATAGGGAAAGACATGTTCTGGTAAAAGGCAGGTCAGGAGTTCAGGAAGGATTCAGGCTCAGTAGGGACTCCGGCTCACTGCCCTCTGCTTGGGAGAGCAAACCCTCCTAGGTGAGGTTTCCTTTCTGTGCCTTTACTGCAGGGAGCTGGTGTCAGAATCAAGGGCACCATCAAAACAGGATACCACAGACATCTCAGCTGTGCCAAACTAATGCCCAAAGGCTCAGCTGTTGCAGGTAGGGGTGGGAGGGCAGGCCCTCACAGGTGGGCCTCCTCACAGGCCCACCCTGCCCTTTATGGCACAGCCCAGGACCGTTAGGTCAAAGCTGACTTTTCCCAGTCTCAAAGCGCCGTCTTATCTGTTGCTTTATTTGTAACTCACAACAGGCCTCTGAGTCAGGCAGGGCATATGTCACTCCTATTTCATAGAAAGAGAAACTGAGGCATGGGGTGGGCTAAGTGACTTGGGCCAGAGGGTAAGTGAATTGGAGTCAGGACTCAGATCTCCTTGGATCCACACCAGACATCCTCCCACATGGAACCCTCTCCCTAATCTTAACACTTCCATGGCGTCATGCCTTCATCAGCCATCACAAGAAAATGAGGCCACAGAAATTGCATGCATGTTCATGTGTGTGTGTGCCTGTGTGTGTGTATATACACAAGTTCATGTGTTTGTGCATGTGTGCATATGTGCATGCGTGATGCCTTACTTGCTGAGGGAAGGGGAGGAGGGTTGGCAGCTGCTGATGATTTTCTCTATCTTGAATGTTGTAAGTGCTTTTCCCAGGAGAGCCAGATAGCCATGGTGTGTCAGGAGAGGTCTCAGAATGAGACTTATGAAGTGAAGATGAACAATGACACAGAGGCCTGCAGTGAGCCCAGTCTGCTCTCCACAGAGATGTGAGCTCTGCTGTCCTCTGCCCAGGATGGCCTGGGTGTGGAGATGGGTCTGGGGAGGCAGGGGCAGGTCCTCAAGATCCCTCCTCTGGGCATGATTTGTAGGAGGAGGGGATATCACAGAGAAAAAACCTGCACGGCCTCTGTCATCTTCTTAGTGGAATGGGGGCCCCCATCTCTCTTTTTCACACACACACACACACACACACACACACAGCCCTTTTTAGTTTGGCCTTCTTCTTAGTGGAATGGGGGCCCCCATCTCTCTTTTTCACACACACACACACACACACACACACACACACACCCCTTTTTAGTTTGGCCTTTCCTGACTGGGAAAACATCTAAACATGGTTTCTTAAACTGTTTAGGCTGTAACCAACAGACATAAATATATTTTCTGGTGACACTTAGTGCACAAATACATATATTGACAAACAAGTGTTTTGTGACACTACTATAAAATAAAGCTGCCCAGAAGAGGGCACTGGTGGCAAATCTAGGCCTGAGATTATTTTGACCTTGCTGGAATTTTTTGAATATTTTTGCTGCATATCTAGATGCATTAGAAGGTTGTGGCATCCATTTGGCTTTTAAATGCCAGCTATGAGAGAGGAGGTGGCCGCAGCACTGGCTAAAGGGCAGAAGGAAAAAGGGAAAATTCTCCTCCAAGGGAGCAGACCAATGTTGCTTAGACCCTAGCTCTGATCACCCTTCTCTCAAAACTCTGCATCCAAACCTCATCCTCAGGTTGATCTCTTCTACCCTTGACTGCTCTGTTCCCAGATGTACTGGGTTGAAAAAGTTCATGTCCACTCAGAACCCGGAATGCGACCTTGTTTGAAAATAGGGTCTTTGCAGATGTTACCAAGGTAAGGGGAGCTCAGTGGATAAAAGTGGGCCCTACTTAGTCCAGTGATTGCTGGTTTTATTAAGAAGAGAACACACACACAGACACACACGCACCAAACACACACACACACATATACACAAGAATGTGCCCTGTGAAAATGCAGGCAGAGCTTAGAGTGGCCTGGATCTGTATGTTGCTTCAGTTCTGGGAGCTCCCATGAGCCTGCAGAGAGATTGCAGGGTCTTCCTGAACAGTTCCTGAGGAGGAAAGAGAGACTCAGAGGATTGCCCCGATGTCGCCCTTCTCTCCTCCTAAACTCTGCTGGGCTCTCCCACTCCCCCAGGAAGACTTCCCTGCTAACTTCTGCCCTGCAAGTTGACCCTGACATTTTCAAGTGCCACCTGCCCCTGTGAACTTGAATGGATTGCGCTGTTCTTTGCACAAGAGCAGAAACGTCTGCCTGGAGTGCGGCTTGTCCTAGTGGCTGGGACTTCCCTGACACACAGCTCCCCCTGTCTGCCATGGAGTGGTCTCACTGACATCTGGGCAAACAACTGGAAGAAGCTACAGCCCCAATTCTAAAGGTTCACAGTGACTGGCAGCTGGTGTTGAGACAGACCCGCCTTCTGCAGGTGAACTTTGGTGCTGGCCTCGGTTGTCCTTTTATAGACATTACCTATTGTGAGGGGCACGACTTTCACCCTCCTGCCCCACCAGTGTGGCAGTGCATTTTTTATTCTTTACATTTTTTATTCATATTATTTCTTGTTCAATTGAAGATGTACTTCTTCCTGAGTGTGCCTGTGGCACAAGAGGCTTTCTGAAAGAAGCTGCTTAGGTGACTCAGCCTGGAAGCTGAGGCAGGTTGCAAGGGGGCATCTTCCTGAGCCCTCAGTATGTCATCCATGAGGGACTGGATGGGCTCCGGGGACTCATTCTTCACTCCTTCCAGAGCTGAAACCAGAATGAGGCCAACTCAGACTCTGGACCCTAAGCACCGCCTCCCTAACCCCCTTCTTCCCACCCCATGCCAGGTCAGCATTGCACAGCTCTGCTTAGAATCATGTTTGCACTATAAAAGCAATACTTGTTTCACTGTAGGAAATACTTAATACACAATTTATTTTAAGGAAAAGAAGAAAAATCACTCATCCCAGAGATAACACTGCTAATATTTGGTAGCTGTCCTTGCAGTCTTTTTTTAAAACAGCAACCAAACAAACAAACAAACAAACAACAAAAAACAACCAAATGTTGATAGATTTTTTTTTCACAAAATAGGACTAGTAATTTTTTTCATTCCATAATATATTCCTCTATACAGCATAACAGGCAATCACATGATTCTACCATAACTTTTTTTAAAAAAAAACAGGGCCTCAACCAGTCGCCCAGGCTAAAGTATAATGGTGTGATCATATCTCACTGCAGCCTCAACCTTCTGGGCTCAGGTGATCCTCCTACCTCAGCCTCCTGAGTCATTGGGACTATAGGTGTGAGCCACCACATCTGACTAATTCTATCATAATTGTTTTGGTAAATACCCTATTTCTGAATAATTAGATTCTTTGCAATCTTTCACTGTTACAAAAAGTAATCATAAATTCATTCAGCAACTATATATTGAGGACTTACTATTACCAGGCACTGCTAGGGGCTGGGGATCCAGGGGAGGACAAGAAAAACAGATTACCACCCTTGAGAAGTTAGCATTCTGGTGGGGGAAAGACAAATCAGCAGTTAAATGCAAATTAAGTAAAAGGGAGGAAGTTGAGGGGAGTTCTGAGACCAAATGACTGGGGAGGAGCCCTTAGGCCCATCAGGGGATGCTTCTCTGAGAAGGTGATGCTCCAGCTCAGACCCGAAGTTGAGAGCCAGCCTAGGAACACACAGGGCAAGGGCAGAAGACTTCCACATGGTGTGTGTGGGGGTCTCTTTGTGTCATAGAAAGTACCAGTGTGACTGCAGTTCCCAGAGGGGCAGGAAGTGGTGTAGGCTAAGGGTGAGAGGCCTCAGAGGTCAGGACATTCTGAGTTGGGTGAGTGAGAATATGGGAGCAGACTGAGACCCTAAGAGCAGTAGGGAGCTGCTGAGGGGTTTAAAGCAAGGAGTGGCATGTTCCAGCATGCGTGTTCTAAAGAGAATCTGGCTGCTAAGAGCAGAATCGTATAGAGAAGAGGAAGAGGGTGTTGGGAGGCTGTTAAAGTGGTCCTGTTAGGGAATCATGAGGGTGTAGAGTAGGGTGGGAACAGAAGAAATGGAGACAGGAAATTCCTTAGCATGAAAAGGACAAAGACGAGAAAGAATCTTGGTTCAACAAAACTTGTTCGTTTTAGGCCTTCAAACCCATCAATGTCTACAGCGTCATGTTCGTTTCATTCACTTAGAACAGAACACAAGAACGGGGCTGAAGCTCTAACAGAAAAGACATAAGACCCTTGAGAAAGCATTACTTGAACACAAGGTTTCTGGGACATTAAACATGGGTATAAGTGCTGCTATAGTACCTTTCTGGGGAAGACTTCCTCCTGTCTCGGGGACTTAGGCATCATTATCAAAGGCAGGGTGGGATGAAGAAAGTAAGGTGAATGCTCTGGTAGACTGAGAAGTCTAGGATATACAGGGGGACTTCAGGTGTCAAAACAAGAGGAGAAGGCTTCAGAAGCACACAATGTCAGGGTTGGAATTGAAGCCAGGTTGCAGCCCAAAGGGGACAGACAGCCCTGCCAGTTACTGGTGCTTCAGAGGTGGCACGGCTGCTCTCGGAGAAGCAACTGACTATTTCAGTTTTCCCTGACTACAGCTATAAGGACGCTCCCTACCTGCCACCCTCCATATCATCCCCCGCCCGCACCTAGACACCCGAATCAAGGCAATGAAATTGTCTTGTGGGACATCTATGTGCCCAGCAAAGCTCAGCACATTTTGTGCATTTTTATTCAATAATGACAATGGTGTTCAAGATCAGCGCTGTTACCCTCATGACACGGATGAAGAAAGGCCTAGAGATGAAGTCACGTGCCCAAGTCTGCAGGGTCCTGACTCATAGAGCTGGTATGGAAACTGATCAGGCTGGTTCTGGAGCCCCTGCTTTTCCATTTCACCACTGACTTGGAGGAGAGAGAAGACCCTGAAATATCGTTTAGTTCAATACTTGACTCTCTAGACAAAGAACTGGGAATGACACATACGGGAAATAAGGAATTCTCCATCTGCAGAGGTCTGCTAGGCATTTTCTCTGAGGAGTCAATCATTCACCATTCTCTCAAAAGCAGCTTATGCAAAATATGATCTCTTAGCAGCCACAGTATTCAATACCCTGATTAGGTTCAAATCAGAAGGCAAACACCTCAAGGACAAGAGTTTGCAACAAAAAAGGCAACAACAGCACCCTGGACACTCATGTCAGGACATTCCAATGTGCATACACCTCCTTAAGCACAGAGGGACTCTGAAGATGATCTACCAAAGCAAACATTCTTTCTGTTTTGTCTCCACATCAAAGGAAGGAAATTGTTACATGGAAAACAGGAACAAATAATTTATAACCCATTTCTGCTTGCTCCTAGAATGGACTGACTATCCTCACACCCTATCACAAGCACTGTTCACCCCTCTCTTCCTGCTTAGAGAAGTTAAAAACTGTGCTTCAGTGAGCTCCCATCCCACTCAAAGTAAAACCCTCAATCTTGACTGTGCATAGAAGACCCAAGAGGATTCTGGCCCCACTACTCTTCTCTCATCTCATCTTCTGCTCTTCCTTCTGCTCCCTCCATGATCATCATACTGGCTTCTTGATCCTTGAACATGCCAAGGACTCTTCCCTTAGAGAGCCATAGAGCTCCCTTTCTCCCTTCCTTCAAGGTGTCAAAGAAAATACTGTTTCAGCACCCTCCAAGTTTATTACACCCAGAAGGATATTAAGACCCAAGACTGAGTTGCACCACCGGTTTCCAATTCTGCTTCTTAGATTAAAGGAGAACTCTCTTTCCCATTGTTCTTCTTCTGTGAATGAGTAGGAGAGACCAGAAACCAGGCCTTGCCCACTATGGAACCCAGATCTTTGTTATAGTTTAACTGACTCCTTTATTGTCGTGTACCTTGCTAAGACCAGATGACACCCGAGATGCCTAGACTGTTAAATCTTCAGTGAGGAATGTTTAATCTACCTTTCCACAAAGAAAAAGACCACCTGGACTAATTAGATCATTTAAATGATGCATTAAACCTTACATAGAAAGATGTTGAAATTCTGCTAGGCTTTCCCAAGCTTCCTCTGTATAAAGGATCCCAAACTTCACTTTGGAATACAGACTTCCATTCTGTGGAATCTGGGCTTCCCACACAGGCCTGTCCTCAACGTTTGTGCTTAAATCAACTCTGTTTAAGGTAAATTCTGACCACCTTGCATCCTTTAGTTTAACATGGGTCTCTGGTGAAATGCCTCCTTATTGGAGAGGACATCTCTGTCACCTCACCCTCATACACTGCTCAGCCCCTCCCACACTGCTCAGCCCCTCCCCTTGCTTTATCTTCTCCATGGTGCTTCCCTGACATGTACGCCCTTGTTGAGGGCTTGCTTCCTCTCCTTGGCTAGAATGTAAGTTGCATGAAGCCAGGGACATCAGCTTAATTCAGTGCAGCATCCCCAGGGCTTAGAGAATCACCTGGCACACAGGAGGTTTTCAATAATTAAGAAACAAATTTGTGTAAACAGCAAGAGTGGGAGTTGGCAGAAGTGCATTCTATATAAAACACAGGTATTTGTGTTTGGCTGTTGGTGCTAAGGAAGGCTGTGAAAGGTGAGTTCAAGTTTGCTTCTGATATACATTGGAAATATCAACTCCTCTTTCTCCATAGCCACAACTCCCACTCCCTACCTCTTTTCTTTCTCAGGACTTTGGGAAGATTCAAGAACAATGTAGGGAACATGGGCTGTAGGAAGAGCCCTGAGTTGGAATTCTACTGATTCTCCCAGTCATTCTCTATGTGACCTCAGACAAATGGCTTAGCCTCTGAAATGGGTAGGGTTGGATGTCAGGATGGGTAAATGAGAGTGAGCTGGCAATCTCTGGTGTCTGGATGAATTGCTCAGGGCCTCTCTATTCTACACAATCTTGGGATCTCTTTTATCTTAGAAATTTATGCCTAGCTTGCACTTTACTCAATAATTTGTCCACTACAATTTTTAAAAATGTTTCAATTTTAAAAGAATATGATTTTAGAAATATGCACCAAAATAGTTATAGATGAAACAACAAGAAGTCTGGGATCTGATTCACAATAATCCTGACAGGGAGACAGTGTAAGTAAGGAGACAGAAAAACACGGGTGGCATGAGTTGCTGTGGCTGGGGAATGGGCACATGGGAGTTTGTGATACCATTCTCTATACTTTTGTAGAGCACTGAAAACACAACTGAAAATCTTTGCAGCCATAAAAAAAAAACAAGATCATGTATTTTTCAGGGACATGGATGGAGCTAGTGTCAATTATATTTAGCAAACTAACACAGGAACAGAAAACCAAATACTGCTTGATCTCACTTATAAGTGGGAGCTAAATGATGAGAACACATGGACGCATAGAGGGGAACAACACACACTGGGGCCTATCAAGTGGTGGAGGGTGGAAGGAGAAAGAGGACCAGGAAGAATAACTATTGAGTAATAGGCTTAGTACTTGGGTGATGAAATAATCTGTACAACCAACCCCCATGACACATGTTTACCTAGATAACAAGCTTGCACATGTACCAATGAACTTAAAATAAAAGGGAATAAATAAATGAAAAAAAAGGAAAATCTTAAACCACCTAGAGAAAAAAGATCACCTACAAAGGAACAAAAATTAGAATGACCCCAGGCTTCTTCACACCGACAAAGAAAGCCAGAAAACTATGCTATATAATATCTTCAAAGTGCCAAGGGAAAACAATTGTCACTCTAGAATTGAGTCACCAGTACAGTGGTCTTTCAAGAATGACAGTAAATAACATTTCAAACAAAAACTAAGGGAGCTCACTTAAGAGCACTAAAGAAACTTTTAAAAGCTGACTCTGCAATGAAGAGAAGTGGATGGGCCCCAAAGGAAGGTCAGACATGCAAAAAGAAATGTAAGAATGTATGTAAGTCTAAACAGTTTGTATAAAATGATAGCAGTCATAGCCTCTGATAATGGTTTGGCTGTGTCCCCACCCAAAATCTCATCTTGAATTGTAATCCCCCTAATGCCAGGTGTCAAGGGAGAGATCAGGTGGAGGTAATTGGATCATGGGGGCGGTTTCCTCCATGCCGTCCTCATGATAGTGAGTTCTCACGAGGTCTCATGGTTTTATAAGGGAGATTTCCCTGCTCTTGCTAGCAATTCTTCCACCTGCTGCCTTGCGAAGAAGGCGCCTTGCTTCCTCTTCACCTTCCATCATGATTGTAAGTTTCCTGCCTCCCCAGCCATGCAGAACTGTGAGTCAATTAAACCTCTTTCCTGAATAAATTACCCAGTCTCTTCATAGCCGTGTGAGAACGAACTAATACAGTCTGTAATTTCTGGGCTAGATAGAACTAAAATAATGGCCATCAAAAGCCTGTAATTGGGAAGGACAGTGATTGGAATGAATGTCAAGACAGGACAGAAGGTTATAATGTAGTTTTACTTCACACTGTTAAGTTTAGAATGCATGATAAAAGTCTACTTTTTGGTACCTAGCCCGGAGAACCCTTCACAATTGTGTATAAGGAGGCATATTTAAAAACGTTCTGGGGACAGTGGGAGGAACAGCATCAGGAAAAATAACTAATGCATGCTGGGCTTAATACCTAGATGATGGGTTGATAGGTGCAGCAAACCACCATGGCACACATTTACCTATTTAACAAACCTACACATCCTGCACATGCGCCCCAGAATTTAATATAACAATAAAAAAAAGTTCATGCTAGTATTGCTTGAATAGTAACATCCTGGGAACAACTTCAGTGTTCATCTACATGGGAAATGATTTCTAAACTCTAGAATATCAATACCACGGAACACTACTGGGAATGCAGTAGATCTGTTGGAACCAACATTTCAGTGGGAAACAAACAAGTGTCTGAAACTTTTCATACACATATTTATAAATATCTCTTATGAACATCAATGCAAAAATCCTCAACAAAATACTAGCTAACCAAATTCAACAGCATATCAAAAAGATAATACACCATGATCAAGTGGGCTCCATACCAGGGATTCAGGGTTGGTTTAACATACACAAGTCAGGCCGGGCACAGTGGCTCACACCTGTAATCTAGCACATTGGGAAGCCATGGCGGTTGGATCACTTAAGGCCAGGAGTTTGAGACCAGCCTGGCCAACATGGCAAAACCCTGACTCTACTAAAAAATACAAATAAATTAGTTGGGCATGGTGACACACACCTGCAATCCCTGCTACTTGTGAGGCTGAGGTATGAATATCCTTTGAACCCGGGAGGTGGAGGTTGCAATGAGCCAAGATCATGCCATTATACTCCAGACTGGGTGACAGAGCAAGACTCTGTCCCCCACCCCCGAAAAATATATGAGTTAATAAATGTGATACACCACATAAACAGAAGTAAAAGCAAAAATCATGTGATCATCTCAATAGACACAGAAAAAGCATTTGGTAAAAATCCAGCATTTCTTTATTATTAAGACCCTCAGCAAAATTAGCATGGAAGACACAAATCTTAAGGTAATAGAAACCATCTATGACAGACCCATAGCCAACATTATACTGAACAGGGAAAAGTGGAAAGCATTTCCTTTGAGAACTGGAGCAACATAAGGATGCCCACTTTTACCACTTCTATTCAGCGTAGTACTGGAAGTCCTAGCCAGAGCAATGAGACAAGAGAATGAAATAAAGGGCATCCCAATTGGTAAAGAGGAAGTCAAACTGTTGCTGTTTGCTGATGATATGATCGTATACCTAGAAAACGCTAAAGACTCATCCAAAAAGCTCCTATATCTGATAAATGAATTCAGTAAAGTTTCAGAATACAAGATCAATGTACACAAATCAGTAGCACTGCTATACACCAACAGTGACTAAGCTGAGAATCAAATCAAGAACTCAACCCCTTTTACAGCAGCTTAAAAAAAAACAACTTAGGAATATACCTAATCAAAGAGGTGAAAGATCTCTGCAATGCAAACTACAAAACACCCCTGAAAAAAATCATAGATGACACAAACAAATGGAAACGCATCCCATGCTCATGCATAGGTAGAATAAATATTGTGAAAATGACCATACTTCCAAAAGCAATCTATAAATTCAATGCTCCATCCAAATTATTTTCTCCATCCAAATACCAGCATCATTCTTCACAGAACTAGAGAAAAGAATCCTAAAGTTCACATGGAACAAAAAAAGAGCCTGCATAGTCAAAGCAAGACTAAACAAAAACAACAAATCTGGAAATATCACATTACCCAACATCAAACTATACTATAAGGCTATAGTTACCAAAAAAGCATGATACTAGTATAAAAACAGGTGCATAGACCAATGGAACAGAATAAAACCCAGAAATAAAGCCAAATACAGCCAACTGATCTTCAACAAAGCAAACAACAACATAAAGTGGGGAAAGGACACCCTAACCAATAAATGGTGCTGAGATAATTGGCAAGCCACATGTAGAAGAATGAAACTGGATCCTCATCTCTCACCTTACACAAAAATCAACTCAAGATGGATCAAAGACTTATATCTAAGACCTGAAACCATAAAAATTCTAGAAGCTAACAGAAAAATTCTTCCAGACATTGGCCTAGGCAAAGGGTTCATCACCGAAAACTTAAAAGCAAATACAACAAAAACAAATATAAATAGATGAGACTTAATTAAACTAAAAAAGCTTCTGCACAGAAAAAGAAATAATCAGCAGAGTAAACAACCCACAGAGTGGAAGAAAATATTTGCAAACTACGCATCCAACAAAGGACTAATATGTAGAATCTACCAGGAACTCAAACCAGCAAGAAAAAAACAATTCCATCAAAAAGAGGGTTAAGGACATGAATAGACAATTCTTAAAAGAAGATATACAAATGGCCATCAAACATGTGAGAAAATGCTCAATATCACTATCAGGGAAATGCAAATCAAAACCACAGATACCACCTTACTTCTGCAAGAATGTCCAAAATTTAAAAATCAAAAAACAATAGATGTTGGTGTGGATGTGGTGAAAAGGAAACACTTTTACACTGCCGGTGGAAATGTAAACTAGTACAACCATGCTGGAAAACCTTATGGAGGTTCCTTAAAGAACTAAAAGTAGAATTACCATTTGACCCAGCAATCCCACTACTGGGTATCTGCCTTCCCAAAAGAAGTCATTATATGAAAAAGACACTTGCACACATGTGTTTGTAGCCTCACAATTCACAATTGCAAAAATATGGAACCAGCCTAAATGTCCATCAACCAACGAGTGAGTAAAGGAATTGTGGTGTATATATATATACACACACAGCCAACATAAAATACTACTCAGTCATAAAAAAGTAACAAAATAATGGCATTTGCAGCAACCTGGATGCAGTTGGAGACCATTATTCTAAGTGAAGTAACTCAGGAATGGAAAACCAAACATCATATGTTCTCACTTATAAGTGGGAGCTAAGCTATGAGGATGCAAAGGCATAAGAAAGATACACTGAACTCTGGAGACTTGGGAAGGGGTGGGAGGGTGGTGAGGGATAAAAGACTATACATTCAATGCAGTGTACACTGCTTGGGTGATGAGTGCACCAAAATCTCAGAAATCACCACTAAAGAATGTATCCATCTAACCAAACAGCCTGTTCCCCCAAAACTATTGAAATACTAATAATAAATAAAAATTATATGTGTGTATGTGTATTTATAGAATGTATATAAAGACAAAGAACACAGGACTCTACAGCAAACAGGCAGGGGAGGAGGGCAGAGGAGCGAGGTGGAGTGGGGTGAGTGCAACTTTACCCTTGTTGGTCACATTTCTACTTTTTTGTAAAGACACTGTATTTGTGCATTTTCTTCTGTAAATATAAATTAATGTTAGAAGAGTTCAGTGCAATAAAAAACAAAAAACTGCAAGTTTATGAAGAGCAGGGATGTGTCTGTCTTGAACACCATTGCACTGTAAGCACCTATAGCACATTATAAATGTTCATGGACTGGAAGGAGAGATCCCCAAAATATTAGCAGTCTTTTTATCTCACTAATGGGACAATGTATAATTTATTCGTTCCAACTACTTTTCTCCATTTTCTACTTTTCTATATGACATTGATAATGGTAAAAATAAAATGATGAACCATGTTGTTAAGAAATGTCTTCATCCCCCATTCTCTCTCACCCCACCCACTAGTGTCACCCAGAACCCAGGTGCAAGGCCCAGACTCACCATCCCATATCAGCTGCATATCCTCATCATGGATCTGGTGGATGTTCACCCATTTGACTGTGAATCCTAAAGATTCATCTGCAGTCACGGGTGTTGCTTTCACAGAGGGCCAGCCAAGAAATTCTAGTATAAAAATGCCGGAAGTCACTACCAAGGATCGATACACATTTAGGAAAGCCAGCACTACAGATGAAAGGAAACATTCAAGAAACAAAACACCCAGCATCCAGCCGGGCACAGTGGCTCACACCTATTATCCCAGCACTTTTGGAGGCAGAGGCACAGGATTGCTTGAGCCCAGGAGTTCAAGACCAGACTGGGCAACATGGTGATCCCCATCTCTACCAAAAAATGCAAAATTAGCCAGGCATGGTGACATGTGCCTGTAGTACCAGCTGGGAGGCTGAGGTGGGAGGATCACGAGCCTGGGAGGTTAAGGCCACCGTGAGTCATGATCCTGCCACTGCAGTCCAGCCTGGGTGACAGATCCAGACCCTGTTTCAAACAAGCAAAACCAAAAGAAAACCCAACATCCAAGGATGGAGTTAATAATAAAATCTGAACAAAACTTTAGAGAAAGTACTATTGAATCCCCAGAAATTTTTTCTTAAAAGATATTGAGTTCAGTTCCTAAAGTGCTTAGAAATTCAAAATTTGAAGTTATATATAAATCAATAAGTAAATCAATACAGGCACTGGTCAGGCAATATCGCCACAGAATAATGAAATAACTATCAAGATACCACAACATCATCCAGAAGAGAAAAATATAGAGTACCTTCTGCATTAGAAAAACAAAAAGTTAAATGAAAATTCAATAGGTGGGTTGAATAGCAGAATAACCACAACTGAAGGGTGAATTCGTTAAAAGTGAATCAACCCAGAAATTCTTCCAAAGTAGACAAAGAAATGGGAAATATGAAAGAGAAATTAAGAAACATAGAGAATAAATCCAAATAAATTCCAAAAATGGAACAGAGATCTTCTTCCTGCTTAATGTAGAAAAGAATATTACAGGTGCGTGAACACCACCCACATAACTGACTTTTTAGGGACAGAGATCAGGCTATTTGACTGTTTGTATAAAGTTATTTTATACAAACTGTATTTTATACAGTCCTCAGTATGAGATGATGTTAAGTACAGTCATAAATGGTAACAAGGGCAAGAGCCAAAATATTTGATTTTATGATAGAAAACTGTTGAAGGGAATAAGACATAGAGAAAGAATGACTCTTGTGCAGAAAAGGGAAGTTTTAAGAAAGGCAAAAGAATCCATTTAAATGGTGAGATAAGGAAGTGACAAAGCAAGAGAAATAAACAAGGTTGGTTACTGAAGAAATAGATATGACAAATTATGAATTAAAACTTGTAGTGATACCAACACACAGTGATAGAGATTTCTTAACAAAAAATCAGTTTCATGGAGTATTTATTTGTTCCCTAGGTTCCTCAGGCCAGATCTGACCCACTGGCATTTATTACATTTTCTGCTAAAGGAGCCACTCTCAACCTGGAAGAGAGGAGATCTGTGGCAATCAGATCCAGAGAGAATGTGGTCTTCGTACAGACTGATAAACCCACCTACAAGCCTGGACAGAAAGGTGAGTGTACCTAAATCAGGTTACCCTCAACTAATGTCACTTATATGATATTTGAATTGATGGTACACAATACAAGCTCAGAAATTTTATTGTATTAAATTTTATTAGAGAACCTGCTTAAAAATACAAAATAAAAATATAGATTACATAGCCTAAATGTTAGAGATTTCATTTCCATGAGTCTGGGGGAGGGAGCCTCAGAAAGTGCATTTTTAAAGAGCACCTTATTCTATTCTAATAATATCCATATTATTCTAATAATATTCTAATAAGATCCATATTATTCTAATAATATTCTAATAATATCCATATTATTCTAATAACATTCTAATCACATATTTGGGGATTTTGAATTTAATTTATGCAAACTTACAAGCTTATGGTTGAAATAGAAATAAAACAGCAACAAAGTATGTCATGAACATGTAATGAGATACGCCTAGTGACTAGAGAATTGCCCAAGTAATAGAATGATCAGCATGATGTTGAATTAAGCTGAAAAGCCTCCTCTCTCCTCCTGGGTACAGAAGGAGTTGATGAATACAGATTACAGCAGTCAGAAGAAAGACATTTCTGATGAGATGAATGGTACATAAAAAAGCACTGAGGTAGAATTAATTTAAAAACCATGCCGTAAAATGAGAAGTAGATAGACTTATTTAGAGTAAAGAAACCCAAATGTCCATCAATAATAGACTGAATGAAGAAAATGTGGCACATATACACCATGGAATACTATGCAGCCATAAAAAAGGATGAGTGCATGTCCTTTGCAGGGACATGGATGAAGCTGGAAACCGTCATTCTGAGAAAACTATCGTGAGGACAGAAAACCAAACACCACATGTTCTCACTTATAGGTGGGAATTGAACAATGAGAACACTTGGACACAGGGTGGGGAACATCACACAACAAGGCCTGTCATGCAGTGGGGAGAGGGGGAGGGATAGCACTAGGAGAAATACCTAATGTAAATGACGAGTTAATGGGTGCAGCACAGCAACATAGCACATGTATACATATGTAACAAACCTGCACGTTGTGCACAAGTACCCTAGAACTTAAAGTATAATAATTAAAAATAAAATAAAATGTGATATAATAAAAGAAAAAAAAAGGAAGGAAAAGAAGCTGCATTGAGAAGAGTTAAAGGAAATCCCTGAATATAGAACTAAAGAGGCATTTTCATGTAGTTAAGTAACACCCATGAGGAGTCACTACAGATGTGGGGATCATGGCTTGAGGAGGCAGTCGTGGATGAACTGGGAATCACAGTAATCAGAGCCTGCTTAGGCACCAACACACTGTGATCCCAGAACAACACAAGCAGAGGGAGGTGAGGGATGTGTGCTGGAGATGGAGGAATGCACTGCATGCATTGTGCTATCCCCACCCTTCCACTCCTCTTCCCCTGACCCTTTGCCTCCCTCCCTCACTTCACAAAAGAGGGCATTCAGGTCAGTATTTAGGGACCAGAGAAAGACTGAAGGACTAGACAAGAAAGACAGGGCATGGCTGTACAGTTTGAGCTGGCACCAACAACGGCGGAACAAACATTACGAGAGCATGCATGCTGGCGTGGGAGGTGCTTATGAGGGGGAAGAGTATATGTGCTTGACACAAGAGGATGTCCAAGGAAGGCTTCTAGGATTCTTGCTAAGGAGAGCTATAGAAGGCAGAGGTGGGGAAGGTGGCTGCTACTTCAAAGAGCACAGAAACATTAAACCTTAATTTAAAATTGCTTTTTTAAAATTTCTTATCCATCCACAGTCTAGTAAAGAGTCTAATGCACAGAGGAAAGGTTATAACATAGCAAAGAAATTGAGCCAGGAGTCTTACGCAATTGAGAGATATTCAGTTTTCAAAAAATTGATCATTACAATCTGAGATTATAATGCTACAAATATTCATAATCTACTCAGCATCATGCTTCTTTTTGAATAAAAATATGGTGTGATATTAACTATGATTGCTAAAACCTCATTGCACAGTTTATTGTTGCTTCATATTTATAATGCAGTATATTAACTACTATATAGTGGCATGAACAAAATATGAAAAAGCATAGTAAACAGATAAAATAGAAAGTGACTAATTCTTCAGTTATTAAAAAATAAGTATATCAAAGATGATATTTATGAATGCATTTAGAGAAAGAAGGGATGAGGTACTTGACTGATATACAAAGTCTTCAGCAAAACAGATTCTAGTTATGTTTGGGAGAATTAAGCTATTCAAGCTATTGGGCTATTCAAGCTTCCAATGTCAGAGTAGAAGGGAAAGCAGCCCCTCTATGTGAGAAAGAAAGGGCTATTATAGAAATAACCATGACAGAAGTAAAGTCAGTACTCATGATGAAATTACTGCGGGTAAGGGATACTGTATAGCTTCAGGTTAGGGGGCTTGATGGGAATGGCTGGAAAGGAGGCTGTGGTAGAAGGCCAGGTCAGAACTTCACAAAAAGTAATGTGTGACTTGCTACACATTAAGTTATGAAGACACTGACTTTTGTGCAATGTGAGGTTTTCATCAGAGAAGATTCAAGATAAGATTTAGTCTTCAGAAAGTAGCTCTGATAACCATAGAAAGATTAGCTAGGTTATGGCAACACAAATGGCAGTGATCCAGTTAGTGACTGTTGTGAGAGTCCAAATAAAAGATGATTACATCTTGAACAAAGACAGGGACAGTTTTGGAGTTAAAGAGAAATCTTTTTTTTTTTTTTTTGAAACGGAGTCTCACTCTGTCGCCCAGGCTGGAGTGCAGTGGGGCAATCTCGGCTCACAGCAACCTCCACCTCCCGGGTTCAAGCAATTCTCCTGCCTCAGCCTCCTGAGTAGCTGGAATCACAGGTGTGCACCACCACGCCCATCTAATTTTTTTGTATTTTGTTAGTAGAGATGGGGTTTCACCATATTGGCCAGGCTGGTCTCGAACTTCTGACCTTGTGATCTGCCCGCCTCAGCCTCCCAAAGTGCTGGGATTACAGGCATGAGCCACTGCGCCTAGCCAGAATTCAATTTTTAAATGACAGAGCTAACAAAGTAGGTGAACAGATTAGAACTAGAGGGCAAAATGTTTTAAGATAATTAAGCGGAGACCTGAATGAAGTGAGGACGTCTACCATGGGTGGGAAAAATCATTCTGGGCAAGAGAAATAGCAGATAATATCTTTAAGGTATGTTTTGATGTAGAGTGTAATATAAAGAGGGAACGACAATGAGGGGATGACAAGAATGAGGGAATAAGAATGAGTCTGAAATTTCTAGCCTAAACACTTGGACAGAATTGTCATTTACTAAAATAAGGAAGTGTAGGGCAAGAGGAAATAAATCAGGATTACATTTTTGGGCACACTAAGGATGAGATATCTTTCAAATATTCAGGCAGACATGTCAAGTAGGAAGCAGTATATTTATGAAACTTTAGGTAAGAAGAAAGGGCAGGGCCAGGCGCAGTTGCTCACGCCTGTAGTCCCAGCACTTTGGGAAGCCAAGGCAGGCAGATTACTTGAGCCCAGGAGTTCAAGATAAGCCTGGGCAACATGGCGAAAACCCATCTCTACTAAAAATACAAAAAAGTTAGCCAGGTGTGGTGGGGCAAGTAGTCCTAGCTACTTGGAAGGCTGAGGTGGGAGGATCACCTGAGCTTGGAAAGTTGAGGCTGCAGTGAGCCAAGATTGTGCCACTGCACTTCAACCTGAGTGATGAGAGTGAGACCCTGTCTCAAAAAAGAAAAGAGAAAAGAAAACAGAAAAAAAGAAAGGGCTGAAGATATGAATTTGAGGAACCATCAATGTAGAGACCACATTTAAACCATGATGGGATATGATGGGATCAGCATTTCTCAGCCAATCTTATGAATCCTGTGATAGCCAAACAGCAAGTCTTTTTTCTAAAAAAAAATTTTCAGCATTTGACACTCATACTCGCACATACATATGAATAGAATTATGAAATAGGTTATCAATAAAGGCTTTTAAAATTAATGTGTGAATAAATGAATTGAAGCCAGGAGAGGGTCAATAATCTGGAAGAATGAGATTAACAAAGTTGAACTCTAAATGAACCTGAAAACACAAAGGGACAGAAAGTATAGACAGATGACAACATAGACTCTTGTCATCAGCAATTGACATTTTTTCCAAAATACAATAGCTCTGATATGATGACCAATACCAATTTTGGCATGAATCTTCATTTCCCTTAAAGCATGTCAAAATTTCCCATGACAGGCTAAGCAGTAGAAAGGAAGACCATTAGCCAGGTGACATTCTGTGACAGCAACCAGAAAGTCATTAGATGACATCAACAGGAATAAATTTTCTGAAACTAGTGGCATCTAAAATAATAATTTCTCTCTTTTGAATTAAAATGCAAGAAAAAAAATGTTTTGTTGGATTTGTGAATTAGGAAGTTACTTATTTCCCTTCTCAAGCCATGTGGAAGATGAGAGGTCTCCACTATAGAGACCTAGAGGGAGAGAGGCAACCTCAGAGCAAAAAAGAAATCAAGTGTTTTGTGAGAGAAATAGGGGCAGAGAGAAACATCTTCAAAAGAGAATGAATTTTACTGACTGGACAGTAATATAAGTTTGACAAGGTCCATCAGGCTGAGAACCAACTCGGGGATAGGACACAGATGGATAAGAATGTGAGAGTGGGAGAATATAGCTGATTGCAGGTGCTTCCGCTGCGGGTTAAGGGAATAAGGGTATTGGTTGATGAAGGATACACAGAAAAGGCACATGCTGAATAAGCATGCATGCAATCTCTGTGAGGAATTGTACTAACAGTTAAGTGACCTGCCTCCTCTGTCTTTCGTTTCTTTAATGAAGTCATTAGGCAGCCTGAGCATATGTTGTGAGAATGCATACGAGGAGAAAGAGAAAGAAGGGATGGAAGTACAAAAGGAAGACAAGAAGTTCTTGTACTGAACCCTTTCTTGGCAGTATAACTTAATAAGCTCAACCTGGTAACCCCAGGATCCAATATGTCTTACATAAGATGTGCATGTAACTCCTCATCACAGGTGGTAGTAACCTAGTGCTTTTTGATTCACCTAAGTTAATCAATGTAGGAGGAAAGTTGTGAGGACACAAAAGTTAAATACTTTCTTTACATCATTGTTCTTTCTTTTTTCAGTGATGTTTTGAGTTGTGTCTCTGGACGATCATTTGAAACCAGTTGATGAAATGGTAAGTTATAGCTAGAAATAGGTAGGTATTTGTGCATGGTTTTGCTTCTTAAAATTAATCCATGAAAATGAGGCAGGCCAGTCTTAGTTATTGGTTTTACATTCTTATTAGCCTATGTATTCCTCCCTTACCATCAAACTTTTTCTTTTTTTCTTCTTCCTCACTCTCTCTCTCCCTCTCTCTTTGGTCAACACAATTAAACCTATTTCCTAATTACAAATAAAAGTCTGTAATTTACTGAATCCTTACCACCTATAAAAGCACTGTGCTAGGTAAGCCGAGACCCAAAGATACAGAAGAAACTCTTTCTGTCCCCAGAATGATTACATTAGAGCAGAGGTTGTTGGAGAAGAACACAAATGAAGCAACATGCATGACTATATTCCTGACATCTGGAAGAATAGGATACGGCAGATAGTAGGCTAGTAATATTATACCATTATTAAATTATGTATTGAGTGAATGAGTAATGTTATGTAGAGTGAATATTTTATTTATGTATGTATTTTAGTGATGGAGTCTTTCTCTGTTGCCCAGACTGGAGTGCTGTGGTGCGATTATAACTCACCAGCCTTAACTTCTGGGCTCAAGCGATCCTCTTGCCCCAGCCCCCCAAGTAGCTTGGACTACTGGCAGCACCATCATGCCCAGCTAATTTTTTTATTTTTTGTGGAGATGGGGTTTTGCTATGTTGCCCAGGCTTTTCTCAAACTCCTGACCTCAAGCAATTCTCTTGCCTTGGCCTGCTAAAGTGCTGACATTACAGGCATGAACCAGTGAGCCAAGCCACAATAATACTTTATAATGATTGAATGAGTGAATTACATAACCAGTGAATGAAAGCATTATGGCTGCTTTGTATCTGGAGTTACCAGGAGAGGTATTATCTTAGATCAACTTCTCCAGAATCAGATTCTGAGAGAGGGAAAAACGGACAACTGAATTATTAAGGAAGTGCTGCCGGGGGAAACCAATAAGAGAGTGGAGAGAAGCAGGACAGGGGAGGGGAGGAGGCCAAGCATGGGTGCAATCAACTGATTTTGGGCAAAGTCTTCAGACTGACTGGCAGGAAGCTCCGGAGCATAAATTACACTTCACAGTTTGTTCCACAGTAGGAACCAAAGCTGGGCTTTTGTACTCCAGCATCAGGCAGTTATTGGCTCTGGGCATCACCCAACATAGGAGTAAAACCCTAGGAACTTGCCAGGAGGCTCCAAAACAGGCCTCTCAAAAAGTTCACAGGTGAAAGCTGTTAGAAGTAAAACACAATGGAGCTGGGGGTGGTTGGAAAGAACCAGAAAAAGGGATCTAAGGGGGAAGCATTGGCCATGCCTGATACAGATGTCACGGGGTAGGTGAAATCGAGACATTCCTTAGGGAACAGAGATGACCAAATGTATAAATTAGGCCTAGAAGATACTGTAGGCAGAGAAAAAATGTTAGTGAAGGCATGTGGGTAGAGAATCAAGAGGATTTAGGGAATAGTCGTAACCCAGCTTTGCTGAAACTTATAACAAATATAGAAAGTCACGTTGAAGGGCTGGGCGCAGTGGCTCACGCCTGTAATCCCAGCACTTGGGGAGGCCAAGGCGGATGGATCACGAGGTCAGGAGATCGAGACCATCCTGGCTAACACGGTGAAACCCCATCTCTACTAAACACACAAAAAATTGGCCAGGCATGGTGGCGGGCACCTGTAGTCACAGCTATTCGGGAGGCTGAGGCAGGAGAGTGGCGTGAACCCGGGAGGTGGAGCTTGCAGTGAGCCAAGATTGCGCCATTGCACTCCATCCAGCCTGGGTGACAGAGCGAGACTCCATCTCAAAAAAGAAAAAAAAAGGCATGTTGAAAAACGACTTGGAAAGGAGGCTTGGTGCCATATTATGAAGGCACTTGAATTACAGTTAGTCATAGAGGAGCAGTTTGTGTGTAGAGCAGAGAAATAACTTGACTGGGGATGTGTTCCAGGACCCCTTCCAATTTTTCCAGATATTGTTCTTTATTTACACAGGGATGGTAAAGGGGGAAGTGTTGCTACCCATTAGGGAAAGCGACACTGCCTCACTTTCCCTAATGGGAAATTCAGAGAAGTTATTTCATAGATACTGATGTGCAGTTAGGGAACTAAATACATGGTGGGAACATGGTGATGGTAGTCTAAGACAGTATTTCAGCAGAAGACTACAAGCTAGCGACAATCTGAGAACCAAGGCGATCAACAGTGAAAACTGTCAAAAGACAACGAATCATGACCTGGACTTCAGTCTTTACAACAGGATACCTGACAAATTTCATTTCATGTAGTTTAGAAACCTGTTAGAACTAAGCATTCTTTTGTGGTCTCTCAGATCAATCTATCAACTGAGCGCAGTTACGAAGAAGCTTCTGAAGCTTACAGAAGCTGTGCAGATGGTTTCTCTGTTAGTGCCTTTTCCTCCCTCCAAACTGTACTTCATCCTTAAGACATCGTCACTTTTAATCCACCTCCTTTCCCCATCTTCTATAGTTATGCTACATTCACTAGACTGTTGCTTAATTTTAATTTCCAGAGCAGGAATCTAATTTTTAGTGCTCCAAAGACCTTGTAGTAATCTAAATCCGAAATCACTTCTGTAAGATAGCATGTGGTTCCTGTTCTCCTTGGTTCATGGTTGAAGCTTCTATTTCTAAGAATGCAACTCCTCTATTTAACCAAAGCAGTGAGAATTTCTACTGCAATCCTTTGACAATCATCCTTGATTGGAAGCACCATGGGGAAGTAAAGGGCTTCTTGAAAATCAAAGCAGCTGCAGCATTATCATAACTCCCTTATTAGTTCTCACCCCCCGAATGTTGACTTATTATTGTCAATTAGGCCAAATATGATTACCCAACTCCCTGCTTTAGTAATAACTACATTTGCATAAGAACAGGATTAATGGACTGTTCCCTCAAATATGGGTCATAGATAAGAAGATCGTTTGTACCAAATGTTTATGGCAAGGAGTTTCCATGGCACAACAAACTGCATGTGCTTATGTATAGAGATGGAAATTGATGTAGCATTTCCAAAAATGATGGCAGCTAAGAGATTATGTGGTTTTATCTTTGCAAGCCAGTGTTTCTAATTGCTGGACATTGTCCGGTTCAGTATTCCATTTAAATAAATAGATTCAATGCATGGCTGGCCTATGAGATTTGGGTATTCATAATAAATTTGACTACATAATAAAAATATAGTAATGATGCAACTGGGCTCATTATCAAATGAGCCAAGATATGGAGCATATACCTAGTTTCTTCTGCCCAAATCCTACATCGGTCTTTTCTTTCATTTTCTGCAATTTCATTGCTGATGGTGCCTTTCTTTTCCTTTAAGTCAGTGTTTTGTAGAATATTCAAACATACTTTTTCCAGAAAGTTTCATTTGCATCAAGAAGTTTCAGATCTTTCTTTAAACTTATCTTAAGACCTGGAACTACTAGTCCTCTAAAAAGAGGCCCTGTGTATGGACAGGGAGAGATAGTATGAACCAGAAGGGGACATGAAGGAGTTGTTGTATTGGTTCTTGGCTGGTTTATACAAGATTTAGTGCAGACAGTCATTAGTGACTAGAGCAGAATCAGCCTCATTTTAATAATTGTTTTTAGAGAAAAATCAAGCAGCTTAGAACAATGAAAATGTGATTTTACTAGGTTCTTGTTCACTAGTTTTTTGAAATAGACCAAGCTGAGTTAAAAAAAAATCTAAAAAAAAGGACAAATTAAGTAATAAAAACTAAATTTGTTGAACACAGTTGAAGCCATCTGCATTGGAAGTATTACAAATAGCAAACAAAAAGGGATAGTACTCTAGGTTCATTTCTCATTATTAGAATCTCATCCAAATGGTTAACGTCTTCCCATGGCACCTTTGGGTAATATATTCATTTTCTTCCTATGAGGAAATCTCATGAGAAGCTCTACCTCTCTTAATGCTTGAGTTAATGTTGCAGCAGTAGCTTTCTTCAATACCATCTCAATATTTCATCAAGATTCAATTCCATGAATTTAGAATAACAAGTAGGCCCTTAATTCAACTGTTATATTTCTCAGTTCCAAGAATTCTGGACAAGGTTTATGAATCCTGTTCCTATCTCCAGACACATTACGTTTTATTAGTGAATGAATGCTGCAATTAGTGGGAAGGAGCACTTAGCAACTTGGGGAGTGGGCAAAGGACCCTATGTACTCATTTTTAAAATTCTCATCAGCCTATTCACATGAGGGCTTCTGGCCTAGGAGTCTTTAATTTCAACTTGTTAGTTTTAAGGTCCTGAGAGAAAACACTAAGAGATGAAAGTCAAACTGTTGACTATAGGTTTAGAGGGGGCAAGAGTGGTAAACATGGAGAGAACTGAGAGGAGATACAGAGAGGTGGAAGGAGAAGGAAGAAGGAGAGGAAACTCTGCAAGGGAAACTTGGGCAAATGTCTACATTTATTTACTTGTCTGATAAGGAAATGGTGGAGTATAGGAATGGCCAATAATCTAAGACAAAAACAATTAGTGCTAGATACAGAAATCAAAATTGAAGCATTTCAAAAAGAGGCAACCAGCAGTGTAAAACATTGCAACTGTCAGAGTGAAGACTGACCACGAATTTGTTGATAAGGAAGTTATTATTCATCTAAGAGGGCATTTTTATTATGTTGGAGAGACCCAAGGGCAGGATTGCTTACTGAGACTGCAGGGTGTATGTTGTGAAAGAGAGAGAAGTAAATGAAAATTCTTGAAAACTAGGCAGATGAGTTTCAATATAATCAATAGATATTCAAACTTTCAGTCAGAAATCAGTATTTGTTTGGGTTGTCCTAAATGTGTTTATGTTTCTTTGCTTCATAATAGATTTATAATTAACCTCTTCACTCATCTAGAAAAAAAACCTTGAGTTCATATATTAACATTATTTTTATTTTTATTTCAGTATCCAGTGATCACCCTTCAGGTAAGATAACTAATAGTTGAAGAATTGTTTTCTCATTTTTTGAACATCTCTCCAAACCTCAAAATCAAAAGGCAGCTCACAGGGAAGATTGTCTATTTAAATTGTTGCAGAATTATTAATTTCATGCAGACAGCCCCAAGAGGACAGAAATAGGTTTCCACCCCCACCACCATGTGATTCATATTAGCATGCACCCATTAATACAGACAATAATAATATAGACAACGGGCAAGTATGATTGTATTTAATTTAATGTTTAGTTGTTGAATGTATATAAATGTACACTTAATGTTTATGCACTGGGGATAAAATATGGCTCGCCTTTAAGAAATCAGAGATTGACACAGAAAATAAATGTAAAAAAATCACAGCTAGCTCTAAAATATACTAAGTGCTGTAATATGCATCTATGTGACCCCAGATAGGAGAGTAACCAATTCTCCTTGGGTGATGTGAGGACGCACTCATGTTTTGAATCCTAAGTAAGTTGGAAACCTAAGTAGGAAACACCTTGCTGAAACTTTATAATGAATAAAAACATCCAGCATACAAAAATACGCTTTCTTATTCTCAGGATCCAGAAGGCAGTCGAATACAACAGTGGGTGAATGAGGAGTCTGTGGGAGGGATTCTACAACTCTCCTTCCAGTTAATCTCAGAGCCCATCCTCGGATGGTATGAAATCACCATGGAGATGCTCAATGAGAAGAAAACATATCACTCCTTCTCTGTGGAAGAATATGGTAAATAATAGCAATGAAAATATTACCTATCAATAAAAAAATTATAAAATCTTTCCAATTTTGCAAGGGCAAGATTATTAAATAATGAATTTTCAAGTGAGTATCTCTTCCTTTCCTCTTTCCTTGTCCTCTGTTACTATTTTAGGGTTCTCCATCTACTGTGATTTTTATCTCCTAGTTCAGCCCATAATCTTCCTGCAATTCTCTGTTAACCTAGGCTATCTATCTTCCTTTTGTAGTATCTGGATTCTATTTTATATGATAGTTTCTGGGATGTAAAGCACTTCTTATGAGAAGAATGGAATTAACATTAGTCATATGTTAGCCATTAGTCCCTTCATATTTTCTCCTAAAATCTTCATAAAATTTCTATTGTAGTATCTTTATTACTATTTTAAAGATGAAGATATTGAGAAACACTTTCCCAAGTTCAACACCTGAAAAGTGATGAATTTGGAATTCAAAATATGCATTTTTCTATCCAATTCCAAAATCCAGTCTTAGGCACTTCAGCGTCCTCCTCACACTGTTTATTAATGGCAAACATAAGCAAAGGTTGATGGTTTGTAAAGGAGAAACAATTGTTTTGTATGAATGTATTTATGTTAATATGTATTTATGTTAATAATATATAATATACACATTATAATATATATATTTTTTTTTTACTGGCAGTGTTACCCAAATTTCAAATGACTGTGGATGCACCAGAAAATATCTTAGTTGTGGACTCTGAATTCAAAGTGAATGTCTGTGCCTTGTAAGTTGAAATTGTACACAATAGAATAATGTATTCATAGAAAGATACTAGAATGGGATAGATGGCTAAAAAGAAGTAAAATATAAATGTGTAGAAGGTAAGGGAAAAAGAAGGTGTGAAATTGTTTTGCTGATTTTATGAATTCTTCCATGCATCTATAATTCTTTTAATGCATGTTATGACACGTGGTTTTATGTAACAGTTTAAGACAACTGACTACTGTCTTTCTTACATCATAAGATAACATATTGTTTTGCACCAGCCAATACAGTAGCCATGACCACATGTGGTTATTTAAGTTTTAATTAAAACTAAATATTCAGTTGCGTTAGCCACATTTCAAGCTGTCACATGTGACTAGTGGCCACTGAATTGGAGAGCATAGACATAAAACATAGAACATTCCATCTCCCAGAAATTTCCATTGGACAATATTTTCTGTTTATGACGATTTCTCAATTCAATCTTTATGTATTACATGATTATAAAAGAAAGCTGAAGCTCAAGATGTATCACAGAGAAAACTGCTGTAAGAGTTACAAGTGGCTCTAGGGTAATGGCGGGGCACAGTGTGGAGGATACTAAGGGCAGACAGGGACTTAGGGGCAAATAGTGAGGATTAACGTGTGGCAGGAGTAGCAGTGAAGCAGGTCAGGTTGTTTTCCCCTCTTCTTGTCACTAAGGTAAGCAACATTCACGGAGTTTATATAACCAGCAAAGAGAGCCAGGGTACAAACATTAAAACTTTGTCTCCTCAGACCTGATGTGTACTACTTTTCCCTGACTCATGTGTACTACTTTTCCTTTTAATTTTGCATAATTAAAAATAAAAAGTGACCTGGTAATTTCTAGTTATTAGGAGAGCTTCATTACAGTAATCTAAAATTCCATGCCAAACTTTAAGGTGAAAGCTTTGCCTGCCCTCCTTCCTGTGTCTACTTTAGGCTGGAAGTCTTTAAGAGTCAAGAAGAAGCATGGCTAACTTTTTGATGTCACTACCTTGTGCTTCACCTCCAGAGGTGGAAGAATACAGAAAAGGCAGAGACTGAAAAGTCTCATTGTAGTTGGGTCATAGAGGCAGGGAATTGCCAGCATTGCTGGAAAATCCCCTGAGTAACAGAAATCCCCAAAGCCCAAATGTCTAGGTACTTCCCTGTCACAGTGGCTGTGTGTTGGCTCCTGTGTCATTTTTACTGGAGAAGTATTGCATAAGCAAAATAAAGCACTCTAGGACAAGCCAGCTGGGAATCCCAAAACATAAGCATGAATCACTAAATGGTTGAAGATTCTAATGACTTGAAATCAAGGTATAATATAAACAAAAAAAAGAGCAATATATACCTGAGAAAACTGTTGAACATCAATCAGAAAAAGATTTAGAAATAAGTAAAATGTGTATACTCAGATATGAGTCAATAGTGTAACTTTAAAAATAATTAAAGACCTTGGAATTAGGCATATTATTAATTTAAAAATATATGTGTAGAAAGGCTGACTAGAAGGATCGATGATACTTAAGAGAGAATTAGTAATTTGGAAGATGAAATTGAGAAATTGTCCTAAAACGTAGCCCAGAGGAATCTACTGTTATTCCTTACAAGCAATTTTGTTCTTTGCTCTTTCTACCTATTTAAAATTTTTTAAATTATACTTTAAGTTCTAGGGTACATGTGCACAACGTGCAGGTTTGTTACAAATGTATACATGTGCCATGTTGCTGTGCTGCACCCATTAACTTGTCATTTACATTAGGTATATCTCCTAATGCTATCCCTCCCCACTGCCCCCACCCCACGACAGGCCCCAGTGTGGGATGTTCCCCACCCGGTGTCCAAGTGTTCTCATTGTTCAATTCCCACCTATGAGTGAGAACATGTGGTGTTCGGTTTTCTGTCCTTGAGATAGTTTGCTCAGAATGATGGTATCCAGCTTCATCCATGTCCCTACAAAGGACATGAACTCATCCATTTTCATGGCTGCATAGTATTCCATGGTGTATATGTCCATCTATCATTGATGGACATTTGGGTTGGTTCCAAGTCTTTGCTGTTGTGAATAGTGCCGCAATAAACATAAGTGTGCATGTGTCTTTATAGCAGCATGATTTATAATCCTTTGGGTATATACCCAGTAATGGGATAGCTGGGTCAAATGGTATTTCTAGTTCTAGATCCTTGAGGAGTCACCACACTGTCTTCCACAATGGTTGAACTAGTTTACAGTCCCACCAACAGTGTAAAAATGTTCCTATTTCTCCACATCCTCTCCAGCACCTGTTGTTTCCTGACTTTTTAATGATTGCCATTCTAACTGGTGTGAGATGGTATCTCACTGTGGTTTTGATTTTCATTTCTCTAATGGCCAATGATGATGAGCATTGTTTCATGTGTCTGTTGGCTGCTTAAATGTTTTCTTTTGAGAAGTGTCTGTTCATATCCTTCGCCCACTTTCTGATGGGGTTGTTTGATTTTTTCTTGTAAATTTGTTTAAGTTCTTTGTAGATTCTGGATATTAGCCCTTTGTGAGATGGGTAGATTGTAAACATTTTCTCCCATTCTGTCAGTTGCCTGTTCACTCTGATGGTAGTTTCTTTTGCTGTGCAGAAGCTCTTTAGTTTAATTAGATCCCACTTGTCAATTTTGGCTTTTGTTGCCATTGCTTTTGGTGTTTTAGACATGAAGTCCTTGCCCATGCCTATGTCCTGAATGGTATTGCCTAGGTTTTCTTCTAGGGTTTTTATGGTTTTAGGTCTAACATTTAAGTCTTTAATAATCTGTCTTGAATTAATTTTTGTATAAGGTGTAAGGAAGGGATCCAGTTTCAGCTTTCTACATATGGCTAGCCAGTTTTCCCAGCACCATTTATTAAATAGGGAATCCTTTCCCCATTTCTTGTTTTTGTCAGGTTTGTCAAAGATCAGATGGTTGTAGATGTGTGGTGTTATTTCTGAGGGCTCTGTTCTGTTCCATTGGTCTATATGTCTGTTTTGGTAGCAGTACCATGCTGTTTTGGTTACTGTAGCCTTGTAGTATAGTTTGAATCAGGTAGAGTGATGCCTCCAGCTTTGTTCTTTTGGCTTAGGATTGTCTTGGCAATGCAGGCTCTTTTTTGGTTCCATATGAACTTTAAAGTAGCTTTTTCCAATTCTGTGAAGAAAGTCAATGTTAGCTTGATGGGAATAGCATTGTATCTATAAGTTACTTTGGGCAGCATGGCCACTTTCACGATGTTGATTCTTCCTATCCATGAGCATGGATTGTCTTTCCATTTGTTTGTGTCCTCTCTTATTTCCTTGAGCAGTGGTTTGTAGTTCTCCTTGAAGAGGTCCTTCACATCCCTTGGAAGTTGGATTCGTGACTTCAAACTATACCACAAGGCTATTGTAACCAAAACAGCATGGTACTGGTACCAAAACAGATATATAGACCAATGGAACAGAGCAGTGGCCTCAGAAATAGCACCACACATCTACAACCATTTGACCTTTGACAAACCTGATGAAAACAAGCAATGGGGAAAGGATTCCCTATTTAATAAACGGTGTTGGGAAAACTGGCTAGCCAAATGCAGAAAACTGAAACTGGACCCCTTCTTTACACCTTATACAAAAATTAACTCAAGATGGATTAAAGATTTAAATGTTAGACCTAAAACCATAAAAACCCTGGAACAAAACCTAGGCAATACCATTCAGGACATAGGCATGGGCAAATACTTTATGACTAAAACACCAAAAGCAATTGCAACAAAAGCCAATATTGACAAACGGGATCTAATTAAACTAAAGAGCTTCTGCATAGCAAAAGAAACTATAATCAGAGTGAACAGGCAACATACAGAATGGGAGAAAAATTTTGCAATCTATCCATCTGAGAAAGGGCTAATATCCAGAATCTATAAGGAACTTAAATAAATTTACAAGAAAAAGCAAACAACCCCATCAAAAAGAGGGCGAAGGATATGAACAGACACTGCTTAAAAGAAGACATTTATGCAGCCAACAAACATATGAAAAAAAGCTCATCATCACTGGTCATTAGAGAAATCCAAATCAAAACCACAGTGAGATACCATCTCATGCCAGTTAAAATGGCGATCATTAAAAAGTCAGTAAACAACAGGTGCTGGAGAGGATGTGGAGAAATAGGAACGCTTTTACACTGTTGTTGGGAGTGTAAATTAGTTCAACCACTGTGGAAGACGCAGTGGCCATTCCTCAAAGATCTAGAACCAGAAATACCATTTGACCCAGCAATTGCATTACTGGGTATATACCCAAAGGATTATAAATCATTCTACTATAAAGACACCTGCACACGTACGTTTATTGCAGCACTATTCACAATAACAAAGACTTGGAACCAACCCAAATGCCCATCAATTTTAGACTGGGTAAAGAAAATGGGGCACATACACACCATGGAATACTATGCAGCCATAAAAAAGAATGAGTTCATGTCCTTTGCAGGGACATGGATGAAACTGGAAACCATCATTATCTGCAAACTATCACAGGAACAGAAAACCAAACACCACATGTTCTCACTCAGAAGTAGGAGTTGAACAATGAGAACATATGGGCACAGGGAGGGGAACATCACACACCGGGGCCTGTCGGGGGTTGGGGGCAAGGGGAGGGATAGCATTAAGAGAAATACTTAATGTAGATGATGGGTTGATGGGTGCAGCAAACCACCATAACACACGCATACCTATGTAACAAACCTGCACCTTCTGCACATATATCCCAGAACTTAAAATATAATAATAAAAAAAAATGAACAGTTTTACTTCTTTCCAAAACAAACAAACAAAAAGAAATTACCCCAAAATCTGATGGCTTAAAATGACATTTATAAAAAATAAATAAATAAATATAATTTACATTTTAAAAGTAAAAACCATAAAATATGCTCATAATAGCAGTTTAAAAACAAAAAAACTAAAAGAAGCAAAATGTTATTTTATTTTATTTTTTGTTTTTCAATACTCCATTGCTATCAGTATGCAAAAAATATTATTTTTAATGAAATAATGACTGATTTTTTTTGTTTTTTTGTTTACATTGTATTTTAGTGACTTAGATATATAACTTCTACATGCCTATTTCAACCTTTTTAATTAAAATATATTTTTGCCTAAAGCATTCAACTCAATTTTAGTCCATACCATTGTTTTAGATTTCCTCCAGAAAATAAAATTTATGCTAACTAGCTATTTAAATGTTGTTACGGTGCTGGTTTCAGCTACTAAATAAAGGTTTCAAAACCCTATACAGATTAAAAACGACCTTGACCTCTGTAATTGTGTTATTGTTATATTCTTCTATTAGATATACCTATGGTGAACCTGTGGACGGGAAGGTCCAACTTAGTGTGTGCAGAGAATCTACGGCTTATCATTCATGTGCTCATCTTATCAGTTCACTCTGTAAAAATTTTACCATTCAGGTAAGAGGTATATCAGCAAAATTATAAATAGGTTTGCGTTAACTTTTTATCCTCACCTTCCATTTACCTTCCTTTCTTCTTGTTTTCCTCTTTACAGTTAAAATATATACTTTTATTCTATATTTCTATTCCTATTTGTAAATTTTATATTCCTCTTTTGTCATGCTAAGTTTCATTTTCTATTGACTGACAAAAAGCAAATTATAGTATCAGAAACTGAGTAGTAAATTTCGATTCTTAATTAAAAATACATTTGGTTTCATATCAAAATCTACACCCTATCAATTTACTGGGAACATATGTCCTGTTCTTTATTTTATACTTTGTGAATTTAGTCAGGGAGATGTGACGTTTCTGCATATTCAAGAGTATTAGATGTATAATTATTTTCCTCTCAACCTATTCTCACTGGAAATAAGTGTATATAGGAGCTCCGGATGGGAACCCTATCAGTCAGGTTCTTAACCACTAAAGAGAAGAATCAACTTTTCCAAACTGACAAAGGAGGAATTTCCTAAAAGATCTACTTGGAAGGTTTGAGAACCAACATTCAGAAAACGGACACAAACAGGCTGGTCTAGGATGTAGCAAGGCTTTCAGCTATAATCATGCCAGATCTGACTGTCTAATATACAACTGCCAGCTGCAATCCCCATACTATAGTGTGATACCATTTATCCACACACATGTGTGCACACACACACAGGTGCACACACACAGTGTCACATATTCCTGTCCCGTTTAGAGAATACTTTAGGTTGGAAATAATGAAGAACCTTCTAATTCTTAAATTAAAAAAATGTGGACAATAAACGCTAACAATAGTAACAATTATAATAATAATAATTGCTAACATTTAATGGATGCTTATTGTGTGTCAGTCACTGAGCTAAGTAGTTTATGTGCATTTGATTCTCAAAACAAATAGTACCCTATGAGGGGGTACTATTATCGCCCCCTTACTGATGAGTGGATTAAAGCAGAAAGAGGTTAAATACATTGCTCAAGGTCATGGGTGCAGCAAAACTAGATCATAAATACATGTCAATACATATATATTTTTAGACAGTCTCACTGTGTCGCCCATGCTGGAATGCAGTGGCGCGATATTGGCTTACCGCAACCTCTGCCTCCCGGGTTCAAGCAATTCTCGTGCCTCAACCTCCCAAGAAGCTGGGACTACAGGCGTGCACCACCACGCCCAGCTAATTTTGTATTTTTGGTAGAGACGGGGTTTCACCATGTTGGCCAGCCTGGTCTTGAACTCCTCATCTCATGTGATCTGCCCGCTTCGGTCTCCCAAAGTGCTGGGGTTACAGGCGTGAGCCACTGCACCCCAACCAAGTCATATAAATATTTAAATAACTAGTGGGGCTGTATCTTTAGGGATATCAGGGATACAAAAATTTTCTCCACAAATTCATTCAACAGATAATATTGAGGTCTTTTAATATGCAAGAATAATTTTATTTAGAAGCTTCATTGTTGAGCAAGACAGATCAGGTACTATCCTCATGGGTTTTGCACTTTATGAAGCAGTCATAATCTTTAAAGATGCACACTCTAGAAGAGACTAAACCAATATAAGCCGAGTGCACAGGGTAGGTAGATCCCAGAATGCATTATCGAAGGCGGCTATATTATATAGATGCCCTTCAGGAGATTTGAGAGATCTGGAAACTTAAAATGTACATGTAGGGTGGGAAGGGGTGAGGATCAAAAAAACTACCTATTGGATACTATGCTTATTACCTGGATAGTGAAATAATCTGTACACCAAACCCCCATGACACACAATTTACCTATATAACAAACCTGCACAGGTACCCTTGAACCTAAAATAAAAGTTAAAATAATCAAATGCACATGTAAAGCAGGAGTGTGGACTAAATAATTTATCTAATTATTCACCTTTAGTATAGTGGAAATTTTTCTAGATCTTTAAGCTTCTGGAAATGGTTCTAGACCTTCTTATAGTTTCAAGGACCCCCTGAAGTAGCACAGGATTTTGACATCTCACCACATCTTGAGGACTAGATTTCCTCATATCATCATAAGATGAAGGAGTAGAATAAGAACACAGTTTTTCCCCAATATTATAGTCCAGGAACCTATGAGCACAATTTATCCCACGTTTTAAAAATATTTGACAATTCATCCTGTTTAAATTTTGGTTACTAATTGTGACACTTTAAAAATTTCACTTAGTGAGACATTGTCACTTGACTAGACACTGAGAGAAATGTAAAGGAATCTAATTAAAAAATCTACTACCTACTGAATGTTTACTAAGTGCTGGCCCTGTGCTAAATAAACACTTTCCAGTTATTATCTAATGTAATACAATTCTACAAGCTCTTTATTAAGATTTCATTTTGTATGAAGTAATAAGTAGTAAAGCCAGGGTTCAAATTCTGGTGTTTGACTGTAAAGCCTGTGTTCCTAACTGCTGTGTAAATAGTCCCATAAATGTCCAAGGCATGGTAACTAAATAGTATAAAACTCAGTTTCAAAACTGTAAAAGAATATGGCTGAAATTACCAAAATTGCAAATATCATGTGTGAATACTTGTGACTAGTGATGGATGTGTTTATTATCTTGTACAATAACAAAATAATGTCACCATGAAGAGTTTTTTAAAACACAATATTGTAAGAGTTAATATTTATTAAAAAATAAATAGTTATAGGTAAATACATGAACTGAAAATATAATTATAGAAACACAATGGATTATTTTAAAAAACTAAAACTTGGGTAATACAATATTCTTAAAGTTGCTTCAGTGAGGTCACACATTTTCCCTATTATATTATATAGGTATTTCTTACAGTCTTCCTTTAAAATATAACTTTTTTTTATTGTTCTTTTCAGTTGGGGAAAGATGGCTGTGTCTCCAAGTTCATTAACACAGGTGCTTTTGAGTTAAATCGGTAAGGATACTGGAGTTTCCTCAAAGTGCATGCTCTTGTTACAGAGAACGGAACAGGTAATGCTCTCTAAGAAGCCAGACCCCAATGGATATCACTGTCTCATTCGAATTGTTACCTGATTGCCAACTATACAATGTTAATACAATCATTTTTTCCCTGAGGGCTTTTCATTGGGTTCATCTGATTCAAATTCTGAATGTTTCATATATCAACCAAAATTTTCACACACATGTTGATGGATGGTCAAGTATTACATTCAAATAAGGCTACAATAGAAGTAAGAATGCCAATTTATTGATTTATAATGGGAGTATCTGGTTTTAGATATAAGCATATTCCTTTTCCTTAATCATTCCACAGATAGATATAATTGAGACATGTAGTTGTCGATTATAAAATTTTTTTGGTGAGCATAGAATTAGAACATGGGAAGTAAAATAGTTTGGGGAGAATATTTTACTGAGCCTCTGAAAATAAATCCAGTGAAAAATCTTTATCTCATCCAGGAAAATCTGTCTCCCTGCCTTCCTCCCTTCCTTCTTTTTCTTTTTCGGAGTTTCGCTCTTGTTGCCCAGGCTAGAGTGCGGTGGCGTAATCTTAGCTCACTGCGACCTCCGCCCGCCAGGTTCAAGCGATTCTTCCGCCTCAGCCTCCCGAGTAGCTGGGATTACAGGCGCCCGCCATCAGGCCCGACTAGGTTTTTGCATTTTTAGTAGAGAGACGGGGTTTCATCATGTTGTCCAGGCTAGTCTCAAACTCCTAACCTCAGGTGATCCTCCCGCCTCGGCCTCCCAAAGTGCGGGGATTACAGTCGTGAGCCACCTCGCCCGGCCAATAATATTTCTAATGACTAATTTCTTGTATCTCCTGGACCTAATACCCCTTCTTCCTAAAGCACAAAATGGTAAGTCTTAATCCTTGAAATGCTTTTTTCTGTGCTGACCACTTTGTGTTACTATAGTGCTTTTAAACTTATGCATATGTAACTGATATTTCAGCAAAATTTCTGTTCGTGAAATATTAAATTACTAATGTACTTATATCAGTCTTCAAAGTTTTAGAGGTATCTGTCACATCCAGAGGAAATTCAAGTATTAAACAAACATTTAATTGATAATTAGGTATATTTGTCATACTGAACTAAATAAATAATAAAAGAATAGCCAGGCACAGTGGCTCACACCTATAACCCCAGCACCTGGGGAGGCTGAGGCAGAAGAATTATTTGAGCCTAGGAGTTTGAGACCATCCTCGGTGGCAACATAGTGAGACCCCGTCTCTACAAACAATACAAAATTAGCTGGGTGTTGTGTCATGCAGCTGTAGTCCCAGCTACTCAGGAGGCTAAGGTGGGAGGATCACTTGAGCCCAGGAGATTGGGGCTGCAGTGAGCCATGATCGCACCACTGCACTCCAGCCTGGGCAACAGAATGAGACCCTATCTCAAGGAAAAAAAAAGAGAAAGAGAGAGAGAAAGAGAGAGAAAGAAAGGAAGAGAGAGAAAGAGAAAGAAAGGAAGGAAGAAAGAAAAGGAAGGAAGGAAAGGAAGGAAGGCAGGAAGGAAGGAAGGAGGGAAGGGCTTGCTACATGATAACATATGTCCATATTTATATGAGAAATAATGTAGCAATAAAAATATAAGTTTTTATAAGGTTTTACAAAAACTTTATAAAATAATGATAAAAAACATGTAAAACTACATACACATTTGCACATATTGAGTGTATGTGTGCATGTACACATATACACACACAATCTCAAACATATTAATATAAATGATAAATATAAAAAGAAATAGAACTTGTGGGAAAAAGCCTAAAATGCTAATTTTGATTCTCTTGGAGATATCTGATATTTGGTAATTTGTATTTTCTTTTTTAAGCATTTCCATTTTTAATAATACACATATATTACAATTCTTACTATTAATAAATTAAAGCATATGTTTTAGGCAAGCAGAGAGTAAAAGAAATGTTGTTAAACAATCACTTAGGAATAATGAGAAATCAACGTTTACTAATCCATCATGAAGAAATGGTAAGTGAATTGGATATTTTATAAAAAGCAGCAACACCAGTTGGCACAAGCATTTTGTGCCGTCTTGATTAACTTTCTTTATAAAAGACATCTGAAGTACCTATATATTAAAACTGCTTAGGAAAGGGAAGGGAAACTATTAGAAGGAATGGTGAGCTTTTGTGGTTTTTTTCAGAAGCTCTGTTTGTCTGTTTTTGGAAGTGACATTTTCTCAATAATACTTAATTGACTGCAGGTGTGCAGCTTACAGGCTCCAAGTACATATACATAGACTCATCAGTGGTGAAGATTAGTTTTGAGAATATGGATATGTCCTACAAACAGGGACTCCCTTATTTTGGCCAGGTAAGAAAGCAATCATTTTTTACATACCTTATTCATTCATTCATTTGTTCTTTCATTTATCTACTAATCTTCCAACAGCTATTCCCTAAGAAATTACTATGTAGGAATCTCTGTGCTAAGCACTGTAGGGTGACCTACACTGTTGATTTTCATAGATCTGTCCTGGTGTATATGTTTTATCAAGTTGTAACTGTTAATAGTTACAACCACTTCACTCTAAAAGTGTCCAAGTTTGGACAATAAATTATATAGTCTACATCAGTATTAGGAATAAAATGGTGATGTAGAGAGGCACTTTTATCACTGCTTTTATGGAGTTTATAGTGTAATAGAGATAATAAACATTAAACAGATAATTTTACAAAGAATTATTGTAGTCGTGATAGGTGCTATGTCAGTGAAATACTGACCATTTAACTACTCTACATCAGGAGCTGACAAACCACAGCCCATAGGCAAATCAGACAGAGGCCTGCCTTGATACAGCCAGTGAACTATGAGTGGTTTTAACATTTTTAAAAGATTATTTAAAAAATAACAAAATATATGAGAGAGAGACCATGGTGTTTTACGAAAGAAGTTTGCTAAAATCTGGACTAAATGATCATGGAAAGTTTCCCTGAGGAAGTAATATTTAGGTTGACACAAGAACACTAAAAAAGAAATACAAAAGTGGGTAGCCTGGCTTACATCTTACAGAGCAGTGGTTCTCAAACTGGCATCAGCATCACCTAAAGGACTTACTGAAACAAATTTCAGTAAAAGTCATTTAATGAACAAATTTAGATTGAAATACAGCTTTGGCAGATAGATAAATTTGATATATGTTCATTTCACTTACTGAATAGTGGTGAATAATGTTAATGTAATTTTTTCTAACCTTTCTCTTCACTTTGTACATTTTTGCTTTATATCTTTCCATGTTCTGTTACTAAATATATAAAACTGAGAGATATCTTCAAAGAATATAAAATTTTTTCTGAATATAAAATAATTTTATCTAGACTTGAGAATTCTCCATTTCCTCCCTCTTATGTTGTTGTTACCCAAGATGATTTCTTGGGTTCCCATTTGTCTCTTGTATCTTTTCTGTGCTATTTAAAAGTGTTTCCTGTGTAAAGAGCATTTTGTGTGAAAATGTTATATTTTAGCTTCCTTTCTGAACTTAATCTTCTGAGGTTTTTGTTATTAGTTTGTTTTATTCGATTGGCAAATATCTCCAAATTGAATATTAGAGATGATAGTGGACTTCCTGGTTGTATTTTGCATATTTTGGGGAATGCTTTTAAAAATGTAATGCATAAACCTACTAAGTAACTGTAGCATTTTGTGAGACATACTTTATGAAGTCAAAAAATTTTCCTTTTTTAGTTCACTAAGAATTTTCTATAATATGTTAGTTTCTGTATCTAGATATTTCTTATTAAATTTAGGTTTTAAAATAGAGGACATAAAAATATGTTCACTTATGATTTGAAAAAATAAATCTATCATAATTTATTTCCCCTTTTTATTACTAGTTGTGTTTGTGTTTTTTTCCCATTAGTTTTTGGATTTGTTAATTATGTTTATTTTTAATGTTATTTTAAATGATTTTCCTTTCATCATTTATTTTTATTATATTTTTTCTTCTACCTCTTTTGGTTTTTTTTTCTAGCATCTTGTTATAAATACTTATGTTAAACTTCCATGTTTTCAAATTTATACAATTTTTCCTGAATACTACTTTCCTCCTCACAGGTGTTTTTCTATACTATTTTTATTTTTTAAATTATGAAAAAATGCACATATCAAATTTACCATCTTAACAATTTTTAAGTTCAATTAAAATCATTTCTGATGATTTCATTATTTTTATTTTTATTTTTACCTAAGAATTACTTAGAGTTTTAAGTTTTCTTCTCTAGTATGTGTGATTATGGTTGTATATTTTTTTAAAAAGTAATTTTTTCTTTTGTAGTAACAGCTACAATTTATTGAGCACTTACTAGGTCTTAAATATTTGCTAAATACATATACAGTACTCACAATAGCCCCAGGAAATGATAGATGTATTTAAGTTTTGGATCAATGATTAATGATTAGCTGAGTAGAAAGCTCTTTTCTACCCTATAATAAGCTAGACATTAGAGACCGACATTCCAATTAATATAATTAACCCTGAATTTATAGAACTGTTTTCTCATAATAATGCACATCTACTGCTAAATGACTACTCTCAAAGTTGCTTTCTTTTTCATGTCCAAAGAAAATTACATTTGCTTTCCTCCGAGTTTTACAATAGAATACTCTTCAGTGCTACTATAGAATCTATTAGGAAATTCTTTGAAATATAAATCAATTTAAGCCCTATAATCAGAGCTTCTCTTCTTGTTGAACTGCTTTGCAGGGGGGAAATGGCATACATATACAAAATAATACTCTCCTGAAACACACAACACTGACTCCCAAGAATATTGATGACTTACTATTTGTCGAACACTGTTACATGCTACCAGTGTTAGATGAATCAGGAATCCCTTTTCAGTAACTATGGTTCTTGGAGTCCTGGATAACTTAAAAAAATAGAGACCAGTCTGGCTAAAGAAATTTAAAGTTCTCTAACTCTCAGCTGGACACCTTGGGAACTAGAATATGGATATGTCCCACCCAGTTCCCAGGAGAACACCATGAAAAAGTTTATATACATCCCACATCCTCTGCAGTATCTCAAAACTCTCTCCTAGTTCCAGCATCCTCCCATCACCACAAATATCAAGAGTATTAATCAAGGAGGGACAAGCCTGCCACTATATCCTTCACTCACAATTCCAAAGATGTTTGTCCTGGAAATTCTGTCTTATTTTCATGAGCTCTTAGCATATCATGATAGCATGACATCTTCACATCAAGTATACTGCTTGGCTAGCATTGATAATAGTTCAAACAAATAGCAACAATTTATATACTTCACATCAACTAGGGGAAAGGTGACAAATATTGTAAGACAGCTTGAAGCACAGGTTATCACCAAGGTTTGTGTTTGGGAGATAAAACATACAAGATAAACAGAGGACTAACATTGACTAATTCTGGAGAAACATAGGAAGAACTATAAACAGCTTAGCAGAGAGAAAACAGTTCACTGATTTTTAATAAAATCCATTCACAACACTTATTTGTAGTTACTTTTATGGTAGATAATATTCAAGTTATATTAAAGTGCTTCAAGCAAAATTTAGCAACTCCTGTAAGGCTTCCTGCTGTTCATCATCAAGTTGAGATACACATTCCAACCATAAATCTTCAGGAGTCTGTACTTGAGGCACGACATCTTCTAGGCGTTTGGCACAGGGATCTTCATAGTTAATAGTCCCATTAATTTTTTCTTCTGCAATTATTCTGATTATTTTGGGAAAATTGGAATTATTTGGACCAATTACAACTGGGTGGTTACTTTCAGTTAGGTCACAGAGAAAACTCAAAGTCTGAATAGCTTCCTCTTTATCTTCATGCAGTGGAAGCCATGATAGCCAGTATGAAAGAACTTCATCTACATTTACACAGTTAGGCTTAAACTTCAAAATCTTCCCTAGTGCTGAGATACAGTTCTCTGTAGCAATGACATTTTTTTTTTGTTTTGGAATTTGCACACTTAATAACTTTTACCACAGTGGGACAGCTTCTGAACATAAAGAATGATAATCATCTCCACTAAGCTGTGCCATGACACCCAGGCCATAAGCAGCAGCTTGCCTGACTTCAGGGTTGTTATCTCACACATTTAGTAGCATTGGCCACCAAAAATAGTCTACATATTTAAATGAAGTTGGACTACATATTTAAATGAAGTTGGATTGCAGTGCTCTGCGATGTCATCAAATATGCACAGTCCCCACTGTCTGCCTAGCCATGGCCTACTTGAACAAATTAGATTTACAATTAATGGAAGTAGTTGTTCAAATCATGGTAAAATCTTTTCCTTATAAGTACTAAATAATGTGTGCAAAATATCTGATACTTTGGTCAGAATATAAACATCACATTCATCCTCATCTTGCAGAGACATCTCAACCTTTTGATCATAGTTTTCTTCCTGACTTTTAACCTGTCACAATTCTTCGTTTTTAAAGTGCCCTTCAAGTTTTGCTCTCAGTGTCCCTCCCAGTTCTTCCAAGTATTCATCATTAAGGCAATCATCTCCCATAACTTCAGTGAACTTTGCAAAAGAATTCATTATTTCTGAGAGCACATCTGTATCTGGTTCAGTACCAATAGCCTTGATTAAGGGGTTACGTATGAATTGCCACATCTGTGCAAGATACTCTGGGCCACAAATTCTTGCACATTCCAGGAGAAAAGGCATGGACTCTGCTGCTGCCACTCGAACATTGTCTTGGAAATAAAATTTCAGTAAAGGAACCATCAGCTTCACAACTTGTTCTGTATAGTTCACAAACCCTTCCCTTAACTCCTTAGCATAGTAAACCAACATCTGGCAAGCAGTTACTTTTGCTTCAAGTCCTGAAGTTTTAATTCCAAAACGCTGTTGGTCTCCAAGATTTACATGTTGCCAGCCATCATCATCATTCATATTCTCCACATCCTGTGTGTCTAAGAGAGCAGCATGAGGTTTAGCTGAAGCAGTCTTAATAAGAGGCTCGATAACCAGGGAAAGCTACTGTTGAAAATCTTTTCCAAGAATTTTACACTTTCTAGCCCATGCTGAAACCATGTAAGAGGTCTGGGGGTCATTATCTTCCGTATTATTTAAGTCTGATTGTGTCTTCAACAAGAGCTGCATCACATTTGATGCATCTTACATAAATTTTTTCTTCCCAACAGCAAGACCAATATGGCTAATGCACGCAATAATTTTTCCTCTCAGAAGCTTGAGTTCCTTCTGAACAGCAAGCTCAATGATGTGCTTTAGTGAGGGCATGAATATATCATAATATGGGACAAATTTTTCTTCTATTGTATCTGCAACCGATGCAATGGTTGCCACAAGTTATTCCAGGGCCAACTTAGTTCCATTCCGAATCAACTCTTCAAGCTTAATCACCAAGACAGAATGTAGATTTTTCACCATACTATCCAAATATAGAACTAGGAATGATTTGGGGCAGTCTTCAATAAAAACAGTAAGAGCAGAAGCTGCATGTGATTGCACACGCTGATTACCTTGATTTTGCATGGTACGTAACAGAGCTGGAATCACTGTTTCATGAAATGTCTTTTGGAAATTGGGTGCAAAATCTGTAGCCATCTGTCCAAGTGTAGTACAGGCTGGAGCCCTTACCCTTAGATGAGGATCCTGGGATATTTTCACAGATTTCCTCTGCTTGCCTCCGCACCATACAGCTTGGATTGATCAGGTTCTTCAGAAGCTGATAAAACTCTTTGCTTTTCTGACAAGTTCGCCAGCACCCCTGTGGACGTGGTCACCGCCATTATGCTCTGTCAAAGCTACCATGACTGGGAAGGAAAATAAGTAATTTTTAAATTGCGGACAACACATATATTAACAAGAAAAATAACACTGTAAATTAAAGTATGAAGAACAATGAGCACCTCTCCCCTCTAATCCGTTCATTTCGTGAATACTTCCCCAGAAGCAACTACTTTCAGTCCACTGTGTTTCCTATAAACCAGTAGTGAGGTTCAGAAGCTTGATCAGATTCAAGTTCATTTTTGGTGGGTGCAGTAGGCAAGAATATAATGTAGGTAGTGTCATGTACTTTTCACAGAGAGCACTCTTCCTCTCTTACTGAGATGTTAGCAGACATTGACAATAATTACTTAGATGCATTGTTTCTCTAAACCATTCTTTCTTAGCCTTGGCACAACTGAAATTTTGGGCCAGATGATACTTTGCTGTGGGGGCTACCCTGTGCATGGTAAGAGTTTAGCAACATCCCAGGTCTCTACCTGGGATGTAGCACCATCCCCTTCCTATTTGTGATAGCCCAAAGTGTTTGCAGACATTGCCAAATGGCAAAATTTATTGGCTAATAAGTTAAAAAGTGATAAATTAGAATTTTGCCACTCTTAGAATAGTGATTCTCAATGAAGGGTGATTTGAGATATTTTTAAAAAGATTACCTAAATCCTATTATCCCCTCTAAAAAATTAGCAATAATCCACTGAAATCTGCCAGTCAATCATGCTCCAGATTAACTCAGGGGTTTTATTTCTGTCTTCTCTAGCATAAGACATGGTTGAGAGGGGTGTGTGTGTGTGTGTTGTGTGTGTGTGTGTGTGTGTGTGTGTATGTGTATGTGTATGTGTATGTGTGTACTTAAGCCCTAGCCTAGTCATTAAGGCCCAGCTCCTTCCCATTCCCTCTCAAAGCTTCTTGACACTTTAAGGTATAGTATTATCTTATCCTATAATCAGGAACTCCAAGACACCTTTTCCTATAGAGGAGAGCTGGGAAAACTAGCTGAGGTTGGTAATAGTTTATCAGGGAGGTAGGGGATAGGTGGTACCTACATGAATCAGGCATCCGTGGACAAAGTAGTCTGTTATTAATATATTGTAATACAGTACAGTTTCCTGCCTGGACACACCCTCTTCATTAGCATTTGAAAGAATTAGTTCCTGAAAACTCATATATAAGAGCTCTTATTTCCTTGATCATTTTAGGGAGACCAGTGGCAGCTATAAACAGATGTGAGTCTCAAACAATAAAATGCTTTAGTTCAAAAACATGGTTGTATAAAGTGGTATCTTTTGGGTTTTTGGCCATTTCACAGTGGTGAATGCTCTGATCACTTCCGGGAGATGTGCCAGGAGAAACAAGTCATTCCTGTTCTACTTTTGGAAAAGGGACTGGTTTCTCTGTGATATAGTGAGTCACTACAGTAGCTGCATTACTGGAAATTAAAAATGGTTTATCTGGCCATGTGTTGTGTCATAAGGCCATCAAACACGTGGCTCAGTATTGCTAGGGAGCACTTTTAAAGAGTAAGCTTTATTTCCAGAATGAAGATACTATCTGCTTTTTTAGTGTCCCCTACAAATTTCAAGACCTCAGAGCTATGACTCCAAGAGTAACATATGTGAACATAGGAAGCTGGGCAAGGCGGTGGGCTAACAAGGGTATTTCTTCATAAGTGACAGTAGCAGCATCCGTGGATGGCTGAAATGATACTGTTTAAAATTGTAGGATATACGACAAATACCTTTGCCACAAGAAACATCTGCTAATGAAGTGTTGCATGCCTGGCCCCGGCAGTTGATAATGGGCCTGGTGTCATCACTTGGGGCACTATTTGGGTTTGGGGACAAAGAAAGAAAGGAAAGTGCCCAGAAATCACATGGCTTGTTCATCTTTCTGTGACTGGAAGGGACTCAAAGGATCTTTCTAGTCTAGGTGTACTAAAATTAGAGCAAACCTCTGTGTGATCATAAAGGCATGGTGTCATGTGTCTGTGGCCTGTGGACTGCTGAGACAAGTTGAATTTTTCTTACAAGATCAAGCCTTGAGATGAAACTAAGTTCAAAATCTGCGTAGATGGTGCAAATAAGGCATCAGTCTACAGATGCTGAGCAAGAAAAAAGGATTGTGTTTGCCTGGACCAGCAGGAAAATGATAAGTGGCAGAAATAAGATGAAAGGCTCAAAGCAGAAGTTGTTTTGCAGAAACTGACTGAGCTAAAAAAAGGATGTCTCAGACAGTCTTCTTCTGGTTGTTGTGGCCTTAGATGTTGTTAAGAAGGTGCCTTTAAAGGCTTCAAACTGGCATAGATACTGATGCAGGCATTGTATCTACTGCAAATCATACAATTTCAGAAGGGACTTTTTAAAGCAATCATTGCCTGTACTAGTAAGAGAATGAGAAAGAGATTTCTAGCAAATAACCATGGCCTATCAGAGCAGTCACTACAATGTTTTAGGGAGGATAATGCTAAATTTTGCATTTTAGAAAATTTGCTTTGATGCCAGTATAGAGAAAGAACAAGCAAAAGCAATACAGGAGAGAGAGACTGGATAGAAAAAAATAGAAGATGTATGAGGGAAAAAAGATAAGCTATTGATACAAGGAATAGCAACAGGAACAAATGTGATAAGCTGGAAACAGAAAATGTTAAAAAGATACAATTGAAAATATTTTATCAACAATTGAAAATTATAGGAGAAGGAAAATAAAAAGTCTAAGATGTCTCTAGATATTTGACTTCAGTGACTAAGTGAATGGTTGAGGTATTCACTGAGATAAATAAGAGAAAGAGAAAAAAAAGGAAGGTTGGGCACAGTAATAAATCATTCCAATTTGAGGGTTTCTGTAGCATTTTTATTATAAAAAATACTCAGGATGATTAATTCTATGGGCCTGAGTTTTCAGAGATCTTCGTGGGCAGGAGAAACAGAGTTTAGGCTCATTAGTATATTAATGGTACATGTCATACACTCAACAGGAATAGATGAAACCACGCAGGAAGTGCATACGTACGAAGGAGAGCGGGGGTCCCCATGATAGAAGCTTGGCAAATGCCATCAAAATGGATTCCCAAATTTACTACATGCTTCCGAAATGTATTTTCTTCCTCTTGTACAGATTAAATTGCTTGATCCAGACAACTCTCCAATCCCAAATGAAGTTGTCCAGTTGCATCTGAAGGACAAAATCGTGGGAAACTACACCACAGATGTAAATGGCATCGCTCAGTTTTTCTTGGACACATATACGTTTACATACCCAAATATCACTTTGAAAGTAAGTTAAACGAAAGGCAAGTAAAATAAAAACAAACAAGCAAACAAAAAACTGCACTGGCTCGCTAAGGTTTAGGTCTGTGCGAAATTATATTTATGGAACAGAAATGAAAAGTTACACCTTGGTGTGAATCTAGAGTACTGAAAAATAGTTAAATATTAAGAATATAGGCCCTATGAAAAGTAGGTTAAAAATTATTTTAAGAGTCCCGGGAAAAGACAGAAGGATAGCATACATACTAAATTGTATAAAGGAGAATTAGCTGAAAATAAGCAACGCTTCACTTTTATTAAGGAAATAGAAAGAGAATTGTGTTTTTATAGAAGGAAATATTTGAGAAACCCTGTAATCTATTACCTTGGAATAATGTAAAGAATTTCTCTGGATATATTCAAGAGAGAAGTGAACTACTATCTGTAATAATTAAATATCAATCCTTCCTAGATATTTTTAAAGGACTCCTCAGACTTTTTGTGTTGATAATGGTAAATTACTATGGTCAGAGTAAACTCCTTGCTGTATTTCATAAAAACTTTCCCATCTTTCAGCAAAACTTCATATTATGTTATCAGTAGCAAGGTAAACGTTTGCACTCATGGGTTCTTCGTATTATAGTGAGGGAGATATAGCAATCTACATGCTAGCAAAAGTAATAATTATAGTAAAGAATACAGTAAAATATTTAATGTAATATTATTGAAGTAGGACTTGAATAGACTAAATTGTAAAAACCATAGTGGTCGCTCTAGAGTATAACTAGAAAATGGGGAATTGGGTTAGATTTAATGTAGAATGGCTATAAAATCTTCTTGCAGAGATAAAGCAGCATGATGATAAACCATCTTATCAAATATTCTTTCACTCATCCTTTCTCTTTATCCTAAAATACCCGTAATTTTGATTTTTTGTCTAGGCAGCCTACAAGGCCAATGAAAATTGCCAGGCTCATGGCTGGGTGTTGCCTCAATACCCTCAGCCCGAGTACTTTGCATATCGATTTTACTCCAAGACGAATAGCTTCCTAAAGATTGTCCAAGAGATGGAAGAACTGAGATGCAACCAGCAGAAGAGGGTGCTAGTGCACTGCATTCTCAATATGGAAGACTTTGAAGACAAAACCTACACAGCAGACTTCAATTATTTGGTATGAGCTGAAAACATTCTTCCACAACCAAAATTGTTTCTTTTCTTTAAAACTTCTTTGAACCTAATGAAATCCCTGTACCTATATGCCACGAGGAAGCTCAAAGTTAACATAAATGATAAAACTTATATAACTGGTATCTATTTTTAAGAAAGGAGGGAAAAGGCCATGCCACCACAACCCATATGCACTCTGTCATTCTCAGACCCTTTCTTCAGAGTTACCCATTTCTATTTGGACATTGCTGGGATCAAACCAGAGTTCTGATATGTACTAGCTTTGTGTTACTTTTTGAAAGCCACTTAAACCCTAGAGAATCTTAGTTTTTTGTAATATATTGTCTAATCATCAAGATAATTATTTAATAATACATATAAAGCCCTTTGCCCAACTTCTGGCACACAGAAGATATTAAGTATTAGTTTGATTTTAATATATTGCTATTATGGATTATTTTACACTGTCTAAATAGATGCATGATACTTCATTGAGATTTATGAAGATGATATAAAATTAATGAAACATGAATTAATTCAATCAGCCAACACTTATTGAATGTTTTTCATATTCCAGGTGCTGTATTAGCAATTGTCACAATAGAAGAAATAGAAAAAGTATAACTGGGGACAAAACATATATTAGAATTACGTAAGTGTTACAAATGAAACATGTATGGCCACTGAGGTGTTACAGAAAAATGAATGATTAACTTTAGCTAGAGTTTAGGACAGTGATTATCAGAGTATATTTCCTAGAGTAGCAGTATCAGCATCACCTGGGAATAATTTAGAAATTCTGGGAATAAGTGGCCAGGTGCAGTGGCTCACGCCTGTAATCCCAGCACTTTGGGGGGCCGAGATGGGCGGGTCACAAGGTCAGGAGATCCAGACCATCCTGGCTAACACGGTGAAACCGCGTCTCCACTAAAAATACAAAAAGAAATCAGCCTGGCATGGTGGCGGGCGCCTGTAGTCCCAGCTACTCAGGAGGCTGAGGCAGGAGAATGGCATGAATCCAGGAGGCGGAGCTTGCAGTGAGCGGAGATGGTGCCACTGCACTCTAACCTGGGTGACAGAGCAAGACTCTGTCTCAAAAAAAAAAAAAAAAAAATTCTAGGAATAAGTTAGAAATCTTGTCCTCCGAAGCACATTAAAATTTGACAACCACTAGTTTAGGAAAAAGATATATGCGTATATATTTACATTTATATGTATATACATATTTTTAAGGAAAAAATACATAAAGAGAATATGCCTAAATAGGGTTTTGTGGGATGAATAGGAGTTTTCTGGATGATTAGAGGATATGAGAAACACATTTAAGCTTATTTTAGGAAATAATATAAGAGGTCAAAGATGTCTGAAGTGTATTATTCTGAGAACTAAAGGTGTTTGAGTCTATCTATGCGAAGAATGAAAGTAGTACCACATGATTTCTCACATTTTGCAAACTTAGAATTCTGGAATAGTCTTTTGATACTTCTTTTTTTCATGCTATTTACTGCGTCACCAATTTCTATCACTTTTTCATTATATTATCTCTTGCATTTTTTCTTTCCTTCATCATTTCCATAAACATTAAAATATTTCAAACCAGCAAGGTATGGACACCAAACCATCAGAAAAGGTATGAGTCATAATTCCACTGAAGCCCTTAGCTAAGCCAAGCATGGCTCATTTAGACTGGGGGCAAAGTGGTGGGAGTGGGAGGAGCTGGTTGTGGAGGAGAGGTTCTAGGGCAGCAGGGAGGGGACTCTGGGGAGCTCAGGGAAGTGGCTCTTTGCCAACCGGTACAGAAATCCTTCAACATGTCAACAATAATACTGCCGTACTGGGGTGTGAGAAATACCAAGCATCCTTGAGTGAGAAGCTGAACCTCTTTTTTTTTTTTTTTTTTTGAGACAGAGCCTCGCTCAGTCGCCCAGGCTGGAGTGCAGGGGCTCGATCTCCGCTCACTGAAAGCTCTGCGTCCTGGGTTCACGGCATTCTCCTGCCTCGGCCTCCCGAGTAGCTGGGACTACAGGCGCCCGCCACCACGCCCGGCTAATTTTTTTGTATTTTTTTAGTACAGACGGGGTTTCACCGTGTTAGCCAGGATGGTCGCGATCTCCTGACCTCGTGATCTGCCCACCTCGGCCTCCCAAAGTACTGGGATTACAGGGAAGCTGAACCTCTTAACTAGTTTTTATAAAGACACTCCCACATGCTCCTGACTTTTGCCTTCTTTTCTGGCCACACCTCTGCTCGACTTAATACCCAGTACTTCCCAATCCAGAGCTGAGCCATTTTGCAGGTCTGTGGTGTGAATTGATTTACTTGTCATCAGCTTCCCTCTTGAAATAGCTTAGGTTTGCCCCCCTCTGATCTGATAAGGCCTTTACAATTACTTTACCTCATTTCCATTTTAAATGAGTCTGCTAATAGCCTTTTTCTTCCTCTCTCCCTACTTCCTTCCTCCCTCCTTTTCTTCTTTCTTTCTTTATTCTGGAAATCTAGAGTGATTTTTTTAAAAAGCAATTAGGATTATTTATTTCAGTCCCCTAATTGAAATACAGTTAATGACTGCCTATTTCTATTAAAACAAATACCAGACTCCTTTCTTTTGCCTGCAACTCTGTATCTGCTCTGCACCTGTGAAGCTCGCCCGCTTCATTTTGCATCATTCTACACTTCAGCCTTCTTCATTGCAGACACAGAGGGCTTTCATTTTCTTGGACAAGCCATGTGCTTTTCTGGCTCCGAAGCCTCCCACAGGTTTTCCCTTCTGCCCATAATAATCTTCGTTCCCATTTGCTACCGCGGTTCCCAACCTGCCTGCACCTGATTTTCCAAGCTGATTCCTCCTCAGCGTTCATCTCTTGGCTTAAATGAAACTTTCTAATCTCCTAGACAATTCCAGTCTTCTACATATTCTTTCATAATAGGCTGGGTGGACTTTAATTCTGCCTAGCAGGGTACACATCACAGAGAGAACCCTCAATATCATATTTTAGAATGAATGGATAGAGCCTGAATTAATTTGATTCTCAGGCTTTCAGTAAGTAATTTGATACTCAGTCTTTTAAGCTTTTTTCTTAATTGTGTGACCTGACAAATATCAGTACCTCTGTGTGTCTCTTCAGTTTACTCATCTGTTACGAGAGCTGGCTTTCTGTTTTGAGAAGTCAGTGAGCTAATATAGCCAACAGTGCTGAGACCTCTCAGGCTCATTAAACTTTGAGCTTTATGCCTTTTTGCAAATGTTCTAGTTCCCAAAACAATATTTTCCAGCTAGTTGAGGCTCAGTTCTTTTTTTATGAACTAATAACCCAAACTTGGCACTTCAGAGATTTAAAGCAATTTTAATATTCAGTGAAATATTAAACGGACTAGGAGTACCAGCTCCTGCAATTTCAAGCTGCAAGATCTTATGGAAGCTTTAAATTTTCTGCAAGTCTCAGCATCTTTTAAAATAATATTCTAAAACTGTAATTTAAAAATTCAAGGAGTTTGTACTAGATTTCAAGTCTCCAGCCTTTGTTTGCACTTTAGAGATCATAACAAAAGTCTGCTGATGCAAATTTGCACACAGTTGCTGATAAAGGTGAAGTGAGAGAAGCTTTTTTCTGGAGCACCCCCAGCTTGCTACTTTATTCTCTTTTCTTTAAATTTTGGGTGGAGATGGATGAACAGGCCTTGCTTATACCTTGCATATCAAACACACCTTTCAGAAAACCAGACAAGCACTGGGAGACTCTTAATGCCTTTGTGTAACTTTGTTTCACTGAACTAAATAAATTTAGATGTAATTTAGCATTTGCAAATATGAATAAAAAGTTGTTTATTGGTCTTAGAAAACTGTTTTGGAATGTGGAACATTAAATTGCTTTATAGCAAGTTTATCTGTGACTCCTAAATTCTCTTGAATATAGCTATTAGAGTCATATGCTTGTTTACTGGTAACCTGAGTTTACTAGTAAACATGTCAATAGTATTGCTCAGACAAGAAAAGGAGGTAAATCACATTCGTTTATAATTAAATGAAATTTAGTTTCTATCCTCTAAACTTTATGATTATATTTTCATTTTCCTAGGTGATTTCAAAAGGTGTAATCATTCTTCATGGGCAACAGAAAATTGAGATCAACGAAAATGGTGAGGCCTCTAATTTTAGCATATAATTTAATACAAATAGAATGCTTTAATTGGGATATATTTTACATTTTTCTTTAAAAGTCACAATCCTCCCATTTTAGGACTGTTTACTGCCCCCTAAACTACCCTTGGGGAACATGTAAAGACATGTGAATAGGCACAATGCCAAATGAAAAAATAATTACTTAATTAATAGTGCATTAATTATATTCCAAACACTACTATAATGGGAAAGGGCCATTGTCCTTCCCTTTCTTTTCCAAGAAAGACAGGTAAGTATTTTTACATTCAAACAAGAAGGGATTTTTAAAAAGAAACAAAAGTAGACTGAAGTTTGACGTAATAAGAAATGTTCAACTATTTCTTTCTTTTATAATTTATGGAATAGGTTATGAACTCCTCCTAGAAATGCCTTATAAATTAAATTTGGTGGGTTGGGGCAGTCTCTTTGGCAGTGGGTAGGATGGCTAGAAACTCAGTGGAGGGTTTCTGCAAGATGACAGTCAGCTATCTCACCAAAGCACTTTTTCGGTTTGAAATTTTCTTTTCACAGGGAGGAAGGGCATATTTTCCATTTCTATAGACATTAACCCTGAATTAGCGCCCTCAGTAGATATGCTTGTCTATAGCTTGCATCCTGGAGGAGAAATGGTCACTGATAGCACCCAATTCCGAATTGAGAAATGCTTCGAAAATCAGGTAGGTGCCAAAAATGATTCTTTTTTAATTTGGGGGAAAACTAAGGAGAACTTAAGAGACTGTTGGGTTTAAACTCCCAATTTTTCATAGAATTGCAAAATGAAAAATAAAAGAAAGCTATGGAGAAGTTAATATGTTGGATGATTGAAGAGTAGCAGGATTATAGCATTCACTTTGGATGTTGTTCCAAATCCGGTTGTTCCTAATAATAATATTATTAGGTGGGTAAAGCACAGAAAGCCCTTTTAACTTATGTGTGTTTTTAAAAAAGTTAAGAATAGTCTAAAAGATGATTCTTCTCATATGGCTTGCCGTCCTTTTGCCCTTTTATTTTCATTTTCAGGTCAACTTAAATTTTTCTAAAGAAAAAAGTTTACCAGGATCCAATATTGATCTTCAAGTCTCGGCTGCTTCAAACTCTCTTTGTGCTCTTTGGGCTGTAGACCAGAGTGTATTGCTACTAAGGAATTATGGTCAGCTGTCAGCACAAACTGTGAGTGATTAAAACCATCTTTGTTTACCACCAACAGTATAGTTTTATGTCTTTACCTTTGGATAAAAACAGGATACCTTAAATAAACTAGAGGAGAAAGAAATTGTCCAGAGTTCTAGGCATAAAAAATATTTTAGGTTAGAAATCATGTAAAATGACTCTACTCCAATTATACTGATTCTCTTATGGAAAAAATGACCAACACTTTTAAAAATAAATAACAATTGCTAAAGGTCTACTATTTGACACTTGCTCTACTGAGTATTCCCGTATCTATTATTTAATTTTATTCTCATATTAATAAACCCTATAGAACTAATGCAGTATTCCCATTTTGATTAATGTCTAATCTTAGGCTCAGGGAGATTTAGTAAATTAACCGAGAACATTCTCTAACAATGTCCTTGAATGAGTCCTCAAAGAGTATTGAGCAGTGCCTTTATCTGGAATGTATTAAAATCCAGTTGAGCCTCATGGACTTTTTGTTAGTTTTAATGTGATTTAGCCAGCAATTATTTAACTGATTAAATAGTATTTCAAAGTTTTTACAGATCTAAGATCCTATACTTTCTCAATATGTGTTTATTTGGTATAGGTATGATGACAGTTCTACATAGGATATTCATAGGATTATATAGGTTATTTATATACTGCTTGTGGGGAAAAATGAATTGTTTTCTATGAAAAAATACAGTTGACTCTCTTCTACCATCTAGGTGTATAGTCAGCTATATTCCAGGGAACTACATGGCTATTACTTCAGAGGACTTAACTTAGAAGATGGCCTTAAAGTGCCGTGTCTTGAAGATGAACATATCCTTTACAATGGAATTTATTACACACCTGCATGGGCTGACTTTGGAAAAGATGGCTATGACCTTGTGAAGGTAAGGCAACTAAGTCTTAAAATGGTGAATATATGTGACAATATATAAATAAATAGAAATATTCATGCTGTGGGTTTTTAATCTCAGAATTCTTAGAGTACAAATTTACAATTAGTACTAATGTCTGAGAAATAATATCTCAAATAATGTTGTAATAGCAAAAAGACTTAATAAAGTTCTTATTATATTATAGTTATAATTATATAATAGTTATAATATTATAAAGCTATAATAGTTATTCTATATAGTTATAATAAATTATAAAGTTATAATATATTTTTTAAAGTTGTATTAATATAATTTTATTTAAAAGTTATAAAGTTATAAAGTTATAAGGTTATTATAATGTTATAATAAGGTTAAGTTATAAGGTTATTAGAACTTCATTATAAAACTATAATAATATTTTAAATAACTAATAATATTATAATATTAGGAAAAGAACTAATATGTGAGGGAATTATCAGCTTTCCTGACATAATATTATGTACATTATATACTGGTGTCTAATATAAATCCCCATTTTGCTCTTACGTCTACCCTCGAATTTGATTTCTACTATTTTAAAGTATTCTACTATATTTAAAGTGTTTATAAGTGAGATACTATCCCTAGTTCAACAAAAATGCCAAATTCAAAGTAGTGAAAGTATAGTGGGGTATGATATGAGATGTCTTTTTTTGTCCTCTCTTATTTAAAGGTTTTCATCAACAGCTCTTAATTAGGAAAATAGAGCAAAAGCCATTAGAATTAGAGAAACTAAGGAACTCAAAGACATGAAATTTAGGAAACGTCAGTGAAGTATCTCTAAATATATGACAATCAGAGATGGAGAAAGAAATAAGTGGAAATTGAAAATATACATAGAACAAAAAACCAGTCCAGACTGCTAGTCTTATGTTGTTATGTGATCTAAAATTGATTTTATCTTGAAAGGCAACAGGATTAAAGATTTTTACCAACTCTCACCTCCGGAAACCAGTATTGTGCAAGGATTCTAACCATCTTGACTCTACTGATTACATACCCTTAGGTAAGTCACAGTATAATGCGAAGGGCAGGTGACAGGTTATAATCTCTTAATGCTTTTAAACTGATTGGGAAAAGAGGGGAGATGATTATTTTCTTTTGCTTTGTCTTTTAATTCATTTAATGTGCCTGTCATGTCAGATGCTAGAAATACAGTGAGAATAATGCAGGTAAATCTTTATATTCATGAAGTTTACATTGAATTTGGGATGCAGACAATATACAAATGGCTGCATATTGTCATTTGTATATTTCTTGTGTTGCTGTAAAGAAATATTTGAGGCTGGGTAATTTACAAAGAAAATAGGGGCTAAGTGCGGTGGCTCACACCTATAATCCCAGCACTTTGGGAGGCTGAGGCAGGCAGATCACCTGAGGTCAGGAGTTTGAGACAAGCCCGGGTAACATGTTGAAACCCTGTTTCTACTAAAAATACAAAAAAATAGCCAGGTGTGGTGGCGCACGCCTCTAATCCCAGCTACTCGGGAGGCTGAGGCAGAAGAATCACTTGAACCCAGGAGGCAGAGGTTGCAGTGAGCCAAGATTGTGCCATTGCACTCCAGCTTGGGCAACAAGAGTGAAACTCCTTTTCAAAAAAAAAAAAAAGAAAGGAAGAAAATAGGTTAAATTGCCTCACGGTTTTGCCAGCTGTACAGCAAACATGGTGCTGGCATCTGCTCGGTTTCTGGGGAGGCCTCAGAAAACTTACAGTCATGGTGAAAGACAAGGGGGAGCAAGTGTCTCACGTGGCCAGTATGGGAGCAAGAAGAGGAGAGGCGTCACACACTTTTAAACAATCAGATCTCACAAGAAGTCACTCACCATTGCAAGAACAGCACCAAGCAATGAAGGGTCTGCCCCCATGACCCAAACACTTCCTGCCAAGCCCCACCTCCAGCACTGGGGATAACAGTTCAACCTGAGATATGAGGGGACAAATATTCAAACTATATCAATGGCATAATTTCAGATGGTATTAAGTGCTCTGATAGTTAATCTTTCCTGAATTATTGCTACATACCAAGCAACATTCTAAGCATTTTACAAATGTCAACCCATTTATTCATCACAGTCTATAGATTAGAAGCTATTATCTGCAATTTATCAATGAGAAAAATGAAGCTTAGGCAGGTTAAGTAACTTGTCCAATGCAACAGATGCTAAGTAACAGAGATGGGATTATAATCCAGACGTTCTGATCCCAAAGACCATGTTTCTCTATCGTGAGTTACTATCTCTCAAAGAACTACTGTAAGGAAAATAAAACAAGATAAAGGAAAAGAGCAGAACATCAGGATGCTATTTTATTTATTTTTATTTATTTATTTTTTATTATTATTATAATTTAAGTTTTAGGGTACATGTGCACAACGTGCAGGTTAGTTACATATGTATACATGTGCCATGCTGGTGCACTGCACCCACTAACTCGTCATCTAGCATTAGGTATATCTCCCAATGCTATCCCTCCCCCCTCCCCCCACCCCACAACAGTCCCCAGAGTGTGATGTTCCCCTTCCTGTGTCCATGTGTTCTCATTGTTCAATTCCCACCTACGAATGAGAATATGCGGTGTTTGGTGTTTTGTTCTTGCGATAGTTTACTGAGAATGATGATTTCCAATTTCATCCATGTCCCTACAAAGGACAGAAACTCATCATTTTTTATGGCTGCATAGTATTCCATGGTGTATATGTGCCACATTTTCTTAATCCAGTCTATCATTGTTGGACATTTGGGTTGGTTCCAAGTCTTTGCTATTGTGAATAATGCCGCAGTAAACATACGTGTGCATGTGTCTTTATCGCAGCATGATTTATAGTCCTTTGGGTATATACCCAGTAATGGGATGGCTGGGTCAAATGGTATTTCTACTTCTAGATCCCTGAGGAATTGCCACACTGACTTCCACAATGGTTGAACTAGTTTACAGTCCCACCAGCAGTGTAAAAGTATTCCTATTTCTCCACATCCTCTCCAGCACCTGTTGTTTCCTGACTTTTTAATGATTGCCATTCTAACTGGTGTGAGATGGTATCTCATTGTGGTTTTGATTTGCATTTCTCTGATGGCCAGTGATGGTGAGCATTTTTTCATGTGTTTTTTGGCTGCATAAATGTCTTCTTTTGAGAAGTGTCTGTTCATGTCCTTTGCGCACTTTTTGATTGGGTTGTTTGTTTTTTTCTTGTAAATTTGTTTGAGTTCATTGTAGATTCTGGATATTAGCCCTTTGTCAGATGAGTAGGTTGTGATAATTTTCTCCCATTTTGTAGGTTGCCTGTTCACTCTGATGGTAGCTTCTTTTGCTGTGCAGAAGCTCTTTAGTTTAATTAGGTCCCCTTTGTCAATTTTGGCTTTTGTTGCTATTGCTTTTGGTGTTTTAGACATGAAGTCCTTGCCCATGCCTATGTCCTGAATGGTAATGCCTAGGTTTTCTTCTAGGGTTTTTATGGTTTTAGGTCTAACGTTTAAGTCTTTAATCCATCTTGAATTAATTTTTGTATAAGGTGTAAGGAAGGGATCCAGTTTCAGCTTTCTACATATGGCTAGCCAGTTTTCCCAGCACCATTTATTAAATAGGGAATCCTTTCCTCATTGCTTGTTTTTCTCAGGTTTGTCAAAGATCAGATAGTTGTAGGTATGCGGCGTTATCTCTGAGGGCTCTGTTCTGTTCCATTGATCTACATCTCTGTTTTGGTACCAGTACCATGCTGTTTTGGTTACTGTAGCCTTGTAGTATAGTTTGAAGTCAGGTAGTGTGATGCCTCCAGCTTTGTTCTTTTGGCTCAGGATTGACTTGGTGATGCAGGCTCTTTTTTGGATCCATATGAACTTTAAAGTAGTTTTTTCCAATTCTGTGAAGAAAGGCATTGGTAGCTTGATGGGGATGTCATTGAATCTGTAAATTACCTTGGGCAGTATGGCCATTTTCACGATATTGATTCTTCCTACCCATGAGCATGGAATGTTCTTCCATTTGTTTGTATCCTCTTTTATTTCCTTGAGCAGTGGTTTGTAGTTCTCCTTGAAGAGGTCCTTCACATCCCTTCTAAGTTGGATTCCTAGGTATTTTATTCTCTTTGAAGCAATTGTGAATGGGAGTTCACTCATGATTTGGCTGTTTGTCTGTTGTTGGTGTATAAGAATGCTTGTGATTTTTGTACATTGATTTTGTATCCTGAGACTTTGCTGAAGTTGCTTATCAGCTTAAGGAGATTTTGGGCTGAGACAATGGGGTTTTCTAGATATACAATCATGTAGTCTGCAAACAGGGACAATTTGACTTCCTCTTTTCCTAATTGAATACCCTTTATTTCCTTCTCCTGCCTAATTGCCCTGGCCAGAACTTCCAACACTATGTTGAATAGGAGTGGTGAGAGAGGGCATCCCTGTCTTGTGCCAGTTTTCAAAGGGAATGCTTCCAGTTTTTGCCCATTCAGTATGATATTGGCTGTGGGTTTGTCATAGATAGCTCTTATTATTTTGAGATACGTCCCATCAATACCTAATTTATTGAGAGTTTTTAGCATGAAGGGTTGTTGAATTTTGTCAAAGGCCTTTTCTGCATCTATTGAGATAATCATGTGGTTTTTGTCTTTGGTTCTGTTTATATGCTGGATTACATTTATTGATTTGCATATATTGAACCAGCCTTGCATCCCAGGGATGAAGCCCACTTGATCATGGTGGATAAGCTTTTTGATGTGCTGCTGGATTCGGTTTGCCAGTATTTTATCGAGGATTTTTGCATCAATGTTCATCAAGGATGTTGGTCTAAAATTCTCTTTTTTGGTTGTGTCTCTGCCCGGCTTTGGTATCAGGATGATGCTGGCCTCATAAAATGAGTTAGGGAGGATTCCCTCTTTTTCTGTTGATTGGAATAGTTTCAGAAGGAATGGTACCAGTTCCTCCTTGTACCTCTGATAGAATTCGGCTGTGAATCCATCTGGTCCTGGACTCTGTTTCGTTGGTAAGCTATTGATTATTGCCACAATTTCAGCTCCTGTTATTGGTCTATTCAGAGATTCAACTTCTTCCTGGTTTAGTCTTGGGAGAGTGTATATGTCAAGGAATTTATCCATTTCTTCTAGATTTTCTAGTTTATTTGCGTAGAGGTGTTTGTAGTATTCTCTGATGGTAGTTTGTATTTCTGTGGGATCGGTGGTGATATCCCCTTTATCATTTTTTATTGCGTCTATTTGATTCTTCTCTCTTTTTTTCTTTATTAGTCTTGCTAGCGGTCTATCAATTTTGTTGATCCTTTCAAAAAACCAGCTCCTGGATTCGTTAATTTTTTGAAGGGTTTTTTGTGTCTCTATTTCCTTCAGTGCTGCTCTGATTTTAGTTATTTCTTGCTTTCTGCTAGCTTTTGAATGTGTTTGCTCTTGCTTTTCTAGTTCTTTTAATTGTGATGTTAGGGTATCAATTTTGGATCTTTCCTGCTTTCTCTTGTGGGCATTTAGTGCTTTAAATTTCCCTCTACACACTGCTTTGAATGTGTCCCAGAGATTCTGGTATGTTGTGTCTTTGTTCTCGTTGGTTTCAAAGAACATCTTTATTTCTGCCTTCATTTCGTTATGTACCCAGTAGTCATTCAGGAGCAGGTTGTTCAGTTTCCATGTAGTTGAGCGGTTTTGAGTGAGGTTCTTAATCCTGAGTTCTAGTTTGATTGCACTGTGGTCTGAGAGATAGTTTGTTATAATTTCTGTTCTTTTACATTTGCTGAGGAGAGCTTTACTTCCAAGTATGTGGTCAATTTTGGAATAGGTGTGGTGTGGTGCTGAAAAAAATGTATATTCTGTTGATTTGGGGTGGAGAGTTCTGTAGATGTCTATTAGGTCCGTGCAGAGCTGAGTTCAATTCCTGGGTATCCTTGTTGACTTTCTGTCTCGTTGATCTGTCTAATGTTGACAGTGGGGTGTTAAAGTCTCCCATTATTATTGTGTGGGAGTCTAAGTCTCTTTGTAGGTCACTCAGGACTTGCTTTATGAATCTGGGTGCTCCTGTATTGGGTGCATATATATTTAGGATAGTTAGCTCCTCTTGTTGAATTGATCCCTTTACCATTATGTAATGGCCTTCTTTGTCTCTTTTGATCTTTGTTGGTTTAAAGTCTGTTTTATCAGAGACTAGGATTGCAACCCCTGCCTTTTTTTGTTTTCCATTTGCTTGGTAGATCTTCCTCCATCCTTTTATTTTGAGCCTATGTGTGTCTCTGCACGTGAGATGGGTTTCCTGAATACAGCACACTGATGGGTCTTGACTCTTTATCCAATTTGCCAGTCTGTGTCTTTTAATTGGAACATTTAGTCCATTTACATTTAAAGTTAATATTGTTATGTGTGAATTTGATCCTGTCATTATGATGTTAGCTGGTTATTTTACTCGTTAGTTGATGCAGTTTCTTCCTAGTCTTGATGGTCTGTACATTTTGGCATGATTTTGCAGCGGCTGGTACCAGTTGTTCCTTTCCATGTTTAGCGCTTCCTTCAGGAGCTCTTTTAGGGCAGGCCTGGTGGTGACAAAATCTCTCAGCATTTGCTTGTCTGTAAAGTATTTTATTTCTCCTTTGCTTATGAAGCTTAGTTTGGCTGGATATGAAATTCTGGGTTGAATATTCTTGTCTTTAAGAATGTTGAATATTGGCCCCCACTCTCTTCTGGCTTGTAGGGTTTCTGCCGAGAGATCCGCTGTTAGTCTGCTGGGCTTCCCTTTGAGGGTAACCCGACCTTTCTCTCTGGCTGCCCTTAACATTTTTTCCTTCATTTCAACTTTGGTGAATCTGACAATTATGTGTCTTGGAGTTGCTCTTCTTGAGGAGTATCTTTGTGGCATTCTCTGTATTTCCTGAATCTGAACATTGGCCTGCCTTGCTAGATTGGGGAAGTTCTCCTGGATAATATCCTGCAGAGTGTTTTCCAACTTGGTTCCATTCTCCGCATCACTTTCAGGTACACCAATCAGACGTAGATTTGGTCTTTTCACGTAGTCCCATATTTCTTGGAGGCTTTGCTCATTTCTTTTTATTCTTTTTTCTCTAAACTTCCCTTCTCGCTTCATTTCATTCATTTCATCTTCCATCTCTGATACCCTGTCTTCCAGTTGATCGCATCGGCTCCTGAGGCTTCTGCGTTCTTCACATAGATCTCGAGCCTTGGTTTTCAGCTCCATCAGCTCCTTTAAGCACTTCTCTGTATTGGTTATTCTAGTTATGCATTCTTCTAAATTTTCTTCAAAGTTTTCAACTTCTTTGCCTTTGGTTTGAATGTCCTCCTGTAGCTCAGAGTAATTTGATCGTCTGAAGCCTTCTTCTCTCAGTTCGTCAGAGTCATTCTCCATCCAGCTTTGTTCCGTTGCTGGTGAGGAACTGCGTTCCTTTGGAGGAGGAGAGGCGCTCTGCTTTTTAGAGTTTCCAGTTTTTCTGTTCTGTTTTTTTCCCCATCTTTGTGGTTTTATCTACTTTTGGTCTTTGATGATGGTGATGTACAGATGGGTTTTTGGTGTGGATGTCCTTTCTGTTTGTTAGTTTTCCTTCTAACAGACAGGACCCTCAGCTGCAGGTCTGTTGGAGTACTGGGACGTGTGAGGTGTCAGTGTGCCCCTGCTGGGGGGTGCCTCCCAGTTAAGCTGCTCAAGGGTCAGGGGTCAGGGACCCACTTGAGGAGGCAGTCTGCCTGTTCTCAGATCTCCAGCTGCATGCTGGGAGAACCACTGCTCTCTTCAAAGCTGTCAGACAGGGACATTTAAGTCTGCAGAGGTTACTGCTGTCTTTTTGTTTGTCTGTGCCCTGCTCCCAGAGGTGGAGCCTACAGAGGCAGGCAGGCCTCCTTGAGCTGTGGTGGGTTCCACCCAGTTCGAGCTTCCCGGCTGCTTTGTTTACCTAAGCAAGCCTGGGCAATGGTGGGGGCCCCTCCCCCAGCCTCGCTGCCGCCTTGCAGTTTGATCTCAGACTGCTGTGCTAGCAACCAGCGAGACTCCGTGGGGTAGGACCTTCCAAGCCAGGTGCGGGATATAATCTCGTGGTGCGCCGTTTTTTAAGCCCGTCGGAAAAGCGCAGTATTTGGGTGGGAGTGACCCGATTTTCCAGGTGCCATCCGTCACCCCTTTCTTTGACTCGGAAAGGGAACTCCCTGACCCCTTGCGCTTCCCAAGTGAGGCAATGCCTCGCCCTGCTTCGGCTCGCACACGGTGCGCGCACCCACTGACCTGCGCCCACTGTCCTGCACTCCCTAGTGAGATGAACCCGGTACCTCAGATGGAAATGCAGAAATCACCGTCTTCTGCGTCGCTCACGCTGGGAGCTGTAGACCGGAGCTGTTCCTATTCGGCCATCTTGGCTCCTCCCCTCCACAGTCAATTTTTTTAAAAATCCCTCACAGGTAAATTATCAGCCTCTATCTAAGCACATACAATAATGAGGCATTTTGATTACAGAACTGCTCTGCAATAAATGAGAGTTTTAACATAAAAATTGAAAGTACTCACTTTTCAATGTATATCTTCAACCAAAAATTTAGAGCAACCTTTCTCAACTGTTATATAAGAAAATTGCTTAATTGTTTAACTCCACAGAGAATGTGTCGAGAGACCATTTGATGCATAAATAGTACCATTCAGGATATATAGGAGAGAATGGTACTATTTATGCATCAATAAATGTAATGTTAATTCATTACATTCAGTAGCTGTATTGGAGACTTAAAGATAATTCTGTTACAGAACTCCGGATGATAAGGGCTAATTTAAAGTTCCTAGCTTGTTTTTCTTTTCTTTAATTTTCTCAGAACTCTTAGAAGTAATCAGCCTGGTATCGTTCTATAGCAGTGGAAATTTGTGGTCCCCAAATGCTTGCTGTCAATAGGCACTTTGTCAATGGTGAACAGGAGATTATTTGATTATCTTTTTCACCAGTGCATGATAGGGAGTGCTGAATTTTCATGCCTTGATATTTATATAATTTTCACTGGAGTCCACTTCAGTTAGGCAGACACCCATCCCTAAGGTCTCACTTCTATCTTTCTCAAAGATATTCTGCCTCATTACCAAAGCACATGAGCTCCTGGAAAGATAAATATCTAAATATTCTATAAAATACTGAATATTACCTCACTAATAACATCTGAGATGAGAGGCAAAGATTATGACTATCAGGAATAACCAGAATTTGGGGCCAAATTGTCTTCATTGTAGGTCTAACAGAGACCGGATCCATCTTCTGGTTATTTATTCATTTTCCAAATGTGTAGGTATAATTGACAAGTCTAGCAATGATCAGAATTCCCACTGTGGCTCCTTGTGTGTGGAATAAACACATTGGAGTGGATGTGAAAAGGTTCTGCCTATCTTATCCTCAATGAACTAGAAGTTGCCATTATACTCACAGTTCCCTGAAAATAAACTCTTCCATGGCCTCCCCATTTCACTCCCTTCTGATTCCCAGTCTCAGAACAGAGCATCTCACTGGTCGAGCCTGTCATTTACCTGCCCCCTGGATTCAAGGTAATCTGGGAATGGAGTCTTCTAACTTCTTTACTGGAAGTGAAACGCATATGTTGGGAAATTACCAAAGTATATGACAAGTCTACAAATGGCCTGAGGTAAAGATGTACACTCTTTTATAAGCCTTAACAAATGTGTGGCAAGATGATCAGGGATTTAGAACAAGACACATTAAGGGACTAATTCCAAGGAAGTTGAGGAATGAAATTATATTAAAGGGCTTGTTTCTGTCTCTTCTAGAGATATGTCTGGGAACCAAGGTACGGATTGGTAGTGGCTTTTGCAGAATACTTGTTTTCCATCCTTAAGAATAGGAGTTGTTTTCATTTAGACCTTTTAGGATCCAGGAAAGAAGTATATTTTCATTAACATGCTTAAGAATAGTTTCACTGAATTGGAAGCTGAGAGTATTATCTGGCCATTTGGAGATTCCCACATCCAGGCGTCTGGGATAACACAGCCAAACTGTCAAGAAACAATACATTTACTGATATACTTTGGGGACAGGAGGATGAATGCAACTAAATGGATCTCATGGAGCCCCTCCATGTCCCACAATGCAGTCTTTACATTTCATGGAAGGAGAATGTTACTCTCCCACCACGTTCAAGTGGAACCATCTATGGATCAGATTCCTCAATTTGTGAAATTAAGACCACACAACTGGTAAAGAATCTTAAGGATCTACAGGCTTCACTGCAAGAAAAAAAAAGAAAAGGAATAAAAACATCCTAGTAACTTTTTAATATATTCCTTTACTCCTCAAGTTAACAGGAGAGACCTAATACATTTCATCTCTCAACGTAGATGGCTTTGATAATTTATTTCAAGCAGGATCAGACTTTTTTTTTTTTTGCTTGTATCGATTGGTCTTGTACAGATTTATAGATTTTTATATTTAAAGAACAATATATTCTATGTAAGTAACATGGATTTAGATATAAAAATTCTGCTTGGCTCTTCTAAGATTATTTCTCCGAGCTTCTCACATACCTAATCTCCAAATAAGAAGGATCTAATAAAAATGAATGTCAAAAATATGAGGGCCCTTCATTGCATAACTTTTGTAACACTCAATAATTCATCCAATCAATTTTGATTAGGGTTGAAGTTCTGATTTCACTCTGATAAGAATGGATTTGCAATTCACAATTCCAGCAGAAAGAACAACCTGGAGCTAATTATCTCTAAGAATGACAGTATTACACACCAAACCCTGTGAGTCTTCAAGGCCTAGCTAGTTCACAAAACATCTTTAATTTGTTTACTATACAAGTACTTTATTGATGTACCAGCACTCTTCACTATCAAAATATTGACGCAAAAGGTAGCCCTGTCTTCATATAAAATATAATTCATTATGGATCTTCCAGAATAAAAATCTACCCTAAAACAGTTGCTAAATGAACTTATTATGACAGCTTGTGTGTGTTTATTTGTGTAAACTCAATATAACATTTTGGCAAAATATATATTGAACTATCCATCCTAAACATAATCTAATAGGGCTATTTTCTTCTTGAGATTACTTCTGCAACAAGTTAGCAAAACTATAGCAGAGATGGCCAGTTTTATTAGTACATCAAAAAATAGACCTATCAGAATAAACTTTTGGCCTGAATTCCTCATGTTATGTATTTAAATATTTAGACTAGGACTGGTCACTTCTAGATGTAATTGTTCCAAAGGTTCATATTTTTTTTGACTTGGCCTGGGAAGAGATAGAATTAAATATACAAGGAAAATTTAAGTAAGTTTTGTTAACGTGTAATTCAATTTGATTAGAACAACAATTATTAAGCCAACACTTTACTTAGACATCTATACCCTGATTACAGAATGTGAATTGCAGCCATAATGCAAGAAAATTATATGACTATAATAACAAGGAGCACAGTGGCTTAAAATTTTAAGCTAATATGGGCTGTGAACATGTCATATACATTTTTGTGCCTTGAGCATTTGGATCAGTCCTTGGAACACATCTGACACTCTACGAGTGTTTTAAAATTTTATTTAATTTGAAAAGAATGAAGAAGGAATGAGTTCTGGTGTTCTATTGCACAGTAGGCTGACAATAGTTTACAGTAAGATTTAGCAAATTACAAAATAGCTAGATGAGAGGTTTTTGAATGTCTTCACCATAAAAAAAAAAGATAAATGGATGAAGTACTGGTAACACTGCCCCAATATGATCATTATACTACATATATAGATTATGTGTGTGTGTGTGTGTGTGTGTGTATTGAAACATCAAATTGTACCCCCCCACTTTTTTTTTTATTTTTGAGACAAAGTCTCACTCTGTCACCCAGGCTGGAGTGCAGTGGTATGATCTCGGTTCACTGCAACCTTCACCTCCCACGTTGAAGCGATTCTCCTGCCTCAGCCTCCCAAGTAGCTGGGATTACAGAGGCACACGCCACCATACCCAACTAATTTTTGTATTTTTAGTAGAGATGGGGTTTCACAATATTACCCAAGCTGATCTTGAACTCCTGGGCTCTAGTGATCTGCCCACCTTGGCATCCCAAAGTGCTAGGATTACAGGTGTGAGCCACTGTGCCCCGCCAATTGTATCCTTTAAGTATGTACAATTACAATACTTTAAAAAAAGAAAAAAGAATAAAGGCAGTACAAGTTTTTATGACCAAAGCATAGTGTATAATCCTCTAAGATTTATAGACATTAGGGTTCTTAAGCCCTCACAGGCTCTACCAAAAGCTACTTGTTTGTTTCATAAGAGAAAATATTGGCCTAAAATAACCCTTGTGAAACTATCCGAAACTATCCGAAATATGGCAGCAAAGGGTAATACTCTCATACAAATTCTGATTGTTTATATTTTTTTCATTATTTTCTAGGATCCTCAAAACAATCGGATTTTTCAAAGGCAAAATGTGACTTCTTTCCGAAATATTACCCAACTCTCGTTCCAACTGATTTCAGAACCAATGTTTGGAGATTACTGGATTGTTGTGAAAAGAAACTCAAGGGAGACAGTGACACACCAATTTGCTGTTAAAAGATATGGTAACCAGTTGCTATTTGTAGCTGTCCTGTGTAGATGAAGAGTTTAAAGGATGGACCAACACAACATTTATGTTAGACTTAGGCAGGAGTAGGTGAAGCTAGAACTGGTTTTCTTTGTCTCCCTTCCTTGACCTGGTTGGCTTCGTCATCAGCACTTTGCTGCTCCTCTCTCCTTCCCCAGTATCCTTATTCTGATTCCTGCCTTCTTTTTCCCCTAGAAAATATACATTTTTTCTAGAATCCCCACAGTCTTCTAGGAGAGATCTAAGAGATTGCAATAGAAAGAAAATGTGAGGCCAGGTGTGGTGGCTCACGCCTGTAATCCCAGCACTTTGAGAGACTGAGGCGAGTGGATCATGAGGTCAGGAGTTCGAGACCAGCCTCACCAACATGGTGAAACCCAGTCTCTACTAAAAATACAAAAATTAGCCCAGCGTGGTCGTGCATGCCTGTAATCCCAGCTACTCGGGAGGCTGAGGCAGGAGAATGGCTTGAACCCCGTAGGCAGAGGTTGCAGTGAGCCAAGATTGCACCACTGCACTCCAGCCTGGGCAACAGAGTGAAACTCCGTCTCAAACAAACAAACAAAAAGAAACAAAATGTGAAATTCTGAAGATAGGGAAAAGAAAAGAAAGAGGAAGAATTAATCATTAGTGAGACACCACCATGTAGAATGGTGCCACACAATTTGGGGCAAATGATACATAGCTAATACAGATGGAGGGTACAAGGAATCATAGTAAGCTATACGACTGCAATAAGGTTTGCTTGCCTGTGATTGTGCAGGCTAACATATATTTCTCTTCGTTTCCAGTGCTGCCCAAGTTTGAAGTTACAGTCAATGCACCACAAACAGTAACTATTTCAGATGATGAATTCCAAGTGGATGTATGTGCTAAGTGAGTATTTATTCAGATTTACCTTCACAAGAAAACACAAAGCTCAGAGAGAATGAGAAGTGAGATTAACCATAAAACTTTAATTATTTATATGCTTACATTAGTGTTATTAGAGAAGCAATGAATCCTCATTGTAGAAAATTTGAAAAATATAGAGAAAAACACAAGACATTACCTATTATTAATTTGACCAACTGCCATTAACATTGTAATGTCACTAACATTGTAAGTTTCCTCTAATTTTAATGAATATTTTCCATGACTGCAATCATACTTTTCTATTTATAATAATTAAGAAAACATGCCTTCATATTATGCCAATCTTTTCATGAATTCCAATTTTCTGCTGCACATATTTTTATGTGACTATACCAAATTTAATTATTTTATTATATAATATGTCGGCTGTTTCATTTTGTTTTCCTGGTAATTAATAATTTTGCAGTATATGTCTTTGTGTATAACATATAATAGGTAGCTTTTGAATGAAAAATTATTTACTTAAGAAAGATTTCCAGACAAGGAATTACCAAGACAAAATATGTAACATTCTTTTAGTCTTCTGATTGCCATACTCCTCACTACACATGTTGTGCCAGTGTAGAATTCTAGCAGCTGGTGTGAAATTCTCATTGAATCTTTACTATCATGGCATATTTTCATTAAAATTAGAATATGAGCTATTGAAATGGCAAAGTGAAGATAAAGCATCTTATCAAGTTAATCTGAATTATTTGAATTCTCTTAATGTAAAAAAATCTACACGATTTCAGAATTTGTATTTTGTTTTTGGAAAATTATTTTTAATTTTTTTTTCTTTTTTACTGCCTTTTCTCAAATTTCTAATAATAATTTATAAACAATTGGCCAGGCACGGTGGCTCACACCTGTAATGCCAGCATTTTGGGAGGCCAAGGTGGGGGGGATCATCCGAGGTCAGGAGATCGAGACCAGCCTGGCCAACATAGTGAAACCCCGTCTCTACTAAAAATACAAAAAATTAGACGGGCATGGTGGCAGGCAGCTGTAATCTCAGCTACTCGGGAGGCTGAGGCAGGAGAACTGCTTGCACCCAGGAAGTGGAGGTTGCAGTGAGCCAAGATCATGCCACCTCACTCCAGCCTGGGCGACTGAGTGAAACTCTGTCTCAGAAAAAAAATAATAAAATAAAAAATAAAATAAATGTTTTTTGAATGTCAACTAGTTTGTTAAGCTCTGCATATATCATTACCACAGTGCTATGAGATAGGAGCTATTGTCATCTCTATTTTATAAAGAAAGATAATAAGACACAGAGAATTAAAATAACTTATCAACAGTAATGGAGCTTGTTGATGGCAGAACTAGGATTTAGACCTAGGTTTTTCAGCTTCAAAGCTACTCTCCTAATCAATAACTGTCATATACTTTATAAAAACAGTTAACAATATTAATATTTGCCATATTTGTTAAGCACTTTGTTTAATTTATGACATGAAAATTACTTGCCTTTGAGTATTTCCAGCAGTCTATTAAAGATACATTGATTAAAGGGCTGTCTAATGAACGTGCAAGGGTGGTTCTTAAGATGCCTTTGATGCCCCAGAGAATCTTGCAAACCAGTTTTCAGCCTTCTTTTTTTTTTTTTTCAGTAGCATTTCAAATCTTCTTTTGACTTTAGGAAATGATTATAAATTTTTTTCTAAGTTTTAATGAAGAGTAGTTGAAAATACCAGAATTTAATATACGTAATAGATGAGAGACTGTAGATCACTGATGTTAAAAATGATGAGGTGATAAATTTAAGCTGGAAGAAATCCAGAATCCTAAACAGGTTTCACTAGAAAAGCCAAACGCAAAGCCAGAGCTTTCAGTGGCATTAACATCTCATTTATTTATCTGCACAATAGTGTGCTAAAAAAAAACCCACAACACATTGGAAGAGCAAAAATGTTTCTCAAACATGGCCTTTGGAAAATACTTGCAAACCTCATGCTAACATGGAACTGGTAGTTCCTTAGCAGTATGTCAGGTTACAATCCATGATCCTGATTTCTTGAAATTTCTTTGATGTTGTATTTTGGATAGAGTTATATTAAGGAGTAAATCAGTATCAGCAATAATAATATCCTGCCAGGAGGCCAGGCAGCTAGACTGGAGCTGTGCTTGCTACAAAGTTATTTCTGGGCAGATTGTGAGAGCACTGTTTCTAGAAGGTTCACGTCAGTTGTATACTGTGTCTCAAATTGTATGATACTGTGTCTGTGTTTCTTTAGCCTTTTCTGGGATTTAGCTTGGAATGGCTAGAGAAAACAAGAAAAAAATTGGATTATTTTAGCAAACAAAGTCAGAGATGACTTAGGCTTTTAAGAGGGAAGAAAATTTACCTACAGACGAAGAGATTTTAATACACTGCATTAGCATTCACTGAAAGCTTTTCAAATCACGAAGGGATTATTCTGTCCTGTTTTTAAAATTTAAGCTACATGTCTTATAGGCATATGTTAGCTTACAGATAATACAATAAGACTTTTATTTTATAAATAAAAAACATTAAGTAGAAATAAGAAGAAATGTTCAGGTATAATATGTGTGGCCAGATCTAAGTCTGGCCTTTATATAATCATGAAACCTGACACATGATTTTATTGGTATGAATTGACTCAGAATCTCAAAAGTGTTAGGAATTTTTAAATAGAAAGAGAAAAAGGTGAGTGGAAAGAAAAGGGCACAGGCTATGGAGTGAGGCAGATCTGAGTTCGAATTTTAGTTTCATCAATTACAATGTGGAGAAGTTACTTGACCTCATTTTACAAATCAGGGTCACTGGGAAAAATAAATGATATATATCAGTGTCCAACAGTTAGAAAAAAGTATTATAATCTGTGAAAATAATATTCACTTTTATTATATGCTAGTTTTACATTTGTTGTCTATTAACAAAACAAAAAACTCCAATTGACTGGATTTGCCTTTGGTTGAACCTTTACAAATCTTGTGTTGTAGTTTTGTGTTTTAGGAGAAAATGAGATACTCAAACCCACCCTGTAAGGTATTATATTTTTGGTCAAAGCAGAACCAGTTCATGCCAGCCCCATAGCCTTTATATTTATTGAGTGGTAAATAAAAACTTGTGTTTAAAATGTTGATCTGGAAATGTTTCAAGATCCTGAATCATCCAAGTTTTATATACATATATATTTTTCTGATAAAAGGGAAAGTGCTACGATGTTATGATGTTTCTATCAGATTAAAATATATTTAAAAAAACTCAATTTAAGCATTAAATCATATTCAATGAGATTTTAGATTATTTTAGATTCTGCCTTACCCTGAATTCGATTTTTTAAAGGCAGCCAAATCCTCCTGACATCAAATGCCCAGTTTAACCTGAATTCTGTGGGGAACCTAAACCCTCACCAATAGGGAGAATTCCTAATTCAATTTGTTTAGACTGGGTTACTCACAGTTTAGAGACTTCCTATATAATTTCTGAAGAAGATCATAAAATATTGCTATGATATTGCTTATCTGTAATTATAACTACACCTTCCCCCATTAGGTACAACTTTGGCCAACCTGTGCAAGGGGAAACCCAAATCCGGGTGTGCAGAGAGTATTTTTCTTCAAGCAATTGTGAGAAAAATGAAAATGAAATATGTGAGCAATTTATTGCACAGGTACAGACCATGATCTTTACTCCAAAAAAAGTTCTCACTCATTTTTCATTCTTATTCTTTCTTTGATTTCATTTATAAGGGGAACTTAACAATACTATTTTCATTTTATTGATAATGGAGTTTGCAGCTAAATAAAGTGAAGAAAGAGAAGAAAATACAGTGCTTAAAGCAGTTTTTTATTCCATAGACCATGTAAATTGTTCTCCACCTATAGATTCATGGGATTTTTAGAATATGAAAGGTATCGTGGGCTTTGTTGTTTTGTATATCGCCTAGGTGGCCTTCCTGATTTTTCTTTGGAGAATCGTTAATCATCCTTTAAATGAGTCTGTGATATTACTCTCCATGCCACCTGGATTTTTTTTTAGTGGAAACAGCTTACTTGCAATCAACTGCAATTCAGAGTACCCCCACTATATTACTTTAGACTTGCAGTTCATATGTGAAGTCATCATTTGCTCTATCTGCAGCATCCTAACCTTAAGTGAACAACTCTTCCTATCTCTTTGAAATTGTCTTTTGACTCCCCAAAGTGAAGCTTGTGTACGCCACATAGTTCATATTTTAAGTCCAATTGTCCTAAAGTTACTCATCAAATTTAGTGAACATCCTCTAGGTAAATATCAATAATTGACAAAGACAAGCAGAATCCTACCTTTACATAGGAAATGCAGGCAAAGAAAACTAGGGTGGAATTTCTCCATGTCAGCAGTACATTCTGATAGAGTTCAGTCAACTGTTTTACACAATGATGGGTGTTCCCTCAGCAAATGGTTTATTTTTTTCCCCCATGTGAAAAAAATACCCATAAACAATCTGGTAGAGGCTAGGAGCAGTGGCTCACACCTCTAATCTGAGCATGTTGGAAGGCCGAGGCGGGAGGATCATTTGACTCCAGGAGATCGAAACCAGCCTGGGCAACATAGTGAGCCCCTTCTCTACAAAAATTAGCCAGGCACAGTGGTGCACATCTGTGGTTCCAGCTACAGGGAGGCTGAGGCAAGAGAATCACTGGAGCCCAGGAGGTCAAGGCTGCAGTGAATTGTGTTCGCACCACTGTACTCAAGGCTGGGCAACAGAGCAAGACCTGCCTCAGAAAAAGAAAAAAAAAAAAAATCTGTCCGGTGGAACTATCTTTATATATGAGAGGCTTTATTTACTTGAAATAAATTTCTTAGAGTGAGTTTCCTGAGTCAAAGGAAATATAGATAATGTTCATAGACAGATAATTTTAATTTTAATAAATATTAGCATATTGCTCTCCTAAAAGTTTTTAGGCATTCAAATTCCTGTCAGAAGTACATGAGAATACTATATTTTCCAAATTACTTTCAGCAATATATTTAGAAGTTTTAAAAGTTTTTGTCATTTTGATAGACACAAATTTAGCTTGTTTTAACTTGTGCTATCTAATTTCTATTTAGTTTGAGCAACTTTTCATATTTTTGTTATCAATTTGGATTTGAGAACTCTTAATTACCCATGTTTTTCTGTTCATGTGAAATGGAAACTTTCATTGTAAGTACTGCCTTCCATCCTCCAAGCATTTTTTTTTTAAGCCCATTATTTAAATAGGCAACTCATTTACTTTGTCATATTTTTGACATACCCACCTTCCTTATGTTCCTGGGTTTCCAGCCTTAGAAAAAAAATCTCACTGGCCCCTGTGTTGTACATGTGGCTATCTAAGTATGCTCTTAAGATCGTTTACAATTTTCTAATAGACAAAAAGTTCACTTCCAATGATGTTCTAAAATGGGAATTTTTCTTCCAGATGTGGGCTGTGTTGTGTTAGCACCTATCTCACAATTTTGTTCTCTCTCACTCTTTGTCCTAAATCATGCCCACGAAAGTTTCGTCTATGTTATTGGTTCTTATTTTTACTATTTTCTTTCTTATATTATTTTGTGTTCCTAAATAATTTATTTTCTCTTTCATCTTATTAATTCTTTTTTCTAATATTTGTAGTTGATTTTGTTGGGGTTTAAAAAATATATTAGCTGTTTCTTTTAGTAATAAGCACATTCAGTGTTTTACATTTCTTCTTAACTACAGCTGAAAACCGTTGACTTTGATGCAAAGCATTTTTTCATTACTCTAATATCTGGATTCTTATTGGTTTACTTTATGTATTCTCTTTGTTTCAAGGATTCCTGAAAAAAGGCTTTTCTCTTATTTTCGAAATAATTAAGGTTCTTCTGATCACTTTCTATGATTTCATTTTAATTTGACTATATTATCATTAGACAAAGTAAAATTGCTTTTGTTGTTGATGTAATAGCTGTTAATTTAAGATTGAGAAGCACATACTCTGCAGCCAGAGCAGCTCCTCAGCACCACCGTCTCTTAGCTGTGAGATCTTGGACAGGCTACATGATGGACCTATTTTAGTTTCTTCATCTATATAGTAAGATAATAACAGTACCTAGCTCATGTAATAGTTTTGAGTATCAAATAAACTGATATATCCTTATAACATTTTAAATCTGGAATAAACACTGTGTTGTAAAATATAACTAAATTTATATTTCTCTGATTATTGACATTACTGATGATAGATTAACTATAGATTTTTTTTGTTATTTTAAATAAGCAATATACCTTAAAAAGTGTTTGTTTTGTTGTTACACATGTGCTGAGCGCTTCTGTTCCATCTGTTTTAGTGCCTTTCTAGATGATTAGAATTTCTTCCTCTTAAAACACTGTGAACCAAAAGTATCTGAGACAGATGTCAATCAATTTGCAAAGCTTATGTTGCCAAGGTGAAGGATGTACCTATGACAGCCTCCAGAGGTCCTACCAACATGTGCCCAAGGTGGTTGGGGTACAGCTTGCTTTTATACATTTCAGGGAGATGTGAGACATCAACAAATATGTGTAAGATGTACATTGGTTCGGTCCAGAAAGGCAGGACAATCCAAACTAAGGGGGTTTCCAGGTCATAGGTAGATAAGAGACAAACAGTTGCATAAAGAAGAAGTCTTTGAGGCCGGGTGCAGTGATTCACAGCTGTAATCCCAGCACTTTGGGAGGCCGAGGTGGGCAGATCACGTGAGGTCAGGAGATTGAGACCAGCCTGACCAACATGGAGAAACCCCATCTCTACTAAAAATACAAAAATTAGCCGGGCGTGGTGGCAGGTGTCTGTAATCCCAGCTACTCGAGAGACTGTTGCAGGAGAATCGCTTGAACCTGGGAGGCGGAGGTTGCAGTGAGTCAAGATTGGGCTATTTCACCCCAGCCCGAGTGACAGAGCAAGACTCTATCTCAAAAAAAAAAAAAAAGAATAAGTCTTTGTCTTTGATCAGCCTTTCACTGAATACACAAATTACATGTGAGAGGAGGATAGAGGAATAGTCACTTATGCCTTAGTGTGGCTCAGTAAATCTGCATTTTTACATAAACTATTAGGCAGAGGAAGCAATCAGATAAATCAGATACATATTTGTCTCAGGTAAGCAGAGGGATGACTGAGTCTGTCTTTTGTCCCACGCCTGTAAAGATAAGCTATGAATTTATATTGCCAGGGTGAATTTCCAAAGAACTGTTTTAAGGAAAAGTTCTTCAGGCCCACAAAGAATTTCCTTGTGGGCAAATTGTGAGGGAGGTATGTAGTTTTTATCTTTGTAGCTACCTTATTTGGGAATAAAATGGGAGACAGATTTGCCCAGCTGTTCCCAGCTTGCCCTTTCCCTTTAGCTTAGGGATGTTGGGCTCCTGAGATTTACTTTCCTTTCACAATACCATTCAGCTTCATTTCCATCCTTTAATCTTTTCTCATCTACAATGTTTCCAGGAGAATTTCCTTGAAATCTGTAAAATACAGATTACCTCCTTCCCTTATTTAAAATGCTGATGTAAATATTCGCCTCCTCCTACTCCTCCTTTAATTCTTTGGCCATTTCAACAAGTTTATGAGGTAGAGCCGTGGCACGGGGTGGGGATGTTAATATATTTGTGCAAAAACCATATTTTAAAAGACACTTAAAAAAACCTCTTGGATCGCTAACATTTTAATTATACCTTCTCTTTATTTTTCAGTTGGAAAATGGTTGTGTTTCTCAAATTGTAAATACAAAAGTCTTCCAACTCTACCGTTCGGGATTGTTCATGACATTTCATGTCGCTGTAATTGTTACAGAATCTGGGACAGGTAATTACTGTATTTTTTGGACGACCTGGGGATATATGTATGGCAACTTACTGGGAGAAGCTTGTTGAGTTAGCACTAAGTACAAAATTCAGATTATTTCTAATTTAATACAACTGGGAATAGTTGCAAGTGCAAAAATTATTACTGAAAAATTTACAAGATTGCACAAAGTGAGTGTTCAATAAGTATTTGTTAAAAGAATGAAAGAAGAGGCCGGGCACGGTGGCTCACGCCTGTAATCCCAGCACTTTGGGAGGCCAAGGCAGGTGGATCACCTGAGGTCAGGAGTTCAAAATCAGCCTGGCCAGCATGGTGAAACCCTGTCTCTACAAAAATACAAAAAATTAGCCGGGCATGATGGTGAATGCCTGTAATCCCAGCTACTCGGGAGGCTGAGGCAGGAGAATCGCTTGAACCCAGGAGGCGGAGGTTGCAGTGAGCTGAGATCGCACTATTGCACTCCAGCCTCCAGCCTGGGTGACACACCAAGACTCAGTCTCAAAAAAAAAAAAAAAAAAAAAAACCAGAAAGAAGGGAGAAAGAGATTAATTATTTAATTTGGAGTGGGAAAATCAGATTTAACTACTAATTATTTCTTGTTATTTATAAAGGAGTTTGTGATGATGCCATTGTAAAGTGCTCTATATAAGCATACTTGATCAATATCATGATGCTATTCACTCTGGGCAAGCTGGTCACATTTATATTGCTGTGGATGGTAACTTAGACATTTTCACTCTGCTGTGTTCATCATTCCTTACAGTTATGCAGATCAGCGAGAAGACCTCAGTTTTTATCACTCAATTGCTTGGAACTGTAAACTTTGAGAACATGGATACATTCTATAGAAGAGGGATTTCTTATTTTGGAACTGTGGGTGTGACTAAAGAATACATGCTTCCATTTCATTTTCTTGGATCATAGATTGCCCTTTGAAAATTTCTGGTCACTTTTTTCCTACTTTTATAATACATTTTAAGCACTACTATGTCTGAGGTGCTAGAAAGTGTCCTAGATTGAAAGAAGCAATAGATAACAGTATTGTTTTTTCCATACTTTATATTATATATCTATGTATTTAATAGAGCATCTTTCTGTCTGTTGGAATTTAGGAAAATGACTAGGGATCACATTTATGAGTAGAAAACTATTTCTCTGTAAAAATGTAAACATTTTGTGTTTTAAGTCATGTTAATTATTCTTTTCTCGTACAGCTTAAATTTTCGGATCCCAATAATGTACCTATGGTGAACAAGTTGTTGCAACTGGAGCTCAATGATGAATTTATAGGAAATTACACTACGGATGAGAATGGCGAAGCTCAATTTTCCATTGACACTTCAGACATATTTGATCCAGAGTTCAACCTAAAAGTAAGACATCAAAGAACAGAAGAAGACCATTAGACATCCCACAGAGGATTTGGATATCAGAAATGTTAAACATTAGGAATATCTCAAAAGATAGCTTGTATACAGAATATATTTTAAAGAAAATTTAAAATGTAACTTATTTTATAAATTTGCTTGTTCACTAAATAATACATGAGAATACTTGTTCAAGAGGATGGGAAGCTAAAAGTCTATCACGATTGTTATAAATTTGCTAACAACTAATATTTTCCTTTAGGAAACAAGAAGTAGCTCATGAGGATGATTTGACTTTCTTCCTCAGATCATTTCATGCATAGATAGGGGAGATCCTATACTTTCTGTTTATTTTCTGCTGCTTAAACAGAATTTTGCAGTTAAATAATTTGTCAGTGTTCACATGTAGCTGAAAGAAACAGAACTGAAACCCAATTCTGTGGCTTCAATTAAAGTGTAAAAAACATAACAATTCACCATCAGTCTAATGAAATATTTACACAGTCTTTCATGGTCACGTTTTGTATACAAAGAGCAGGTGCTATTATTATTTTGATTCCAATAACTTAACATTAAAACGTCAGCCACAAGCTGAGATTCCTCCCTACTCTGGAGAGTTGAGAAGCCTCCATTCTCAGTAACAACTGTCTTCGGATGTCATGATACTAAGACCCTTCACTTTCTTTTGTCATCTCAGGCCACATATGTTCGACCTGAGAGCTGCTATCTTCCCAGCTGGTTGACGCCTCAGTACTTGGATGCTCACTTCTTAGTCTCACGCTTTTACTCCCGAACCAACAGCTTCCTGAAGATTGTTCCAGAACCAAAGCAGCTTGAATGTAATCAACAGAAGGTTGTTACTGTGCATTACTCCCTAAACAGTGAAGCATATGAGGATGATTCCAATGTAAAGTTCTTCTATTTGGTAAGTCTCAGTCAGTGGGTTCCTGGAATCCTGTTCAATTGCACGTCTGCTTAGCCCAGCACAGCTTAGAAAGCATGCATCAGTCATGCCACGGTGACCAGAGTAAGGGCAGCCTTCTCACTTTGCTGGTGAATACTGTTCGATCCATTAACAACAAACAAACACATAGAACGATCTAAGGCAATTAAAGTTTCCCTAAGGTTGAAGAACTTGCTGTTCAGAGTCCACTTGTTTAAGCATTCAAATGTAACTCATATCAAGTATTTATGACACTCTGTAATAGTAAAATATTGGGCAGATGCCAGAAAGTAAGGTGGAAAGCTTATTTTGATAAGCAGTAAAAGGACTTTATTCTCTTGGTTCTGTCCATTTTGTCTTTCTAAGGAGGAGCCCCCAACCTTTGTGGCACCAGGGACTTTCTTCATGGAAGACAATTTTTCCACAGATGGGGTGGGGATGGTGGGATGGCTTCAGGATGATTCAAGCATATTACATTTATTGTTCACTTTATTTCTATTATTATTACATACTCACCATAATGTGGAATCAGTAAGAACCCTGTGCTTGTTTTCCTGCAGCTAGATGGTCCTATCTGGTGGTGATGGGAGACAGTGACAGATTTTTAGGCATTAGATTCTCATAAGGAGCGCACAACCTAGATCCCTCACATGTGCAGTTCACAGCAGGGCTTGTGCTCCTATGAGAATCTAATACCACTGCTGATCTGACAGGAGCTCAGGTGGTAATGCTTGCTCGCCGCACTGCTCACCTCCTGCTGTGTGGCCTAGTACCTGACAGGCCATGGACAGGTACCTGCCGGTACACAGCCTGGGGACTGGGGCCTTCTGCTCTAAGGGCTATTGAAGAGTGATAAGACACAGACCTGGAAATTAAGACATTAACTTGAATCCCCCACCCTCTCCTAGTTAGCATGCAAGTTAGTGCATCTTGGACGGATTGTTTGAACTCTTTAACCCTTGGCTTCCTCAGGTGTACAGTGTAATTGGAGATTATAAGACTTACCTCTTAGGGTAAGTGTTCTGTGTCAGGCACTGTTATAAGGATTGTATATGTGTTAACTCATTTAATTAGCCTTATAGATATCTCCGTTTTACAGATAATGGAACAGAGGCAAACAGGTAAAACATCATGTTTTAAGTCACAAAGTTAATGAGCAGATGAAGGCGTATTTGAAACCAGACAGCCTTGACAATTTCAGAGCTTTATGTGCCACTTTGCACAGTGCATTGCACATAGTTCACAAAGTTTCCAGTACATGATAGAATCTCAATCAGTTTTAGTCACTTTCTCTGCTCTTTTCCAACTTATGCAAAGTCTATTAATATTTGCTTGTGGAAGCTACCCTATCTTATGGAACAGAATTACCATTAAGTAATGAATTACCTAATCGCAATATGAGAATATGATGACATCAGATAATATATTGCATGTTATGTTTTCTTTGTTCCACACAGATGATGGTAAAAGGAGCTATCTTACTCAGTGGACAAAAGGAAATCAGAAACAAAGGTATACATAATGTATTCTTTTTAAAATATGTGCTCTAACTTCATTTTTTCTTGTTAAGGATATATAGACATTATATATATGGGAATTATATATATTAAGAAAATATATTTAGTCAAACATATATGTGTGTGTATATATATGTGTGTATATATGTATGTGTATATATATATATAGTGAAAAGAAGTTAGAACGAGCACTTATTTCAATTTGTGGATGAAGGTAATAGTTAGCACAGCCTGAGGGAAGCTACTAAATGTCTTGACGAAGGAGAGTTCTACCTGTTTCTTTTATTGTCAGATCATTGAGTACATTAGAAAAGAGGTGTACAACCGCATATTCTCACTCATAGGTGGGAATTGAATGGTGAGAACACATGGACACAGGAAGGGGAACATCACACTCTGGGGACTGTTGTGGGGTGGGGGGATGGGGGAGGGATAGCATTGGGAGATATACCTAATGCTCGATGATGAGTTAGTGGGTGCAGCGTACCAGCATGGCACATGTATACATATGTAACTAACCTGCACATTGTGCACATGTACCCTAAAACTTAAAGAAGAAGAATAATAATAAATAATAAATTAAAAAAAGAAAAGTGGTGTACAAAATCCCAGTATTGTTATTATCTAAATTATGCAGTCTTCTTTATTTGTATATGTACTTCCTATTATTTGATTTATTTGTCTTGAAAACAGGGCCCAATTTACTCTTTCTGTCCATGAGCTATTCTCTTTTATCTAAGTGTACCAGTGATTCAGGAAACTTTCAGCATCGTATCTCTTCGTCTCCTATTTACACAGCCTGGAATGGAAACTTCTCGTTCCCAATCAGCATCAGTGCTGATCTGGCTCCTGCAGCCGTCCTGTTTGTCTATACCCTTCACCCCAGTGGGGAAATTGTGGCTGACAGTGTCAGATTCCAGGTTGACAAGTGCTTTAAACACAAGGTGATGTTTCTCCTATTTCTGGCCTGAGAAGTGGGAACAGTTTGCTCCCTGCTGTCTTCTCGCCTGACTGCTATCACCTTCACGTGGGAAACTCACACTCAGTGCTGGCATAATTGAATTATTAGGGGATGTGAGAATCACCAAACACAATGCATGATCCTTGGCAGCAGTGCCAATCCTGAGACGGCAGCAGGGTGGTGAAGGGGGTCTCCTGCAAAGAAAGCTGAGGGTGAGAGTGGGCAAGGGAAATACAGTATAGAAATCTATAAGGATTTATTCAGGAGAGATTAAATGTATTCAGATCATCTTTACATAAAATGGTCTCTACTCTCATCTCTTTTTTTTCTCTACTTTAGGTTAACATAAAGTTCTCTAACGAGCAGGGCTTACCTGGTTCCAATGCTAGTCTCTGTCTTCAAGCGGCGCCTGTCTTATTCTGTGCCCTCAGGGCTGTGGATAGGAATGTCCTTCTACTGAAATCTGAACAACAGCTGTCAGCTGAAAGTGTAAGCTCTCTGACTTCCTCGTTTTTCATGTTTCTCTGGACTACCAGAAGTCTTATCCTTCAGATGATGTCTTGAACATGTTGAAAATATTGAATGTTTTCTTCCTTTGTTCCTTCATGGATTATATACTTATTTTTCTTGGCTATCCTAAGAACATGCTTATAACAATACAGAATTTGATAGATAATTATAACAGTTTAGGAATTTTACAACTGTGATTTTTAAAAATCATAGGTGTAATCACAGATGTGGAAACTTGGAATAAAATGAAATCTCTATGTTCAAGGATATGCTTGGATTCAGTGTAAAGTTATCTATAAATGGATATTGTATTTTCTTAAACATTTCCAGACCTGGAATTCCAGAAGTTCACATCCAATTTATTTCGGTTAACAATTGTTGGATATTTTCCGTTTATTTCTAACACAATTACATATAAATAACTATTGAAATTTATGATCATATTTAAATCTAATTTAATAATTTAATTTTTTCTGATTAATATTATACCTGTATAATTTGGAAAATGTGCGAAGTATACAAAGACATAAAGAAGGAAATCTTTAAAGTCATTTATAGTCCTAACACTTAGGCATCTTTATAGTTTTGCTGTAATTTTTCAAGTCTCTTTTCTGAAGGCATATATATTTTACAAACTTGAGATCTCACCAAAAAATAGTTTTGTATTTTGCTTTCAACATTCTATAGTAAGTCCAGTTTTAAGTATAAAATTATAGAATTCAGTAATAATATTGAATAACTATGGATCATTATATAAAACATATTTTTCTCAATGCAAAACATAAATACATTTAAGTTTTCTATTACAGGGAGCAAAAATACTTTTAGTTAGAAGCTTTCAGAATCTGAGGGGGCATCAACAAATAAAGGATAAATTTATCTATAAATATGGAATATGGCCATGTGCTGTGCTCACGCCTGTAATCCCAGCACTTTGGGAGGCCAAGGCGGGCAGATCGTTTGTGCTCACGAGGTCGAGACCAGCCTGCACAACATGATGAGACTCTGTCTCTCCCAAAAATATAAAAAATGAGCAGGGCACAGTGATGTGCACCTGTGATCTCAGAAACTTGGGAGATTGACGTGGGAGGATCACTTGAGCCCTGGCTGGGGCAGAGGTTGCAGTGAACCAAGATCGTGCCACTACACTCCATCCTGGGTGACAAAGCGAGACCCTGTCTCAAAGAAAAAAAAGGAATATGTATATATATGTGTGTGTGTGTGTGTACATATATATGTTTATATACATACACACACACACACACACACACACCTTTTTTTTCCCTTGAGAGTTTCATGGATTCAGAGTAAATAGCTTCTGCTCATTCTTTCTACAGTTGGAGGTGGCAATATCTTAGGAAAACTGCCTCAAGAAAAGACCATCAAGGGACCTCAAAAAAAAAATTCTAGAGGCATTTTTCAGGGGTCTCAGAATATATCAGAGCCAAAAGAGATTGCCCTTGTTTATTATTGATAGCTATATTAATAGTATAAATCAAGTGAAGTTCTATAAATGAGTGAATTCCAATTTATATTCTATAAGTTTGTGTTATTTTTTGTATTATCTTATGTAAGCTTAGTTTTTAGTTTTAAATAATTTTTAAAAGTGCAAGAATTACACAGAGAACTCCCATGTACCCTTGGCCTGATTCACCAGTTTGTGAACATTTCGCCATACTTGTTTTCTCTTTCTCACTCTCTCCACCCCTACACACACACACACATACATACACACACACACACACACACACACACAGAGAGAGAGAGTTTATGGCATTTCAGTTTTTTCTGAATCATTTGAGACTAGGTTACATACATCAGTCTATTGTGAAAGAAAAATACAAACAACTCCGGACCCCAATTCACGATGCTAAAAGGACAAAAAATGAGGCTGAAAACTGAGTCATGGAAGAAGTTGTTTTTCTTTTGTTCCTAAGCAGATAGCTACTTTTTCTTCCTTGTTAGATTAGTTAGTGGTTTACCTATTTTGCCGAGTTTTCCAAAAACATATAATTTTAATTTATTAATGTGATGTAATATGATGTGAGGTTTTTTGCTACTCCATCACATTAATTTCTATTTCTATCTTCATTATTTCCTTACTGGTGCTGTATTTTGTTGTTATTTTTAGCTTTTTCACTTAGAAATTTACTTCATTTTCATTAATTTATTTTATTGGGCTAGGTGTTTTTAAGCCTATAAGTTTTTCCATGATTTGTACTTTTGAAGTATCTCATAGATCCTGATACATAGCAATTGCACCATTTTTATTTTTCAGAAATTCTGTAATTTCTGTTTGTATTAACCCTTTCACTGAAAATTTACTTACTGGAGTACTTTATAATTTTCATATAAAAAGGAATTTATTTTAGAGTTTTCTTTTAAATTTCAAGTTCTATATCTTCATGGTCAGCAATATTTCCACCAGTATATTTTTGTGCCCAAATATATAATGAGTTTTTGCGAATATATCTCATGTGTTGAGAAGATATAGTCTCTATTATCAGTTTGTTTTCTATCCACGAGGTTGGATTATTTTGATCCTTTGTATTCTTACTTATTTTGTAAAATTTATTTAACCTTCTTCTGCTGAGTGATGTGTTAAAATACCCTACAAATAGTGCTCTGTTTCTTCTTGCATCTTCTGTAGTTTCTGCATAGATAATCATAACTGTTGTGCCTTTATTATGAATTGCAGCTTTTAGCAGTAAGTATTCTTCTCTATCTTGTTTGATGTCTTTTGGCCTTACTTCTACGATTTCCGATAACAGGAGGATTGCAGCCTTTGCATTCTTATTATTTTCCTTTACTTTTCCTTTGGATTTCACCTTTTGAAGTATGCACTTCACTTGTTTTTTGTATGAAGTACAGCATTGTGTTTTGTTTTAACTATGCATATCTTTGTCTTCTAAAGGAGAATAAAGTCTATTCACTCTATTGATATGATGTATGTGTTAGGCCTCAGCTCTATCATACTATTTTTCTTATGATTCTGTATTGTATTTAAAGCTACTTTATTTCTTTAGCTTTTATGTTTGTTTTTTGCTATCTTGCTTAAAGCTTCTTTGAGTATTCAGGCTAGCTTGAATTTTTATTTTAGTGGTTATTTTTATATTTACATATTTTATAATATCCTAATATCCTAATCTCATTTTTTCTTGCTTAACCTTAATATCTAGTCAGTTATGGCCGGGCGCGGTGGCTCACGCCTGTAATCCCAGGACTTTGGGAGGCCAAGGCGGGTGGATCATGAGGTCAGGAGATCGAGACCATCCTCGCTAACACGGTGAAACCGCGTCTCTACTAAAAATATTAAAAAATTAGCCGGGCGTGGTGGTAGGTGCTTGTAGTCCCAGCTACTCAGGAGACTGAGGCAGGAGAATGGCGTGAACCTGGGAGGCAGAGCTTGCAGTGAGCCGAGATCGCGCCACTGCACTCCAGCCTGGGCGACAGAGCGAGACTCCATTTAAAAAAAAAAAAAAAAATCTAGTCAGTTATTTTTAATCTTTGAGTCTTAACTGCTACCTGCACAACAGTCAGTAATCTCTAGTTTCCACTTTTCTCTCCCTCTTCTCTCATTTTATTGTTGCATTTTTCCTTTTTTGTCAGAATATATAATGTTTACATTCTGTATTGTTTCTCCTATTCATCAAGTCTTACTAATTTCCTGAGTCATCTTTTGGTTACATAAAGCTCATTCTCCAGGAGGCTGGGACGGGAAGATTGCTTGAGCCTGGGAGATCGAGGCTGCTGTGAGCCATTATCATACCACTGAGCTTCAGCCTGGGCAAGAGAATGAGAACCTGTCTCAGGAATAAATAAATAAAAATTTTTAAAAAGTGCATTCTCTGCTAGAGTCCTCAGGATATCACATAAGTATAGAATTCTCTGACATTTTCATATTCAGAATTATTTTTTCTAAAGCCTTAATAAATGAAAGACAGGTATTTGTATATTAAATCTTTGGTTTATACATTTTAAAATTTTTTGAAATGCTACCTTACTATTGACTTGCTTTGAATATGCCTTTTAATAGTGCTGACATTAGTTTAATTCATTTTCCATTATGGGCTACTTTATCTCTATGTCTGAAGGCCTTGAATGTTTTTTCCCCTTTATACTTAGTTTCAGTAAGAATGTGTTATTCTGTAGAAGTTTTGCCAGGTACACAGTGGAGTCATGCAATATGTAAACTCAAATCTTCTTTTATTTTCAGATAGTTCCCCTGAATTATAATTGTAAATATTGGTCTTTCCATTTTTTTTGTTCTAAAAAAATCTCTGTACATTTGTTGGATCTTCCTTGCCTGCTTTCCAATTCAATCACTTTGTGACCTGTTTTAATTCATTCTTTTTCAGTTTTGTTCTTTTGTTTTTCCTCTATGCTGCTTTTAAAGTTTTCTCTGAACAATTTTCTCTTGATGTCCTTGTACTTTAGAGTTTATTTATGATATAATTTTGTCTAGTTTTCCTGAGTTCAATAAAGCCTCATTTTATTTCTTCTTGGGTTTTGTCCATTTCTGTATTTTCTTAATTGAATTTCTGACTCATGGTGCCTTTTAAATACCTCAAATACATGCTTGAGAATATTTCACTCATGTTAAATTATTTTGGCATGGCTTTTCTTTGTTTACTTATTTATTTACTTAGTGACTTTAGTGGAGAGGTTTCATTAGCTGAAGTGTTTTGACTTGCATTTCCTATTTTCTCTTACAGCAGCTTTGTATGGAGTTGATTTTTTCTAGTTCTTGATATTTTGTGCAGGGTGTTCATAGGTGAAGAGCGCCCTTTCTATTTTTTTTTTTTAGTAAAATGCATTATTTTTAAAATGTTGGTGATGGAAATGAGGGTGGAGGGAGTTATTTTATCCTATGACATCCTTTCCTTTTTTAAATTCCCTGTATCCAAGGATCTGCATACCTCTTCTTGTGATCTGATTATTTCCCCTTAGCCATGTTTTTTGGAAGCTTCCACTTCCAGGCCCATTCACTCCAAGCCCTTTCCCTGTGTGCTGTACTGGGAACTGTTGAGTCCGAAAACTATAATTTGTATTTTTAACAATGCTAGACTTTCTCTTACCTGGAGTTGACTTGGTGTGTGTTTCTTCTCATTTCTCCATGCCATTCTGCTCTGTTTTTCTCTGCAGTCTCTTAAGCCTTCCCTCTGCAATAGCAGTAGAAGCTCTCTTGGCATTTGGTGTTTGTTTCTCTACTAAGAAATAATTTGAAGATCATGGTATTCTCTGAATTGTAGTAATGTTAGAGATATTAGTCATGAGTATCCTTACTTGTTCTCTTTGTTGATTTTATGTTTTCTTCAGAAGATTATGTAAGAAGATTTAAAATCAGGCAGCTAAGATTATTCTCCAGACTTAGAAATTCTAGCATTATAATTGATTGTCTGTACAATGGGCCTTGGATTAATCAATAGTCAGGCATTGCTTTCTTACATTCTCTCTTAAATCCTGCGCCCAAGCTGAGAAATTCTGTGAACATGACATCAGTTGCCTAAAACAAAACTGGTTTGCTCTTTCGAAAGGAAGAGCTTATGTGAAAATACTGGATTAAATATGATGGCCGTCCTCTTAAAGAAAAGAACAAAAATAAATGGTACAGTAGACAATTTGCCAATTTTGTAATTTTAAAAGAAGTGCTTAAAATTATTGGGAAATGTTTTTTCTCATAGGTGTATAACATGGTTCCAAGTATAGAGCCGTATGGTTATTTCTACCATGGCCTCAATCTTGATGATGGCAAGGAAGACCCTTGCATTCCTCAGAGGGATATGTTCTACAATGGTTTATATTACACACCTGTAAGCAACTATGGGGATGGAGATATCTATAATATTGTCAGGGTAAGATCACTAAGGATTTTGGAAAATATTTCATCGCAATTTTTAGTATTCATAATGCATATTAATGTTTTCTTAATTATGTAGTTTTCTTCCTATACTTTGAGATTCGTGTCTGTAATCTGCCAATAGAGTACATAGAAATTGTCTTATAAAAAGGAGATATTAATTTTGTTGATTTTAAAATTTTCTGCTGAAAATAAATCATGTAGCTATAATTACAAAACCTCACTTAAAAAAATAAGACAGTCTCCAATTAATACAATAAATCTTATGCAAAGATTGTCAAATCAAGAGGCTAAGAGAGTGTGGACTCCAGATATCCCTAGGCCATTAATGAGACATGCTGAGCCTTCCATGAAATAATCTTTATAATTAACATCACAAGTGTGTAAGAAAAGGGGTATTGAATCAGACAAACTTTATCAGGTTCCAGTTCTTTAATTTACTGAGTGTGCCGGGTGTGTGTGTGTGTGTGTGTGTGTGTGTGTGTGTTTGATGTTAATTAGGGTAATGATAGTGCTGATCTCATAAGTATTTTCCACTTAGGATGAAATGGAGAATAATGGAAAATACTTAGAAAAATGCTAGCACATAATAAGTGCTAGATAAATCATAGTGATTATAATTTTTTCTCTAAATTAGGGATTTTCCATAAGTCAAATAGAGGTAAGTTGACTTGTAACTTCTCAGACCTTTGTTAACACAGAAAATATGGATACTTATGATCCATTTATCTTTGCAATATAAATAATAGGCCTTTTATAGTTCTTGCATGAAAAGAATGAACAATATTTTTGTTGTTTGTTTCTTTAAAGAACATGGGTCTAAAAGTCTTTACCAATCTCCATTACCGAAAACCAGAAGTATGTGTGATGGAGAGAAGGCTGCCACTCCCTAAGCCGCTTTATCTGGAAACAGAAAATTATGGTCCAATGCGTAGTGTTCCGTCTAGAATTGCATGTAGGTAATCTTACATTTTTTTGTTGGGGGATGACCAAACCGCTTTGTGGAATTTAGTGTATTTGGGATAAACTATACAATTTTGGAATTTTATGTGTGAATTATGCCATGTTTTTGGCTACAATTAGACATCCTATAGTTGGATAAAGCAGAATAAGACAGACTAGACGTGCTTTTGGCTATAACAAGAAATTAGCTTCAGATGTGAGATGTAGTTTATTTTTATTGATAAAATACAATGTCAGAAATACAATCATGCTTCACTTAGTGATGGAGAATTTGTTCTGAAAAATGCATTGTTAGGTGATATTGTTGTGCGAACGTCATAGAGTGTACTTACGCAAACCTAGATGCTGTAGCCTGCAACACACCTAGGCTATGTGGTACAGCCTATTTTTCCTAGGCTACAAACCTCCGCAGCATGTGACTATACTGAATACTGTAGGCAGTTGTACCACAATGGTAACTATTTGTGTATCTAATCATTGCTAAACATGGAAAAGGCACAGTGAAAATGTGGTATACAAGATAAAAAAAGTTATACTTTTAAATAGGGCACTTCCCTGAATGGAGCTTGCAAGGTTAAAAGTTACTCTGAGTGAGTCAGGGTACAAATATATTTTCTTTCTTTACATTCTTATTCTATAAGCTTTTTCCTATTTTTTAATTTTCTTTAACTTTTATACTTTTTTGTTTAAAATGAAGATGCAAACACACACATTAGTCTAGGCCTATACAAGGTCAGGATCATCAATATCACTGTCTTCTACCTCCACATCTTGTACCACTGAAAGTTCTTCAGGGGCAGTAGCACGCATGGAGCTGTCATCATCTATGACAGCAATACCTTCTTCTGGAACATCTCCTGAAGGACCTGCCTGAAGCTGTTTTGCAGTTAATTTTTTTGATAAGTAAGAACAGTACACTCTAAACAGTAAACAGTATAGTATAGTAAGCACAAAAACCGGTAACATAGTCATCATTATCAAGTATTGTGTACTGTACAGAATTGTGTCTGCTATATTTTTATAGGACTGGCAGTGCAGTAGGTTTGTTTACAGCAGCATCACCACAAACCCATGACCAATGCATTGCAGTACAACGTTATGATGGCTTTGATGTCAATAGGTGGTAGGAATTTTTCAGCTCCATTATAACTTTATGGGACCACTGTAGTCTAAGTGGTCTGTCATTGATCACAATGTCATTATGTGGTACCTGACTGTGTAGAGGAACAGGCAATGTATGGTGATACAGGAAAACAGTCATAGTAAGTGACTGTGATACAGGAAAGTGAGGTGTTTTATGGAGACCTTACACCCTGATAATATATAGACCATAATTTGCAGAGTCCAAAGGCTAAATAAGGTACTTCTTCCTTTTTTTTTTTTAGCTAGTGGAATCAGAGGGGAGAATGCTGACTATGTAGAACAGGCTATAATTCAAACAGTAAGAACAAACTTCCCAGAGACATGGATGTGGGACCTCGTCAGTGTCGAGTGAGTTTTAACCATTTTCTCTCCTGTGTGTCTTTATTTCTATTTTCTTTTTCTTTCTTCATGTTTATTCCTGGGTATATAAAACAGTACCATATTTGTAAAATATGTATCATTGATTTGCATGTACTTATCATACATTTTATTTTATTTTTTTCTCTAGCATTGTTTTCCCTTCACCAAGAGTTTCTCTTCTATTCATTTTATGCAGACAGATTTAACCTGCCCCAATTAAAAAAAAATGTGGCGTTTAAAGAAAAATGACCTTTCCATACTCAAATTTTATAAAAATCCAGCTCTCACTATTTTTATCTAACGCCCCATCCAAACAATATAACTCACTTTTGAGCTTCAGTCAATACTTTTCTGCTTGCTCTGCACTTAATTTTAAGTTCTTGGTTCAGACAAAGAATGTGTTTTACCGATAACCTCTTCTTCCAGTTCCTCAGGCTCTGCCAATCTTTCGTTCCTCATTCCTGATACGATAACCCAATGGGAGGCAAGTGGCTTTTGTGTGAATGGTGACGTTGGATTTGGCATTTCCTCTACAACCACTCTAGAAGTCTCCCAACCTTTCTTTATTGAGATTGCCTCACCCTTTTCGGTTGTTCAAAATGAACAATTTGATTTGATTGTCAATGTCTTCAGCTACCGGAATACATGTGTAGAGGTGAGTTGTTCTGTTTGATCTGGAGGCAAAAATCTAACAAAGCTAAAATATTTCTTAATATTTCCATATTCTCTTTATCCTCAAATGCAAAATGCTACTATAAAGGTGTAAGACTTAGGTCCGTATTCCTCAAACAAATACAATTGCTTTCATTCACAGTGACAGTTTAAACAGTGTATTGAGCATGGTGTTTCATAGTGATGTGTGTTCCAGTGCTATCCTCATTGCCATGATTGTTTTCTTAGATTTCTGTTCAAGTGGAGGAGTCTCAGAATTATGAAGCAAATATTCATACCTTGAAAATCAATGGCAGTGAGGTTATTCAAGCTGGAGGGAGGAAAACAAACGTCTGGACTATTATACCTAAGAAATTGGGTAAGCAGCTATCTGTCTACACCAGTCACTCATGGAAAACCAGCCCATATTTATTGTCTCCATTTACTTTCCTTAAATTGTCTATACAAACGTGATTTTCTCCCTCACATTTTTAAAATTCTTATTGTAAATTCTCCATTAGAAATTCTAATCTATAGTAATCTAATTTCTGGTTGTTAATGCTGTGTAGATCAAAACCACCATTCATTTTTACAAGAGCATAATGTAATTAAAATACAATATAAATGCTAACTGGCATGACCTATCACGGACTATATGTTTGGCATATGCCATATCCCAAACGAAGGCCATGTTATCATTAATGCCACCTTAATTATTTGACTTCTCGCTGGGTCCTTCACCTACCATCATGAACCCAGGCCACCTTCACGAAAATTGCTGCTCCATCACAATGACCAATGAGGGAATTGTCAGGTTTGTAAATTTACTAGATGTGCCATGGGGATACCAAAATCACTAAATGATTGGATTGAGATCAAAAACTGAGAATATTGTCTTAGTGCCTATGCTATCTGCAAGATGGAAAAATAAACTTGTCTCCTATTGAAATATTGAAAATACATGGAATGGAAAAAGTTTAAAACTCTAGTAAACAAGGAATGCTAGATACAATGTGCGTGACACTTTTAATCACTACTTTTAAAAAATGGTCATTCAAATTTTCTTTAATGTACTATATTCATTGTATTATTTTAACAGCAAATAATATATCTATGAGATTATTTTAGCTCAGTTGTGATGCTGTTCTCAGACTATTTTTCTATTAGATTTGAAGTTTCTCAATATTTCTACTGCACAAGATCTTCAAAATCCTACCTTGGCAATTGAGACAGAATATTGTACCAACTTGTATAGTTTTATGACATTAAGTCGAAGACACAGTTTTAAGAGTGAAATAGCAAGCTTCCTGAGACAGAGAAACAATAAAACACAACAACAACAACAACAACAAAAAGAACAATATATTGGTTATGTATATTGGTATATAGTCACGTAAATAATAATAACCTTAAAGAATGATTGTTTTCAATCCTGTAATTTTTACAAGCAAGGAAACTGGAGATCAGTTCTAATTACATAATGTGAAATCAGGAAGTTTAAAAACAATGGATTCCTTGCTAGGACATTATTTCAATCCAGTGCCTATCTACTATATCATATTTTACTATGCTTGCTTGATTTTGGGAAGTTAGGAGCCCTAGTTCGCTGACATTATTAGCCTATATTGTCATAAGTAACCTTTATAAACAATCAATATCAAGAAATTGACTCAGACAACTTTGTAAAATGTTACTTTTCCTAAAATTTCTTAAGTTTTAATTAAGTAAATTTATCATTTAATGTAAGGAATCATGAAAATCATGGAACAGGTGAAATGGAAGATACCACATTATACCTAGGAAGGAGAAGAAATAAGTTATTTTGTTCTAAGCATTAACTTAATGATAGAATTTGGTTAATCCAATTCAAGACATGGTTCACAGACTCTAGTCATTTCTCATTACAGAAGGGACCAATGATCAATTTAATTTATATTTGGGAATGTCTTCCAGGTAAAGTGAATATCACTGTAGTTGCTGAGTCCAAACAAAGCAGTGCTTGCCCAAATGAAGGAATGGAGCAGCAAAAGCTAAACTGGAAAGACACTGTGGTCCAAAGCTTCTTAGTAGAGGTATGGATATGCAAACAGTCAAGCTTTTCCTGAAAAGAAACAGACATCTAAGAGGTTTTGTACTAAAAGATCTTCTCATTGAAGAGACTTAATTAGTTGACAACATTTACTTTTGACACAAGACATGCCATTTTAAATGAATTAAAACAGCATAAAGTTCATCCTTTCTTTAATTAATACCTCACCCAGGATAGTAAAACTTAACATTTGAAACAGACTTGACAATTTTTTGTTTGTTTCTGAGTCAAGATGTTTCCTGTACACCTATTTCTCTTCCTTCTCTTTTTCCGATTCTCAAATTCAAGAGACAAATCTACTTGTCCTGCACTCCCGTGCAGTTCCCGTCATCCTCAACAAGAATCAGCGCTTGTCAGAGGAACACTCTTGACTTGCCTCTTGGCACATCCCTGCTCCACAAAGCAATTTTAGTTGTTTACTGGAGATGCTATACAGGATCAGAGGAGCTGAGAGTGTCCCACAGTGACATCAAGATAATGCCTGTCCAAGCTACAGAACGCAGAGGCTAAAATGGGTGCCAGTGATGTCCCGTGCCTTCCAGATATGAACAAAAGGGGACCATGAGTTGGATCTTCTCTCAGGGATAAACTTGCACCAGCCATGCTTAAGTGAGCTGGTGCTTAATCACTTTTCCTTCATGGACAGAGGATCTAGACTCATTCTTCTGTGCTTGTTTGTGTTATTCTTTGACAGCCTGAAGGTATTGAAAAGGAAAGGACCCAGAGTTTCCTTATCTGTACAGAAGGTAAGAGGATCTTTTAGGGAGTCAAATTAGTCCTAAATAAAATTCACCAAAAGAATCAGTTCATGTCCTCTCCTTCCACATGAGTCCATGTGCCCTGTGATTTCACTTTAAATAACTCATGGAGGATTCTTGTGTTTCATGCTTTATCTTTATGGTATAAGTTTATCCATCAAAAAGAATATTCAGGAGGTGGTTTTTAGTTCACTTTCTGAGGCTGGTCTGCTCCTATCTATTTTTTTTTCCATCATGTGTATTCTTAGCTCCTCTTATGATATGGTTGTCACACAATATTGGACAATGAGATATTAGGATTGAGGCCCAATAGCACATAATATAATCTTGGCTTTTGTACTCTTAGGAGAAAATAACCCATAGATACTTCACTGCCCCTGCCCCTCAGTCTCCGGTTTTATGGCCATGAGGGGTATTATTTTACCTGGTTGATGGTGATCTGATTATACTCCTTTATCAGAGTCTTCAAGCTTTACCTTTTGTGTGTGTTGTTTTATGTGTTACAGTCAGTGTAGTTTTTACATTTTTTCATACATAAATAGTTCAGGCACTAAACCAGTGAAGAACGGGGGCCACAATCTAACACACAGATTTGTATGCCATTTTCTGAATGTACTATTATCCTAAACTGGGTCAAAACTCCAAATTCATCTCCTCTAATAAACAACTTGTAAAATAAAAATAAGTAATGGAATCTTATTTCCAATATGTTTATCCCCCAAATCTGCTGATATAAAGAAGCCATCACATTTTTTAAATCAGTATTTTCATTCTAGGTGCCAAAGCCTCCAAGCAGGGAGTTTTGGACTTGCCAAACGATGTAGTAGAAGGGTCAGCCAGAGGCTTTTTCACTGTTGTGGGTAAGTTGATTAAATTTTGTGTTTCACTATGATTTGAAAATCTTGGTTGAGGTGGTCTTTAAAAATCCTTAAAATAACAGAATGGAGAGATCTTCCTAAGCTATCAATTGGAGGGAATTATTGTTCAGATCATCCTCTATGTTTCCTGATGGGATCTAAAGGGATTACAGTACCGTTTCCGGACCTGTATTCCCAGGAAACCTTAGCTTGGGTAGATGGTAACTAGTGTTCAGAAAGCAAGAGGTTCTTTATAATCATTAATCTGAAATATGAAATTCACCTCTTGGAGAATCGAATTAACGTTGCCTGTTAATGATGTTGGGAGTTTTCTCAATAAAAGGAGAAATGTTTGTTGTTGATACGAAAGGCAAACTTCTTTGTCTGTTATTAACATGAACATCTCTTGGAAGGGATGGATTACACTTTGTAATTCATAGGATTGATTGATTAAAAAAAAAACTAGCAAACAAGCAAACAAATGCATTCTCCTAACTTCCTCCTCTCTCTAGTAATGAGATTTTCAGAAATATTTTTCATAGCAGTTTAACTTCACCCTTCATGGCTGTCTCTTCTTTCAAATTGCTTCATAAAACTTTCTTTGTTTCCACCATTTAGACTCAATTTTAAATGTTACCTATTCCACTATGCCTCTTTTGTCTATAGTTATTAATGCTGAGATGGCAACTATAAACAATACAGCTTTCTGCTTTTCCTGTTTTTAGGGGATATTCTAGGACTTGCCTTGCAGAATCTGGTTGTTCTCCAAATGCCCTATGGAAGTGGAGAGCAGAATGCTGCCCTACTAGCATCTGATACTTATGTTCTGGACTATCTGAAATCTACTGAGCAACTGACAGAGGAAGTTCAATCTAAGGCTTTCTTTCTCTTATCTAATGGTGAGAAGAATTAAGTAATTTCTGCCCATAATTGTTGAAAGCAATTGTTACTCATACCAAGACGTCATAAGCTGTTTTTATGCAGTAGTCTGGTGAAAGAAAAGTGAACCTGAACCGAGGAACTCTCAGTCCTAGCGCTGTTTTCCGTCTGACTTCAAAATCTGTGTGGTCAGCTAGCTTCATAATTTACAGCTGCAAAGTTTTCAAGCTATGCACTTAATTTTTTTTTAATGTCTGGTATTTTGCAAGCTACCTTGTTTATTGTTGTTATTATTGTTGTTTTTGTTAGGAGTTGTTGTCAGTGGTTCATCTATCAGCGTCTGTATTTGTTTGCTCAGCTGTGGTCTGTTGCAGTGAAGTGATTGGCTTTGTATACAGAAAGAGGGCCAATGTTGTGAAATGTGAGGTTAAGGACAAGTCCAGGAGCATAAAATAATCTTCTTTGGTTTTTCTTCTCAGAAAGATAACACTGAAATAAAATGACCTTAGGGGAAATATACTGAATAGTTAGTAGGTACCAATGACGAGGCAATTACTGAGCCAGACATATCCATGTGTATTATCTTGTGATCAAAATCCTATAAAGTAAGAGTTATTTTTTCTCCCTTATGAATACAGAACCTGAGTTTCAGAAGTTCAAATGGAAATGATCATCCTAGTGATTTGTGTCTAACACCAATACCTAGGGCTTGCACTGCACTATTCTTTCTCTTCTAACTTTCTTAGGTTAAAAAATAATTTCCTACAATGTTCTATTTTAGGTTATCAAAGGCAATTATCTTTCAAAAACTCTGATGGTTCCTATAGTGTGTTTTGGCAGCAGAGTCAGAAAGGAAGCATATGGTGAGACATAAAAATTTTATTTTATATAATATAGGAATTACCTGAGGAGGGCTTGCAAGGAGGTGAAGGAGGATAGAGTTCAGTGGGGATTTAGAAGCAAAGTGGGTTTCAAAGTCAATTTACGGAAGAGAAATAGATAAAACTAAAGATTTAGTGATTCCAATTCTAATGCAACAATGTTCCTTCAGTCTCATGACGATTTGCTTAGCAGTCTGATCCCTCATGACAGCCCCTATACATGCACCGCTGGTTAACTCCACCGAAGAGGGCACGTCTTACTCTGTGCTTCTCAGAGTCCCATATAGATTCGGGAAAGTGAAATTAGAAGGACCCAAAATACCTAATTACATCATTTCTCTCTCCATGTGCAGATAATCTAATGGGCTATATACAACAGGACCTTTGGGTGCAAACATGCTGAAAATTACCTACTCTAATTTCCACTTATTGCTAGTCATAATATTTTCCTGACCCAAAGGAAAGGGCCACTAACAATAAAGATGGTTTACAGTAGATGAGTTGAATGCATCCTTTACTCAAAGGGAACAGTGGTGATGAACCTGTGGAATTGCTGACATTGTCACTTCCTCTTTATCTAATTTTGCTTTGGTGATTTGTATTACAGACTCAGTGCTCTTACTTTTAAGACATTGGAGAGAATGAAAAAATATGTATTCATTGATGAAAATGTTCAAAAACAGACCTTAATCTGGCTTTCAAGCCAACAGAAAACAAGCGGCTGCTTTAAGAATGATGGCCAGCTTTTCAACCACGCCTGGGAGGTGAGAGAGGAGAAGCACCAGGCTTTCCTTGTTCCTGGGCATTGCCTGCCTTGCCCTGCCTCTGGCTTTCCTGATCTGGAATATGAATATTCTTCCTGTGCATATGAAACCTTCTGAGGCACTGCAGTCCTGGGCCTGTGGTGGGTTGGTCAGCAGCACCATTCCTGCTTTGTGCATGTTTAACTACAGCCTGGATGTGACTTCTTCTGAGTCTCTTGTCTGCCTTATTCAGTCTCTAGTCCTTCCCGAGTCAGTCCTCTTCAGAAATTAAACTAGAAATAGAAGGGAGGGGAGAGAAAGGGAACCTAGAAAAGAAACTTTCATAAATTTGGAGACAGTCAATGTATAAAGGGAGGGGGCTGTGAGTGTATGAGGAAGGAAAGTTTATTCCTGTCCATGAATGGCAAGAAAGTTCTGGGGAGAATATCTAGTAATTCATATTGTTTCAATGAAGCAAGTTTTTCTAAGACCCTCTCAAGGAAAAATTCAAAGGCCAAGCTTGCCCCGGGGCCAAAGTACAAATGAGGTGAAGTATATCCTTGGCAAAATCCAACCCTTTTCCTGTCCATATTTACGTAAATCCCTCCCTTCCAACTTCCTTTCTTTGCAGATACCTGTCCATCTCCAGCCCATTTTCTATCTCCTTTCCCCTCCTTTTTTTCCCTGTGGTTGCTCAAAATCTCCTATCATGGCATTTTAGCATGCTCTGATGGCCCCTGAAATACCCTGAGCTTTTCTTCAGCATCCTTCCTCATAATCATCACTCCTGTTCTTGAAACCCAGAATGCATATCTAATCCACACACTCTGATATTTAATTTGCATGCAAATTGTATTCAAATTGCTTTGTGGTATTTTTAATGTATTCCAAACTTATTCCTTACAACAGGAGGACCCTGATGGAGATGAGCTCTTACTCCTTCATAGAAAAATCAAAAACTTTCCCACGTTCTCTTCTAAAACATCTTCACATCTTTCTTCTTATTGGATTCATTACTGGTGAATCATTGCTGATTACTGCTACAGTTTGTCTGATCTTACCTAGTATTTTCTCTATAATTAAATATCTGTGTGGGTGGGTGTCTGTGTGTGTTTTGAGTTGAGAGAAATAAAAATGCAAGGGAAAAATCAAAGCTTACACTGCAGAGGAATGGTGATCCTACTTGCTGTAATTTAGATGTACTGACAGTCCTCGTACCTCATGTTAGTGTCTACCATATGCTGTTATTTCCATCTTAAACACTTGGTTTCTCAGAAGTATTTCTTTTCTGAAGAAGACAGGAGTTGTCCTTTGCTTAAATAGATAAAATGGGAAGCTTCTACAAGATCAGTAGATCCCAGATGCCATTCTGAATGCTATTTGCATCAGAGTCACTAGAGCACCCATTAAAATGCATTTCGCTGTCGTATTCCCAAGTTTTTTGAACCAGAATCTCTGTGTAGACACTGGTTGATTTAAATACCCCAGGGGACTTTTATGCACAGTCAGTTTGCAAACCACATGATTTATAAATGAGTTTCTCATTTTACACTGTAAGAATCTGAGACTTGATTCTGGTGATCTCCTAGGGTGCTTTTCCAGGAATTTCCAGGAATCTTCACGGCAACTTTCTGCTTCACCTCATTAGAAATTCTTTGTTGGCTTTTTTCAGATTTATACCAAGCGGAGACAAATAGAGTCCTGTGAATTCCTTAGAATGCATGCTTAACACCAGGCCACATAAATACGATTGAAATTAATTGTTATAACAACTTAATAATTATGATTTAATTATTGCATAGAGTCTGAATGAATTCTTGCTTAGATAGTATGATTATTAACCATCTAATTTAAAAACTACACATGTTCGGGTGTTTTTATGAATAATGGTATTTGTTCCAGTATTTTTTTCATACCTAGTTTTACTTCAAAAGAATACTTGCTATTTTGTGCTCTGCTGTCCCGAATGACTCATTGTTCCTTTGTTTTCAGGGTGGAGATGAAGAGGACATTTCACTCACTGCGTATGTTGTTGGGATGTTCTTTGAAGCTGGGCTCAATTTCACTGTATGGATTCCCGTCATTTCTGATTTCAGGCAGCTGAATGCACATTCAATAGACTGTAGAGTCAGAGTCACTTGAGATTCTAAGACTGGATGAAACCCCGAGATAACATTTAGTTTATTACCACCCTTTAAATTCATGCTGTTCAAACTGTTTTTCATTCATAGACAGCTTTGAAAAACAGGATTGGGTTTCTCCCTAGGGAGAATACACATATGCACACAAAAAAGAGTTATTCACACAATTGCAGGCATTCACATCTCTCCTGAAGTTCAGCCATGAATTTCAGATTAAGAACCACTGTTCTAAGTAAAGCCGTGGCCTAGTATTCTGTTTCTCTCTAAACAATAAGTGAGTAAACATTTTCAACTTAAGTGTGGCTCACCCTAGCCACCTCCCAATCCATAGATTAGATTTCCAAAATCTATTCCTGAACTAAGATGCTAGGAATTGTCAGGGTCATTAGTATACCCTGAAAATTATCTTCACAAATGTAAGCCTCTATTTTAGGCACTAGAAAAAAAAAAACTCTTAGGCCTATGATAAATTTGGATGCTTTGCCGCATAGAAGACATTCATAACTAAAATATCACTGATCAAATATAAAAACTGCCATTTTCTTACTAAATTTCATTGGGCCTGGCATGGTGGTTCATGTTTATAATCCAAGCACTTTGGGAGGCTGAGGTGGGTGGATTACCTGAGGTCAGGAGTTCAAGACCAGCCTGGCCAACATGGTGAAACCCTATCTCTACTAAAGATACAAAAATTAGCTGGGCTTGGTGGTGCATGCCTGTGATCCCAGCTACTCAGAAGATGGAGGCAGGAGAATCGCTTGAACCTGGGAGGTGGAGGTTGCAGTGAGCTGAGATCATGCCACTGCACTCCAGCCTGGGTAACAGAGCAAGACCCTATCTCAAAAAAAAATTATTGCTTAGGTACTAATAATGACATTATAAATTTATTTTAATGATATTTTTGAAGGATAAAATATATGTGTATATATAAATGGATTTGTATGTAAAATATACTTTGAGGATATATTATATATATTATAAACAATGATTAGTTTAAATGTTCAACAAGTTCATGGAATGTTCGGGTATCAGTTTACAATATATGATTCTTCTTCCTGACCAACAGTTTCCTGCTCTACGAAACGCACTCTTTTGCCTTGAAGCGGCATTGGACAGTGGTGTCACTAATGGCTATAATCATGCAATTCTAGCTTATGCTTTTGCCTTAGCTGGAAAAGAGAAGCAAGTGGAATCTTTACTCCAAACCCTGGATCAATCTGCCCCAAAACTAAGTAAGCGTTATTATTCATTGTTGCTAATGGAGGTGATCTTGGAGCACAGTGAGGAAGCGTTCTAAGCAGTCACATAGGAGCTCCCTCTTGACGAGTATGTTTCTGTTTCTCTTATGGAATTTATCAGTGGCCTTTATACCTTTCAAGAACGCTACATATTCTAGACTTTCCTCTTTTGCTTTATGCTAGCTTCCTCTCAAATGAGTGATGTCAGGGGAATCAAGCCTGGTGACCAAGCCATAGGCTATCGAAACTGCTGGGGAAGCTTAATCACCTGCTACTTAGAAAGTTGCTATTTAAGGCTGTAGTAGTTTGCTATAGCTGTCATAAAATACCACATACTGGATGACTGCAGCAACAAAAGTTTATTTTCTCATGCTTCTGGAGGCTAGAAGTCTAAGTTCAAGGTGTTGAAAGTGTGGTTTCTTCACCTGCAGATGACCACATTCTTCCTTTGTCTTCACAAGATCTTTTGTGTGTGCACAGCCCTGCTCTCCCTTTTGTGTGTCCAAAATTTTTCTTCTCATAAGGTCACCAGTCAGATTGGATTGTGGCCCATAAGCTTCATTTTAACTTAATCACCTCTTTAAAAAGTCTTATCTCCAAATACAGCCACATTTTGAGGTACTTGGTGTTAGGGCTTCAACATATAATTTTAGGGGAACAATTCAGCACAAACAGAGGTCGGGAATGGAATTTTCATCCTTCTTTATGTGTAACCCATGACTTTTATACAGACTATGTGAAAATTCTTCCTTTTTCTCAGATAATGTCATCTACTGGGAAAGAGAAAGGAAACCCAAGACAGAAGAATTTCCATCCTTTATTCCCTGGGCACCTTCTGCTCAGACTGAGAAGAGTTGCTACGTGCTGTTGGCTGTCATTTCCCGGAAAATTCCTGACCTCACCTATGCTAGTAAGATTGTGCAGTGGCTTGCCCAACGGATGAATTCCCATGGAGGCTTTTCTTCCAACCAGGTGATTAATGTAGGCCTGATATTAATAGCAATATGTTTAATGCAGAAGCTGTAACTCTGTGACGAGTGAGATATTAATAGTAAAGCTATCACAACAAACCCTTTCTGAGAAGAAGAATCTTTGGTAATAAGATTCTTATTATCTTATTAATCTTATTTTATTTCCTCAACAATTATTTATTGGCCAGTTATTGTGTATCAGGCACTCTACTAGGAAGCCTCTAAATAGAAATGAATGAAATGAGGTCTCCTGTTCCAGGAATTTATGACCGTTTGTATCTTCATTCACACAGCAAACATAGAATAAGTCTAGAGGACATTTTTGTCGTAAGCACCACTCTTGGTGGTACATTAGACACCTGATGATACTCTGTTCAAATTATATACGGGCCAAAAAGAAAGCTTTCGCTCTAGTTCTGTGGGCTATACACTGGGAAAAGCAAATGAAAAGAAGGAAAACAGGAGAAATGGGGGGTATGAGAAACAATGACATGTTTTTCCTTACTTGGAAACAAATTGAAAATGCAAAAAAGCAGTTTTATCTCCATAAGAAAAATCTTCATTTCTCTTTGTGTTTGGTCTTAGTTTCGGAGTAAAACCATATGCTAATGAATTTCCAAAGATCTTTTCCTGATTCTGAATTCCCTTCTTTGAAGATGAACAGAAAAAAAAGAATTATCCATGGCAGCCACAGGGGCCACTGAATTATGTAATGCCTTAACTTTTAGAAAAGGTTTGACACCATTTTTAACCAAGGAGGCTATATTTTATTAAAAATTTTTAGAAAGTAAAAATATAATTAACATTTGTTGAAAAAAATTAATTTAAGTGGAAACAATTTGCACAAGCAAGGATATTTTCCTACCATTCAGGATATTGCTTCTTGGTGTTTTGCTGACCTGTTTTAGGAACATTTCTAAGGGTTGATATGAAGTCCATTGTCAAATGATGACCAATATTGTGTTGTAACTGAGCTTGGATCATTGTTTGTGCTGTTCTGTGCAGGAAACTGCAGTTTGTCTTCTTGCCATAACCCGCTACATAACCCGTGAGGCGGGGACTGAGAGCCAGGAGGGGAAGAGGGGTAGAGGATGATACTAATTTCAGCATCGCCGGCTGTGTTCACCCAGCCTGTGAAATTGTTATTAATATCCTGAAAGGGAGAGAATGATATTACTCCCCATAATAGACAGATACGACTCCGCATAATAGAGCACAAGGTGTACACCCACCCTGTGATATTCTTCCTCATATTCAGAGGCCGAGAAGTTGATATTACTCCCACTATCACAGGACGTATACACCCTCGTGTTAGATGGTCCTTAATAATATTCCAAGGCGGAGTGGGTGATGTGACTACATATATGGCAGAAAGGGTACACCCCCCTGGGATATTGTTCCCACGATCCTTGAGGGAAGAAAATGATATTACTTTCAATATGACAGAAGGTGGACACGCCCCCACTGATATTGTTTCTAATTGCAACGTGGGAGAGGAGGATGTGACACGGGATATCGCAGGGAGTAGAAACACCCCTGTGTTACTGTTCTTAATATTCAGGGAGGAAGAGGATGATATTACTCCCAATACAGACGGGTGTACACCCGTCTGTGAAACAGTTCATAATCTCCAGAGGTCTCCAGAGGGGGAGATGATATTACTCACAATATGGTAAACAGGCTGAGTCCACCGTGGATCCTAAGAGCCAGCGGGGGAAGAGGGGCTGGCTCTCAGTCACCACAGCATGGGGGGCCTTTATGTTCAGGTTTTGCCCAAGAGTCAGCTTATTTGCTTCTAGTACTAGCAGGGTAGATGCTGCCAAGGCCCTCAAACAGGGGGGCCATCCCTTAGAAACCCTGTCTAGTTGTTTAGAGACGTAGGCCACCGGCCTCAGCCAGGTCCCCACAGTTTGGGTTAAAAGTCCAGCTGCCATCTTTTCTCTCTCTGACTCATACAATGGAAAAGGTTTTGTCAGATCGGGTAGCCCCAGTGCTGGGGCTGCCAGAAGTTTTTCCTTTAACTCATGAAAACCTTGCTGTTGTTGGGATCCCCATTGGAAAGCTTCCCGGTCCCCGCCCCCTTTGTGACCTCATACAAAGGCTTGGCTAATACTGGAAAGTTTGGGATCCACTGTCTTCATAACCCCACAGCTCCTAAGAATTCTCTCACCTGCCTTCTGCCCTTAGGCTCCGGTAGATTGCAAACGACCTGCTTTCTTTGTGATCCCGGCTGCATTCGGACCCCTGTCAGACAGTAAATCCCAAGTAAGGTACCTGCCATCGGCAGATCTGAGCTTTCTTCTTGGACACCTAAAACCCACAGTCCTCCACTTGGGTCCTAAGGGTCTTAGGATCCGCGATGGGGGTAATAACCAGCGGGGGAAGAGGGGCTGGCTCTCAGTCCCCGCCTCGCGGGGGGTGCCTCCCCCCTCTGCGATGGGGGTTCCAAGAGCCAGGGGGGGAAGAGGGGCTGGCTCTCAGTCACTGCCTCGTGGGGGATGCCTCCCCCCCTGCGATGGGGGTCCTAAGAGCCAGGGGGGTAAGAGGGACTGGCTCTCAGTCCCCGCCTCGCGGGGGGGTGCCTCATCCCCCTGCGATGGGGGTCCTAAGAGCCAGGAGGGGAAGAGGGGGAGAGGATGATACTAATTTCAGCATCGCCGGCTGTGTTCACCCAGCCTGTGAAATTATTAATATCCTGAAAGGGAGAGAATGATATTACTCCCCATAATAGACAGATACGACTCCGCATAATAGAGCACGAGGTGTACACCCACCCTGTGATATTCTTCCTCATATTCAGAAGCCAAGAAGTTGATATTACTCGTAATATCGCAGGACGTATACACCCTCGTGTTAGATGGTCCTTAATAATATTCCAGGGCGGAGTGGGTGATGTGACTACATATATGGCAGAAAGTGGAAACCCCCCTGAGATATTGTTCCCACGGTCCTGGAGGGAAGAAAATGATATTACTTTCAATATGACAGAAGGTGGACACGCCCCCACTGATATTGTTTCTAATTGCAACGTGGGAGAGGAGGATATGACACGCGATATCGCAGGGAGTAGAAACACCCCTGTGATACTGTTCTTAATATTCAGGGAGGAAGAGGATGATATTACTCCCAATACAGATGGGTGTACGCCCTCTGTACACTGAGGGTGTACACCCGTCTGTGAAACAGTTCATAATCTCCAGAGGTCTCCAGAGGGGGAGATGATATTACTCACAATATGGTAAACAGGCTGTGAGTCCACCGTGGATCCTAAGAGCCAGGGGGGGAAGAGGGGCTGGCTCTCAGTCACCACAGCATGGGGGGCCTTTATGTTCAGGTTTTGCCCAAGAGTCAGCTTATTTGCTTCTAGTACTAGCAGGGTAGATGCTGCCAAGGCCCTCAAACAGGGGGGCCATCCCTTAGAAACCCTGTCTAGTTGTTTAGAGACGTAGGCCACCGGCCTCAGCCAGGTCCCCACAGTTTGGGTTAAAAGTCCAGCTGCCATCTTTTCTCCCTCTGACACATACAATGGGAAAGGCTTTGTCAGTTCGGGTAGCCCCAGGGCTGGGGCTGCCAGAAGTTTTTCCTTTAACTCATGAAAGCCTTGCTGTTGTTGGCATCCCCTTTCCAAAGCTTCCCGGTCCCTGCCCCTTTTGTGACCTCATACAAAGGCTTGGCTAATACTGCAAAGTTTGGAATCCACAGTCTCCAAAACCCCACAGCTCCTAAGAATTCTGTCACCTGCCTTCTGCCCTTAGGCTCCCGTAGATTGCAAAGGACATGCTTTCTTTGTGATCCCGGGCTGCATTCGGACCCCTGTCGGATAGTGAATTCCAAATAATGTACCTACCGTCGGCAGATCTGAGCTTTCTTCTTGGACACCTAATACCCACAGTCCTCCAGGTGGGTCCTAAGGATCTTCGGATCCGTGTTGGGGGTCCTAGCCAGGGCTGGAAGAGGGGCTGGCTCTCAGTCCCCGCCTCACGGGTGGTGCCTCCCCGACTGCGATGGGGTTCCCAAGAGCCAGTGGGGGAAGAGGGGCTGGCTCTCAGTCCCTGCCTCGCGAGGTGTGCCCCCCCCTGTGATGGGGGTCCCAAGAGCCAGAGGGGGAAGAGTGGCTGGCTCTCAGTCCCCGCCTCGCAGGCGGTGCCTCCCCACTCTTCGATGGGGTTCCCAAGAGCCAGGGGGGGTAGAGCGGCTGGCTCTCAGTCCCCGCCTCGTGAGGTGTGCCTCCCCGCCCTGCGATGGGGGTCCCAAGAGCCAGGGGGAGAAGAGGGCCTGGCTCTCAGTCCGCGCCTCACGGGGGGTGCCTACCCCGCCTGCGATGGGGGTCCTAAGAGCCAGGGGGGAAAGAGGGGCTTTCTCTCAGTCTCTGCCTCGCGGGGGGTGCATCCCCCCACTGCGATGGGGGTCCTAAGAGCCAGGGGAGGAAGAGAGGCTGGCGCTCAGTCCCCGCCTCGCATGGGGTGCCTCCCCGCCTTGCATGGGGTGCCTCCCCGCCTTGCGATGCCCTCCCCGCCTTGCGATGCGGGTCCGAAGAGCCGCGTGGGGGAGAGGGGCTGGCTCTCAGTCCCCGCATCGCGTGGGGTGCCTCCACCCCCTGCGATGGGGGTCCTTAGAGCCGGGGGGGAAGAGGGGCTGGCTGTCAGTCCCCGCCTCGCGGAGGGTGCCTCCCCACCTTGCGATGGGGGTCCCAAGAGCCAGGGGGGGAAGAGGGGCTGGCTGAGTCCCCACCTCGCGGGGTTTGCCTCCGTCCCCACCTCGCGGGGTTTGCCTCCCTCCCTGCAATGGGAGTCCTAAGAGCCGGGGGTGGGAGGAGCTGGCTCTCAGTCCCCGCCCCGTGGGGAGTGCTTCCGCCCCCCGCGATGGGGGACCTAAGAGCCAGGGGAGTAAGAGGGGCTGGCTCTCAGTCCCCACCTCGCGGGGGGTGCCATCCCCCCCCTGCGATGGGGGTGCCTTCCCCCCCCCTGCGATGGGGGTCCCTTCCCCCCCCTGCGATGGGGGTCCCTTCCCCCCCCTGCGATGAGGGTCCCTTCCCCCCCCTGCGATGGGGGTCCCTTCCCCCCCCTGCGATGGTGGGGGTCCCAAGAGCCTGGGGGGCAAGAGGGGCTGGCTTTCAGTCCCTGCCTCGCGGGGGGTGCCTCCCCACCCTGCGATGGGGGTCCGAAGAGCCTGGAGGGGGGAAGAGGGGCAGGCTCTCAGTCCCCGCCTCGCTGGGGGTGCCTCCCCCACCTGTGACGGGGGTCCTAAAAGCCAGGGGTGGAAGTGGGGCTGGCTCTCAGTCCCCGCCTCGCGGGAGGTGCCTCCCCACCCTGCTATGGGGGTCCTAAGAGCCGGGGGTGGGAGGGACTGGCTCTCAGTCTCCGCCTCGCGGTGGGTGCCTCCCCGCCCTGCGATGGCGATCCTAAGAGCCCGGGGGGAAGAGGGGCTCTTCTCTAAGGATCAAAACACTGTCACCTTTAGCAGTGAAGGATCCAGTGAGATTTTCCAGGTTAACGGTCATAACCGCCTACTGGTCCAACGTTCAGAAGTAACACAGGCACCTGGAGAATACACAGTAGATGTGGAAGGACACGGTTGTACATTTATCCAGGTAACAGAAATCTGCCTAAGAGGGTGATGAGTGTTTGCCAGTAAAAGAGTCAGACTGTCTGTTCAGTTCTACGTGAAGTGTTATTTGACCGTTTTGTGTATTTACATAATCAATAGCCAAAATTGCAAGTTACTTTTTGAAAAGCTACTCAGCTGTCTAAGAGAAGTTTCTTGAGGAATATTGCTATTAGAAAGTATTCTATCTTCATTAAATTACATTATTCTGAAAACTAAAGAATTTAACCTGATTCCCTGATGATAAAGATGTAAACTGCATTAGTAATAGAAATAAACAATGGGTTCTTTCTTTTTAAAAATGTTTTAATTTTTGTGGGTACATAGTAGGTGTAAATATTTACCGGGTGCATGATACAGGCATGCAACGTGTAAGAATCACATCAGGGCAAGTGGGGTATGCATCACCTCAAGCATTTATCCATTGTGTTACCAATGATCGAAGTATACTCTTGGTTATTTTAAAATGTAAAATCACATTACTACTGACTCTAGTCAGACTGTATAATTCTTAATACAGGATGAGTTTTCTTATAATTTGCTATCCTTTCTAGGCCACCCTTAAGTACAATGTTCTCCTACCTAAGAAGGCATCTGGATTTTCTCTTTCCTTGGAAATAGTAAAGAACTACTCTTCGACTGCTTTTGACCTCACAGTGACCCTCAAGTAAGTGTCATATTTTGACAGTAACTCCCATGTGAACAAGATGGTAAAATATTTTAAAAGTTCAAACAGTAGTGAAATAACAAAATATAAATCATGGTAATATGATGAGTTCTCATGTTGGTGGTGACAATTCTACAGCACAGTCACTTTTTAGCCCTCTGTCCGGACACCACAATTTAGTACATCTTCAGCTAAATCAGAGCTAAAATGAGGCAAGAAAACATGCAGTCTATGTGAGCAGGATTTGAAAGCTTTCACTGCACTGATGTTTCAATGATACTTTTTATTCTGTTGTATGGAAGTACTCCTAGTTTTGAAAAACAGAGATTCTATATTTCTTTCTCAAGACAAGCATGCATGGTCATATAGTAGCAAGCCCACAAATGTTTCTTTTGTAACTGTAAAGAGTAACATTTTAGATTTTTACTTTTCAGAATAGAAAAACAAAATGATCCTCTTGAATTCAAGCATGATTTATAGATGCTAAAGGCTTTTAGCCTTAGTTAATATGTGGAAAACATTGAGTAAAATTAGTTTGGGAGATATTTTTTAGAATTTCTAAATAAAAATCGCTTGAGCTCCAGGGCTAAGAACTCAATGAATTGGGGAACTCTTTTTCTTTTTTTTTTTTCTTTCTTTTTTTTTTTGTTTGAGACAGAGTCTTACTTTGTCACCCAGGCTGCAGTACAGTGGCACAGTGGCACAATCTCAGCTCACTGCAACTTCCACCTCCTGGGTTCAAGGGATTCTTATGGCTCAGCCTCCTGAGTAGCTGGGATTAGAGGCGTGCACCACCACATCTGGCTAATTTTTCTATTTTTAGTAGAGTCAGAGTTTTGCCATATTGGCCAGGCTGGTCTTGAACTCTGACCCTCAAGTGATCCACCCACTTTGGCCTCCAGAAGTGCTGGGATTACAGGTGTGAGCAACCATGCCCTGATGAACTATGGAACTCTTAACACCCCAATAGTCTTATCCAGAAGCAGGAAACTGAGCTAGAAGTTCTCCTGGGGACCTATCTACTCTATAATTATGCTCATATACCACCTTTTAAGCAAAGATGTCCTCTAAGTGTTATGCAACTCTAACACTAACCTAAGTATATGTAAAAGATTTAGAAGCTCTGTTTATCAGTTCAAACTTTGAGACTGCAGGTAAGCTTAAAAGCAGGGTTTGGGGAAGATTTCATGTCCAGATAATTCATTATTTACTCCAATTTCTGTTGCTATGTATCATCTCTTTCATTATCATTCTGGTCGTGCCTATTCACAGATGCTTGAAAATGACTTTCTTCCGATGTTCTCTCTTCAGCTTTTACCTGTCCTCCAGATTTCTAGCCAATTAGTATTTATCCACCTGGCACCCTCATTATGAGATAAGTCACTTTTTAAAATTGATATCTAAACAAGTGTTTTCTTAAAATTTTCAGATACACTGGAATTCGCAATAAATCCAGTATGGTGGTTATAGATGTAAAAATGCTATCAGGATTTACTCCAACCATGTCATCCATTGAAGAGGTAAATAATAGAAGCCTAATCTTTCAGCACAAAGACAGCTACATAGAGTATAAAGATAAAATAAATACTTGTTCAGCCATAGTTTAGCAAAACAAAACTATAGAATTCTTCTTCAACATTCACCTTTGTATTTTTGCGCTAACACTGGAGAGCTGGTTTACTTAATTTGTACCAATTAGCAGTCAGTATTTCCCATGGATCATCATATATTTTTCTTTAGTTGCTACCTGTGTTTATGAAAACATCACGGCACCAAGGAATGTTCCATAAAACAGAACGTGACGTAGAAAAGAGTGGACATTGAGTTCTGCAGTGGCGCTGTCATTTTTTCTAATATCTATTCTCTATCCTTCCCTAACAATTTCTTCAAAGCTTGAAAACAAGGGCCAAGTGATGAAGACTGAAGTCAAGAATGACCATGTTCTTTTCTACTTGGAAAATGTAAGTTTAGCCATATTTTTTTTTCTTTAAAGTTTTTCTTTTTTCCTTCCAAGGATAATTGGATGCTTCAATTTCTTATAGATATGTATGATAGGATTTGTAAAAGGAAAAAATAAGGGACGTTAAGGATTACCAGTGTTTTATCCCACTGATCATCTTCTCCTTGCTAGTTCCAAGGCTATTTCATATATGCCCTGGCTATGTGACTAGATAGCTTTCCATTTTAGAAACATCATCTCCCTATCAAACACAGTCTGGTCACAGAGTAGATATGTAATTATTTTATAATTTGACTAAACTCTTACAAAGTTTGCCATAATTTTTTGAAATTACAATTGCGTATTGAAGGTATGTGGTGTGACGTTTTGATATATATAGTGAGCTGACTGTTATCATCTAGCGTGACTATATGTGAATTAGCTGACTAACACATCCCTCTCTTCACACAGTTACCTCTTCTTTTTTTGTGACAAAGCACTTAAGATCTACTCCCTTAGGGAATATTACATATACAGTACAGCATTGTTAACTGTAGGCCACCGCTGTACCCGAGATTTGTAGAATGTATTCATCCTGCACAGCTGAAGCTTTCTATCCTTTGACCAGCATCTCCCCATTTTCCCATCCCTGATAACTGCCATTCTACTCTCTGCATCTATGAACTCAACTTTAGATTTAACTTACAGGTGAGATCCTGCAGTGTTTTTTGTGTGTATCTGGTTTGTTTCATTCCACATAATGTCCTCCAAGTTCTTCAGTGTTGTTACAAATGGCAGAAATTCTTTCTTTTTTGAAGGCCGAATAATTTGTATGTGGATATGCCTCAGTTTCATTATCCATTCATCTGTTTCGAACACTTAGGTTGATTCCTTATGTTGGCTATTGTGATTAATGAAAGAATTAGCATGGGACTGCAGCTGTCTCTTCAAAATATTCATCTCATTTTCTTTGGATGCATACCCAGAAATGGGATTGCTGGATCATAGGGTAGTTCTATTTTTATTTTACTGAGGAAACGCCAAACTGTGGCATGCGCTTTAGGGACATCCTTTCTATGTGTATTGTTACCACTCACATAAATGCCTACATTCCTCTAAGACTTCCAGCTAAATTCCTCTCACCTCAATGTAAGCAAAGGAACTTGAAATTTTATATGATTTAAGGTTAACAACTCATTACTTTGCCAATATGTAAGTTAATCATACCCTAGATCTATTTAATTATGTAGATCATAAACTTCTGCGGATAATTTTCTCAGTGATTATCTTTTCTCAGACCTGCTACAATGTAATTATAATTTGTGTCATGATAGGGTTTTGGTCGAGCAGACAGTTTCCCTTTTTCTGTTGAGCAGAGCAACCTTGTGTTCAACATTCAGCCAGCCCCAGCCATGGTCTACGATTATTACGAAAAAGGTAGGCAAGCAACAGCCATGCCCTAAGGTTATTGAATGTGTTATTTATATATAACATTCCCTGAGCTACTAAACTTTCCAAAATCAACCTCCGTCTTCACAGAGTAAACAATAGATGGCATTACTTTGTATACTGGTTTCTTTATCCCATGATGTGTCTTCTGACTGAACCCATTTTCCAGTTACCAGAGTTTTTCAACACCAGAATCCTTGCAATATAACCTGACAGGGCTCCACTTGAACTTGAAATACAAGCCACACTAAGCTTCCAGGTCTTTTTGTTATTGTCATTGTTGTTCATGCTAAGACTGACTGTTCCAAGCTACTGCTGTGGACTTTGACTTAAAAAGAGGAGTGGGGAATATTCTGAAATGCTAACTTAAAAATTTGATAGATTAATTTCTAAAACATATACAAAGATGTTGTAGAGACCACACAACTGTTCCCTGGAAGGTTGGTACTATTTATTTCTTGTTGAATGCTGTGTGAAGTTTGTGGAGTGTTTGAATTCTGTCTCTATCAATCATTTACTAATAGAATATATTTCATCAAGTGTCTTAAATATTATTAGCATATTTCTGGATGTATAAAATGGGAAAGTAATTGTCTCTATTTCAAAATTATTGGAAGGATTAGATCTAATGTGCTTATATCATCTATTTAATAAAAATACATGTTCCCTTTATTTTTTCAGAAGAATATGCCCTAGCTTTTTACAACATCGACAGTAGTTCAGTTTCCCAGTGAGACAAAGCAATTACTGGAAGAGGTGAAGAAATTTTATTACGTCATAAACCATTGAAAACACATCTAGTAAGAAAATGAAAACCTGAATAAGATAGGACAGTAGTTGAAGAAAGAAAAGTGTCTGGTACTTCATTAGACTTGTGTAGCTGTGTACTGCATGAGTAATCTGATAATCATTAAGATTATATTAATTTCTTTAAAAATAGCTTTAAAGAATTCACAGCTATATATGTACCTTTTATAAATCTCTCATTTTTGTTTTGTAAGTTGACAGGTCAGTAAAAATTTAGGCATATATATTTGTACATATGTGTGTGTATGTACATGTCTATGTGCCTATATATGCATGATTTTATATCTAAATATCTATTTATATATACATACAAACGTGTTTATTGTTTAAACGATGTTTTAAATCCCAGGTGGAAAAGCATTTCTTGTAACAAACCGATTCTTCTGTATCAAACCTGGAAAAAAATCATGAACCATCTGACATCGTGAACAGTTTGCAGTGGGCTATGGTTTCTTGTCAAGTCTTATTTCCTTATCATCCCATTAAATGTTGTCATTTTGCATCTGAGTCTATGACTTTTTTTTCTTCCAGTACTCTTTTCACAGTTTTAATCCTAGAAAACACAGGGATTTTTTTTTGACAGCAACTTGAATAATTTGCTGTATGGCTGTCAACTCTAAATTTGAGTATTTAGACATTGTGGAACACAGAGTTACAATTCTTCCACATACAAAGAAAGAGAGAGAGAGAAAGAAGTGGGGGAAGAGAAAGAAGGAGACTAAGTGAAAGTTGAAATGGACTCCATGTTAATTCAAGGAAACAAAAATAAAGGCACAAAACACATAGACTCGAATGTATCTTCCGAGATCAAATCTGCCTCAGGCCTAATCCAACGTTGCCCATCCCGTTGGAGCAAAGGCATTGCTTGTGCAGAGGATCGGCCAGGACGTCCTATGCTTGCATCCTTACTCACCAGGTAAACACGCTCCTCATGCTCCAGATGTAGCCGGTCGTCACCCCCGAGGGATACTGGTCAGGTACTCAGGGATGGTTGAGAAATGGTTGTGGCCCGCCTCAGACCACCCCACGCAGTGGGCTGAGTGAATTTCCAAAGCGCAGAGACAGCATTGCAAAGGCACAGTGTGCCGGGATGGGCCCTGGACATACACTGTGCAATCCATCTCAGATGAGGTAATGGGAGCAAGTTGGTGTGTCCCAGGCCACAGGCACTTCTCACATCCCACCTGAGTGGGAGCCATCACAGGCTAGCATCCTCTTGTCCTGCCCTGATCCTGGTTTTCTGCCTGGCTTTGCAAGTCAAAGGGCATCCTTCCACCTGGAAGGATCCTGGAGGAGACATCTCTCAGAAGACAGTCCCAGAACATGGAATGTGACCTTGTTTGGAAATAGGGTCTTTGCAGATGTTACCAAAGTAAGAGAAGCTCACAGTGGATTAGAGTGGGCCCCATCTAGTCTAATGATTGCTGTCCTTAACACACACATCCACACACACACACACACACACACAAACATACACACGCGAATGTGCCCGTGAAAACGGGAGGCAGAGGTTAGAGTGATGTGTCTACCAGGCATGGGAAGTGAACGGTTGCCAGAAACCAGCAGAAGCCAGGAGAGAGCCATGGAGTTGATCTGCCTCACAGCCTCTAGTTGGAACTCATCCCATCAATACCTTGATTTTGCACTTGTAGCCTTCTCAACTGACAGAATAAACTCCTGTTGTTTAAAACCAGCCAGGTGTGGCATGTTTTCACGAGAGCCCTAGGAACCCAATACATCGACTTTCAAGGGCCTCATCCCACTGACTTCGAAGCAGGCCTGGATCCGTGTGTTGTCTCAGTTCTGGGAGCTCCCATGAGCCTGCAGAGAGACTGCAGGGTCTTCCTGGACAGTTCCTGAGGAGGAAAGAGAGACTCAGAGGATTGCCCCGATGTCGCCCCTCCCTCCTCCTAAACTCTGCTGGGCTCTCCCACTCCCCCAGGAAGACTTCCCTGCTAACTTCTGCCCTGCAAGTTGACCCTGACATTTTCAAGTGCCACCCGCCCCTGTGAACTTGAATGGATTGCGCTGTTCTTTGCACAAGAACAGAAACAGCTGCCTGGAGTGCAGCTTGTCCTAGTGGCTGGGACTTCCCTGACACACAGCTCCCCTTATCTGTTGTGGAGCGGTCTCACTGACATCTGAGCAAGCAACTGGAAGAAGCTTCAGCCCCAGTTCTAAAGGTTCACAGTGACTGACAGCTGGGGTTGAGACAGACCCGCCTTCTGTAGGTGGACTTTGGCGCTGGCCTTAGTTATCCTTTTATAGGCATTACCTTTGCAGGGGGCACAATTTTCACCCTCCTGCCCTGCCAGTGTGGCAGAGTATTTTTTATTCTTTGTATCCAGTTATTTTTTGGTGTTTCTTGGTGAATTGAATGGAAGATATGCTTTTTCCTAAGCATGGCTATGGCACAAGAGGCTTTCCGAAGCAGCTGCTCAGGTGGCTCAGCCTGGAAACTGGGGCAGGCTGTGAGGGAGCGTCTTCCTGAGCCCTCAGTATGTCATCCACGAGGGACAGGATGGGCTCTGGGGACTTGTTCTTTGCCCCTTCCAGAGCTGAAACCAGAATGAGACTACCTGTGTCTCCAAAAAATAAAAAAAATTATCTGGGCTTGGCAGCATGCACCGGTAGTCCTAGCTACTTGAGAGGCTGAGGCAGGAGGACTGTTTGTGTGTGCCCGGGAGTTTGAGGATACAATGAGCCATGATCGCACTTAAGCCTGGGTGACAGAGAAGGACCCTGTCTCTTAAAAAAAAAAAAAAAAAGAAAAAGGAAAAGAAATCACCTTGTTTGTGAATAGAGACAATTTCTTTCTTTCTAATCTTACTACCTTTATTTTGTGTCATTTTCTTCCCTTATTGTATTGGCTAGGACTTCCAGTACCATGTTGGATAGGAGTGATGAGAGTAAACATCCTTGCCTGGTTCTCAATCTTATGGGGAAGGCAATCAGTTTTTCATCACTAAGTAAGATGTTTGCTGTAGGCTTTTTGAAGGTGCCATACATCAGGTTAAGAAGCTTGCTTCTATTCCTAGTTTGCAGAAAATCTGTAATAGGAAAATATGTTGAATTCTGTAAATTTTTTTTCTATATCAATTGATGTGATCATGTTGATTTTCTTGTTAGATTATTACTGTGGCAGATTACATTGACTGATCTTCAAGTATTGAAGCAGTCTTGCATTCCCAGGAAGAACCCACTTGGTTATGGTGTATTCCAAGGACCACATAAATGCGTGCACACACACACACACACACACACACATTCCAAAAGTAGCACAAGTTCAAAATACAAAACTCAATTTAATTTGTATATACTAACAATAACTAACAGAAAATCAACATTTTAAAATAATTGCATTTGTACTATCTCTGAAAAAATGAAATGATTGAGTCTATATAAGATCTGTATTCTGAAAATGTACAAAATGCTGTAAACAAAATCACAGAAGACCTAAATCAATGAAGAAATACATGGATCCATGGGTAGAAATACTTAATAAAGACTTCAATTCTTCCCAAATTGATCTATACTTTTAATACAACTCCATCGAAATCCCACCAAAGGATATATTGTATATCAGGTAATCTGATTTTAAAAGACATGCAAAGATTAAAAGGTAGAAAAAAGAATGATGTCAGAAAAGCGATGCTACACAATTTTAAAGTTCTAAAACCAGAGCAGAACTGAAGGAAATAGAGACACAAAAAACCCTTCAAAAAATTAATGAATCCAGGAGCTGGTTTTTTGAAAGGATCAACAAAATTGATAGACCGCTAGCAAGACTAATAAAGAAAAAAAGAAGAATCTAATAGGCGCAATAAAAAATGATAAAGGGGATATCACCACCGATCCCAGAGAAATACAAACTACCATCATAGAATACTACAAACACCTCTACGCAAATAAACTAGAAAAATCTAGAAGAAATGGATAAATTCCTCGACACATACACTCTCCCAAGACTAAACCAGGAAGAAGTTGAATCTCTGAATAGACCAATAACAGGATCTGAAATTGTGGCAATAATCAATAGCTTACCAACCAAAAAGAGTCCAGGACCAGATGGATTCACAGCTGAATTCTACCAGAGGTACAAGGAGGAACTGGTACCATTCCTTCTGAAACTATTCCAATCAATAGAAAAAGAGGGAATCCTCCCTAACTCATTTTATGAGGCCAGCATCATTCTGATACCAAAGCCAGGCAGAGACACAACAAAGAAAGAGAATTTTAGACCAATATCCTTGATGAACATTGATGCAAAAATCCTCTATAAAATACTGGCAAAACGAATCCAGCAGCACATCAAAAAGCTTATCCACCATGATCAAGTGGGCTTCATCCCTGGGATGCAAGGCTGGTTCAATATACGCAAATCAATAAATGTAATCCAGCATATAAACAGAGCCAAAGACAAAAACCACATGATTATCTCAATAGATGCAGAAAAAGCCTTTGACAAAATTCAACAACCCTTCATGCTAAAAACTCTCAATAAATTAGGTATTGATGGGACGTATTTCATAATAATAAGAGCTATCTATGACAAACCCACAGCCAATATCATACTGAATGGGCAAAAACTGGCAGCATTCCCTTTGAAAACTGGCACAAGACAGGGATGCCCTCTCTCACCACTCCTATTCAACATAGTGTTGGAAGTTCTGGCCAGGGCAATTAGGTAGGAGCAGGAAATAAAAGTTATTCAATTAGGAAAAGAGGAAGTCAAATTGTCCCTGTTTGCAGACTACATGATTGTATATCTAGAAAACCCCATTGTCTCAGCCCAAAATCTCCTTAAGCTGATAAGCAACTTCAACAAAGTCTCAGGATACAAAATCAATGTACAAAAATCACAAGCATTCTTATACACCAGCAACAGACAAACAGAGAGCCAAATCATGAGTGAACTCCCATTCACAATTGCTTCAAAGAGAATAAAATACCTAGGAATCCAACTTACAAGGGATGTGAAGGACCTCTTCAAGGAGAACTACAAACCACTGCTCAAGGAAATAAAAGAGGATACAAACAAATGGAAGAACATTCCATGCTCATGGGTAGGAAGAATCAATATCGTGAAAATGGCCATACTGCCCAAGGTAATTTACAGATTCAATGCCATCCCCATCAAGCTACCAATGACTTTCTTCACAGAATTGGAAAAAACTACTTTAAAGTTCATATGGAACCAAAAAAGAGCCCACATCGCCAAGTCAATCCTAAGCCAAAAGAACAAAGCTGGAGGCATCACACTACCTGACTTCAAACTATACTACAAGGCTACAGTAACCAAAACAGCATGGTACTGCTACCAAAACAGACATATAGATCAATGGAACAGAGCCCTCAGAAATAACGCCGCATATCTACAACTATCTGATCTTTGACAAACCTGAGAAAAACAAGCAATGGGGAAAGGATTCCCTATTTAATAAGTGGTGCTGGGAAAACTGGCTAGCCATATGTAGAAAGCTGAAACTGGATCCCTTCCTTACACCTTATACAAAAATCAATTCAAGATGGATTAAAGACTTAAACGTTAGACCTAAAACCATAAAAACCCTAGAAGAAAACCTAGGCATTACCATTCAGGACATAGGCATGGGCAAGGACTTCATGTATAAAACACCAAAAGCAATGGCAACAAAAGCCAAAATTGACAAATGGGATCTAATTAAACTAAAGAGCTTCTGCACAGCAAAAGAAACTACCATCAGAGTGAACAGGCAACCTACAAAATGGGAGAAAATTTTCACAACCTACTCATCTGACAAAGGGCTAATATCCAGAATCTACAATGAACTCAAACAAATTTACAAGAAAAAAACAACCCCATCAAAAAGTGGGCGAAGGACATGAACAGACACTTCTCAAAAGAAGACATTTATGCAGCCAAAAAACACATGAAAAAATGCTCATCATCACTGGCCATCAGAGAAATGCAAATCAAAACCACAATGAGATACCATCTCACACCAGTTAGAATGGTAATCATTAAAAAGTCAGGAAACAACAGGTGCTGGAGAGGATGTGGAGAAATAGGAACACTTTTACACTGTTGTTGGGACTGTAAACTAGTTCAACCATTGTGGAAGTCAGTGTGGCAATTCCTCAGGGATCTAGAACTGGAAATACCGTTTGACCCAGCCATCCCATTACTGGGTATATGCCCAAAGGACTATAAATCATGCTGCTATAAAGACACATGCACACGTATGTTTATTGCGGCATTATTCACAATAGCAAAGACTTGGAACCAACCCAAATGTCCAACAATGATAGACTGGATTAAGAAAATGTGGCACATATACACCATGGAATACTATGCAGCCATAAAAAATGATGAGTTCATGTCCTTTGTAGGGACATGGATGAAATTGGAAAACATCATTCTCAGTAAACTATCGCAAGAACAAAAAACCAAACACCGCATATTCTCACTCATAGGTGGGAATTGAACAATGAGATCACATGGACACAGGAAGGGGAATATCACACTCTGGGGACTGTTGTGGGGTGGGGGGAGGGGGGAGGGATAGCATTGGGAGATATACCTAATGCTAGATGACGAGTTAGTGGGTGCAGTGCACCAGCATGGCAGATATATACATATGTAACTAACCTGCACAATGTGCACATGTACCCTAAAACTTAAAGTATAATAAAAAAAAAATTACTGACTGTGGTAAAAGGTTGGGAAAGATGTCTTTCAAGATGTTTCCTAAAACAAAATTCTGTAATAATTAAAGTGACACTTACCATGTTCTAGACACTTCTAAGTGCTTTACATGTGAACCTCAGTTGAAGCTCACTATCAGTCCTAAGTGGTAATTATGATTGCTATTGTACCCATTTTACAAATGAGGAAACTGAAGCATAGAGGGATTAGTTAAGTTGTTCAAGGTCAGGTAGCTAATAAGTGGCAGATTCCGGATGAGAACTCATCAGGCTGGCTTCAGGGACTGTACTTCTTAACCAGTAAGAATGTTGGTTTCTTAGGTTGTATATGTAATGTGGCTTGCCCTAATATTCAAATATTTGTATTCTAATTCCGAAATTTTCAATGCCTCTGTGATTCTATATATTACTTTACCTCTCAAGCCTGTTTTCCTTAGTTGAGTTAGTTGCCAAAAGTTAAATTAGTCTCTGAGTTCATTACCAGTTCTGGCTTCTTAGAATTTAGTGAACATAAGAGTCTATTATTAAAAAGTCAAAAACTAACAGATGCTGGTGAGGTTGCAGAGAAAAGGGAACACTTATGCACTGTTGGCAGGAATGTAAATTAGTTCAACCATTGTGGAAAGCAGTATGACGTAGCTAAAAACAGAGCTACCATTCGACCCAGCAATTTCATTACTGGGTATATTCCCAGAGGAATATAAATCATTCTACCATAAAGACACATGCACACGAATGTTCATTGCAGCACTATTTACAATAGCAGAGACATGAAATTAACCTAAATTTCCATTAACGACAGATGGGATAAATAAAATGTGGTACATATACACCATGGAATACAATGCAGCCATAAGAAAGAATGAGATCATGTCTTTTGTAGGAACATGATCATGTCTTTTGTAGGAGGCCATTATCCTTAGGAAACTAACGCAGGAACGGAAAACCAAATACAGCATGTTCTCACCTGTAAGTGGGAGCTAAATGATAAGAACTCATGGACACAAAGGGAACAACAGACACTGGAGCCTCTTTAAGGGTAGAGTGTGGGAGGAGGAAGAAGAACAGAAAAAACAGCTATTGAGTACCAGGCTTAAGATCTGGATGATGAAATAATCTGTACAATAAACCCCTGTGACATGAGTTTACTTATATAACAAACCTGCACATGCACCCCTGAACCTAAAATTAAAGTTAAAAAAAAAAAGCAAAGGAAAAAAATAGTCTATGCCCATGGTTGAACTCAGGTTGCAAGTAGAAAGTGGTTCTTTGGGGTATGAAAAGAAAACTGTAATTTAAACTTTTTTTTCTCATAAGCTATTTGTATTGAAATAGATTACAGATTGTAAGTGGGCAAGAACTATGTTATGTATTGTTGTACCTAACTGTGGTCATACCTTGCAACCCACTGAGTGACCAAAATGCACCTTCTCGATTGTAAATATTTAGTATTAACATGATGATAATAAATAGATGGACTAATCAGTTCACGAAAACTTGCTGTTTGGCCAAAATCACTTAATACTAATGTGAGAAAGGACGTAAAAATAACCTTGCATTCTGTGATTTCTGATTCTTCCAAGATATCACAGCCACAGCTCTGTCTTGAGAGAGTCAAGAATGAGGGCTATTTATTTTGTGATGTTACAGGTCTGCCCACATCAGTGCCCACCAGGAAAACTGCTGCTTGTGTTATCAAGAATTTAAAGGTAAGAAACCATATCTATGTAGGTAAATTTTTAGACTCTATTCAGGAGATTGTTTGTAGGGGGTTAGGTTAAGTATTATTATATTTTGTAGAGCTTGATAATAGTTATCTAGATAATCCCTGGAGAATTAAACAAAGCGGTGTTGAAGATGTCCTGCTTATGTATTGTGTTAAAATTCAGTTTATACTTGGTTTGAAGTGGGAGTGAAAAATTTAGCCTGAAGACATGTATATTTAATTTGTTGTTCAAACAAGCTTGGGGTTTGTAGGTTTTGATTATTTTTGAATATTGAGTAAACTCGGTAATACAGTGTATTCTTTCCATTCAAATCCTGAGAAAATATATTGGCACTGCCAAATGCAGGCATGCTCAATGAGTAATGAAACTAATTTGGTGTTCGTATTGGTCAGGATCCATTTAGAAGACAGAAATCATACCAGCAATCTAACAGGAAAATTTATATAAAGAATTATCAGCATGGTTGAA